>NC_000004.12:10572916-11197916 GCF_000001405.40 Homo sapiens | reverse complement strand
AAGGAGAAATAAAAGGAAAGCAAAACAGAGCCTGTCTTGGAGAATGATTCCTTGCAGCCTAGTTAACCTGGAAGACAGACACACACCATTTCTCACCGCTGTGCTCCGTTCACACCATGCGTTATTAACCGACCTTACTGGGCACCTGGGAACACTTTGCAGATAATCACACATGCTTCTGTATTAGATACAATAATCTCCATGTTCTTGGGGACCACAAGAGAATAAGACAATTAGCATACCAGAGGTATTAATCCATAACATGAGCATCTATACATTTTCTTGACAGATTTAATTTTAAAAATCCATGTTCTTTTCTTTCCTGCTAATTCATGGATTATTTAAACAAAAAAGTTTCTCTTTGAAATTTTTAAACAAATGATCAACAGAAACATTACTAATATGCCCAGTTTAATGCAGAATTTTTACGGGAGAATATTCTGCCCTTCATTTCCTTCAAATTGTTCCTCTTCCTAAATGCCATTACTTCCTCCACACTTTTAAATACTCATCCAAGTTTGCATAGCTTAGTGGTTAGTGGTCCACACTTTCAAGTGAGAATGGAAATGTTTTGGGAATGTTCTGGGAATGTTCAAAGCCCTGGTTTGTGTTCCAGCCTGCTGAGAAAAACTTGCAGCTAGCTAGGCCACAGCTGGATTTAAAGTCAAGACTCTGCTACTTATTGGCCATTTCTCAGCCAGTAAATTACACTCTGATCCTCTTTCCTCATATTGAAATGGAAAGAATAGTACCATCTCCACACAGGGCTATGTGCATATTAAATGAGAAAGTTCCCATCCAGCACTTGGTGTGGGCGTGCCCCACAGTGAACTCCCAATAAATATTAGCATCATCATATCACTGGCTATTTGTGTCTGCACTTTTCTGAACCTCCTCTCCCCGGTCTCCTCTTTCTCTTCTCCCACACTGCAGAATAAACAAAGTCCCCTAAGTCATCACATCTAAACCTCCGAGCATTTCCTGGAGTGAATCTCACAGTTTAAAAATAAAACAAAATAAAAAAAATAAAAACCATTACTTTGTCATCCTATTTCTTATCAGGAAGTTTTTTTTTTTTTTTAATGATACTTCTTTCCTTACGACAGTTCTATAAAATCATGGTGTTGGAAATTTGTTTTTCTTCCAGTCCTAATTCATCAAATGTCTCCCAAATAATCAGACTCTACACCTACCCACCCCTCTCAATAGCTAGTTTATGTATTTTATGATTCTCTCTTAGCAAACCTGGACTGCAGATTTAGATTCATTAAAATTCATTAGAACCTAAATATTTATCTCAAATACCACCATTCAAATGAAAACTCCACCTATTTATTTGTTTTAAGATTCAGGAAATCCTACAGGGAAAAACAGATGAAGATTGAAATTAACCTATACCCAGCACGGGAAAGCACTGTGATTTCATAATAGCCAGGGCACAGGAACATGCATTAAATACAAACTAAAATGGCTACAGTTATATTGTTCCTGGGACAAAACTTTATCTCCTATTTAAAGCAATGGTAAATAAATAATACAGTTTGACGTAGGTTTTATTTGCTCTTGACAATTTCTAGCAAAATAAATTAGTCCATTCTGACCAAAATGACTGCCATTTAGATATTTGAAAACAGCCTAAGGATGCACAGTTCTTTCAATAAGCTTCAGATAAGGCATCTCAGAATAATGGTAGCAACAATGAGAGTTCCAATAGGTAATCTGGGTGGCCAGAGAGAGAGAGAGATTCTGTTGAAAGGTTGTTTTGTATGCAGTAATTATTTGCCACCCAGATATGTAGTAAGCACTGGGGTCACCCAGATAAACAAAACAGGGTCTTTTTTATATTTCTTAAGAATCTTATAAATCATCAACAGACAATTACTGTCCAAAGTGTTAAGTAAAATCACAGATGCACATGCAGAAAGCGGGGCTCTCCATCCACTCTGAGACTGCCCAGGAAATCTCTGTGCATGTCACTCCAGAGAGTAAACTGAAAGTCTGGCAGAAGTAAGGCAAGGGATAGAGAAATGAGAGAGGAAAGAATAACAGTAACACAAGGAAAACCACATGCAAACTAAGAGAGCGAAGCAGAATATGATGAGGGAGCACAAGCAACTCAGGGTTTCTGAAGCTCAGGTGAAATGTCTAAGGGCTCAGAGAGGAAGCTGTACAGGTAGGTGGACTGGGACCAGCTCTTCATGGACTTACTGGGGAATTTCCAGACACTTAGATCTTACCCAGAGTGCAACAAGGAGGTCTTACATGATTTTAAGACACACAATTTATCACTGTTGTTTCATATTATTGTTCAAATGTTCTTATTCATAATTGTCCTTAATTTGTAATGTTTTCAAATGGTCATATCTTTTTGATTAATTTTAAAGGATTACTTTCCCAAAGACATTTTTGATGACTGTCTACCTGCAAAATGAGGCAATTTCCATATTTTTCCTGGCTCCCTTCTTCATTCTATTTTATTTAATGGTGAAGTCTAAGACTTATATTTTAGGTTTTTATTCTTTGAAAGCCTCATTACTATTTTGTATTACATATTTTGTCTTTCTAATAGTTCCCCAGGAAGGGTGGCATAATTTCTAAGCTGTTGCCTATTTTAACTGTTATCCTTTCTAAATTTTACACATAAAAATAATAATTTGTCTAAGAAATAAAGACTTAGGTAACATCCATCATTCCCTAAACTCAAGCATTTTTCCCCAGTACTTTTGGCTTATCCTTTTTAGTTCTCTAAAAACAAGCATAAAACTGGTTTAATTTCTCTTTCTCTCTCTCTCTAAGTAACATTTATTTACTTTTGTACTTTTTACTGGATATTTTCTTTTTATTTGAAGTTCAAGGTTTTATTCAGATTTGGCTATTTCAGTATTTATTTCCTAGTACTATATACATTTTCTAATATTCAGATTTAGTTCTCTCTTCAGCTCACAGAATTTTTCTTCTACTATTTCATTGACTATTGCTTTTGTTTCATTTGCTCTGGTATATTTGTCAGGATAAAAAAAGAAAGAGGCTGCCTCTCATAACAGAAACAGCCTGATGGTAATTCTTGCAAGGACAGAGCTGTGCTTGAAAAGCACAGTCTCTCTGAACAAAGTAAAGCTTAGACCTCATTTATGGTTTGATAAGCATGGGACTAAGGGTTTGAAGACTTCTGGGAGTGAAGGTTCCTGGGGATTGTTAATATTTTGGCTGTGGAAGCTGGTTATTAGAGTGTGGCTGTTGCTGATAGGCTGACTTCCAGAAGCATGGAATTCCCACTGCCTGGCTGGCTTTCAAAAGTGTGGTTATTCAACCATTATTCATTTTCCACAGTAACCTCTTGACTGATCTTGACTAACAACTCGAGGCCCCTCTTTTAGTAAGATGCTGCCACACGAGCTCATGTTCCATTGTGTCTGACGGTGCAGGTTATGAAGGGATCAGGTAGACACTATTTTTCTAAATGCTGACCAAATGTAGATCCTGCATTGTAATCCCACGGCATATTTATTTATCTCTGCCTGTGTGTGAATTATTTGTCAGGCTTGAGCTCCTGGGAAACAGGGATTGTACAATCTAGGAATTTCCTAGATTATTGAGATCTAGTAAAATTACAGTCTATTAGAGTGTGTAATACATTGAACTTGTCAGGACTGAAGTTTAAATAGTAAGCATCTAATGGTGATGTTTAAGATACCACTTGGAGTCACTTTGCAGAACGAGTCCTTCCTAGATACATCATGTGGGTATCTGGGTGTTCTCTATCATTAGAGTGCTTATCAGATGGATGTTCATTACCTATGAAGGAAAACAGTAACACCACCACCAACAAAACCAATTCAAGTTACACTGGTCTCTGACCTCACTTGTGCATGCTTATCATAAAGTTCAGTTTGAGAACACTCCTTATTCTTTCAGAGTATTTGTTATAACAGGTTGTTGTGTGCATGTGTGTATTTTTCATAGTCTGCAAAAAATAGTCTGCTATGTTGCACATTTTGTTCAATAAAAAAATTGTAAATGAGATTCTACTAAAAAATCTTTGTAATTTTTAAATTATGTTAAAATTTTAATTTAAATTTTTGATTAAATTATAATTAAAATAAAAATTGAATTAAACTATAAAGCTATTTGTTGAATATTAGACAAGTACATGCATAAAATCCGCTTTCAAAAAATTAAGAGACTGTAATTACCAATATGTGTGATTATGAGTGTTCACTTAATAAAAATTCAATTTTCTTTACCATAAAGTACATATTTTCATTACGTATGTAGAAGGGTTAAGGGAAGCACTCACAAAAAAACAACATGTAACCAAGTCTGAAGGCTGAATGAGAATTTGTCATTGGCTGAATGGCAATGAATACATTAATGAATTGGAGTTATGTATAATCTGAATCTTGCAAAGAAGCTAGTCCTTGTGTCACTGCAGGATTAAAACATCAAGCAGTCCATGTTCTAGTGAAACTATGTTAGAAATAGGAAAAAAAGAAAATCTACCATTTCTTCAGTCTATAGTTTATACCATGGAACCCTTAGCTAGGTTGAAAGCTTGGCCTGCTTTAACCCACACACCTCTTGGCAATAGATTCTCAACTGTCACAGGCCAGTCTCCCTCTATTTCCTGACTTCAAATTTCCAGGAACTTTCTGGCATGGTACTTGAATGTATATTCTGCCTAATCCTGATGCCAGATTGGGAATGGTATGGAGTTTGCAAGGAATCATGAGTTCTAAAATTAGGGTGATCAAGCAGTCGGGTTCACTCAGGACCTGGGACTGAGATGTGGTTCTTGCAATGTTAAAACTCGGAAAGTATAGGTCGTTGCCCAAAACAATTTGTTCACTCTGTCAAAATGAAATACAAATTGCTCGAGGAATGTTCCCTCCTTTTCCTTCTCCTTTGCATCCCTCCCTCCCTTTCTTCCTTCTTTCCTCCCTTTTCTTCCTTTCATTCCCCTCTCCTCCCCTCCCATTTCCCCTTCCTTCCTTCCTTCCTTCTTTCCTTCCTTCCTTCCTTCTCTCTTTCCTTCTTTCCATTTTCATGCTGAGTTTTCAAGGAGCTCCAAAAACAGACTTGATCTAGGAGCTCCATCCCTCACATTTTGCCATTTAGCTTTTATTCTTTCAGTGCCTGACATTCTTTCAGATGCATCACTCTGATGAGTGATAAGGGTGTGGGGGGCTTTAACCACTGGGTGAATATGAACTTGAATCAGGAGCCCAATTATCTCAGGGACTCATGATTATAAGCCAGAAGGGAGCATCAGAATTCCAACTCCTCAAATGAATTTTTGGTAATAATTTCCTGCATTCTAACTAAAACATATATTTGTGTGATAATTAACGTCAGGGAAGGCTAAGCTATACTATTTTTGAGCTGGTAAGGATGTGGAGAAAAGAGAAGCCTTACACTTTGTTGTTGAAAATGTAAATTGTTACGGTCATTATGAAAAAACAGTGTGAAGCTCCTCCAAAAATTAAAAAATAGAACTATAATATGACTCAGGAATCTCACGTCTGGATATGTATCCAAAGGAATTAAAATCAAGGTCTCATGAAGATGCCTGCACTCCCATGTTCACTGAAACACTGTTTACACTAGCTAAGATATGACAATGACCTAGGTTTTCATCGATAAACAAATGGATAAAGAAATGTGTTATATACATTCAATGAAGTATTATTCCACCATAAAAAAAGAAGCAAATTCTGTCATTCTGAAAACATGAATGAACCAGGACATCATGCTAAGTGAAAAAAGTCAGACACGGAAAGACAAACACTGCACAATCTTACTAATATGTGGAAAGAAAAATAATTGGGTCAGGCGTGGTGGTTTATGCCTGTAATCCCAGCTACTTGGGAGGCTGAGGAAGGAGAATCACTCGAACCAGGGAGGTGGAGGTTGCGGTGAGCTGAGATCTTGCCATTGCAATCCTGCCTGGGCAAAAAGAGTGAGACTCTGTGGAAAGAAAAGAAAGAAGAAAGAAAGAAAGGAAGAAAGAAAGAAAGAGAGAGAGAAAGAAAGAAAGAAACAAAGAAAGAAAGAAAGAAACAAAGAAAGAAAGAAAAAAGAAAGAAAGAAAGAAAGAAAGAAAGAAAGAAACAAAGAAAGAAAGAAAGAAAAAGAAAGATAAAGGGAAGGAAAGGAAGAAAAGAAAGAAAGAAAGACAGACAGAAAGAAAGAAAGAAGAAAAGAAAATGGAACTTACAGAAGCAGAATGGTGGTTACGGGGGCTAAGATGGGGAAATGGGGAGATGTTGCTCAACAGGTACAAACCTTCAGTTATGCAAGCTGAATATGTTCCGGAGAGCTAATGTATAGCATAGTAACTATAATGAGCGATACTATTTAATAAACTTGGAATCTACTAAGAGGGTATACCTTGAGTGTTCTTACCACTCACAAAAGATATTATAATTATGGGACTCAATGGTTATATTAATTAGCTTTATTGTGGTGATTATTTTACAATACATGCATATATCATAACATCAAGTTGTACACCTTAAATATATCTAGTTTGTGAGACATATCTGAATGAAACGCTGATAGGGTTTGGATCTGTGTTCCTGCTCAAATCTCATGTCGAATTGCAGTTCCGGTTGTTGGAGGTGGGGCCTGATGGGAGGTGATTGGCTCATGGGGCTGTATCCTTCATGAATGGTTTAGCATCATACTTTTGGTGCTGTTATCTTAATAGAGTTCTCATCAGATCTGGTTGTTTAAATGCGCATGGTACCTCCCTGCTCTCTCTCTTCCTCCTGTTCTGGCTATGTAAGACGTGCCTGCTTCCCCTTCACCTTCCTCCATAATTGTAAGTTTCTTGAGGCCTCCTCAGAAGCCGAGCAGATATATCATGCCTTTTGTACAGCCTTTGGAACCATGAGCCAATTAAACCTTTTTTATTTATAAATTACCCAGTCTCAGGCATTTCTTTATAGCAGTTAGAGAATGGACTAATGTAAACTCTATCAGATAATCCACAACTGGAAGAATATTTGCAGATCAATTGGAAGGTAATTTTTCCAACTTTTTCCTGTAGAGCAAAGACTTCCTTGGAAGGGCCAAGTCTGGAGGTGAGAATGCAGCAAAGCAGGCTGGACTCTTGCGCTCCCATTCTCATTTTACTTGGAGTAGCTTTGATTTAATGTGGTGGGTGGATAAAGTCATGTGCCCACTCATTGATAAAGTGTCTCACATCCTAAAATGGGGGAAATACTTAATTGTCCCTACTCCCACATTTTACAGAGTCAAATAGTAGAGCAAAAAAGGCAGGAGAATTTGGGAGGGACAGGAGAGATGGGTGTATGATGTCTTTGGGTACGTTGCTTGAAATCTACATCTCTCTCCCCACCCTCAGTCGTCAGTTTCCTCATTTGAAAAAGAGAGGGAGGGTAATGCTCCCACTCTACAGTTTTTACAAGGAGGCTCATCACATATGTGAAAGTTCCTTGGAAATCATAGAGAATTAATTACTAGGGTAAGCTCTCTGCATAGACTCCTCTGCATTCGATGTAATCACTCAGTCACTGTATTTCTTCTTAGGATCTTTGCTTTTTGCTAGGATTCATACTCCCATGGAGTTTAAGGGTTGGAAATAAGCTCTGTGACAGGGTGTGGTTTCCACAACCTCCTTGAAGGAAGGAAGTATCACTTTCCCACTCATTGATCAAATGTCACCACAATTATCCTGCTGCTTGAAATAGATCTGGCATTTTTTGAGCATGCATAACTCTGAAGTTCCTATCAAATGTTTTTCTGCTTCACTCTTTTGAGCCTCCTTTCTCTGATGTCTTTGCTTAATTTGCTCTGGGACTGAGGTAACAGTCGTATTGCAGCTTTTTGTTCTATTCCCTGCTCTTTAGTGAGTTCCAAAGGGGCTGAGTAGGAGTAAGCTGCTCAGTGATTTTCTCTGCATGCTGGGAATTTACCCAGCCTGGTCTCTCTGCCGTAACTGGTATTTATGACATCTTCCAATTGTATGTCATTCAAAGATTGCATTAAAGGGCTATTTCCTCCCTTTCCCAGGCCATTAATGAAGAGATGAGTGAGTCTGCAAAGTGTCACATTTTAAAGCCTCCTTCCAGCTGCAAATTTTGCTGGTGATATCTTCTCTTTGTTGATAGTTCCTCAGTCACTTTTCAATTTGTGGGGTCGCAAACAGTTTTTATCAAGGTGAGAGAGAGAGAGACTAGTATTTTGTTTTCTTGTAAACATGCCAGAGAAAGTGAGAAGAACAGGAAGCAGAGTCCCTCTGAGTGAACCCTACATCTGCCCCTTCCTGTGTGATTGTGGAAGAAACTTTACGGGCTTTTGGCCACAGTTTCTGAAAATGAAACTGGGAGTACTGATAAAACCTTCCAGGAATTATTGTGAAGATTAAGTGACATAAGATAATACAGAAAGCACAATATCCCAACCCCATTTTATATCAGTAACTAATAAAAGTTGGTTTTTTCTTTTATTTTCAATAATTTATGTTGACAGATATTGCTTGTACCCAGCTTATAGTCCCTTGTCTTGACCATTTCAGCACACGCCAGCCTAGCTTGCAACTGCCAGCATCTGCATTTTTGTGCCTAAGTGCTTTCTTTTCCCAGGGAAGCTTGTTTTGCTGTCCAAGCATCAGGTGGTGATGAACCAAGGAAGTAACATTCAACAGGCAGCTGCTTTTAACCAATGAACACAGCAATAGATGTATAAATGTTCTTTCCTCAATCTTTGGTTTGGATAACTCTGAGGTGTTTGTTCCTCCCTGGCTCCAAGAATTCTTCCAGCAGGCTTGAGTTCCAGATGCCCGCAGTGGCTTCATACACGTCCTTTATCCTCTGTCTTTCCTTCTCTGTTCTAAGACAGCCAGAGATAACACAGCCTAAGCATATACCTAGTGCAGTGTGAGGTGCTTAATTTAAAAAAAAAATGGGTCCTCCTTTGCATCTTTTCCTGACCCTGGAAATGTTCATGTTCAGGTCAGACATCTATTTATTGGGTTTGCACCTACAGTAGGATTTGTAATCCATTGAAAGATTGTAAACAACTTTTAAGATGTCTATTAATACATAAGAAAATATGACTGGCTTCCATGCAATACACCAAGAAAGGCACCCAAAGTTCCTTTGTCATTATTAAATATATAATCCATACAAATATTGATTACCTATTATAACTCTTATTTTTTGCCTGGCAGAGAATTGTGCCCCAAGGATAGTCCAATATCCAGAGAACCAGGGTGGTAAGCAGTGGGTGAGAAATGGGGGTGGAGATAGTCTAAGTCAGAGACCACAGGAGGGGACTGAATTTTGGTGGAGAGAGCTCATCATCAGGTGAAAATGACCAGTCCAAGAACTTAGGAATGGGGTCATCACAGCAAGATGAAGTGTACAGTGGAGAAGCACAGAACTTGGACCAGAAAAAGAGTCGAGGAACGGTGAGATTGTGCCAGAAGAACTGCAGTGTTCACAGCTTACCTTTCAGCACAACCCAGGTTTAGAGCTTTATAGGAGTCACCAGTTACTGAGCACGAACTAGGAAATGGGCAGCAGAGCACAGGCTGGCAGACAGGAGGAGAGGCAAGAGAGAGGTCTTGTCAGGACTCAGAAAAGAGGGCAGTGCTATCTCATCCAGTGTCCTGCTCAATGTGGGAGTGCCGGTGTCCATGAATTCCATCAATTTCACACAGTGGCCTCTTTTCTTTTTGTCATAATCTCTTCACTGATGACTTAACTCCCTTCTAGACACAGGCCTCACCTGTTTCTGTGCCAGCTCTTCCATTGTTGGCTGACCTGGAGCAGAAAATAGGATGCTTAATAAATAGTTCCAGAATTGGTACAATATGGCATATTTCTAGGTCAGCTGTACCTGGTGGGGAGGGAACAATGGCCTTGTGGTTAAAAGAGAATGTGACTCACTATCAGGAGTGTCCTCCCTTAGATGGCTAATTAACCAGAGTCCTGGGAGCCCAACTCCCAGAGGGCTCTCTGAAGATGAGAGAGCAGTGGTGGTGCCGATGCGACCTGTGGGGGATAACCTTAGATGTCCTGCACAGAGCAGGTCACACAAAATGCTTGGAGGAGAATGACTGATTTAGCATTTATACAGTACACAGCATTGTACTTTCTCACCGCTGCGGACCTTTGTAGCAAGGGCTGTTTAATCCAGTAGGACATTCAATCAAGTCCTTTTGAAAGTTTCCGGCGCTACATGTTCCCTTTATCCAAGCAGGTCACCTTCCACAGTCCCTGGCCAGGCAGCCAGAGCCTCATAATGGCAGTCTCGGTGCCCTTGCCTGCACCAGAAGCTCCCCCTGACCCTCCCGCCTTGACCTTTCCCTCAGTCCACTTCCGGACTATTTTCTTTTGACTGTACTATTTATAAAATCCACAATTTGTCAAATATCTTCTATGAAATATTAAATACACACAGGAGCTGAGAATGTGAGCTCCTGAAAAAGCGATCTTGAAGTTGAACCCCAAGGCTAACATTTCCTAGCCTTGTGATCTTACATAAGTTATTTAATCTCTCTTAGTCTCAGCCAATTCATGGCTAATATGGAGTTACTAACATGTAGGTATGCAGAAATTTTAGCTGTTATTACTGTAACTAACTGCTACTTTTTATTACTAGTATGTAATTATAATATTCAATGTATAATTGAATATATCATGGCATATCATATATTATTATAAGCAATGCATATTTTTATAAGTATAATGATACAGCCACATGTCACTTAATGAAGAGGACCTTCCAACAAATGTCTTAGTGATTTTGTCATTGTGTGAACATCATAGAGTGTACTTACACACATCTAAATGGTATAGCCTATGTATTAGTCAGGGTTCTCTAGGGGGACGGGACTAATAGGATAGATGTATATATGAAATGGAGTTTATTAAGGAGAATTGATGCACATGATCACAAGGTGACATCCCACAACAGGCCTTCTGCAAGCTGAAGAGCATGAAAACCAGTCCAAGTCCCAAAACCTCAAAAGTAGGGAAGCTGACAGTGCAGCCTTTAGTCTGTGGCCGAAGGCCCAACAGTCCCCGGAAAACCACTGGTATAAGTCCAAGAGTCTAGAAGCTGAAGAACTTGGGAGTCCGATGTTCCAGGGCAAGAAGCATCCAGAACAGGAGAACGATGAAGGCCAGAAGACTCAATCAGTCTAGTCCTTCCATGTTCCTCTGCCTTCTTTTAAGAGCAGGCAGAGGAACTTGGAAGTGCTTTTATCCTGGCTGCACTGGCAGCTAATTAGATGGTGCCCACCCAGATTGAGGGTGGGTCTGCCTCTCCCAGTCCACTGACTCCTGTGTTAGTCTCCTTTGGTAACACCCTCACAGACACACCTAGGAGCAATACTTTGTATCCTTTAATCCAATCAAGTTGACAATATTAACCCTCACACCATCTACTACACATATAGGTTCTATAGTATAAACTATTGCTCCTGGGCTACAAACCTGTATAACATGTTACTGTACTAAATACTGTAGGCAACTGTAACACAATGTTGAGTGTTTGTATATCTAAACATAGAAAAGGTACAGGAATAATATGATATAAAAGATAAAAAAAATGGTACTCCTGTATAGGACACTTACTCACTTACTGTGAATGGAGTTTGCAAAACTGGGAGTTGTTCTGAGTGAGGTAGTGAGTGAGTCCTGAGTGAATGTGAAGACCTAGGACATTAGTGTACACTACTGTAGAATTTATAAACATTGTGTCTTTAGGCTGCAATAAATTTATTTTAAAATATTTATTTATTTAATAATGAATTAACCTTAGTTTACTGAATGACCACTGTCATATATGCAGTCTGTCTTTGACTGAAATGTCATTTTGTGGTGCATGACTATTTATAGAAACATAAAGTAATATTAAACATAAATAATATATTATCCCTAATAACTGTTATGATTGCTAATAGCTACTGTTATTACTACTTTAACTTAGCATCATATTTATATTCATATCATTTTATGTAAATGATCAATCTTACGAGGCGAATATAATTATTCATAGTTTACAAGTGGGGAAACCGAGGATCAGGAAGACAATAATTTTCCCATGGTGACACTGCTAGTAGTCATTAGAATTAGAAATGTTATATTTTTTTCTCATTCTCTTCTTTTCTTCTTTGTTATAGGGTTGCCTTTTCAATTCCATATAATTCTTTTTCTCTCCTAAGAATCTGGAGTCTCCACACTTAGGCTACATTAAGTAGCTTAAGTAGACTGAAGTCTCCATACTCTGGATTCTTAGGGGAGAAAAAGAATTACATGAAAAGGAAAGAAGGGTCCTGGAAAAAAAAAAAAGGAAAAAAAGGAAAAAGAAAAGAAGAGAATGAGAAAAAAAATACGGATTTGGGAGTCAACATTTCTAATTCTAATGACTACTAGCAGTATCACCATGGAAAAATTATTGTCTTCCTGAACCTTGGTTTCCCCATTTGTGAAAACAGCTGCTCTCACACTTGACATTTACAGACAGGACTTTGCAGAAAGGATTTTTTTTTTTTTTGCAGTGGATTAAACCATTAAAAAATTGAAAAAGAAAAGTTGAAAGTAGAGCTTGGATCTTGAATTTCTCTGAGTAATGAACAGTTATTGAGACTCCAGGCCATGGGGTGATATTCAGAAATCCTGTTACATCCACCTGTCAGGTAAGAAAGCCCCAGCTCCAAAACCAAATATGGGATTCTTCACTCATCTGGGTTAGGGTTCTCAATCTTGGCCCTATTAACTTCTTATGCTTGGTTATCCTTCCTTTTAGGGAGCTGTCTTAATATCGTAGGATGTTAAGCAGCAACCTGGACCTTTACATACTAGATGACAGTAGCATTTTCTCCTACCCTAGCTGTGACAAGGAAGCATATCTCCAGCTATTGACAAATGTCACCTGTGGGAGAAAATTACCCCAGAGGAGAACAAATCATGTTGGTTAATTGGAGGAAAACCAGGAGGAAATAGAAAGTGATTTGGGGTCATAGAATCTTTGGAAGAAGGGATACAGAATGCTTACTTTCTTGGAAAGATTGTAGAATTCAGGATTGGAAGAATTCTGCTTGCCTCCAGCTTTGCCCCATTCCTGGCTGGGTGAGCCCCACCTGGACAAGCAAGTTGCTGCCTCTGAGTCAGAGTATTTTCAGTGGGGACATAGGGTGTTATAGACCGAATGTGTGTGTTTTTCACAAAATTTATACGGTGAAGTCTGAACTCCCAAAGTGATGATATTTGGAGATGAGGCCTTCGGAAGGTACTTGAGGTTAGAGCAGGGTCCTCATGATGGGTCCTCATGTTGGGATTAATGCCCCCATTAGGAGAAACATCGAATCTCTCTCTCTCTCTCTCTCTCTCTCTCTCCTTCTCTCTCTCTCTCTGTACCATGTGAAGATACAGCAAGAAGACAGCTGTCTTCAAGCCAGGAAAAGAGTCTTCAGTACCTGACCTTGCTGGTACTCTGATCATGGACTTCTAGCCTCCAGAACTGTGAGAAAGTATCATTCTGTCTTTTAAACCCCCAAGTCTATGGTACCTTTTGTTATGGCATTTGTATCAGACTTC
Source organism: Homo sapiens (assembly GCF_000001405.40). NCBI lineage: Eukaryota > Metazoa > Chordata > Mammalia > Primates > Hominidae > Homo > Homo sapiens. The sequence goes on along the minus strand of NC_000004.12, from coordinate 11,184,345 downwards.
TGTAAGAAAAATTATCATTGACTAGTAATAATTTTTCTTATAGCTCAAGATTGTTAAAGAAACTAATTGAAGAACTGAAAACTGTAAAGTAGCATATGATATTTCAGTTCTTATTGATAGTTATTCATTTCAAGGACATTTAGCCATGAACTGCCTTTGAAGTTTGGCAAGCACTGGTCCTACTGAACCAGCTTTGCTGAAGAGGTGATATAATTGTAATTAATTAATTACTGGCATGCCATGGAAGGCTGCTAAAAACTTGAAATGAGTGTATACTTAATTACTTCATTTACTAAATTCACAAAGAGTGAAAAAGTCAAACTCAGAGCTTGCTCTCCTCATGCACCTTATATTCACGTGAACATATAAACTTGACTTACAAGATTTAGGTAATACAGGCATGGAACAGAATAAAGCCATAAATTATTTTATTACAATTTTTAAATGCTTTGTTGGAGAAGTCCAGAGTTCTATTACAGCACATACAATGAAAAACTTTTTTAAATAGCACTGGTAACCTTGTTTACATCTACTTTAAATAATCAAATTGGCAAGAAATATTTCTTCATAAATAATATGTAAATAAAACTTAGGTCAGGACAAAGAATCATGATTTCCTTTAGGGTATTACTAGAAATTGTTAAAGGAAGACTTTTACTTTTTACATATACAGTGCAAGAAATTAAAAGTTAAATGGGCAAGTACTTCTCTTTATGAGTTTGTCAGAACTACACAGTGCTGGCTGAGAAAGTGCTAGTAATGCTCCGGGAGCTGAAGGAGAGCCAAAAAAAATGCACATCTCAAAAGAACGTTTACTCAAAAGACATTGATGAGACTCCAAGCATGTGTCAGGCCCTGTGCTGGTTGGCAGAATACTTAAGTCTTACACTGCCAGAGTTTATGGTTTGCAAAGCTCACATTTACAAACCCCTATTTCATTCACTCCCTCATTCATTTCTCATTTGTTTACCAAATAAAATGAACTATAAGGCAAGTAAGAATTATGACCCCCATTTAATAAGTGAGAAAACCAAGGTGCAAAGAGGATCAAAGATATGTTCCTGAGCAGCATCTCCTAAGTTACAGAGCAAGGACTCACATCAGAATTAGTCTTAGATTCCATACAGTGGCCTTTTGTTTTTCCACATGGTACTACATTCCATCAAAATACATGGCCCACAAAAGTCCCGGTAAGTATGCAACAGAAGCAGCTTGATGTGTTGTAGTTAACTAGATTGATGCATTTGGCTACCACAAAAATTTATTTTCTAAATTGTCCAGTTCAAGCCCCTCTAAGCCATAAAGTTCAAATTATCCAATGCTTTATCTCAACTCAATTTACTTTTATTCTATATAGTAGAGTTTCATGGAGTATATATACTTCACATATGAGCAAAACTGCAAAGATACCTGATACCCAGGGCTGTTTGGGTATCAGCCAGCCATCCATTTGGCAGAGCATCATCTTAGGAGATGAGATCATAAGAATAGAAGGATGGGTTGAGGCTTTCTGAAGTATTGTGATTCATGGTGTATTCATCTGCTGGGCTGCTATAACAAAATACCATAGGCTGGATGGCTTAAACAACAGAAATTCATTTTCTTACAGTTCTGGGAGGCAGAAATTCCAGAACAAGGCCTGGCAGAGTTGGTTTCTAATGAGAGCACTCTTCTTGGCTTGCAGACAGCTGCATTCTCACTATTCCTCCCATGGCCTTTCTGCATCATGTGTGCATTGAGAGGGAATGAGTTCTCTGGTGTCTCTTCTTATATGTACACTAATCCTGTTGGGTCAGAGACTCACCCTTTAGAGCCTCATTTAACCTTAATTACTTCCTTATAGGCCCCATCTTCAAACTCAGTGACACTGGGGTTTAGAGCTTGTGGAAATTTAAACATTCATTCCACAACACTCCACTGTTGGCTTTCCCAAATTTATATATTTTTCTCATGCAAAATGCATTCATTCCATTCCAACTGCCCCAAAAGTTTTAACTAATTTCAGCTTCAACTCTAAAGTCTAAAGTGCAGGGTATCATATGAATATCATCTAAATCAGGTATGGGTGAGACTCAATGCATGATTCATCTTGAGACATCATGAGGAATGAAGATATGATTCCTCTGTAGCTATGAACCTGTGAAACCAGATAAGTTATGCACATCTGAAATACAACAGTGAGACAGGCATAGGGTAGACATTCCATTCCAAAAGGGTGAACTAGAAAAGAGGAAGGGGAAACAAATCTCCAGAGTCCAAAATCTAGCAAGAGAAACTTAATTAGATCTTTAGGCTCAAGAATAATCCCCTCTAGTGGGATGCTCTACACTTACACTTGGTCCCACAGGGCAGTATCCCCATCCAATGGACCTGCTGGGCAGGGGTCCTGCCACCTTTGTTCTCCAGAGCAGTTTGGGGTCACAAAAATTTAACCCATAATGCATGGTTAATTCGGTAGGCAATGGGAAGTCATGGCAAGCTTTTATACGTAAAACTGACATGTACAAAATATTGTTTCAGAAATACCAGTTTGGTTTGAGAGTAAATGATAATTTGAGTTGAGGAAAAGACAAACCAAGTGAGATGAACTAGGAAGGTCTTGTAACGATTCATTTAATTATTTTCCCCATTTATTCATTTTATATTTATAGAACAATGGTTATTTATTGGGTGGCCACTCGTAATTGCAGATGCAATAATAATGGAATAGGCCAGTTTCTGCTCTCTCAGGGAACTTATTTTCTGGCAGGCAAAAAGATCTGATCAAAGCAAGACAATGAAGTAGGGTCCAGGGATAATGGGAACCCTGACTTAGAAGTCTAACTGCAAAATCTGTATCTGCATGATGTAATTTGAACAGATGTAGGGAAGTGTCCAATAAGGTATATTTTAAGGAGGGAACACTCTTTTTGTAATCTTTTTAGTATGAACATAGGAAGCTAGTGGCAGTCATCTTTTATTTGGGGTTATTGAAAGGTTAGCAGAATCTGGTGTCAGTACACCAGCTGCTTCAAGCATGGCAAATAGCCTAAGGCAAGCTAAAGTAAATTGAGCTCCTTCTTTTATTCATTCATTCAACAAACATTTACTGGATGCTGCCCATGTGTCAGGTACTATTTTTGGAACTGAGGCTATCAAGGTGAACAAAATATACAAAGTTCCTGCTTTCCTGGAGCTAACATTCTATATTGAAAGAGATTGAAATCGAACAATAAATAGGTATCTGATAAAGTTTCAGATTGTGATTGTGTGCTATGAAGAAATCTCAGATGGGGTAAAGGATCACAGGGTGATGGAGAAGTGCCCCTTTAGAAGGCACGGACAGGGAGGGCCTCTCCAGAGGGTGGCATTGAGAAGAGACCTGAACAAAGTGTTCAGCTGTTAGTCACTTCAAATCTTACTGAGTCCCCAGTGCAAAAAGCCTGGTCATAGATCTTAGCAATAAGCTTAATAAATTAAGAAATAGGACAGAATCACAGGAGTCCGCATAGGGCACTCTTCCTTGTCAATCTCACATGAAACTCTTTCTTTCTCTCTCTCTTGCATGCCCCATTTTTCTCCCTCAGAAATCATTTATCTGAGAATCATAGAATGTGCAATTGCAGAAAAATAGGATGTTACGAACAGAAAGAATTTTATGGGGGTAGAAATCATCTCCCACCACTCACAAACAGCAATTAACTCCATTAGCAAAGTCTCCACATTGTAATTGCCCAAACCACATTTGATCTATTTGCACAGTGAGAAACTCCCAACCATGAAAGTTGTCAATTATGCTGGCTAACTTCTATCTGTCAGTCATAGGTATGGCCGCTGGACTCAAACTGGACAAATACAGTCCTTTCCCTTCTACCTGTTGACCCTACAGACATCTATGTCCAGGTGAAAAACACATCTACTTTTCCTCAGTGTTGCTGTAGAGTTGCCTCATACCCATGCCTCCTTCCTCTGAACCACCTACCCCATTGACGGTTCTCCTTTGCTCTTTTTGGTTTATTTATTTATTTTCTTTCTCTGGAACTTTGCTAAGGATTCACCATAAACCAGGGGCCTGTAGCACATTCTTACAATTTTATGTCTTGGCATCTAATTTGAATACAAATTTAACTTGCTCATACCAGAAGCAGGACTCAGCCACCCTTGACATAGTTTCCAATTCTAAAGCCAAACTCATATGGTTCAAGGTGGTGGCCGGAGATAACCACTAGCAGACTGGGCTCCCCACTTTCCAGCCATTTCCTTTAAACAGACCATCCAGGCCTTTCCCTGTGACCTTAAAGTGGTCCACACCCCATTCCCTCATGTACATTGCTCACTGCCACATGTGTGCTCTCTCACTCTATGTGACTTCTTTCCTGCCTTGTGTGACTCAGGGACAAAGGACTTCCCTTCAGACTCATTGCACCCTCCCCTGCCCAGGATCTGTAAGTAAAAATCTTTAAACCTTTTCCTGTTATGGCGGTGGATGAAATTTGCACTTTCTCTCTGAAGAACAAGGGTTGGCTTTTCCCAACCCAGTTGGGTTTTCCCAGGGATGCCAAGGAAAACACAAGGTTGGACTCCCAGCATCAGGTTGATGGTCCAGCAGGCATAAACTGGACAGGGTGCAGGCAAGAGCGACAGGATCCTGCCAGTATAAATATGTTCCCCATGTGAGGAATCCCCTGGTTCTGAGTTAAACAGCTAAACATTAGACTGCCCACCAGGCAAAATAAGTATCCCATGAAGAACATGCTTCAATCTCCTATGTCCAGCTCCCCTTCGTATCCCATTAGGGCAGGGCTGCAAGCCACTCAGATACTGGCATTCAGTATAGATGCATGTGCTCAAAACATGGGTTCACAAGGAACTAAAACATCAGATCAATAAGACATAGTTCCTGATCTTAAAAAGTTAACTTCTATCGGCCAGGTGCGATGGCTCATACCTGTAATACCAGCACTTTGGGAGGCCGAGGGGGGTGGATCGCCTGAGGTCAGGAGTTCGAGACCAGCTTGCCCAACATGGTGGAACCCCATCTCCACTAAAAATACAAAAAGTAGCCGGGTGTGGTGGCACACACCTGTAGTCCCAGATACTTGGCAGGCTGAGGCAGGAGAATTGCTTGAACCAGGGAGGCAGAGGTTGCAGTGAGCCGAGGTCGTGCTACTGCACTCCAGCCTGGGTGACAGAGCGAGACTCCATCCCCCCCCGCCAAAAAAAAAAGTTATCATCTATCAGAGAAAATAAAGAACTTTTGGAACAAACCTGTCACAATGTGAAAAGGATTATTTTGGTAGAGAGAAGACAATGAGCTCTAGAAGAAGGGGAAAAGCCATGGCAGAGATGATCAGAGCCAGTCAGCACATGGCAAGGGTAAGTTATTTCAAACAGAGAGCACGAGGCACAGAGGCAAAGGCAGGCTCATGTGAAAAGCACATGGGGACTCCAACTTGGAACTGAAATTTAGTATGTCTGAAGACGGTCCCATAAATCATGCTGGAAAACTAGGTATGGAGAAGCTTCATTGTGCCAGACCATTCCATTGAGTATAACCAAGATCAAGGTAAGTTTGGCCATACATTGACCATAGGACAATCCTCATACAAAAGAGGATTTTTACTCCATTTGTTTCTGGAGACTAAAGACTATAATTATGCTTTCTGAGATGCATTTAAAATGGGGTTAGATTTCATCTCTTCATCCATTGTATCACGTGACTTTATCCAGTTCAAGGTCATAACTCCTTGAGAACGGGGACTAAAATATGTTCCCCTCACACCTCATGAAGGGAATAGCAATCATGTAAGTATAATAATTATAATAATAACGTGTTTGGCATGGTCGAATTTGCAGAACGATGTCATACAGACTATTTACTTTGAAGAGTAGACTTTTTCTTCATTTTATACATCAAGAGAGTTGATGGGGGTTCAGAAACATCACCCGGGCAGTCCCTATGATACAAATAGCAATTTCTAGAGGCAGGGCTAGAATGCAGGTCCTCTGGCTCCAAGCTAATGAGATTTCCTCAAATGTTTAGTGATTATTTTCCTCAGAGAGAGTAAATTTGGGTGGCGGAAGGAGACATAAAAGAAAACCACCTATTATTCTATGACCAGTGGAGCTACCAGACACTACACTACATTTATTTCTCATCTATGACCCATTTGCATTGCAATCACCAGGTTCTTGTAGAAAGGGTCTGGGAAGTCTAGGAGCTGCTGTCAGCTTCTCGGAGGCTCTTTAGCCTATTTCTGAGAATGTGGCTGCCTCTGAACGCAGGCTGTGCAACATGCTTCAGTGAGCATGGATAAGAAGCATGGACTTTGACTTAGATTACTAAAACCCATATGAACAGTCCTCTCTAAGGCAATGTCCTGTCAAGCAGTTTGGATAAAATGCTGGCCTTAAAGATACTAGACATGAGTCCTTTTGTCTAATTTTTTCCTTAAGAAAAGCACAAGATGAAGAGAGAATTGTCATTTAATGCCCTATAAGAAGGTGTTATATCATAATGTTAACAACTAAAATATTGCCAAGCTAAAGAATGTGATTAATATATAACTCTAATTCTTAAAATTAACTTTTGTGATAGGCATTTTGAATCCCCATTTTATGACTGAAGAAACTGCCAGAGAAGAAAAAATGAACAAAATATTTTAAGACCACTTGCTATAGTTTAGACATTCTAAGAGATTTACAGTTACAGTCATGTATCTCTTTTTTTTTTTTTTTTTTTTTTTTTGAGATGGAGTCTCACTCTGTCACCCAGGCTGGAGTGCAGTGGCACAATCTCGGCCCACTGCAGACTCTGCCTCCCAGGTTCAAGTGATTCTCCTGCCTCAGCCTCCCGAATAGCTGGGACTACACGAACATGCCACCACACCAGGCTATTTTTTTTTATTTTTAGTAAGGACAAGGTTTCACCATGTTGGCCAGGATGGTCTTGATCTCCTGACCTTGTGATTCACCTGCCTCGGCCTCCCAAAGTGCTGGGATTACAGTTGTGAGCTACCACGCCCAGCCTGTCATGTGTCTCTTAACAATGGTGATACATTGTGACTATGAGAAATGTGTTGGTAGGTGATTCCCTTGTGGGAACATCATAGAGTATATTTACATAAACTTAGGTGGCAATGCCTATGACACATCTAGGCTATATGGTAATGCCTACTGCACCTAGGCTATAAACCTGCACAGCATGCTACTGTACTGAATACAGTAGGCAGCTGTACCACAATGGTAAGTATTTGTGTATCTAAACATAGAAAAGGTGTAGTAAAAATACATTATAAAAGACAAAAAAATGGTTTTTTTTATCTGGATAGGTCAGCTCCATTATAATCTTATGTGCAGTGTGTTGTTAACCTAAATATTATGATGTGGTATGTGACTGTATTAATGTATTACTTTTCATAGCCACCCTATAAGACAGTTACTATTTTCTCTGTTTCACAGACAAGATTCAATGAAGATCAGACAGATCACACAAGTCGCCCAAAATCACACAACTAGTAAACATGGAAGTGAGCTAGCAAGGCTGGCGACAGCCCTGTGGTCCTCCTACAATAAATTGTGCTAGGCATTTTCATTATACGTTGCCTCATTCACTCTTGTTATTCACCCTTGGAAACAGGTATTGGGATTCCCATACTCTGCATTCTACATGCTAAGAATCTGAGGTTCACAAAAACTAAAAGACATATCCAAATTCACATAGTTAGGACATAGCAGAGCTGGTACTCAACTCCAAGTATTCTAACCATCACATCCCATGTTGTTTTGCATCACTAGGGTTCCTATTAGAACTATGCCTTTTTTAAAATTAAACCAATGGTCATTTATATCGGAAATTTACATTAAGACAGTTATAAAATGCATACAATTTATCATTTTTATATGGGTTAATTTCATTTCTGTTTTAAAAATTATGATGTCATTCTTTAAAATAATTGGTGAGAAATTAGTTGTAAGAAAGCTTATTTTTATTTAAATACTCAGTCTCTTGGAAATAGAGTGAGTGAATATTCCAGGGGCAAATGTGACAGGCTCGTAGGCTGCTGAACTTTGTATTGGGATCCCCTGGTCCAGCGGATCAAGAAGTTGCCCCGCCAAATAGCAGGGTCCAATCAAACATATATCACTCCTGAAAACCAAAGCTCCCGGGAAATCACGAAGTCTCTTCTCAGAAGTCCTTGGGAACTTTCTTCCATAATCCTTTCTTATTGTTTTTAACACTGGGTCATATTTTTTTGAATCTTACTCTTTTGTTTTCTTTGGCTCTTAGGAGCTTAGAGTTGGCAGATCCTTTCTTGATTTCAGTGAAAGTACTATTCCTGAGACATCTCTTCCAGAGGATTTTTTGTTGTCAAACCTTGTGTCATTATGAATACATACATATATATAGTATCCACCAAGCTATACTTGCTGGCTTAATTAATTGTGCAAGAATTGACAATCAGAGCTACATTTTTTACAAACTTTCCTCTGTAGCTTCTAGGTAGAGGGAGATTTTAAAATACTAAAACATTGAATTTAATTTTATCCCTATAATTTATTTTTTATATAACCATTATTATGAATTAAGCATTATGATCCTAGCTTTCCCATCTCAAAACTTTATGGTCTGTTATCTATCATGGAAGATTGTTTTAGAGATTAAGAACAATCATTCATTTATTCATTCAGTCACTCATGCATCATCCATTCAATAAATATGATCTGAGGGTTTACTAAATACTGAGTATTCTGTCAATCATTATAAATGATAGAGGTGACAGTTCTTTCATTCCTATTCACAAGGAGTGCACAATCTACTGGGGGGGAGTTAAGTGCATAATTTACAGTGTGATGACTGCTGATAGGATTATGTGCAGAAGCTGCAGGAACACTGAGGAGTGAAGGAGAGGCTTGACATGTAACATTGGTTGTGTTGGGTCATGGAAAGTGCATAAAGGAATCAAGATACTTTGTTTTCTGAGGAAGAGAAAACTAATCACTGACTTGATGGATGAATAAGAGTGAGCCAAATGTGGCGGGCCTGGGGCAATGGTGGAAGACTGGTGTGCTATTTCTGCAGATACACACTTAGGACAAAGCTTGAAATGCTAATAAGTGTTCAGTATTTTGAATGTCTTTGATTCTAAATAAAACAAACAGAAAAACCCAATTTGACCTCAAAACATGTCTTTGGTCATATGTAAGCAAAGCTATTACTTTTCAGTGTTTAACACTGAATCTTCACAGCTTCCCAGACACAGAGGATGTCCTTTGAAGTGCGCAAAAGATAAGATCCTGTGGGGACAGGACTTTCTGAACATCGAGAGATTAATTTACACCACCACAAAATAAAATCAGCCTGCTGCTAATCAAAGTTCCAATTCCTATATTCCAGGGCGTTTCACAGGAGGATTTTCCCACTATGGAAAAAAAGTAAAAGAGAATAGAAAAACCACTCTTGTGCTACTTTGGGATAAAACAAACAACAGAGTTGTTCTCTGATGGGGAAGTTAGCAGGTTGTCATTGATACAACTCCACAGAGGGAAAGAAGGTAACATTCCAAAGAGAAAAAAAAAATGCTCTTGCAGTCAAGTAATTGAATCTATTTATATATCTCTTTTTACATACATCTAACATGAGTGCAGTGCTTTGTTGGTTGGTAGGATCTGATTCCATAAAACCCACTTAGATTAAAAGTGAGCATTGGGTAATGAAAAGAGATGAGCATTTTTATTTAGTTTTTATTTTGCCACTTAGGAGTGCCCTTGTGCAGTTCACCTTTTGTGCACTGCCTTGTCCATAGCACTTTTGATAACCAAATAGAGCAATTGATGTGAAGTTACTTTGGGTGAGATAATGCAAAATAAATGCAAGACACTGATAAAATTAAAGTTAAAATATTCCAAAGAAGAATTCAACTTGAGTCATTAACTCTGAACCTGCATTCACAATGCTGGGAATATAAAATAGATGCCCATGGATATGTCATTTTTGTCATTTGTTGATTGATAATGGCTACTATTGCTTCCCCTTTCAGGCTTCTTATTAGTCTCTTGGCTTTTGCTGGGAACTTGATCTTGATTTACCTACACAAAACTCCCCACTTTGCTCTTTCCTCATTTTCACAATTATTAAGGTCAAAGCCACTCATCAATCTCTGATATAATGAATTATTGTTGGTGCATATGTGAATGAATAAATAAAATTCAAGGTCTTCACTTCTAGAAGTGGTTCTCTCAGTGGTATCCTACGAGCAAGACCCGCAGGAGGAAGAATAATGTCTCTACTTAACATGTTCTTGGTACCAAGCAGATGATTATGTGATGTTGGTCACCTTCTCTTATTTTTCATCACTGTCCTCACCCTTGTTCATAATTTTGAGGATACAGGTGGAAAGAGTAGGAGCATTATTTTATTGGTATTGAGTCCCAAGGCCTAATTTTGTTATTTGTTCACTGAAGGAATTTGCTAAAATTAGTTGATCATTGAGCTTCAGGTTCTCCCTATATGAAATACGTATCATTTACTCCTTTTAGAAGAGGCCATAAAACACTGATATGCATCAAGTAGTAGTTGGAGAGCTCAAGGACACTAAACTGCTTCTTCATAAAGGGAATACAACATTGGAGGGAGGAGCAAAGGGATCAACGTTATTTTGCTGATTGTGCTTGGCCCATATTATCCTGACACCGGAGTGCATGTTGGGCTGGTTTGCTTTTCATTTGGGAGGTGCTGGAGGCTGAGAGAGTTATATGTGGGAGAGAAGGATAATCCAATATTCTCTGTAATTTTTCTAAAAAGAATCTGGAAGAGAATAAATCTGTATTAATTAGGGTTCTCTAAAGGAACAGAAAAAACAGGACAGATGTATATATGGAGGAGAATTTATTAAGAAGTATTGACTCATGCAATCACAAATTGAAGTCCCACAATAGGCTGTCTGCAAGCTGAGGAGCAAGGATGCTAGAGAGACAGCCCCTGGCAAATTACTGGTGTAAGTCCAAGAGTCCAAAAGCTGAAGAACCTGGAGTCTAAGGTTCAAGGGCAGGAAGCATCCACCACAGGAGAAAGATGAAGGCCAGAAGACAGCAAGTCAAGTCCTTCCATGTTCTTCTGCCTGCTTTATTCCAGCCACACTGGCAACTGATTAGATGGTGCCTACCCAGATAGAGGGTGGGTCTGCCTCTTCCGGGCCACTGACTCAAATGTTGATCTCCTTTGGCAACGCCCTGACAGACACACCCAGGAAAAATACTTTGCATCCTTCAATCCACTCAAGTTGACTTAATTCCAGATGTTCTCCGTGAAACTTTCCTTGGTATTATAGGAAGCTCTGGTCAATCCATCTACTCAGTAACCTGCCTGTGTCCTGTCAGGAAGCACAGAAGAGGAGGAGATGATGATGGGACTTGTGATAGTTCTACCTGTTGCATGAATCAGTGGCATTGAACTTATGGTTGTGACTTTTACTTGATAACTGATTCTGCTGGACTGTTCTCCCAAGAACCTGCACAGAGAGGAGGCAACCGTGAAAAGCCTATACTTGTTCTCGTCGGATCATCCCCTGAGCAAACCTGTGAGAACCCCAAGGCAGAGCCAGAACTACCATGAGCTTCAAAATGGATGTTCACAGGAAACTTGTTAAAATTGAGGGGGAATGTTGAAAGAAAACAAAGAGACAACAATTAAGCAGGACGATCTCAAGGTAGGATCATCCAATGTCATGAAATAACCATGGAAAGTAACAATCTCCAGGGGAAGGTGAAGGCTTTTCCTACCTAGTCAAATCCTAGTCTTATCAAATTTCTTCACAAATGTATTTAAGACCTTAAATCAAGACGCTTCTGTTTCAAATTTTTATTATTTTTTCCAGTCATGTATGTATATGTAAAAATATACATTTTATGCTTTTAAAATTTGTATAAGTGGTATTAGAACAGAAAAATAGGAAATTGTAAGGCAAATAATTAGGGAAATGATGCAAGATTCCTCATGAGCTTCAAATTGCTATGAATTATGTATTTCAAAAAACAAAAGGTACTCTTCAGTATTCACCAATCTTACATGGCCAGGAGTTAAAAGAAAACAAAGAAACAAACAACAAGAACAAGAATAAATAAACTGCATAGTTTATATTGTAGCGAGGTGATCAAAGGAACCTATTTTGGCATGAAAATAAGACATTGTCTCTTTGTAGGTCACGCAGGACTTGCTTTATGAATCTGGGTGCTCCTGTATTGGGTGCATATATATTTAGGATAGTTAGCTCTTCTTGTTGAATTGATCCCTTTACCATTATTTAATGGCCTTCTTTGTCTCCTTTGATCTTTGTTGGTTTAAAGTCTGTTTTATCAGAGACTAGGATTGCAACCCCTGCCTTTTTTTGTTTTCCATTATCTTGGTAGATCTTCCTCCATCCTTTTATTTTGAGCCTATGTGTGTCTCTGCACGTGAGATGGGTTTCCTGAATACAGCACACTGATGGGTCTTGACTCTTTATCCAATTTGCCAGTCTGTGTCTTTTAATTGGAGGATTTAGTCCATTTACAAGACTCCCACACATTATTAATGGGAGACTTTAACACCCCACTGTCAACATTAGACAGATCAATGAGACAGAAAGTCAACAAGAATACCCAGGAATTGAACTCAGCTCTGCACCAAGCGGACCTAATAGACATCTACAGAACTCTCCACCCCAAATCAACAGAATATACATTTTTTTCAGCACCACACCACACCTATTCCAAAATTGACCACATACTGGGAAGTAAAGCTCTCCTCAGCAAATGTAAAAGAACAGAGATTATAACAAACTATCTCTCAGACCACAGTACAATCAAACTAGAACTCAGGATTAAGAATCTCACTCAAAACTGCTCAACTACCTGGAAACTGAACAACCTGCTCCTGAATGACTACTGGATACATAACGAAATGAAGGCAGAAATAAAGATGTTCTTTGAAACCAACGAGAACAAAGACACAACATACCAGAATCTCTGGGACGCATTCAAAGCAGTGTGTAGAGGGAAATTTATAGCACTAAATGCCCACAAGAGAAAGCAGCAAAGATCCAAAATTGACACCCTAACATCACAATTAAAAGAACTAGAAAAGCAAGAGCAAACACATTCAAAAGCTAGCAGAAGGCAAGAAATAACTAAAATCAGAGCAGAACTGAAGGAAATAGAGACAAAAAAAAAACCCTTCAAAAAATTAATGAATCCAGGAGCTGGTTTTTTGAAAGGATCAACAAAATAGATAGACCGCTAGCAAGACTAATAAAGAAAAAAAGAGAGAAGAATCAAATAGACACAATAAAAAATGATAAAGGGGATATCACCACCGATCCCACAGAAATACAAACTACCATCAGAGAATACTACAAACACCTTTACACAAATAAACTAGAAAATCTAGAAGAAATGGATAAATTCCTCGACACATACACTCTCCCAAGACTAAACCAGGAAGAAGTTGAATCTCTGAATAGACCAATAACAGGAGCTGAAATTGTGGCAATAATCAATAGTTTACTAACCAAAAAGAGTCCAGGACCAGATGGATTCACAGCCGAATTCTACCAGAGGTACAAGGAGGAACTGGTACCATTCCTTCTGAAACCATTCCAATCAATAGAAAAAGAGGGAATCCTCCCTAACTCATTTTATGAGACCAGCATCATTCTGATACCAAAGCCGGGCAGAGATACAACCAAAAAAGAGAATTTTAGACCAATATCCTTGATGAACATTGATGCAAAAATCCTCAATAAAATACTGGCAAAACGAATCCAGCAGCACATCAAAAAGCTTATCCACCATGATCAAGTGGGCTTCATCCCAGGGATGCAAGGCTGGTTCAATATATGCAAATCAATAAATGTAATCCAGCATATAAACAGAGCCAAAGACAAAAACCACAGATTATCTCAATAGATGCAGAAAAAGCCTTTGACAAAATTCAACAACGCTTCATGCTAAAAACTCTCAATAAATTAGGTATTGATGGGACGTATTTCAAAATAATAAGAGCTATCTATGACAAACCCACAGTCAATATCATACTGAATGGGCAAAAACTGGAAGCATTCCCTTTGAAAACTGGCACAACACAGGGATGCCCTCTCTCACCGCTCCTATTCAACATAGTGTTGGAAGTTCTGGCCAGGGCAATTAGGCAGGAGAAGGAAATAAAGTGTATTCAATTAGGAAAAGAGGAAGTCAAATTGTCCCTGTTTGCAGATGACATGATTGTATATCTAGAAAACCCCATCGTCTCAGCCCAAAATCTTCTTAAGCTGATAAGCAACTTCAGCAAAGTCTCAGGATACAAAATCAATGTACAAAAATCGCAAGCATTCTTATACACCAACAACAGACAAACAGAGAGCCAAATCATGAGTGAACTCCCATTCACAATTGCTTCAAAGAGAATAAAATACCTAGGAATCCAACTTACAAGGGATGTGAAGGACCTCTTCAAGGAGAACTACAAACCACTGCTCAAGGAAATAAAAGAGGATACAAACAAATGGAAGAACATTCCATGCTCATGGGTAGGAAGAATCAATATCGTGAAAATGGCCATACTGCCCAAGGTAATTTACAGATTCAATGCCATCCCCATCAAGCTACCAATGCCTTTCTTCACAGAATTGGAAAAAACTATTTTAAAGTTCATATGGAACCAAAAAAGAGCCCGCATCACCAAGGCAATCCTAAGCCAAAAGAACAAAGCTGAAGGCATCACACTACCTGACTTCAAACTATACTACAAGGCTACAGTAACCAAAACAGCATGGTACTGGTACCAAAACAGAGATATAGATCAATGGAACAGAACAGAGCCCTCAGAAATAACGCCGCATATCTACAACTATCTGGTCTTTGACAAACCTGAGAAAAACAAGCAATGGGGAAAGGATTCCCTATTTAATAAATGGTGCTGGGAAAACTGGCTAGCCATATGGAGAAAGCTGAAACTGGATCCCTTCCTTACACCTTATACAAAAATCAATTCAAGATGGATTAAAGATTTAAACGTTAGACCTAAAACCATAAAAACCCTAGAAGAAAACCTAGGCATTACCATTCAGGACATAGGCATGGGCAAGGACTTCTTCATGTCTAAAACACCAAAAGCAATGGCAACAAAAGACAAAATTGACAAATGGGATCTAATTAAACTAAAGAGCTTCTGCACAGCAAAAGAAACTACCATCAGAGTGAACAGGCAACCTACAAAATGGGAGAACATTTTCGCAACCTACTCATCTGACAAAGGGCTAATATCCAGAATATACAATGAACTCAAACAAATTTACAAGAAAAAAACAAACAACCCCATCAAAAAGTGGGCGAAGGACATGAACAGACATTTCTCAAAAGAAGACATTTATGCAGCCAACAGACACATGAAAAAAATGCTCATCATCACTGGCCATCAGAGAAATGCAAATCAAAACCACAATGAGATACCATCTCACACCAGTTAGAATGGCAATCCTTAAAAAGTCAGGAAACAACAGGTGCTGGAGAGGATGTGGAGAAATAGGAACACTTTTACACTGTTGGTGGGACTGTAAACTAGTTCAACCATTGTGGAAGTCAGTGTGGCGATTCCTCAGGGATTTAGAACTAGAAATACCATTTGACGCAGCCACCCCATTACTGGGTATATACCCAAAGGACTATAAATCATGCTGCTATAAAGACACATGCACACGTATGTTTATTGCGGCATTATTCACAATAGCAAAGACTTGGAACCAACCCAAATGTCCAACAATGATAGACTGGATTAAGAAAATGTGGCACATATACACCATGGAATACTATGTAGCGATAAAAAATGATGAGTTCATGTCCTTTGTAGGGACATGGATGAAATTGAAAATCATCATTCTCAGTAAACTATCGCAAGAACAAAAAACCAAACACCACATATTCTCACTCGTAGGTGGGAATTGAACAATGAGATCACATGGACACAGGAAGGGGAATATCACACTCTGGGGACTGTGGTGGGGTGGGGAGAAGGGGGAGGGATAGCATTGGGAGATATACCTAATGCTAGATGACGAGTTAGTGGGTGCAGCGCACCAGCATGGCACATGTATACATATGTAACTAACCTGCACAGTGTGCACATGTACCCTAAAACGTAAAGTATAATTAAAAAAAAAAAAAAGAAAATAAGACATTGAACTGAAGATGTAAAGGGATACTTGCAGTGTCTGCATTGATGCCCAGTTCCCAGGACAGGAAGGCTGTAGGATTCAGGAATGAAGTGAGGCTGAGTCTTAGCTCAGGGGTGCAGTTGGGATGAGCATTTCTTGCTATGCTCCCTGGGGAACATGACTGTGGCTGCAGGCAGCCAGGCAGGATAAGGGTCCATGTAAGCTGAGGTCTCTTCAGGTCTGGCAGAGACAGTAGGATGAGCCTCTACAGAGGAGGCTCCCCAGTCCCAGAAGGCATCTTCACAACAGCCCTAGTAGGATAGCTGTGAAGATGAAATGAGCCAGCGGTGAAGGCAGCATTTTGTGAACTGCACTGTCAATTCTGCATACCACCACCTCTATGTTAGGGTATGTAATGAGATCATTTAAAATACACACAGCCAACCACTCTTGAGCTGTATTCTGTTTTGAGAGGGTTCTCAGTATTCCCCGTGTATTAACTCTCATAATATTAAACTATGACTATCGATGCTGTTATTTAACACTATTACCCCCACTTGATATGAAAGACAGGAAGATTGAGTAACATGCCTAAGGCCAGTGGTTTATGAGTGGGAGTACTGGGTTCCATCCCAAGCCATCTGACTCCCAGCTGAGATCTTTTCCTTGCTGCTTATCCCGTAATAAGCCTATGAGTGGCGTATTATTACTCTCAGCTTACGAATGAGGAAACTGAGTCCCATGGAGTACTTTTAATTAGCCTAAAGTCGTAATGCTGTTTAGAAGCAGATTCAGGACTTAAACCAAGGCTCCAGCATTCTGTCTTTGAGAGAAAGATGCCTCTGGTGGAAGATGACATGCTCAGCAGCTGCCCAAACTTGTAATCCTAGCATTGCATATACACATTTGACGTTTGGAGATAATTCCCTTCCACTTCGTGTGTCTTGCATCATTTCATTCTGCCATTAACCCCAGCTGCATAATCAACTTGAATGGGTAGAGTGAAAACCTTTTGGGAAAAGCAGGTGATACTGAAATAAATACAATGTTTTATATTTATATAATAAATTATGCTTTTTTGAGGTGCCTTTTATATCAAATTTTCTACACCATTTGGTTCTCTCAATACCTGTGGAGAATAGCTGGTTGCTTTTCAAAAGTGCACCGGATTTAGATTTGGATCTGATTGAATCCCAGTTCAGCCTCTTAAGAGCTCAGTGATCATAAATAAGCCCCTTTCATCACTTGTGTCAAAGACTCTCCTTTAGAAAATAAGATTAATATGGCCAACTGATATGGTGGTGAGAAATGAATTAAATCAGTATTGATTGAGTGTAGTTAGAGATGAGGTATTTTCACATAGCTTCATCTGTTCAGTGAGTATCTATCAAGTTCCCACTGTGTGCTGAGTGCCAGCACAGACAATCCTCATTTTAGATGAATTAGGTTTAAGTGTAATAGATGGAAATCATTGGCTCAGGGGTGCATCAGACTCTAGGGTAGTCTTAGACAAGTCATTTAGAGTTTCTGGATCTCCAATTCTTGCTCCTTAAAAACAAAACAAGACTCTTGCATCATTATTAGCAGTTTTCAAATTGTGTTCCATGTGTCCCAAGGATTTCACACATGTTCCTTGGGAACCTCCCTCCCATTAAAGATGGGGCAGGGGTCAGTTTCCAGCAACACAAGCCCTCCTTCAGATGTAGCTGCTGTCCATAAGGAATAAATACACATATACTGTTTGGCCTGCAATAGTATGTGTTTTTGTTTTAAATATAGCTGAGTTTACAAATGTGTGCGTGTGTGTGTGTGTATGTGTGTTGTGTGTGTATGTGTTTAATTCATTTTCTTAGTTAAAGAAAAACCAAATGACTACCACACAAAGAGTATGACATCGTAAAGCCGATGAGAATTTGCCTTCTAGCCATGTGACCATAATATGTGTTTAACCTCTCTGAGCTTTAACTTCTACATCCATAAAATGAGATAATGCTGTCTCATGGAATGGTAATAAGACTTAAATTGAATTATCTTTTTTAAATGCCTTTGCTCAGGGCTTTGCTAAATACATGTTAATTTATTTCTCTTCACAGCGTCTTGGGGAACAGAAGTACTTCAGTGCTTTGTTCTCTGGGTCTTTAAATTTGACCAGACCTTTAAGGACTTTTTTGTTTATGATTCACCAAAAAAAATGATTCTACTTTCTACCTATCTTTCTTTATGAAAGCATGGTCTGATTTTGACATTTTTAGTCTGAAATATATTATATTTATAACACTGAAATATATTATATTTATATATTTATAATTCAAAACACATCTTTACATTGAAATACATACATATACACACATATACACACACATATATAATCACTTTTGAAAAACTAATACATAATTAGGGTACTTTAAGCCAAATCAGCATTTTATGATTATTAAAGACACCATTTCAGGGTGTCATACAAACACCATTTATCATTTTATATTTTGATGTTTAGGATTTAATAGGTCACTCAAATACCTACTATCTGTCCATTTAATAGGTGATTCGGAAGACTCTTACTGTGCTCACAGCATCAAAAAGGTATGTATTAAGGTCTACCAAACCCCTAAAGCCTCCATTACCTTGCAGTACAATTCCCATGAGTGTGCAGAGAGGTGGCTGTTACACCAAAGTTTGAAACTTTTTCAGCCTCCAGTTTGCATTTCAGGGCAATTTTTGTTTCTTTTCACAGTAAAGCTGCTTTCCATCCTTAATGCAGTGAAAAATGGGCATTAAAGAAAGATACTCTTTCTAAATAAAGTAAAATGGAGAAAGTACAGAAGGCATTTATTGAAGGATGAAGAAGCATTCACTTGGGGAGATCGCTAGGGTACTTAAGTGATGCTGCCTTTGATTAAAGCGACGCTGTCAAGTGAGTGAGCCTGGGGATGAGTCAGAAAATCCAGCTCCTAGCACCGGCCCTGCCTCTTAGTCACTAAATGACCCTCTTTCGTCCCAATCTTTTCATCCTACTTGCAGGGCTCAGCTCAAGAACTGAAGTGAGAATTCACTGGGATAATGAATGTAAAATTGTCCAGAAAATGTTAAAAGCATAATTTAAAAAATACATGGAATTATAATTATGTACTTACACTTGAGTCAAATTTAAGAAGCTTACTAGTTTTGAGTGTAGCTTATGAAGACTGACAGATCTCTGTGAAAATTCTAACCTAGACATCTCATAGACTTTATTTTTCATTTTTAACTGAATTGTTCTAAGAATTTTTTTTCTCTCCTACAAAATGGGCATAATAAAAACACCTACTCAAGAGAACCAAACAATGAAATGATTGCCTAATGCCTAGCCCAGTGGCTGGAACAAAATAAACCCTTAATAAAAGTAGTGAAAAGAAAATGACAGCAATGGTTCAGTCAAAATATCAACCCAGACAAATAAATGAATACGAAATTCCACTTTTCAGGGTATTTTAACCTGGACTCTTGGGCCTAACACACCAAGAGTTAAATGCGTACGTAAAAAACTAGTGGACATTTTTATTGACTGCTTTCATTGAATGCATTAGATTAGTTTAATTTACTGTCAGATAATATATTAGCAGCTGGTAAGTTTAGTTAAGAACATCAGATAAGTTTGCATGTTGACTCAAAGTGTCAATCAAGGGTTTGCCAAAGGCAAACAAACAAATAAAAAAAAACCCTAAAATATAAAAAGCTCAACAAAACTGTGACTTTCCATATAAAGCCAAAATAGTGGCTCCATGAAACATTGCTCTTTTGTGTTTCTGAAAGAATATATAGTGGACTTCATATCAGAAAAAAAAATGGTGTTTATCACATACATTCTCTGAGCTTTTGCCATGGCTCCAATAATCTATCTCACAAGATACTTCTGAGGAATTAAATTGGATATTGTGCAGGAAAGGAATGGGAAGAAGGCAGTTTTTCTCAGTTGGATGAGCCCAAGCACCTATAGGCCACCAAGGTGCACAATAACTAAGATATTTGTTCCTCACTCCATGGGTAACTCATTGGGCAGTTTCTGAAATGGGGAAATCAACACATAACCTTAACGAATTATCAAGGGCAGTAATAGACCGCATTAAGATGCTTTTTAACCCAGTTTGAAAAGCCTTTCTGGAAGAAATACCTTCTGAATTCTGAATGGTAAAAAATATTTAGCCAGGTAGCAATGTGGTAGAAGCACACCAGCAACAAGATAGGAGGATAGGAAACATTCTCAAGTTAAAAACCAGGAAGTATGTTTCTTAGTGAGAAGGGAACAATGGAAGATGGAGTAAGAGAAGTACATTCATTTGATTGTACTCTAAGTTGTTTCTTTTAAGCATGAGAAAAGAAGTTTAACCAATGGGCAGAAACATATGTCATTGGCAAACATACTAGATGCACTGCACAATCATCAGGTAGCCAAATATAGTCAAATAGACCCATTTTCAAGATTTCTGAAATAAGGGAATTCATGTCACGCCTTCAGGGAACCAAATACATAGCAACTCTTTCTGATTAACACACATTGATGCCCTCTGATGATGGAACAACAGATTTGCCTTTATTCTTGGGTTTGCCTTCACTTTGCACCTTAGATTGGATCCTTGTAAATTCAATGGGGAATCCAAAGAATGATTGAAAGAAAAATAGGATCTGAAGGGTGAGATGCTGCTTCTTATATTAGGGTGATATAATATATATATATATTATATTAGGTGTGTATATATATAATTATATATTGTATTAGGTGTGTATACATATATAATTATAATAATATATTATATTATTTAAATAATAAATAAATATAAATTAATAATAATATAATGTGATATATTATTTAATAATTATAATAAATAATAAGTAAAATGTATACATAATTATATATATGCACACACCTAATATAATATATATATTAGGGTAATATACGAAGCAGATATCTCACCCTTCAGATCCTATTTTTCTTGTAACCATTCTTTGGATGCATTCAATTTCTCTTCCTGACAGAAAGAAAACAACGAAAGAAGTGCAACTATAAAAAGGAACTCTACCATTTCCTAGGGTCACAGGCCAGTGAGAAAATAAAGAAGAAAAATTGTTCAAGTTCCTTTTGAGAATGGAATCGGTTAAATTACAGTGATAGAGCTGAAGCCAGTAGGCTTACCTGCCTTGTTTCCTGTCCTCTGTTAATTCTCTAAGCCCATCTGGACAAACATGACTGCAGTATAGGTTTGGCTTGAGCCCTACGGTTCCCATGAGCTACCCTGACTTGTACTCCAGCATTGACCCTGTTCTTAATATTCCACCTTAGTTTCAAAGCTCGCATCTTGAACCTCAGTTCTGTTCAATTTTCCTATGTTGAAGTCTCACTTTTCTTCCATATTCATTTCTCTCATTTTCCTGATTCTGAGGCCAAATAATTTTACCAATAATTTTAGTCCTTAATTTTCAACCTTGGAACTCCAGGACTATGTGGGATGGGAGATAGCGTTGCATCTGTCTTTGTTAATGTATAAGGAGTTGTTTCCTCACATGAACAAGAAACGTGCTGAACAGTCTATGCAAAGATATGAAGTATCAGGGATCATGATGATTTCAGGGAACCTTTTGTAAATTAATATGCCTCAAGGATAATGGACATGAAGAAGAACTGGTAGGATGTTGTTAAGAAAATGGTTGGGATTACAGAGAACTTGAAAAAAGGAGAAAAGTTAATGTATTAGTCCGTTTTTATGCTGCTGATAAAGACACACCTGAGATTGGGTAGAAAAAGAGGTTTAAATGGGCTTACAGTTCTACATGGCTCTTGGGGAGCGGGCTCAGAATCATGGCGGAGGGCGAAAGATACTTTTTACATTGCAGGAGCAAGAGAAAATGAGGAAGACGCAAAAGCGGAAACCTCTGTTAAAACCATCAGCTCTCATGAGACTTCTTCACTGCCACGAGAACAGTATGGGGGAAAACGCCCCCGTGATTCAAATTATCTCCCACCGCATCCCTCCTACAATATGTGGGAATTATGGGAGTACAATTCAAGATGAGATTTGAGTGGGGACACGGAACAAACCCATATCAGTTAACATGCTAACACAACTGACTGGGTGAGAGATAATGAGGACCTGAACTCAGGTAATAGCAGTGGAATTTGAAGGAGAAAATGATGCAAGAGTTATTTAAAATATAAAATCCATACAACTTGTCAGTTCATTGGCTAACGAGTGAAAGAAATACGGATGTCCCCTATGTCTATCACTGTCCTATGCAGCAACTTTCTCTCCCACACTGATAACTCCTCCAATCACATGGTCACATGGGGGAGGGATGGAATCCAGATTGACCAATCTGAGCACCTTACCTTGCTGGGCTTGAGTGGCAGGAGGTTTCTCAGGCACAGCCAGTACTGCCATAGAATTTCTGGAACAAATGAAATAATGATCTGTTATTTTCTATTTGAAATTTAAGCATGAATTAACCCCAGAACTACCATTTGACAACAGACTGAGAACAAAGTCAACCCAGAGAAAATCAGAGGCAAGAGAGAGGAGAAGAGCAAATGCTTGATGATATTATTAGAATCCTTAAGTCTAGCTGTGTCAGAAGCTGTAATCAAGCTAGACAGACCAATAAATTCACTCTTTGCAAAAGCCTTTTTGAATCGTGTTTATATCACCTAAAAGCAAGAATCCTGACCTATACAATGGAGAAACTAAAGATAACTCTGAGGTTCCCAGCTTGAGCATTTGGGAAAGAGTGATAAGATAATGTTACTGCCTTGAGGACCACATGCAGAGGAGAAGGTCTGAGTGAGAGCACAAGTTCTATTTGAACTTGTAGCAGTTGAGGGATCCATCAATAAGGCTAATGAGCAGCATGCTATTTTGACTGTGAAACACTCACACAGGTCACATGACCATGAAATGACCAAGGAAATGATGAGTGCTAAGCACAGGTGTAAGTGCAATAAATCTAATTCCATCGCATTCTTGCTGATTCAAGAAGAATTGCATCGTGCAAGAAGGTAAAAGTGGAATTATCAACAGCAACCTCACCGAGTTATCTATTTCAAATTCATGATTCAATACTCTCAAATAATTAAGCATTAATAGTGGTAAATGATTCCAGTCACACTTCACGACTGATCGCAATATCTGAGAATGGCCCAAAGTGTATGCTTCTTCATATGGGGAGACACGGATTTGGAGACAGGACAGAGCTTGAGTTGGAAAGTTTTGGAGTAGGCTTCAGGCTTTATAAGTGTTGCTTCAGCTGCTGTGACCAAGAATAACTCAAGCAACAACATGAAGCCCCTAATTCTAAGTGTAATACAAGTAGCTTTCCTCTCCCCAGTGTGTTCTATTGATTGCAGGCAATATGTAATTACCTTCTGAGATACACTTTTCCCATCTTAACTCCCTCTACATGTGAAATGAACTGTAACAGACAAATTAGGTTTTTCTTTCTTTCCCATCACCTAACTTTCTTAGCTTTTTTTCTGATTTGATGATTCTCTCCTCCTCCCAATGTAGCAATACAATTGAGGATTAATGGTGTGCTACAAGGCCAGACAGAAATAATATGAAATCTAATGCAATATACAGAGCCCTACTAGAATAAAATGCCAGATCTGAAATGGCCTCCTGAAATACCACATCTCAAATCCTTATCTTAACTATTAGGAAATAGAGAACCCAAAAGCAGATGAACCATCTGAGTCAGCCCCACTCCTTGTTAGTTACAGGGTTGCACAATTATTTCAGGTCTCTTGACTCCTGGTTCTTTCCATCACCTTAAGATTTGCCTCTATGTACTGAATATATTGTACTTTATAGGCATTTTACATGTTTTTTTTTGGTCATACTAACAGCCCATCTTGATACAATTTGTTTCCATCAGATCATGTGTATCCCCAGCTTAGCTTTATTCTGTTATCCCATCCTGGACCATCTTTGCGGCAAAAATGGTACATCAGAGGATGTATTGGCTACATTATCACAGACATACTAGACTTTAATTTCCAAAACCAGGGGATCTCAGCCAGTGTACATTTTAGGCACACAAATTCAGGTATTTCTGTATTTAAATAGTTCTTATAGAATAATAATCATCTTTTACATTTGCAGAGAAGTTTACAGTGTGTAAAGTACACTCAGGGAACCATTTAGAAGTCATAATTAGGTAAGATTTCTAGGTGCAAAAGCTTCTGTCAGAGAGCAGACCTGGAACACCTGTTTAATTTGTTTAAGCAAGAGATGCTGCTTCATTTTTCAAAACAATTTCACTAAAGAATATTGAAACAAGAATAAAAAATATAAAATGCCATCCACAATCCAATCACCAAGCAAAACTACCATTTCTTATTTTTCCATGTTTCTCTTTTGAATTGGCCTACTCTGTGTGTTTGTGTGTGTGTGTGTGTGTGTGTGTGTGTACACACATACTCATTTATGCATTTATGTTTAAATTCAAAAAAATGACTCCATATCATTTTCCCTATTGTTACACTATATTTATAATAATCTTGGTTACTTCTTGCTCAGTATTCAGAAGAATGGATATGATAATTAAACACACTTTTTCTCCATTAATGTTACTTTTTTGCAACTAGGAATGAAATAGGGGCAGGGTGAAAGGTTTCCAATGCAATTGTTGTTGTTGTTGTTGTTGTTATTTTAATGAAAATTGAATGAAAGCAGTAACTGGGGAAATAAATGAAGACAATTCAAATGAGAACAAACTGTTTATTTAGAACTTGCTCTATCAGAGAGTCAGCCTTGTCCCTTGTATTTGGTACAGGCTTAAAGGCACAGAAGGTAATAGAGAAGCTTTACAGTGAAAACATGGGAAGACTTCTGGTACATTCAACTGAAGGTTGGGAAAGTTGAATGTCAACTAGAAGCATGTGATTGGTTTGGGGAGTGCATTTGCCTTCCTCTGGTTGGTCCTGAGTTGGAAATAGGAACAAAAATTAGGGCAGCTGGCAGTCCCTGACCAAGTTCTTATTTTTTGAGCCAATTTCTATAAGGTTGTGGTTTGGCTCCCAGAGCTGGTTGCTGCAAGGAATTAGGGGTCAGAGTTCTATGGTGAAATAACATCCGGCTGTTGGCCATTTGTGTTGTCAATCTCTCACTGGATAAAATTCAGCTTGATTGCCTACTGCCAGAATTAATCTCAGAAGTAGTCTCTAAGTCTGGGTGTGAGCAAAGCCTAAATGTCAAAGAATGCCATTGTAGTAAAATAGAATACCTACAATAAATTCCTATATTTACATATTAACAGCTATTTACTGAAATACATTTTATTAAGAATTGTTATTCAGCCCAAGTTCCTAAATAGTGACCAAATGAATCCTTTAGTGATTTGCCAGTTTCTGATAACATAAATATGTTAATCAATTAAATTGATCCAGACTTGGTCTGTGCTGTTTTTTCAGGCAGCCTCAAACACTAACTCAGCTACCAGATGGCTCAGTATATTTTATTCTGGAGTCAGTTCATAGTTTTAGCTAGGTAATTGTTTGCCATTAATCCCACTTTAGATCTTGGATTTGCAGTATTTCATTCTGTATACTTCTTTATGTCATAAATAAATGTAATGTTAAATGTACATTTGAAAAATATATAATTTATGCATGGGCAAATTACAAATAATCATAAAGTGTGTGAAATCAAAACTCAGGTTAAGAACTAGATTAAGCTAGTATCTTCAAGGGCTCTGCAAGCCCATTCCCAGTTTTATTCTTCTCTCTTTCCCCAGAGGTTATCATTATTCTGATGTTTTGGGAAATGAGTATTCGTTGTCTCAGGACTGCCTGTTATATTTTATCTCTGATCTGCGATTCTTGCTCTGTCTATGTACTTCTATAAGACTGTTTTGTTTAGATATCCTGGTCCTTCCAAAAGGCTCTATTATTTCTCCCAGGTGAGGTTTAGTGGGGACAATCACTCATCAATGGAGCAACCCATAAATTGAAGAGACACAAACTTATTAGATGTGATGGTGCCTTCCCTCACGTCCATCTATAGGTGGTAGAAACATGTATCTTAATAAAGTCAGCTAGTCAAAATATCAGAGGAAATTATAGGATATATAACCACTGTCCCTAGGTTTTCTTTTAAACTAATTCAGGTTTCCTATTCTGAGCCTCACCCTGAAATTTTTCCATATTCTGTGTGTTATGATAGTAATGGTGGCATTATTTTTTTTTGAAATAAATCTGTCTCATTATAGCAGATATTGCAGGTATTATTATTTATTCGGTTGCTGAGGAAACTCAGATAAGGCAAACGCTGACCCAAGGAGGCACAACTACAAATAGGAGAATTAAATTCCTCTGTAGACTTCTAATTTCAAAAGCTATGCTTGTTGTTCTTCCTCCTAAAACATGGTACATTCCAATATATATCAATAATGTAGGAGAAAAAAAAGCTGTCTTATAGCTATTGTCCTTGTTTGAACCTGAAGGAATAAAAATTCTAAATACAGGCTTTGATCTACAATAGCTAGAACGTGAACTATCAATTCCTAATAAATTGCTTTAAAAAGTAGTATTTCATGGAGCTAGTATCACATTCTCCATGAATGCCCATACACCATCAAAGAATTAGCTTCACATTTGTCTATTGTTTATTAATTCATCTTTTGACAAACACTTAATAGCCATCTATAGAACATGCAGAACATAAATGATTAATACCATTTTGCAAAAACATAATTCATGCTCAAAGGGAACTGATTTCACTAACTTATAGAGCAATGCAAGTGCAGTCTTACCAGTCAGAGCTCCTCTATGAGCACAATGATCCCCTCTATTTTCTACAGCGTGACTGAAGACGTGGTCATTTTAGCCTTTATTAGTGCTTAAAGCAGAAGCTGAGCAACAGAACCTGTCAATGTCAAGCTTTGCTTGATTGGAATTATTTTTTGGGGGTAAGGAATATACATAACCATTCTTACAAAACAAACTAATATGCAACGAGAAAATTCAAGTCAAGATAGAGTAAATGTTGCTATTTTGGCTATTCAATCAGTTGAATGAACCCAGCAATCAACAATGCTAACTTACCACTAGTATGTTTCTGGCTCAACACTGTACTCTCATAAAATATAAAGAAAGGATAAACTTTATCCCTTGCTTGGAGGAGTTTAAAAATCTTGGGAGAACAAAATCATACACAAGAAAAATAATGCAGCATAGAAATTTCGGTTCTTAGGATAAGTGTTCTATAATATATGTACCCAATATTTGTGACACACTTTTGGGCTGATTTGGGCCCCAGGGCTGTGCTATGGGCTTTGTATTCTCTTTTGGAAACTGAGACTCAGAATAGATGATCAACTTACCTGAGATCCCACAGTTAATCCGTCCTGGAGATTGGTATTTTTAATTTGTAACATATATGGACATCTCAAGCTAGTGTTTATAGTAAGGATATATCCTACTTCATTATTCTAGTTTTGAGCTTATATTTTGGAGGGATTGGGGTTTTGGCACAACACATTAAAAAGAAAAAGAAAAAGAGTGCACAGGAAAGGCGTGGGATGTGTGTATGCCTCCGCAATAGGAAAATTCTGTGCCTGGCTTCTCACCTGAAAGATGATATTCCCATGCTTGCTGGCATTTGACAAGAGAATGGTGAGTTTGTAGCATTGACAAATCAATTGGAGAACACATCTTAAGTAGGATGTAGGGGAAAAATAGATTTTTCCTGGTTTACTTTATCAGACACCTTTTTTACATAGAGGAAGAGGTCACTTCAACCCCCTTCTCATACTGCTTTCCGAGTTTTCAATACGTTTCTCCAGTAGCATCCTTGTATCTTAAAAGTTGCAAAGTTTTCCATGTGACATTATTCTAAGAACAGAGTGTAAGATGTAACTGTTTTAGTAACATTTTGCAGCAGATCAAGAAAGACTTTGATGTCCCCGTGGTTTCAAAACTCAAATAATACCAACTGTATTCTCTCTCTCTCTCTCTCTCTCTCTCTCTCTCTCTCTCTCTCTCTGGCTCTCTCTCTCTGGCTCTCTCTCTCTGGCTCTCTCTCTCTGGCTCTGGCTCTCACTCTCTGGCTCTCACTCTCTCTCTGGCTCTCACTCTCTCTCTGGCTCTCACTCTTGCTCTCTTGCTCTGTGTGTTTCTGTGTTTTCCTGAGCCACATTTGTATTAATCACAAGGTGCTGATGACTCCACACATATTCCTTTGCATGGTATTCAGCTGATTCAACTGATACTTTTAAGAGCCCAGTCATATATCAAATGGGAAGAAAAAAGAGTTGATAAAAATAAATTTCCCACTGTTGATAGCCACAGCTTTAGATCTCTAAAAATTGTTTCTAGCTCTAAGGTAGCGTTACTTCAAAGAGAGGAAAATCACCCAAATGGAGTAGAAAAACTTCAGCTCTTCCTGAATCACTCTTCAATCAAGGGAAAAGAAAAGCATCTACATTGTTAATCGGGGAGGCGGGGTGCTGAAGAAAAAAACAAAGTTGCATGAATTTTTACAGCATGTTTGTTAGTTCCTTTTGGACACAGTGCTTCAGGAAGCCCAGCCAGGTGATGATCCTAAACCCTGAGCAGATGGTCTTTAAAATGATCATACGGATTTTCTTTCATAATGAATATCAAGAATCCTATAGGATTTACAACAAAAACTGTTCATACATATGAAAAGACAGATGTTTCTTTAGACGCTGCTCAATGTTTCTTTGGCTGAAGCCAGGAAGAGTCATTAGCTATGACTTCATTTTCAAGCAGTTGAGTTATGTGGGACTTTAGTCTCAACTAATCAATGTCAAAACACCTTTTAAATGGAAATTATTTTTTCTCTGGAGTGGAGGATGGAGGGCATGTGTTTAGGTCAGGGAATTAAATCTGCTTTTGCATATATTTTTTATTGTTGCACAAGACTTGGGAAATCTGTTAGGCTTCTTTTTGCAATTCTATGTCAATGAAGCAAGACACTGTTCAAAACAAAAATTTTCTGCCTAATGAGCAGTGCTTAGACTGGTGACTACACAGAGAAAGAGTAAATTTTATGGTTTGGATATGACTGAATTTTGAGTGCTGCTTTGGAGGGCAGGAGTCTGAGTTCTAATCTGGAATCTATCACTGTCTAGCTCTGTTGTGAGTTTAGGCAAGGCACCATCTTTCTCTGAGTTCATAGTGATCAACATCAAAAGAAACCTAGAGTAATTCAGCATATGAAAAACCTAACTCCCCAAATCACTTGAAGAGTTTTTTTTAATGTGTTTGCTAAGATCCAAACCAGCAGTACAGAATCAGATTCTTTGGTAAGAGGGTTTTGAGAAGCTATAGCTAAAAACAAAAACAAAGCTCCCAAGTGATTTCTAATTTTCTCACCTATAAGAGAATGGGACATGTATTTTTTTCAAAGTTGGATATATGCATGGATCTGTTTTAGGGTAGAATATTATTGACAGTGGTGCTCATGATATTCCTAAAGATAAAAACAGCTTTATTATAATGTTAATTTTAAAATTCAGAATATGAATATGCATTTGTATTATAATATAAAGGAATGGGTTTTTTTTCTTCTTCCATTTCTTCCTGCCTTTCTTCTTAATAAGGAATACTTTAATGCCAAACATTTCATGCAATTTATTTTCTTAAAGAAGCTTCAAAGGGTTGAAAATCATCCAAATGGAGTAGAAAAACTTCAACTCCTCCTGAATCACATTTCAATCAAGGGAAAAGAAAAGCATCTACATTGTTAATAAGGGTGGGGAGGGGGTGAAGAAAAAAAGCTTTACTAGTTCAATTAGAGGAAAGAGTTATGAACTTAGGAGTTAAAAAGCCCCAGAGTCCCCAGATCAGGTGAAGAAGGTGGTCACCCCGAGGACACAAAGTGCCAAAGTTCCTGAGCATGTCTGAAATACCATGGTGACCTTGAACTTGCATTTTGATGCCATCCAGGGAGACAGGAAATAAAGCCCAAGTCCAGTACACAGTAGGCATCCTAACAGGAGAACTCCTAAACGTGACATCCCAATAAGGCTAAACCTTCCTTGGAAGGGTGAATGTTAAATGAACCTTGCACTAAAGGGGTCACCTGCTTTCACGTTGGCCAGGAGCAAGAATAAATCCTAACAATTTATTATCACGAAACTCCCTTAATATAGGTTTCTAATAAAACATTTTACTGCATATGTCTTGTCACAACATCAGTCTTTTAATTCAAAAAGATATATCATTGATGTCTCCCAGATGGCTGACTTCAACTAATTCAAAATCTCACTGAAGCAGTGGAAAGAGGCACAAAGGGTACAAATGTTCAGTTATAAAGTGAATAAGTTGTTGAATTCTAATATACAGCATAGCATGGTGGTTTTAGTTAATAATGTATAGTTGCAAGCTAAGAGAATAGAACTTGAATATTCTAACAACAAAAAAAAAACTATGTGAGCTGATTGGTATATTAATTAGCTTGATGTGGTAATCATTTCACAATGTGTACATATATCCTTATGTTGTATACCTTCAATATACATAATTTGTATTTGTCAACCATACCTCAGTAAAGCTGGAAGACAATGGGAAAAGTAACATTCTCAAAGAAGTTAAAGATCTAAAGAACGTAAACACACCAGTTTGCTCTCTCTTTATCCCTCTATCTCTCTTTATCTCTCACATCTGCCCACGCACATATGCACAGCCCTTTTCTCTCTACTTTCTTTACTTTCTTATATGCACTGCCTCTGTTTTTTTTGTTGTTTTTTTTTTTTAATAATCTCTCTCAAATCCTGTTATCAGTTCAGGATTCTAATGAAAGAGAACAAGAAGAGTGGCTACTCTTTGAACATTTGTTTTACTGTCTTTCTTTATGACACTTTGGAGATAAAGTTTTCCCTTTAATGCTTGAGAATGCAAAAATTTTTACACCAGGAAAAGGCACTCTTGTAAGGAATGGCATATATAACATTCATCTGATGGAATGATAAACGTTAGTGTGGGTTCATCTTCCAGTTTTACCTTCCCCCTGCTGCATCATATGAGACAAGCCATTTTCAGTCTGTTACAGAAATAAACCAGTAGCGATGGCCCCAGTGTATTAGCCCCAAACTATCCCCATATTGTTTACATCTTCACAGCAAGCTAGGACAATTAGCTAAAGCCTACTGATGTTAAAACTAAAATTTGTACACACCCAGTTTCTTCAAATATAGTTCAAATAATCATATTTTTAGCCATTTAGAGCCTACCTAGTTTGCACGCCCTGCAAAACTACACTCAACATCTGCTAATTACAGATAAGCAGATGACCTTTGTAGCTAAACCCTCAATTGCTGCCTCTTTTTATAGCTCTTTCACTCAGAGATTCCGCAGTAGCTGCTGAGACAAGAACATCACTTAGGTGAGCTCCCTCTATGATTTTCTCCTTTTCCTAAAGAGATCCTTTTCTCTATTTTGCTTCTGGGTGTGGCTTTGTGCCATTGCCTCTGGAAGATGTCTTGGTGGAAGGGACTCTTTCATGCAACTCTATGCAAGCACAGCCCAACAAAGCAATGTTAGTGCCTCTCATATCCTTGTTTTTCCCTTGATCAATGCTGGAATCCTTGAATTTAACCTAGCCTTATTTGAAAATGATGGTATATTATTTATCCAACAGCGATGTTTGGAAAGAGCCTGGCATCACACCTGATATTTAATTGAAGGTCATTAAATGTGATGCTCTTCTCTTAGTAATGGGTCCATATGTGGTGTCATTT
Source organism: Homo sapiens (assembly GCF_000001405.40). Taxonomy (NCBI): domain Eukaryota; kingdom Metazoa; phylum Chordata; class Mammalia; order Primates; family Hominidae; genus Homo; species Homo sapiens. The sequence goes on along the minus strand of NC_000004.12, from coordinate 11,152,453 downwards.
GCACCACAGAAAGAAAAGAGGAGTGGCAATTATTCTGTCATTTGAGAAGGCCTTGTCAAAGGCTGGAGGAACAGAGCTTTAGAGATGGACTGGGAAGTTTTGATTCGTTGTTTTTTTGTTTTTATTTTTTTTACAAATAACTTCATCAGAATCTATCAAATATTTATATTACTTAGAGCTTTGAGGACACAACCCTAAAGAGGCTAAACTTCATTCAGTTTCATTTTCCATAAGATGAAAGTTAGCATCAAATTTGAGAGAATGCTTCTTGATGGGACAGGATACAAGAAACATTTTCAAAATACAGATTAAAAAGCAAGTTGGGCTGGGTGTGGTGGCTCATGCCTGTAATCCCAGGACTTTGGGAGGCCGAGGCGGGTTGATGGCCTGAGGTCAGGACTTTGAGACCAGCCTGGCTAACATGGTGAAACCCCGTCTCTACTAAAAATACAAAAATTAGCTGGGCGTGGTGGTGGGTGCCTGTAATCCCAGCCACTCAGGAGGCTGAGGCAGGAGAATCGCTTGAACCTGGGAGGTGGAGGTTGCAGTGAGCCAAGATTGTGCCATTGCACTCCAGACTGGGCGACAAGACCAAAACTCCGTCCAAAAAAAAAAAAAAAACAAGCATATTGAGTTCTCTCTTCCATCTAATGGTAGGAAGAGACAAGTAAACAAGCAAAACAAGCAGTTATATTGTTGCTTGCATGGGTTGTGGCAGCGGAAGTGCCAGATGTGTCCAAACACAGAGAGTGAGAGCTCATTCAGAGAGGGGTGTGCCCAAAGCACACATCACCTCGGCTGAACAACCGAAAATGTTTCTGCCCTAAATTATTAAAGCCAGATGTTTGTAGTTGTAACAAGTAGTAGCTTACTAGGGTCAAAAGCCCACTTCCTCTTGAAAGTGCTGTTACCTGGCCTGTATTACTGTGTGGCCCCTATATCTCCATGGATATTAAAAAGCTCAGTTCCATGACAGCTTTTCTACTGTTTGCTCTGACAGAAAGACAACAGTCACCACTAAAATACTTAGAAATGTCACTGCCTCTCTCCCAAGCACAGCTTGTGGCCTTGAGGAGTGGAGTGTATTCCAGGATCTCCATGAGGATCTTCTTGTGAATCTTCTAGATTTATGTGACCTCATCATTCCACTATGACAATTTCTTTCAGAATGTTTATCCTTCAGGAACCCTGTTTTGTTCAGCATGGGGCATCATTTTATCCTGGCTTCTGAGTTCAACTCTAGCAGATGCTGATGTGTTTCCACTATGTCCCCACCCAAATCTCATCTTGAATTGTAGCTCCCATAAATCCCACGTGTTGTGGAAGAGACCTGGTGGGAGATAATTGAATCATAGAGACTCTTTCCTGCATACTGTTCTCCTGGGAGTGAATAAGTCTCTTGAGAACTGATGGTTTTATAAGGGAAACCCTTTTCACTTGGCTCTAATGCTCTCCCTGCCTTTCATCATGTAAGATGTCCTTTCACCTTCTGCCATGATTGTGAGTACTCCCCAACCATGTGGAATTGAGTCCACTAAACCTCTTTTTCTTTATAAATTACCCAGTCTCAAGTATGTCTTTATCAGCAACATGAAAACAAACTAATACAGATGGTTTGCCACATACTTCGGGGTCCTTGCCAAAGAGTTCAATCTTATATTGTGAGAGTGCTCTCAGTCAATGCATTTTTGCTCACCCAGGCTTGTGTTTCAATCCACCTGCTTAAGCACTCTCAAAATCCAGTTCCAAATTTCCAGGATCTGGTCCAGGATGCAAGGGGCTGAGGTGATACTACTCCATCCTGACCAAAGTAAAACCTGAACAAACTGAAAAGGTTAATAATCTTTAGAGCCATCAGAAAAACTGAGGTCACAGGGCAAACTGCTCTTCCCCAAACTGGAGAGACAGACAGCAGCATACAGAGAATCGCAACTTGCCAGAGCATAAACCATTTTTTGGAAGCAGCACCAGTAAGGCAGGAAAACCTAAACTTTAATTGACAAATCATCCTGGTAGGCAACTCTAAGAGTTAAAAATGCCAGGGGGACCAAAACATAGAGATGTCCCCTCACTTTTGTGACTTTTATCTTCAGGAGCTCTACCAAATCCTCACAGTGAATACCAGAGAAATATTCCCTCATGATTCCAACAGAGGGAGAGGAAAGGGAACCATTTAGAAAAACAGAAGAGCATTCTGTTCTTAAGAAGAACTGCCCTCAGGAGAAACTTTCCACCAGAGCCTAACCTGCTGTTGTTTTATCAGAGCCTAGCCTACCTGAGAGAAAAGTAATACCTAATCCCAGCTTCCTCTAGCCATCCTATCTTGCCTAAGGCAGGGAGGAGCCTGCACAACACTGGTGAAGTTCACAGTGCATAGGCTCACTATAAAACTGAAACCTAATCACAGAACTGTAGTATGCTGCTGCTCCCCCAGCAGTTCTCATTATCCCTCCATAGACATCCAGGACTTAGTAATAACCCACACCTCCTCTGTTTTTGTATTTTTTAGCTAAATCCCTTTCCAATATCTGCATCATTGCACACACAAGGGTGTGCCCCTTCACATCACCACAAAGGACATATTTAGCAATTGATAAATCTGTCTGTGCTGGGGAGTTTCCCCGATGCACATACCCCTCAGAACAGAGGCCTCTTTGCTGGCTAAGCAGTGAGTGAGTAATGCAGCCCCCAATCTCCATCTCACTGCCTCCCTTCTCAAACCACTTTCAGTATCAACACTGCAGGTCCTCCAAGAAGCAACACCAAGATGCCAAGACAGAATTAGATAGATAAGAAATTTCTCGGGAGGAGCCAAGATGGCCGAATAGGAATAGCTCCCGTCTACAGCTCCCAGCGTGAGCAACACAGAAGACGGGTGATTTCTGCATTTCCATCTGAGGTACCCGGTTCATCTCACTAGGGAGTGCCAGACAGTGGGCGCAGGTCAGTGGGTGCGCGCACCGTGCGACAGCCGAAGCAGGGCGAGGCATTGCCTCACCTGGGAAGCACAAGGGGTCAGGGAGTTACCTTTCCGAGTCAAAGAAAGGGGTGGCGGACGGCACCTGGAAAATCGGGTCACTCCCACCCGAATACTGTGCTTTTCTGACGGGCTTAAAAAACGGCGCACCACGAGATGATATCCGGCACCTGGCTCGGAGGGTCCTACGCCCACGGAGTCTCACTGATTGCTAGCACAGCAGTCTGAGATCAAACTGCAAGGCGGCAGCGAGGCTGGGGGAGGGGCGCCCACCATTGCCCAGGCTTGATTAGGTAAACAAAGCAGCCTGGAAGCTCGAACTGGGTGGAGCCCACCACAGCTCAAGGAGGCCTGCCTGCCTCTGTAGGCTCCACCTCTGGGGGCAGGGCACAGACAAACAAAAAGACAGCAGTAACCTCTGCAGACTTAAATGTCCCTGTCTGACAGCTTTGAAGAGAGCAGTGGTTCTCCCAGCACGCAGCTGGAGATCTGAGAACGGGCATACTGCCTCCTCAAGTGGGTCCCTGACCCCTGACCCCCGAGCAGCCTAACTGGGATGCACCCCTGAGCAGGGGCACACTGACACCTCACACTGCAGGGTATTCCAACAGACCTGCAGCTGAGGGTCCTGCCTGTTAGAAGGAAAACTAACAAACAGAAAGGACATCCACACCAAAAACCCATCTGTACATCACCATCATCGAAGACCAAAAGTAGATAAAACCATAAAGATGGGGAAAAAACAGAACAGAAAAACTGGAAACTCTAAAAAGCAGAGTGCTTCTCCTCCTCCAAAGGAACGCAGTTCCTCACCAGCAACGGAACAAAGCTGGATGGAGAATGACTTTGACGAGCTGAGAGAAGAAGGCTTCAGACGATCAAATTACTCTGAGCTACGGGAGGACATTCAAACCAAAGGCAAAGAAGTTGAAAACTTTGAAAAAAATTTAGAAGAATGTATAACTAGAATAACCATTACAGAGGAGTGCTTAAAGGAGCTGATGGAGCTGAAAACCAAGGCTCGAGAACTATGTGAAGAATGCAGAAGCCTCAGGAGCCGATGTGATCAACTGGAAGAAAGGGTATCAGCAATGGAAGATGAAATGAATGAAATGAAGCGAGAAGGGAAGTTTAGAGAAAAAAGAATAAAAAGAAATGAGCAAAGCCTCCAAGAAATATGGGACTATGTGAAAAGACCAAATCTACGTCTGATTGGTGTACCTGAAAGTGATGGGGAGAATGGAACCAAGTTGGAAAACACTCTGCAGGATATTATCCAGGAGAACTTCCCCAATCTAGCAAGGCAGGCCAACATTCAGATTCAGGAAATACAGAGAACACCACAAAGATACTCCTCGAGAAGAGCAACTCCAAGACACATAATTGTCAGATTCACCAAAGTTGAAATGAAGGAAAAAATGTTAAGGGCAGCCAGAGAGAAAGGTCGGGTTACCCTCAAAGGGAAGCCCATCAGACTAACAGCAGATCTCTCGGCAGAAACCCTACAAGCCAGAAGAGAGTGGGGGCCAATATTCAACACTCTTAAAGAAAAGAATTTTCAACCTAGAATTTCATATCCAGCCAAACTAAGCTTCATAAGCGAAGGAGAAATAAAATCCTTTACAGACAAGCAAATGCTGAGAGATTTTGTCACCACGAGGCCTGCCCTAAAAGAGCTCCTGAAGGAAGCGCTAAACATGGAAAGGAACAACCAGTACCAGCCGCTGCAAAATCATGCCAAAATGTAAAGACCATCGAGACTAGGAAGAAACTGCATCAACTAACAAGCAAAATCACCAGCTAACATCATAATGACAGGATCAAATTCACACATAACAATATTAACTTTAAATGTAAATGGACTAAATGCTCCAATTAAAAGACACAGACTGGCAAATTGGATAAAGAGTCAAGACCCATAAGTGTGTTGTACTGAGGAAACCCATCTCACGTGCAGAGACACACATAGGCTCAAAATAAAAGGATGGAGGAAGATCTACCAAGCAAATGGAAAACAAAAAAAGGCAGGGGTTGCAATCCTAGTCTCTGATAAAACAGACTTTAAACCAACAAAGATCAAAAGAGACAAAGAAGGCCATTACATAATGGTAAAGGGATCAATTCAACAAGAAGAGGTAACTATCCCAAATATATATGCACCCAATACAGGAGCACCAAGATTCATAAAGCAAGTCCTGAGTGACCTACAAAGAGACTTAGACTCCCACACATTAATAATGGGAGACTTTAACACCCCACTGTCAACATTAGACAGATTAACGAGACAGAAAGTCAACAAGGATACCCAGGAATTGAACTCAGCTCTGCACCAAGTGGACCTAATAGACATCTACAGAACTCTCCACTCCAAATCAACAGAATATACATTTTTTTCAGCACCACACCACACTTATTCCAAAATTGACCACATACTGGGAAGTAAAGCTCTCCTCAGCAAATGTAAAAGAGCAGAAATTATAACAAACTATCTCTCAGACCACAGTGCAATCAAACTAGAACTCAGGATTAAGAATCTCACTCAAAACCGCTCAACTACATGGAAACTGAACAACCTGCTCCTGAATAACTACTGGGTACATAACAAAATGAAGACAGAAATAAAGATGTTCTTTGAAACCAACGAGAACAAAGACACAACATACCAGAATCTCTGGGACGCATTCAAAGCAGTGTGTAGAGGGAAATTTATAGCACTAAATGCCCACAAGAGAAAGCAGGAAAGATCCAAAATTGACACCCTAACATCACAATTAAAAGAACTAGAAAAGCAAGAGCAAACACATTCAAAAGCTAGCAGAAGGCAAGAAATAACCAAAATCAGAGCAGAACTGAAGGAAGTAGAGAGAGAAAAAACCCTTCAAAAAATTAATGAATCCAGGAGCTGGTTTTTTGAAAGGATCAACAAAATTGATAGACCGCCAGCAAGACTAATAAAGAAAAAAAGAGAGAAGAATCAAATAGATGCAATAAAAAATGATAAAGGGGATATCACCACCAATCCCACAGAAATACAAACTACCATCAGAGAATACTACAAACACCTCTACGCAAATAAACTAGAAAATCTAGAAGAAATGGATAAATTCCTGGACACATACACTCTCCCAAGACTAAACCAGGAAGAAACTGAATCTCTGAATAGACCAATAACAGGATCTGAAATTGTGGCAATAATCAATAGCTTACCAACCAAAAAGAGTCCAGGACCAGATGGATTCACAGCCGAATTCTACCAGAGGTACAAGGAGGAACTGGTACCATTCCTTCTGAAACCATTCCAATCAATAGAAAAAGAGGGAATCCTCCCTAACTCATTTTATGAGGCCAGCATCATTCTGATACCAAAGCCAGGCAGAGACACAACCAAAAAAGAGAATTTTAGACCAATATCCTTGATGAACATTGATGCAAAAATCCTCAATAAAATACTGGCAAAAAGCACACAAAAAGCAGCACATCAAAAAGCTTATCCACCATGATCAAGTGGACTTCATCCCTGGGATGCAAGGCTGGTTCAATATATGCAAATCAATAAATGTAATCCAGCATATAAACAGAGCCAAAGACAAAAACCACATGATTATCTCAATAGATGCAGAAAAAGCCTTTGACAAAATTCAACAACCCTTCATGCTAAAAACTCTCAATAAATTAGGTATTGATGGGACGTATTTCAAAATAATAAAAGCTATCTATGACAAACCCACAGCCAATATCATACTGAATGGGCAAAAACTGGAAGCATTCCCTTTGAAAACTGGCACAACACAGGGATGCCCTCTCTCACCACTGCTATTCAACATAGTGTTGGAAGTTCTGGCCAAGGCAATTAGGCAGGAGAAGGAAATAAAGGGTATTCGATTAGGAAAAGAGGAAGTCAAATTGTCCCTGTTTGCAGACGACGTGATTGTATATCTAGAAAACCCCATCGTCTCAGCCCAAAATCTTTTTAAGCTGATAAGCAACTTCAGCAAAGTCTCAGGATACAAAATCAACGTACAAAAATCACAAGCATTCTTATACACCAACAACAGACAAACAGAGAGCCAAATCATGAGTGAACTCCCATTCACAATTGCTTCAAAGAGAATAAAATACCTAGGAATCCAACTTACAAGGGATGTGAAGGACCTCTTCAAGGAGAACTACAAACCACTGCTCAAGGAAATAAAAGAGGATACAAACAAATGGAAGAACATTCCATGCTCATGGGTAGGAAGAATCAATATCGTGAAAATGGCCATACTGCCCAAGGTAATTTACAGATTCAATGCCATCCCCATCAAGCTACCAATGCCTTTCTTCACAGAATTGGAAAAAACTGCTTTAAAGTTCATATGGAACCAAAAAAGAGCCCTCATCACCAAGTCAATCCTAAGCCAAAAGTACAAAGCTGGAGGCATCACACTACCTGACTTCAAACTATACTACAAGGCTACAGTAACCAAAACAGCATGGTACTGGTACCAAAACAGAGATATAGATCAATGGAACAGAACAGAGCCCTCAGAAATAACGCCGCATATCTACAACTATCTGATCTTTGACAAACCTGAGAAAAACAAGCAATGGGGTAAGGATTCCCTATTTAATAAATGGTGCTGGGAAAACTGGCTAGCCATATGGAGAAAGCTGAAACTGGATCCCTTCCTTACACCTTATACAAAAATCAATTCAAGATGGATTAAAGACTTAAACGTTAGACCTAAAACCATAAAAACCCTAGAAGAAAACCTAGGCATTACCATTCAGGACATAGGCATGGTCAAGGACTTCATGTCTAAAACACCAAAAGCAATGGCAACAAAAGACAAAATTGACAAATGGGATCTAATTAAACTAAAGAGCTTCTGCACAGCAAAAGAAACTACCACCAGAGTGAACAGGCAACCTACACAATGGGAGAAAATTTTCACAACCTACTCATCTGACAAAGGGCTAATATCCAGAATCTACAATGAACTCAAACAAATTTACAAGAAAAAAACAAACAACCCCATCAAAAAGTGGGCGAAGGACATGAACAGACACTTCTCAAAAGAAGACATTTATGCATCCAAAAAACACATGAAAAAATGCTCATCATCACTGGCCATCAGAGAAATGCAAATCAAAACCACAATGAGATACCATCTCACACCAGTTAAAATGGCAATCATTAAAAAGTCAGGAAACAACAGGTGCTGGAGAGGATGTGGAGAAATAGGAACACTTTTACACTGTTGGTGGGACTGTAAACTAGTTCAACCATTGTGGAAGTCAGTGTGGCGATTCCTCAGGGATCTAGAACTGGAAATACCATTTGACCCAGCCATCCCATTACTGGGTATATACCCAAAGGACTATAAATCATGCTGCTATAAAGACACATGCACACATATGTTTATTGCAACATTATTCACAATAGCAAAGACTTGGAACCAACCCAAATGTCCAACAATGATAGACTGGATTAAGAAAATGTGGCACATATACACCATGGAATACTATGCAGTCATAAAAAATGATGAGTTCATGTCCTTTGTAGGGACATGGATGAAATTGGAAATCATCATTCTCAGCAAACTATCACAAGAAGAAAAAACCAAACACCTCATATTCTCACTCGTAGGTGGGAATTGAACAATGAGAACACATGGACACAGGAAGGGGAACATCACACTCTGGGGACTGTTGTGGGGTGGGGGGAGGGGGGAGGGATAGCATTGGGTGATATACCTAATGCTAGATGACGAGTTGGTGGGTGCAGCACACCAGCATGGCACATGTATACATATGTAACTAACCTGCACAATGTGCACATGTACCCTAAAACTTAAAGTATAATAATAAGAAGAAGAAGAAGAAGAAAGAAAAAAAGAAATTTCTCTGGGAAAATGTCTCCTAAGGATAATGGGAAGATTGAGCAAGATTATGCACAGAGAGCCTTCAGTCAGGGGTGCAGGTATGGCACCTACGTATGGAGAGAAGCAAGGAGGGAGGACTTCTGTCCGGCACTGAAAGCAGCTCATTCAGGCTGATGGAAAGTCCTAGAGCGAAGAGTGCCTAGAGGGGGTCTCATGTTGAGCAGGAATGGTTTGACTCGTGGCTTAGTCTGTTAGGCGTTATTATAAGAGAATATCAGAGTAAGCATAATTTATAATGAACATACACTTATTTGGCTCATGATTCTGAAGGCTGGAATATCCATGACTGAGAGGCTGGCATCTCATGGAGGCCTTCCTGCACCATCATACCATGGTGGAGGGCATCACATGAGTAAGCGAGAGGAAAGGCGGCCGAACTCCTCTTTTTATTAGGAATCCCCTCCTGCAATAACTAACCCACTCCTGCAGAAACAGGATAACCCATTCATAAAAGCAGAGCCCACATGACCTAATAACCTCCGAAAGGTCTCATCTCTCCATACTACTGAGTTAGGAATTAAGTTTCCAACATATTAAGTTTGGGAGACACATTCGAACATAGTAACTTTAGTACGTGGCCGTGCTTGGTCATCAGCTGGGAGCTGACCAGGGAATACACCACATGACTTGGGATGGATTTCTATCCTTTAATTTTTTTTTAAAGGGATGGTCTCACTCTGTCCCAGGGAGAACTGAGCAGTGTACTCCCCACACTTGCAAGATAGCAACACACTTTCAATTTAATTTGAACTAGTAACCTCCCTTGACACAATTTGTTTCCCCTTTTCCTCTTTAGCCTCTCGCACTTTTTTCACACTCTTCCCAGGCTGGTAAATGAAAGTAACATCCTGTTGACCTGCAGGCAACAAGCAAGTGCCTTATTTTAGCTTTGCAAAGATTTTTTGGGATCGTGTGTGCAGTGGGCACATTTGTCATTCTGATCATAATCTGTACACACACAATGTTCATGCACTGAACAGGCACACATTTAACTCTGGGGAAAACTGTGAATACAGAGAAAACTTCTGGTGTGTAGTTGCAGCAAAATCTCATGGCCTTTATATCCAATGACTAGTAGGTGATTATCAGACTCACAGTCATTATAGGTATTGGGATTTGGAGTTTTCTTTTTCTTTTTTTTTTTTTTTTAAGACAGAGTCTCGCTCTGTCGCCCAGGCTGGAGTGCAGTGGCCCAATCTCGGCTCAGTGCAAGCTCCACCTCCCGGGTTCACACCACCCTCCTGCCTCAGCCTCCAAAGTATATGGGACTACAGGCACCCGCCACCACACCCAGCTAATTTTTTTGTATTTTTAGTAGAGACGCGGTTTCACTGTGTTAGCCAGGAGGGTCTCGATCTCCTGACCTCTTGATCTGCCCACCTCAGCCTGGGATTTGGAGTTTTCCAGAACTTTTGAAGAGATATCTAACTATCAAGCATTTTTGCCCATTAACATGATGGGATCATAAAGGGGACAAGTGAAAAGCAAGATGACTTCTTCAAAATGACCTCTTGCACTAATTAGTAAATCCTCACAGCTCTTAAGATCCATTTTTCATCCCACTTGTCAACCAGTCAGATAGGGTAGCAGGGTCTTTCTTACTGATTGAATAACATTAAGTGTTTCCTGGTAAAACATGTCTGGGAAACAAAATTCAGACAAGTGTCTCTTCTGCAGGACACACTGAAATCTTTCATTTGCTGCTTTAATAAATATTGTGAAGTTCAGGAAGAGGGGATAGGAAGCAGCATTAGACAAAGGATGTTCCCTAAAGCATTCTTCCTTCATAAAGCATCACCCAATATTGAATCCCTATAACATGCACAGCCGGCTTAGATGAATGCCAAAGGAGTTCTGTATCTGTTACTGGTTGGCCGGATGACAATCTTTCTCACTTTCTGTATTCTCATCTGTATGATAAGAAGACTCTTCCCAGCCCCACTTGCTGGAGCTCCTTCATTGGCAAAGAAGGGTGGAAGCTGTGTCCATGGTGGGTGTAGGAAGGCAGGCAACCTCAGCAGGTGAGGAGGTGAGGGTGTGGGAGCAAATGAGAGCAGCCGGGGTCTGTGGGTCTGTATTAGTCCTTCAGTATGTACTTCTGTTCAACAAGGAAAGAAATATAGAAATTAAAACAAGGTTCTTAGAAACATTTAGAGCAACTGGATAATGCTGGGATAGTCAAGTATGGGTGAGAGGACATAGGATTCTCCTCATTTTTATTGTAAAATTTTGTAAAAACAAATGGGGGGGAACTAAATCAATACTGGTACTCCCCCATGAATACTTTAAGAAGGACTACTCTATAGGACAACAAATCCCCTAATCATAATATAATTTTAAATATTAGATCACTACAAAATGGGTTTTCTTTTCCATATTTGCAATCTCCTACTTTGAAAAGCTTCCCTATGCTTTAGCTACGTGGATATGGCTATTGTGCCACAGATTCTATGTGACGTCCCTGAATATGACAGGTGAGCTCACTGCTTATGTAGGTAGAACAAGAGCCAAGTGAGGCAGTAAAGTGTTAGCCAACCAGTGGCTTGTCTTCCTGCTCTGTCTTTTGTGAGCCTCAATTTTGTTTAGCTTTTCCCAATTCCGAGTGAAGCTCTTCTTCCCATGCTCACAGCATTCCATACCAGTTTTCTTGGATGACTCTATCCTGGGGGACCCCCACTTAACCAGCCATAGTTCTGTCCCCTTATTGTTATTTTTGTTTGTTTGATAAGAGAGAATTTGTACTGAATCAACACCTCAGACAAATCCCACCTAGAGTGGTTCCAAGGAAAATGGTGAGAGAAATAGTGAATACAATTCAGTAAAGAGAAAAGACAGAAAGAAGAAGAAGAAGAAGAAGAAGAAGAAGAAGAAGAAGAAGAAGAAGAAGAAGAAGAAGAGAAGAAGAAGAAAAGAAGAAGAAGAAGGAGAAGAAGAAGAAGAAGAGAAGAAGAAGAAGAAGAAGGAGGAGGAGGAGGAGGAGAAGGAGAAGGAGGAGAGGAAGAGGAAGAGGAAGAAGAAGAGAAGAAGAATAAGGAGGAGGAGGAGAAGGAGGAGGGGAAGGGGAAGGAGAAGGAGAAGGGGAAGGAGAAGGAGAAGAAGGAGAAGGAGAAGGAGAAGAAGCGAGATACTGATAATAAAAACTAGGTTAGGGCCAGAGTGAATATGCAAGTAAGAAGACAAGTTCAGTAGAAAATGAGTAAGAGAAAAAATTCAAGAAAAAAGGCTGGAGGCATCCACAAAAGGAGTTTGCCCAGGAGTCAGGCAGTATCTTGCCTGGAAGATGGTCTCTGCACTAGTCTGTGTCTAAATCCACTTCTTACAGAAACATACCTTACAGCTAACATCTGGCAAGGATGTTACAAATCCCTGTTTTTCCATTTTGGTGCAGTTTATGCAACAGTTCCAAGGTTTTTATCTCCTGATCCTCATTTTATTTATCTGTATAAGGGCTGCTATTGCTAATCTAATGGATTTTTTACTATAAAGCAGTCTGAGGAATAATTGTCCCTGATATGAGCATAATGTAGGCTGCTTAATGTTTTTACGGTGGGGTGTGCCCAGTTACACATGATAGGTTATACAGACACTGCAGATTTTGTGTTCTGAAATGGCCTTAGCATCCATTAGCCAACACCAGATGAATGTGCAGAGTAAGACTACAAGAAAAGGCAAAATGCCAAGGGAGGAAGATGCAAATCTACACAGAATAAATCTACTGCTGTCAGAAGCTCAGACAAACTCTGTCAAGAGAGATGGCAAGGCTTGATTCTATGCACACAACAGAGTTTCAGGCAGGAATTTTCTGTACATATCATGGGTGTATACAGTTGCTCAGAAAAAGTACAGGAAAAAATAGCTCTTTTAAAACCAATGTAAAGTTTCTGATGCTTCATCCATCCATTCATCCACTCATCCATCCATCATCTATCTACCCACTCATTCTTCATTCACTCATTCGTCTATCCATCTGTCTATCCATCCATTCATCTACTCACCATCCACCATCCACCCAGCCATCCATTCATCCATCCATCCATCCAACCATCCATCCAAACACCTCTACCATATGTATTTTTCAAAGTTGTCTTTCTTACCATTGTGATACATGTTTATCTTATGTTACTCCTAAATAGTAAGAGAGGAGATCATACAAAATATAGTTAAATTATTTTAATAAACACATCTAACTTCTAATTTGAGACCTCTTTTCCTCCTCCTCAGTGAGGAGAACTTAACTTTAATTCATTCAGAATAAACAAAAGAATTTTAGTTGTTCTCAGACAAGTTGGGGATTCCCGTCTGTCTTTATGTCTTTGGACTGGTTCTCTTTAAGCTTCAGATCACTGAGCCATGCCAATCATATGACTGTGAGAGCATGTGGTCCTTGCTCATTGTAATCTATCCACTCTGGCATCTACTGACCTTGTCTATGTCTCTCCTGGTCCCCAGTTATTGGCCCACAGAGGTCTTTGTATATCTACCTTCTTGATCCTTAGGGCACTCAGCCAACTTGCTCTTTTCCTGACTTCTGTTCCTTTCCATGAATATGGAACACTTGAGCATGCTCTCCTCTGACACTCCAAGGCTGGGAAAATTCAAGAGCCCAGCTCAGACCTTCTTTTTTTCCACATGCCACTCCACATTACTGCCTATGCATACCACTGCCATGCTCTGCAAGAAAATTTTGCCATGTTCCCGGCCAGCTCCCACCACCTATTGGTTGGTTGTGATAATGAACCACACGGCGTTTGGTCATTAGATTCTCAAATATGTCTCCATAGTTTATATTTTTGAGTTCTTTCACTGTGCCCCTCTCATAGACCAAAAAGTAGGGGGAGAAATTGGAGGCTAGATCTTATTTGTGGGACAACACCCATGTCTAAAATGTTATTTCTCTATATAGTTTCTCCCGTTCTGTCTATGGGAATTTTATGGACTTCAAGGGGTGAAAAGTAACTCTTTCATCATGTGTTCTTGGCAAACTATTGGTCACAGTACCTTTCATGTTCTGATTCTTTCAATATTTATGCTATTTTGAAATAAAACCTTGACTTCCAAGACTATTTATGCCATGAGTTTCAAAAGATTATTTGGAAAAGCAGAAATTGAACATTAACTTGTGTGTACATGTGTGTTTGTTTCCACTAAAACAACTACTTTACCTGAGGCATGGAAGTCCAGGAGTGTAATGCACAGGCCTGTTGGAGTGGGGTGGGAAACCTTTGTTAAGGTGTCAACTTATCATCCTACCACATTCCCCAGGCATGTGACAACCTGGAGTCCTGCTTCACCTCCTGCAGCCACCCTCCACTCACCCTCCACTTGTGCTCTGTGCCCTGCTTTAATTGCTCTCAGATCCACGTAAACCTGACATATTGCTCTAAGAGTCTATGACTTTGACAAAAATTCTTGCTTTGTTGTAAATGCCTTTCCTATATGGGAAACTCCTATGCTTTCTCCCAAACCCAATTCAAGAGTTTGTTTCTTCAAAATCTTCCTTGACATTCCTAAACTAAATGGAACATTTTCTTACCACCAAATTGACTATTTGAAACGTACCTTTCCAGTATTTAATATAGTGCATGGCACATAGATATTCAGAAATTAGCAGAAGGGAGTTTCTAAGTAAGAAAAAAGAATGAAGAGAAGGAAATAGAAAGTATCATTTCATACCCCAGTGAGTAAAGTGCTGGTAAATAACAAAAGCTAACATTTGCCTATTGCCTACTTTGTATTTGTCACTATGCTACATACTTTACTAAGATTATTTCACTGGGCATGACAATTTTTGCCCCTATTTTTTTTTTATATAAAGATTCTAAGCTACAGATAAGTTGAGCAACTTACACAAGATTTTTGATGTTCTACTGAAAGGCTAGGGAAAATTGCCTTAGCACCTGCCTTAGATATTGTTCTAGTGCCTTTTTCCGCCGTTCTTTGCTTTTTCATGAGCTTTTCTTGGATGTCTACCTGCCACCGACCACATTCTCTTCCCAAGACCTAAGGCTCTGTTTGTTGGATATTAAAACATAATATCTGGCATCAGAAAACCGTTCTGTAAGTACAATCCTATCATATTTTATCTTCAGTGCCTTAAGTTCTTGAAGCCTATTTATCTTTCAAATGTACTTTTTTTTGTGAAGACCAAAAAAGTTAACTTATATACTCCATAAATGTAGTTTTTAATTCCATCCTCCACCAAGACAGTTATCCAGAGCCCATTCTTATACGTTTATGCTCTTCTGGTCTTAAAAATCTTGCTGTTGCACCCCTAATTAATGGGTTAGTTAGGTGATAAGAAGCACTGTGAGGAGTTCTTAAGATGCAGGATAAAACTCTCTGGCACCATGATGACTGCAAATAGAAATGAGGTTGGTTGGAGGGCATGCAATAGGTATTTTGGAACACCAGGGTTTACAGTATTAAATCCAACCAATACTACTCCCTGCCTCCCCTCTAACAGTCAGCACCAAAGAAGCACAGCCTTCAACCTAAATGGGTATAATTTATTTGTATTCTTTTTCTAATTTCATGGCCTGGCTGAGAATATATTGGATCATATCTCTTTTGATTGAAGCAAGTCTAAAGAAGAAGGCAAGACCAAGGCCTCCAGGTGCTATTCCCATCCACACCCACTCTCCGGACAGCCATGTGACACTTAACAGATGGTGTTCGGTTGGGGTCAGAAGCCAGGAGTGTTTGAGTCAATTCTGGCTGAGAAGAATCACAAAAGTGGTGAAAAAGTAGTTCCTATGAACACGTGGGACATGAGATATCTCTTTAAATGTGGGAACAATGTCCACTGATACATGGAGAGAAATTTCTCTGTGCTTCTCCAGAGGCAAGAACTTGCACCATGAATGGTTTTGGGATATGATGGATCAGATCATCTTAAGTGAGAACCCCAACACTCAGGGTTAGTGACCAGAGGAAGGAACTGACTGATGAAATAAATTCTGTGCAAGGGAGAGACCAGAGTTCTAGAGGTTTGTTACCTACCAGAAGAGCAAGTTTGGATTCCAGATAGATCATCTGGAAGAATCCAACTCTTGGATGAGGTACATGCCCCTTGGCAAGCCATGTGACCCAAAGACTCTTACTTAATCAGAGCCTATGATCCCGTCAACAAATAAGAGCTTCAAACTAAATACCTTGAAAGTTACTTCCAGATCTAAAAGTCTGGCAGCACAAACAATCCAGTGGTCCTTGCTATTCTTTCCATGTCACTTTTTGTACAAATTCAAATAATCTGTTGTGGGGATGTTACATTTTCTACTATTTTGTAGAGCCATGTGCCTAAGAAATGGATTCTGTGCAAACTAAAGGGCCAAGCCACAATCTCGGAAGAAAGTGCAATTAGTTTAAAAGGGTAGATTCAATAAGATAATCATGATGCTAAATCACAGTAAAAATAAAATGTTAATTCTTCATATTAAAATATAAACTCTAAGGCCAAATTATGCTTAAGGCTAACCTACCTTTTCCTAGCAAAAATGAAAAATAGACAAGTAATAGCACATTGTGAAATACATTGCATAATGTAGATACTTGAAATGATGAATATTCCCAGCACTTTATTTTGTTTATTGTGTCCTGAGAGTCCCTAGTCGATTTTAAAGATGATTATACATTACTTTAAATATTTAAGAGTCTTTTGAACCACTCAAAAAAGAAAAAAAAAGAGACATTGTTCCTAAGAAGTGAGGTAAGGTTGATTATGCTCTGTTCACTACAGTAGGTCTTGTTTAATAAATTTCCAACATAGTAGGATAAAATGATGCTTTTTATTGTACTCTGTTAATAGCAGAAGGTATGTCATTTTATTTCACAAGCAGCATTTATTGTTCCAGAGTTAGTGTTCGCAGAGTTCAGAGTGACTTCTCACTACAAAAGAAAATTACTAAAGACCAGAGGATGCCGGCCGTCTTCCTTTTCACTCCTGGGGAAGATAATGCAACAGATGGGTTTTCCGTGTAGACTATGGGACTAGTTCCAATGGTAATAGTCAGCTAAATTGTAAATGTTGAGGAAGCCATCCCCACTGACCGATCAGGATGGCCTGTGAATCAACCCCTCAGAATGCTCATGTGCTGTGGCTTACTCAGAATAAACTACATTTAACTAAAAATATATATATATGTATATATACACATATATATACACACATACATATATACACATATATATACACACATACACACACACACACACACACACACACACACACACACACACACACACATATATATATCGTGGTGTCTTAGGGGCGAGAGAGAAAAGATCATGAGACACCTCAATGGTCTTCTTGGGGCCGTCTTCAAAGGATTTTGTATTTCTCGAAAAGGAGCAATCCCAGGAGTAATCTTAGAGCCTGTGTGGTTTCAAGTGCAACTTTGCAGCTCACAGCCTTTTCACATCAGAACAGTGGAGGGGAGGGGAGGGAGGGGAGGGGAGGGAAAGGGAAGGGAGGGGAGAGGAGGGGAATGGAGGAGGGGGAGAGGAGGGGAGGGAAGGGGTGAGAGCTCTAGGCTTACTTAGAGTCTTGCAGACCATGAGCTTGCTGGGTTGGCTTGGGTGAGGTAAATAATCTTTTGAGTGTGTCTGTCTATAAAAGCAGGATACTATTACTTAGAAGTATAGCTTAGAGTAAAGGGAGCAAAATGAATGGAACAGCCTGGAAATACCCTAAGATAGCAGTTCTCAAGAAATATGTATGGTAAGTGCTCACTTAAGGTCATTGAAAAGTTCTTCCAAACTGCAACTTTAGGCAAAATGACATGTAACAAAACCAATTTTACCATGGGCTAATTGATACAAACAAGAGTTAAGTTTTTACTGTATATTTCTGGTACCCAAACATCACCAAACTTCTAAAGAAAGACCCAAAACACAATATAAAACATTAAAATAAGTGTGAGCTATCAATGAGTTAAGAAAAGTTAACAAAAGCAAATAAATGCATTTGCCCAGTTTGTGGTGAATCAGTGAATCATGTTAGTCACAGTGATGCTAGGTTAAATCAAGGTATTGCTTGTTTGCAAAGAAAATTTGTAAGAAACATCTGCTATCACCACGTACTTCAAAGACAATAACCAACAGGCTGGCCTGGCTGAGCACTTTCAAAGTGCATTGTTTATTATTATGCATTTCTGTGACTATTGTATTCTTTACGCATTTTTATCGTACAATATTTTGTGTTCATTCATTTTCCAATCTGCTTATTCCAGCTCAGGGTTGCAGGTAGACAGGGCCTATCACAGCAGCCCTGGGTGTCAGGTGGAAACCAACCCTGGACAGGACAGCATTCCATCACAGGATGCACTCACATACACACACTCACCAGACTCAGACTGGGACAATTTAGACATGACAACTCACCTAATGTGCACATATTTGAGACGTAAGAGAAAACAGAAATACCCAGAGAAAACCCATGCAGATGTGGGGCAAACATGCAAACTCCACACAGACAGCTGACCCAGACAGAAATGGATTTTTTTCTCTGGTCGACATTGTAACAAACTGATGTTGAGCAAAATTACTGTACTCCAGAAATTGCTGTATTAAAAGAAATTAGTCATAAGACATATGTCAATAGTTTCAAATGAGTGTTCAGGAAAAAAAATACAAGAAAAGAGTGAGAAGAAAGGGTAGAATGAAAGGGAGAGTTAGGTGAGTGAAGGAGGAAGAAAGAAGAAAATGAAACAGAAGAGAAGGGAAATAAGAATAGAGAGCAGGAAGTTTAGAGAGGGTGGAAGAATCTCAGCCACACT
This sequence comes from Homo sapiens, assembly GCF_000001405.40. Lineage (NCBI taxonomy): Eukaryota > Metazoa > Chordata > Mammalia > Primates > Hominidae > Homo > Homo sapiens. The sequence goes on along the minus strand of NC_000004.12, from coordinate 11,133,776 downwards.
CTAAGAAAGAAGAAAATGAAACAGAAGAGAAGGGAAATAAGGATAGAGAGAAGGGAGGAAGAGAGGGTGGAAGAATCTCAGCCACCTCTTTTGGGAGCTGTTACTGATCACATCCACATAGAGAATCTTCCCCTGAACCTTGGAATCTTGACTCTGAATCAATTGCTAGGACTTTGACCAATTACAAGAGACTTGCAGGCAGGATGGGCACCTCATTCCTTGACTTCTCCATAGCAGGCAGTGCAGGGCCTGACACAGAATGATTGTTCAACATCTGCCTCGGCATGTGCTGATGGAGATAAGAGGCATGGTGGAGGAGAGGACTCTCCAGGAGGTAGGACTGGGAAACACAAGTTTGCTTTCTTCTATGTCATTTAGTAGCTTGGATCCCTGGGAGATCTCTTACAAAGAGCTCTCTTTCTCTTACATATATATTGACATATATCATAGGATATATGTCAATAGTTTCAAATGAGTGTTCAGGAAAAAAAATGCGAGGAAAGAGTGAGAAGAAAGGGTAGATAAGTGCTCTTTTCTTATTTGTAAACTGAGGAGACTGACTAACTCAAAAGTCATTTGGGAGGATCATGCAAAATCACTGAGTAAGGATATGTAGCTTAAAAGTTATTACCCAAATGAGAGTGTTTGTTATGGTTTGAATTGTGCCTCCCCCGTAAAAAATATGTTAGAGTCCTAACCTCCCCTACCCCAGTCCCTCAGAATGTGACCTTATTTGGAAATAGGGTCATTGCAGATGTAATTAATTAAGATGGACTCATACGGGAATAGGATGGTTCCTAAACCCAACATGTTTTGTGTCCTTTTACAAAGCAATGGACATAGATATGGAGGCACAGACACAGCAGAGAACATGAGGTGAAGCCAGAGGCAGGGACTGCAGGGCTGCAGCTATAAACCAAGAAATGCCAAGGAGTGCCAGCCCCCAGCAGAAGCTGGGGAGAGGCAAGGAAGAATGCTACCCAGTGTCCAAGGGAGCAAGTCCCTGCTGACACCTTGATTTTGGACTTTCCATCTCCACAACCATGAGACAGTTAATTTCTGTTGTTTTAAGTCGCCCAGTTTGTGGGGCTTTATGACAGGCCTAGAAAACTAACATGGTATTTCCTCCTCCTGCTTCCTCAATTATGTTCAGAAATGCATTGAGTGCTTCTATGCCAAGAATTATGCAAGTTATTGGGAATACAAAGGTAATACTAACTGGTACTGAAGTGGTGCTGCTATGTGGCAGATAATGTTCCAAGTGACTTATTTAAAGTACAGCACCATTTGATTGGCACTATTAATATTTTCATCCTCAATTTATAAATGAGGAAACTAGATCGCAAAGTATCTAGTAAGTAAATGAGGAAACTAGATCACAAAGTAAGTATCTTGCCCAAAGTCATCCAGCTAGTAATTGTCAGAGTCAGGATTTGAAACCAGGACTCTGGAAACAATGTGCTTAAGCAATCACTCTGCACACAGTCATTTGAAATAAAGTATACACAGATCCTGATAGTCAGGAGCTCACTCAAAAAGACAGGAGACTAACATGCTTATAAATATTTAAAATTCAGAATTTTTAAAGACAACGGTAGAAGTAAATACAGTGTATTCATACAACCCAGGGGAAGACATGGTGATATAGCTTGGATATACCCTCCAAATTTCATGTTGAAATTTAATCCCCAGGGTTGGAGGTGGGGCCTGGTGGGAAGTGTTTGGGTCATGGAGGTGGATCCCTCAGGGCTGGTGCTGTCTTCGCCATAGAGAGTAAGTTCTTGAGAGAGCTGGTCATTTAAAAGTGTGTAGCACCTCCCCCACTCTCTCTCTTGCTCCCACATTTGCTATGTGAGATGACTGCTCTCCTTCACCTTTTGCCATGATTGTAAGCTTCCTGAGGTTTCCCCAGAAGCTGAGCAGATGCCAGCTCCATGCTTCCTGTAAAGCCTGCAGAACGATGAGCTAATTAAACCTCTTTTCTTTATAAATGACCTAGCCTCAAATATTTCTTTATAGCAATGCAGAAATGACCTAACACACATGGGATGATGGAGTTCCCTGCAGACTTCTTGGAGGAGTGATGATTAAGAGAGTTTTGTAATGACGAATAAAATATTCCAAGCCAGATGCACAGGACATCTGCAAAACTTAGCAAGGAGATGCAGCTGCGTGCTTCCATGAACATTTAGACTTTTATCAGGCTGGATAAGAAATGAGACAGGGACACATTTGGGATTTATCTGGTGGTCCCCTGGATCCATTTACCTGGATAAGCATTCATTCAACTGACTCTGGGAACAGCAGAGTCCATACTGAAGCATGGCAAAGAAGAAAGAGCACAGGTTTTAAATTTAGAGACCTGGGTTTGAACAGTATCAGCACATTTTGCTGCTTTCTGTTTATTGTCATCTCCAAGACCTTGTCTTCCAAGGTGCAGCTACTGTCATCCAGGCCTGAGTCATTCATTCATTCATACATTTAGTCACTCATCCATCTAGTGAATGCAATTTCATTGGGCATTCATGTTGAGCCAAGCCCTCTTTTCTAAATAATGCAGACAGAACAAGGAACAAGATTCCCACTGTCTCTAAGCTTACATTTTTGAGTAATAGCAAATAATCAAGTAAGCAGAGGCTGCTATATAATTTTACTGAGTGATAGCTGGAATGGAGACAATACAAACAACGTACTAGGATGAAGCATAGCAATGAATGGGATATGACCCCATTGATAGGATAGTTAGAAAAAGTCTTTCTGGAGAGGTGACATTTGAGTTAAGACCTCAAAAATACCACTGGACTGTTCATGCTAAAGTTTGATGTAAAATGTTCCTAGATAGAGGAAATAGCCAATGCACTACTCTTAGAGAAAAGCCAGCTTGGCATTTTCGGGAATCAAAAATAGGCCAGTGTGGCTAGTGTGTCATGAAAAAAACAGGCCTAAAAGGAAACAAGCTCATGGAGAAAGGCAATGCCTGAGGGCTACTCTTGCCAGAAATCTGTACTTTTACAGTGAAGCTGATGGTGAGTCATGCAGGGATAAAAAGAAAGGGATGATGTGGTCAGCTTTGGCATTTTCAAGAGCTCTCTCAACTGATAATCTGTTAGGTCCAGATAGGGGAACATGTTTCTAATCATTTTCACCCATTCTCACAATGCCAGAATGAGGCATGTGTACTTGGGAAGCATCGACTAAACCTCTGTTGACCTGATTCAGTCTCAAAGGAGCAGCACTGTAATGTTGAGCTCAGTTTTCTCATGATGTAGAAGGTTCCAATGCACATGGAGCTGCAGGTGCAGGGGATGGGGTAGTCATGGACCGGGTACAGTCACTTATGTGCATTTGTACTCTACGCCATCACCAGAGAAGTATGACTTGCAAAAAAGGCAATTAAGTTGTAGGTGCTGTCTATTCTACTTGCTCCTTTCCCTAGAGTTGAGACTCAATTAGCACCCATTGAAGACCTTGTCCTTTTCTGTGTTTTTATTGTCTGGTTGGCCTGCTTCCAGTCCAGCTGATGCCCTGGGACTTTGGGTAGGACCTGGGTTTCTGTCTTTTTCCTCAAATCTGATTTACAGTTTGGATCAAAAGACACAATCCCAAATGATGAAGTCTCCAAAGATCAAAATCTCCAATTTCTAAAATACTGAAAATCACAATCACAGGATGAGTTTGTGCATCATGTTAGGCAGAACTATTAGCTTGTTATTGTCTTTATGCAGAAGAAAATAGATTTCAAGTGAATCCACAGTCCATAATGACAGATCTGAAATTGGGTATGATCATGATATCTAAAAGTGAATGTCAAGGTGTTACCAAAACTTGTCTCTTTTTATTTTCATTAAACCCAATACATTTGGAGGAAAATTCAGATGAGTGGATTTGCCACATGATAAGGCAACAAGAAAAACTTCAGTTTAAACATGTATTTATTTGCACAGGCATTCCTTCCAGCTGATGACATTCCAGGAGCTTTTAATGAATTAAAACTGCATTTTTCTGAAAAAGCCATTGAAGTTACTGACTGGTTTAAAAACAATTTTGTGCCTGGTAGGATAAGACACTTTTGCAATTGTATTGCTGTTCGATCATTGGTATTGTTCCTGCCAAATTTGTGGCCTCTATATGAGTACGTACAGAATGGATTTCTGCATACCCAAGACACCATAGAAGCATGACACAGAAGATGGGATAACTTAGGGAAAGCTCACATCAGTGTATATTGAATCATAGAAGAATTTTGGAAAGGAGCAGTGCCATGTAGAAAATGAATGTGAACATATTCCACTAGGAGAGTCATATCCTAAAAGAAAAACAAACAAACAGACAAACAAACAGCTATTCATGATGAAAAAAAAAGACTTCAAAATATGGTTAATGATTATAAAACTTGGCCAGCTTTTATGAGCTATCTATGCAATTGCACATAATCTATCCGTGTAATTACTCTTTTTTATTTGTCAAATTGTTTTATTTTTGTTTCTTTTCTTTTATCTTTTTAAAGGTTTTTTACTATTCTAAATTCCAAGCATTTTTTTTAATATAATTTGTTATGCTATAGATTTCATCTTTGCATCATTTCTAATACTGGACATATAAATCATGTTAGACAGTGCTGATTCATTTTACACATTTTTCGCAAATGTGATTCCATGAAAATGCATTAACACAACATTGGCTTTGCATGTAAACATTGTGTGTGTATGTAAAAATGTTGAAATTTCCTCAATAAATAAAGGGATGTTCTTGTTGTATGCCTGCATTTGTGAAATATAACATTTCTCGAGATGTTGGATGTTTCTGAGTGACTGGTAGGGTGATGCGGTGATAACCTATCAAGGTTTTTGAACAGTCTCATCAAAAGACTTGGGTTGTCCATCATGGTATTTCAGATGACTGCAGTTATAAAGCTGGGTGCACACAATTAACCACCATAGTGATATGCATTCATACATTTCTCTTTTTGACCTGTTTCCTCATGAATACAGTTTGTCTGCCCATGTTTATGCTTGCAAGAATATTTGTTATATTGACTATTTTGTTGTGGAAAGTGGACCATGAAGTGTTCTGTTTTATTTTTATATGGTTCTCAACTAAATCCCCTTTTAAACATGTAAGTGAATGTATTTCAAATGATTTTAAAATTATGCTTTTCCAGAATTATATTTTCAAGATTTTAGATTTTGGGGGTTTCGTTCTTTGGAAATTTCATCAACTGGGATTATGGTGGTTGGGATTGTATCTTTCCCCTGATTTATTCCTGGGATTGCTATCTTGCTCACTGTTGTCTTGTCCATATTTCTAAATTATCATTACAGGTGGAGGTTTCTGATATAGAGAATAGATGTCGGCCAGGCATGGTGGCTCATGCCTGTAATCCCAGCACTTTGGGGGGCCGAGGTAGGCTGATCACCTGAGGTCAGGACTTTGAGACTAGCCTGGCCAATATGGTGAAACCCTGTCTCTACTAGCACTACAAAAATTAGCCAGGGGTGGTGGTGCACACCTGTGGTCCCAGCTACTCAGGAGGCTAATGCAGGAGAATTGCTTAGACTCAAGAGACAGAGGTTGCAGTGAACAGAGATCATGCTACTGCACTCCAGCATGAACGACAGAGCAAGACTCTGTCACAAAAAAAAAAGAATAGATGTCGCCTTTGTGCTAAGCAAAGGGGCAGCAGAGTTGATATTTTTTATTCTAGCAGAGATATCAATACTTGTTTAAAGAATAATGTCAAAATGTGTAATCATTCACCCATTCACTCTGCTAGGGATACACCACCAGGTACTGGGAAAAACAGGGAGGAGTACAGAGGTGATCCTGGGCTTCATGGAGCGTTAAGTCTACTGGTTAGGGGTGGTGAGAGAGAAACCAATTCCAATAGGGAAGAATCAAGTCAAAGAAGTCAGGCAGAAAAATAAGAACGACTCCAAAGTGACAGATCTAAATCAGTGACATTAAGGGGAGTGACTTGAGATGAAGAACAGACTGAGGGGCAAAATAGCAAGACTCTATCACTAAAAACAATAAATTAAAAAAAATTGGGAAGTCCCAGAGCTATGGAAGGCCAAGGTGGGGAGGATCACTTGGGGCCAGGAGTTCAAGACCAGCCTGGGCAACATAGTGAGACCCTATCTCTGCACAAAATAAATTTAGCTGGGTGTGATGGCACACACCTCTAGTACCTGCTACTCAGGAGGCTGAGGTGGGAGGATCCCTTGAGTCCACAAGTTTGAGGTTACAGTGAGCTATGATCTTGCCACTGCACTCCAGTCTGGGTGACAGAGTGAGACCCAGTCTTTAAAAAAGAAACAAACAAAAAACAGAGAGGTTGTCTGCTGAGGTGTCCTGAGGCATCAATGGGCAGGAAGAAACATACTTCATTTTATGGCAACTCTGCTAGGGAATCTTTTTGAGAAGGGACCACTAGAAGCCTGGAGTGGATTCAGACACACTTCTTAGAAACTGATCTTGTACTCCTGGTTCTCCTAGCACTAGAGCCTCTGCTGGACTAGGATAATTTACTCTTTTTTTTTTTTTTTTTCTTTTTTTTGAGACAGAATCTTGCTCTGTCACCCGGGCTGGAGTGCAGTGGCATGATCTTGGCTCACTGTAACCTCTATAACCTCTGCCTCCCGGGTTCAAGTGGTTATCATGCCTCAGCTTCCCAAGTAGCTGGGACTACAGGCATGGGCTACCATGCACAGCTAATTTTTTTATTTTTAGTAGAGACAGGATTTCACCATGTTGCGCAGGCTGCTCTCTAACTCTTGACCTCAGGTGATCCACCAGCCTCGGCCTTTCAAAGTGCTGGGTTACAGGTGTGAGCCACCATGCCTGGCCCCTGCACCTCCTTTATCTGGGTTCTTTCCCTCATTACCCCCAACATTCATCTTCTGCTGCTTCTTCCTTTTCCTGATGACAGACTTTTCTGATCCTGGGTCTTTGAAGCAGGATTCTTCCTGGTCTCTGGCTGGGCTGTCTCTGAGCCTTCCCCATTTCTTAATCTTAGATCACAGTGGTGGCCTTGGTGTTGGCAGCTACCTGTGGACTGTGCTGCCTTACACAGCTCACAAATTCAGCTTCCTGGTTCAGAAGATGAATCATGATCTCATCTTCTCTGCTTGTTCTCTCCCCAGGTGTTCTCCTCCTTCCCCCATGGGTGTGATCAGTCTCCGTCCATGGTTCTGTCTTCTATCCAGACTGCTGGTGCTAGTCCCAAACAAGATCTGAGCTTTACTTTCCCATTGCATGAGTGACCGCAGCTACATAATTGTTGTCCTGCCCCTTTGATTTAGAAGTTTTTTTTTTTTCTTCCCCTTCTTCTTTTAACATGTCCTATATATTCTTGTATCTTTTGTCCGTAGCTTCAGGGTAGAAGTCTTCAAGACAGTGAGTTCTTAAGTTTCGGCAGCTTGTTCTCCACTCATCAGGAAAACAACAATAAACAAACAAATAAAACCAAAACAAATAAAAACAAACACCTGGCATCTGTATCTTACTTCTGAAGGTGACTGACAAGTGTGGAGATATTCTCAGATGGATAATTCTCCATTACAACACTCATGTCAAAGGGGGTCTCACAGTTAACAGTGATAATAACTGTTGAATAAGTATGTTTCCCACTTTGTCTTACTGAAGGAATTGCAGACAGCTAGATTAGAGAGGTAGGAGGTGGAGGGGTTCTGTGAGCAGAAACTAGCCTATTTACTCCAATAAAGCTTCATGGTCCCAATAGAGAGCTCATAAGAGACAATGATTTAGCAGCAGCAAACTTTCTCTCTGCTGAGTAAAATTGAAATCTGAAAGATGAATATTGGCCCCTGGGTCATTCGTCTTTGAAAGATACTCTCTTTAAAGAGTGCAGAAATCATTCAAAAATGTAAACCGAACTCTGGTTTCCCAAGCGTTTACATAAATCAATATATATCAAATGGCATGCTATTATACAAAAAAGGAATGTGTTTTGTTGCTGGAATATATAGTGCCAGATGATATGTATGAGCGTGGCTTTACATATCACTTTTTCTCTTACTCATTCAAGAGATAGAAATATTTATATTCAACAAGGAAAAAATATGATTGTTTCAATGCAGGAAATAGCTACACATGGAAACAAAAATGGAGAGCCAAGGGAATTATTTGCATTATTTGGACTAGGAACAAGAACTTATAATTGCACTTGAAGCATCCAGATATTTGAATTAAAAGTGCCTATACCTGATATTGTACCAACCATTGCCTATTCATTTTATTTATTAAATATCTCTCAAACCTTTCATCTCTTATTTGCAACCCCACTGCCACTTCCTGAGTTCAGATATTTATCAACTCTTCTCTATACCAAAGAGAATAAACTTAGTGATTTACTGGTTGTGTAAAATTTCCCCCAAATTGTAGGGACTGTACCAATTGTAGGGATTATTAGGGTCACTATTGGTTAGAAATGGCATCGTTCTATTTTACCAAAATAAGAATATTTTAAAAGTACATTATCCACCATCACCAGTGTTTTGTAAAACAAATGATAGATTTAGTGTTGAAAAAAATGTTTACAATATAATTTCACAAAGTGTTCTTTTTTAATGTTTTAATTGATGTGTAATAATTGTACACATTTTGGGGTTATATCTGATATTTTGATACTGATATTTGATACACATGGTATACATGTTTAATTATCATGTCAGCATCAAAAGTGTGTTCTTTTCAATTTAGTGCATTGAGTTTTAGTAAATGAAATGAATTCAGTATAGGCTTTATTGTTCTCATCATGCCAGAGATCTGTGAAAAATTCCCTATGGAGCAGCAGAGTCCAGCAAAGCTTTAGATTAATAAAAATTCTTCCAACTGATCCTCACACAGTCTTCTAACAGGTCTTCCAAACACCATTTTTTCCCACCCTGAATCCTTCTTACTACTTCAGCCAAAATGATCCTCTTAAATATGCAAAGTAGTCATTTGTTTAAAAGCTTCTGAAGCCCCCTGTTCCCATTATCTTCAGAATCAAGTTGATACTCTCTCCTAAAGCAAACTCTCTAGGTTCTGGGGTTCTGTTCTCTGGTGGTTTCACTTTATCTTTTTAGAGCTTGCAATTTGAGTGGGCCAGCAACATCAGATGGTGTCTAGCCCCCTACACAGGCATGCTTTGTCATCCCCTTTTATTTTTGCAAACACTGTTCCCTCCATCTGTTCTCACATGAAAAATTCCTTCCCCAACCTTCATGTCTCAAATCTAGTACAAACCTTCTTTGCACTGACTCCCCAGGCTGCATTTTTACTCATTCATTCAACAAATGTTTATTGAGCCTTTATTGTATGCCAGATGGTTTTGGTGAGGCAGGGTTAAGCAAAGCAGTAAATGGAACAGATAAAACCCCTGTCCTGAAGGAGCTTACATCCTTAAATGTTATTTTTATTAATCAGCCACTGCATCTTACATACGGTGCCATCATAGTATGAGACCATATGATTTATCTTCCAAACCTCAACTATTTTGAAAGTAAAAGGCATGTTATTAATAATTATAGGCTAAGCCAGGTGGGGTAGCTCATGCCTATAATCCCAGCACTTTGCGGGGCTGAGGCGGGTGAATCATTTGAAGTCAGGAGCTTGAGACTAGCCTGGCCAACATGGTAAAAACCCATGTCTGCTAAAAATACAAAAATTAGATGGGCTTGCTGGTGGGCACCTGTAATCCCCGCTACTTGGGAGACAGAGGCAGGAGGATCACTTGAGGCGGAGGTTTCAGTGAGCCAAGACTGTGCTACTACACTCCAGCCTGGGTGACAGAGTGAGACTCTGTCTCAAAAAAAAAGGTAGAAATAGAAATAAAAAATTATAGAATGACAGGTGTAAACACTCATTCACAAAGCTGGCCGTAACAACAGCTGTCAGTTTGGGACTAAGCATGTCGACTTGGCACCATGCTGTGTACTCTTATACAAATTATAAGAGTACAGCTAACTGGAATGATTGAGTAGCAGACTGTGTCACTATTTGTCAGACTTACTCAATAAATTTGTATGCACATCACCTAACACATAGCAGGGACAGGGATGACAAGCAAAAATACATTGAGTGATTCAATACATAATTGAATGAATGAACAAATGAAGACCCCATATAGCCAAGACAATCTTAAGCAAAAAGAACAGAGCTGGAGGCATCATACTACCTGACTTCAAACTATACTACAAGGCTACAGTAACCAAAACAGCATGGTACTGGTACCAAAACAGACATAAACCAAGAGGGCAGAACAGAGACCTCAGAAATAACACCACACACCTACAACCGTCTGATCTTCAACAAACCTGACGAAAACAAGCAATAAAGAAAGGATCTCCTATTCAGTAAATGGTGCTGGTAAAACTGGCTAGCCATATGCAGAAAATGGAAACTGGACCCTTCCTTACCCATTATACAAAAATTAACTCAAGATGGATTAAAGACTTAAACGTAAAACCTAAAACCATAAAAACCCTAGAAGAAAACCTAGACAATACCATTTAGGAAATAGGCATAGGCAAAGACTTCATGACAAAAACGTCAAAAGCAATTGCAACAAAAGCCAAAATTCACAAATGGCGTCTAATTAGACTAAAGACCTTCTGCACAGCAAAAGAAAGTATCATCAGAGTGAACAAGCAACCCACAGAATGGGAGAAAATTTTTGCAGTCTACTCATCTGACAATGGTTTAATATCCGGAATTTTCAAGGAACTTAATCATATTTACAAGAAAAAAACAACCCCATCAGAAAGTGGGCAAAGGATATGAACAGACACTTCTCAAAAGAAGACATTTATGTGGCCAACAAACATGAAAAAAAGCTCAACATCACTTATCATCAGATAAATGCAAATAAAAACCGCAATGACATACCATCTCATGCCAGTCAGAATGGTGATTAATAAAAAGTCAGGAAACAAAGATGCTGGCAAGGCTGTGGATAAATAGGAACACTTTTACAATGTTGGTGGGAATGTAAATTAGTTCAACCATTGTGGAAGACAGTATGGCAATTCCTTAAGGATCAAGAACCAGAAATACCATTTGACCCAGCATTCCTATTACTGGGCATATACCCAAAGGAATATAAATCATTCAGTTATAAAGACACATGCGCATGTATGTTATGTTTTGTTTTGTTTTGTTTCGTTTTTGAGATGGAGTTTTGCTCCTGCTGCCCAGGCTGGAATGCAGTCACACGATCTCGGCTCACTGCAACCACCGCCTCCCGGGTTCAAATGATTATTCGGACTCAGCCTCCCAAGTAGCTGGGATTACAGGCACCCACCACCATGCCTGGCTAATTTTTTGTATTTTTAGTACAGATGGGGTTTCATCATGTTGGCCAGGCTTGTTTCACCCCAGGTGATCCGCCCACCTCGGTCTCCCAAGTTACTCGGATTACAGGTGTGAGCCACTGCATCTGGCCTCACACATGTTTATTATAGCACTATTTACAATAGCAAAGACATGGAACCAACCTAAATGCCTATCAATGATAGACTGGCTAAAGATATTGCGGCACATATACACCAGGGAATACTATGCAGCCATAAAAATTAATGAGATTATGTCTTTTGCAAGGAGATGGATGAAGCTGTAAGCCATTGTCCTCAGCAAACTAACATAGGAACAGAAAATCAAACACCGTATGTTCTCACTCATAAGTGGGAGTTGAACAATAAGAACACATGGACACAGGGAGGGGAACCTCACACACTGGGGCTTGTCAGGGGGTTAGGGGTTAGGGGAGGGATAGCATTAGGAGAAATACCTAATGTAGATGACAGGTTGCTGGGTGCTGCAAACCACTATGGCACATGTATACCCATTGATTCTCACAGTGACCTTACATACTAAGAATTATTGTTTCTGAACCTCACAGAATTAATGGGATTCTCTCAGAGTGGAAATAGAATAAGTAAAGTTTGGTGAAAATAAGAAAAAAGGGATAGTTCCACTCTACCCTAAAAAATAACTGAAATACCAGTTTAACCCAAATATTCTATAAGATGCTGAGTAAATGATGAGTGTGTAAACCCCTCTGTGATGGCCAATGCAGAAGCACACATAATCAGGCTCACATTATCCCCACTCTGTTTAAAAGGGCCTTCTGCTGTTGGTTCTACCCCCAAGAGGAGAGAACAGGAACCAGGGCTTGGACTCCAAGGTCAGACATTGGGAGTCTAAGTAAAATTCTGTCATTTTCCAGCTATGGGATATTAGTCAAGATAGTTATCCTCCTAACCCTTGGTTCTCTTATTAATATAATGAGGATAATTATAAGGTTACTGTGAGAATTACATAAGATAATTTGTATAAGAGTACACAGCATGGTGCCAAGTCTACATGCTTAGTCCCAAACTGACAGCTGTTGTTACGGCCAGCTTTGTGAATGAGTGACCTGTGGGGTCACGCAGAACCTGGTTCTCAGAAGAGTTCCTTGCTGGGTTTAATTCTCTGCTGTTACTGTCTCAAAATTCTTAATAACTTTATATCTCAGCTTGTGTTTTGTAAGCGGCATTCAATGGGACAACAGAGCATGCTTTGAGTACTGAAGACAAGAGCAAGAGGTATGCCCATCATTCCTTGCCACCCATGCCATAGAGCACTGCAAATCCCCATGAACACAGAATTCTAGATTTGCGTTGCATGGTAGTTCAATGAAACTCAAAGTCAGCACGAGGTAAGAGTGTACACCTTTGAGTAAGTAGAGATACTGACAAACCAGAGAGACCATGCTTTGGTTTTGACCAGAACTTGCTTCAAGCACAGAAATGTGTCATTTAAAGAAACACAAAAGACTAAGTAACCCTATTACATCCTTTCCTACTCCTGTTTCTTCCCTGTATTAGACAACAATTTATGCTGAAAATGATGACACAGAAGGAAAGGAAAAGAGAGGGCAATCATACTTAGTTCCTTTACCTTTCAGTCCTTCCTTACTCATCAAGCTGAAGACAGAAGGTGTTGGTTGAATATGCCCAAACGAAGAACTAAGAGAAAAACAGTTGAGTTAGTTTTGTGTATCATTTCCACTATATGTGGTCAGAATGAAATATATACTTACATAGGAGTTACAAAATATGAATTGTATAAATATTCTTATACCAACATTGAAAACTGGTATTGCACAATATGAAGAAAATGGGAAAACTCATGCTAATAATTTGAAATGTTAATTTTCTTTTACTGAGAAGAATGTTAAATAGCAAATGAAAAACATGACAAGTTGAGAGACAGAGACCACAGAAGAAAGGAAAACGCTTTAATTTTAGTACCTCTAATGGCACTGTTTTTCCTGTATTTTGATTAAAGGAGCTGCATTTTCAGTTTTTACTGAGCCCAACAAGAAATGTGCTCTTGTTGCTGTTATTATTATTACTTTATTCTGAGAATGAATCTAGGCATTCCTAAATGCCACTGCCTCCAGGAAGGCAGCCCTGATTGCCTGGTCACAATCAATCTCTCTCTTTCACTCTCTTGCTTAACCCTGTATAACTTTTATTAGATTTCTGTTTTAGCACAAGCCCTCAGCATGATTTGTATATACTTCTGTCTCACCAACTAGACTGTGTCCACCTTAGGGTTGGCAATATGAGTCCCAGAATTCTTAGCCTCACTGTCAGCCCATGCCACTGGTCAGTTAATGCTTTCTGAATTGAATCATTGGCATCTGTGGGAACTGCTCATCCAGATGTGAATTTTTCTTCACGGATTCACCAGGGTGCTACATTTTGATTGAATCAACCTAATACCCTAGAAGCATCATGACATCACTGTTCTTAAAGTTTTCATTGACATTTTGGTGTCAGTCTTTTGATCTTAGGCAGTCAGGACAAGACACTCGTTTTGTTGCTGTCTTAAAGGTGGAACTCTTTTACTAGAGGTGGACCTCTTTTTGTGGGGGCAGCAAACAGATTGGCTTCCTCTCCCAATGACATCTCTGAGCTCTTCTCTTCTTCAGAGCCAAGGCTTCAGTTTGGTGAGTGACTTGTGCGCAACAGAGTGCTCTTTCTTTCTCTGTTAGCAGAAAAAGAGAAGCTGGTTGTTAAGAATAGACTGTCTGGTCTTGGGGCTAGAGCTCTAAATTGCTTCCTGCTGGAGGGGTCCTTGGAGTCATAAGTGACTGGCAGGTGCCCAGAGCAGATGATACTGCCAGATGACTGTCTGTTGCTCTTGAAGTAAACTCTGGGCTCCTCATCAAGACCTTGAGCCCACCTTGATTTAGCCCCTGGCCTCTGGTGCCACTGCCCCATACCAAGCCAATGCCCCAGTGGTGAACATTTAAGCTCTCTGGGAACGCCTTGTTGGTAGACACTCGCTTTGCTCATGCAGACCCCTGTGCTCTGGGTCACCTTAATTTCCTTAATCATCTCCCCCTCAGTACAGCCTATTCACCTCCTTGGTAAATTCCTTCTTTAAGGCTCATCTTAAACATAAAATATAGTTATTTATTTGGGAATATAGAAGAATCTCTTTCTCAAACCTGTACTAGAGAAAAAAATCCTGTTGAGGTAAATATAAGCAATAAAACCATAAAAACCAAATAGAACTAGAAACAATATAAGTGTGTGATCTTGTGATAGGAAAAGTCTTTCTAAATATTGTATCTGAGGCAGAAATCATAAACAAAAATATCATAGAATTGAACATAGAATAGAAAAAAATTAAATTTACATATTAAAGCATTACATACACAATTAAAAAGCAGATGATAACCCATAATTTGCCTAGATCCATGAATTGATGAATAGCCTCAGTTTTTAAAGTTCTCTAACAACTCATTAACAAAGACACCCCCCACAGAAACAACACAAAAGATTAACTGAAGAAAAAAGATATGCAAGAAATGTTTTCTAAGATCATAATATAAAAAGCCTTTCTCAGAATCTATTAAAGAAATGCAATTAAACTTTGCTCTTTTTCTAATATAAGTCTGGCAAAAAAATTTAAATACTATTATCTGGGGTGGATTAGATTATTGCTCAGCAAATATTCATTCCCTGCCAATCCATTGAGTTGAAGGTTGTCACGTGATTAGCTCTGGTGCCACGGTGAGTGAATTATATTTCCTCAGCCCTTGACTTAAGACTTAGCCACATTTCTTGCTTTAATCAATTACAAATATTTTTTTGAGCAATAGCATAATACATGTTCACATGGTAAGAATTTCTCTTTGCATACTTGTCTTTTACCATGAAAAGAACATACTTTGTGTAACTGCTTGTTCAGAGAGGATGAGAGACTAGTGAAGCAGGCCTATATTTTGGAGCTAAGCCCAGCCTAGATCAGCCAAACTCGAGCCAACACATAGACAAGTGAACAAGAAGTTATTTTTATTATTACAAAGTATGCCACCGAATTTAAGAAGGTTTGCTACATAGGATGATTGATACTTAACTGAAATTATGTTTGATATTAGTAAAAATGTCAAGAAATTGCTTTGGTCATTCCAGTAGGAGGATTTAGAAATGTAAATGAAGGGAGGAAAGAAGGAAAGAGGGATGATGGAGAGAGGAGAGAAAGACAGAGAATATTATGACACACTGCTTTTTTACTGAATTGGTATGCCTAAAGTAATTGGGATTAGGCCATATAAGATGAGCAACTAACAAAATCCAATAATCAAGCCAAAAAATAAAGCAGATTCTAAATCCATGTTGCTACATAGAATCATCATGTTGCAATGATAATGGCAATGAGAATAACTTGCACCCAAACAGTATTTTTAAAAATACAACAGTTCCTCATGTAGTTGTCAAATTTTAACTCATTCCCATTTTACAGATAAGAAAACTGAAACTCAGAAGTGTTATCATTTGCCCAAGGTCACAGGCAGTCCTGAGATTTGTGTGAGGGTCTTCTGACTCCAGAAGGAGTCCTTCTGTGTGACATCTGCATCCAGTTATCCCTGGCTGGCTTAGAGTTTCTGTGCACGTCTCATCTGCACTATTTCCTGAGACAATCTAACATGTGCTCCTCTTGTAAGTGGGGGACATGGAGCTTGCTAATGGTCTCTCTATACTAATTATGAGCAACCCTGGTTTGGAAAATCTAACTTTACTCTCTTCTCAGATCTTGTCAAGTCCCATTATGGGGCACTGCCCAGAAAATTTCTCATGAAAGGATAATAATTACTCATTCTTCAAAGAATTCAATTAGGGGCCTTTCATCAAAGGGTATTAAGTACTCGGTGTGCTCCTTCAAAAGTAGCGATGATGTTTATGGAGAGAGTCAGAGATAAAGGGCAGCATTTGGAGATTAAATGTTTGATATGGTGTATCAGGGATGATGTTGCCCACAAGGAGAACATCCAGGGAAATAAGCCTATCCTTTGAAAGCCGCAAATAGAAAAGACCAATTTGGATTCTAATCTTTCCACTACAACACTTTATTTAGGGATATGAGAGCACTAAGAACAGTTTCAGCCAAGACTGATTTGATAGCATCTACAGAGACAACCTATATTCACTGAAAGGGGCAGGTGCGGAGAGCAGAAAGAATGGCAGGTGCGGGGTGAGGGGTCTGGGTTTACATGTGACTGCTTACAAGCTTTGAGAGTTTTGACAAACCTCCCACAACTCTTTGGTTTGTTTGCTTTTCTCCTTTCCTTCTTTCTTCTACCCCTCTGATCCTTTGCTAACATGTGTAGGCCTACTGTGTATGTGTGTATACACGTGTGCATGCGCACGCACAATACAACAGTAAAAACCTCGGTTGATGACAGCTAGAACAGCCAAGCACTTGATTTTAATCATGTGCTTAAAAAGTCCAGAAGCACGAGCTTCCACGGGGGTGAGGTGAGCACTACAGAGTCACACTTTCATGGTTTCCGTTTTCTTGTCTCTGTCAATACTTTGCTCTGCACTTGCATTTCCCACCTTGCCTTTACGGATGATAATTTCATTGTCATGATGATGCTGCAGGTTACAGATATCCCTTCCCATCCTCCCACCAGCAAGAGGCTCTTTGTGTGTTTCTAAATATACTGGCATCCCAATCCCAGAATCCCATTTTCATTAAGATGTTGGCCTATTTGGAAACACACAAATAGCCTCTTCTTGGTGGGAGGACGGAAAGGGGGCATGTGTGACCTGCAGCATCATCATAATTTTGAGGATCTCTAGAGTGAAAGCAGCAAAAAGATGACATAATCAAGTTGAGGAATTTGGGGAGATATTTGGAAAGAAACTTGTTACGATGATGTGGTCAAGGTTTAAGGAGGGCAAGGAGGGATGTCTCGGTTCTGGATGCTGGTGATAGCAGGGACCTGTTATCACCCACAGGCCAGAAGGCAAGAGAGGAGGAAGTGGTTCTAGCACCTAATGAGAGAATTGCTTTAAAGGACCTTTGGCAAGAGCTGGGGCTTTGGGAGTGGGATCAGCAAACTTGGGCACCTCAGCCGCAAAGGAGCCAGGAAAATAAAATCTCCAACTTTGTTTTCTTGGTGGTTTTAAGGTCTTACTATTGCTCCCCCTCTTCTACTCTCCCCACGACCACCCTCCAAAATGCACCTCCATGACCCAAAGCCCAAGGGCATGGTTGCCCATTCACATAAACCATTGTGAGCAGCTTCCTCTCAGGGCACAGAGCAAGTGGAAGACGGCAGAGCTGTACCTGATGCTCAGCCCAGTCCTGTTGTAATTCTGGGCTTTGCTCTGCAGTAAGTGGATAGATAAGGTAAAGAAATATGCTGCATGTGCAGGGTGAAGGAAGAGGATTGTCTGGGGTTTAAAAACACATTTATGAAGAACAGAGAAGGAAATACAATGTTTAATGTCGAGAGGAAAAAAAAGAGGAAATAAGCATGGAGAATGGACATCTTTTAGTTATTTTGAAATGGAGGCTGACAGCGAACACATCCTGACACCCACCCCATTTCAGGTGCAGTGTGGTTTGCAAGACTCAAGAATGAACTGCTATTCTGGCCTTTTGGAACCATTAATTCAAACAAAGAAATTAAACAGATTCCAAACAGGCTAGGAGAATGGCCTTGGAGAAATGCATGGAAACTCTAAGAATGACAGATTTAGCCTCATCTTTTTTGGCAGGACATGGGACCAAGAGTTAGCTACTGCATATGAACTTTGAAATAGATGAAATTGCTTTCAGAGAGTTAAAGCTAAATCTAAAGCTAAATCTATGCTCAGCGATGTGATTTTCTGTCAATGGCCAGTGAGAGAAACCCAGACTGAGACTATAAGTCAGTAAAAGCAAGGGATGAAAATACTGTCCATATACAAAGGTTTGTGATGTGTCTGTTTGGAAACTCAATATTTTACACATGTGGTGTCATTTTAATCTTCACAACAACCCTTTACATCCAGCTTCATTATTTCTACTTTACATGTGTGGTACCTGAATCCCATAGAGGTTAAATCACTTGCCCAAACTCTCACAGCAGGTGAAGGGGCAGAGAAGCAAGTTAAATGCAGGTTTCTAGATTCAAAGCACTGCTCAGAGAGATGGAGCTGGAAGGCAGCCAAAATTTTATGAAAAACAACCTAGTGAGAATAATTTTATTATAAAGATGATAGTCCATCCTATTCCTTTGCTTCATCATCTATACAGAAAAGCCCGAACTTGGCAGAGTTTTATAGCATGTTCCAGAAGATGGAGAATGTGGATCTATGGTGTAATGCATTGATAATGGCTGCCAAAAGATATTTCCGCCTGGAACCATGGAACATGACTATATTTGGAATAAGAATCTTTGCAAATAGAATTAAGGTAAGGATCTTGAGAAGAAATAATTTTGAATTAGGGTAGGCCCTACATCCAATAACAAGTGTTTTTATTAAAGGCAGAAAAGGAGTTGACAGACAAAAAGACACAGAGGAGACCATGTGAAGATGGAGGCCAGGGACACAGTGCTGTTGTCACCAGAAGCTACCAGAAACCAGAAGAGGAAAGGAGGGATTATCCCTGGAGCAGTTACAGGGAAGATGGCCCTGCTGGCATCATGATTTCAGACTTCTGGCCTCCAGAACTGTGAAAGCAGAGAGTTTGTGCTGCTATAAGCCCCGAAGTTTGCTGTAGTTTATTATTGCAGCCCAGTGAATCTAAAACAAGAACTTTTGGGCACTAAATAAATGTTCTTCCCTATGGAAAATGGAGGAAGGAAGGATTCACCATAGTATTCCTCAAGCTTATTTCTCTATTTAGCTCAGATTCCATGCCTTCCATGTGACCCATGGACTACTTTCACAGAACCTGACCCCCAGCAGGTGTTCAATAAACACTTATGGAATGAATATATGGCAGCCATTTTTGTCATTAGTAACTCTAAGTATCCGCTACTGGGTGTTCAGTACCCAGTGCTTCCTAAGCCCAGTTTGAAGAGTATCACATACAGTTTTCTCCAGACTTGACAAGAGCATTGCAAAGAAAGTATTGGTGTTTCTATCCTGCTTCTAAGAAGACCAAAACTTGTAAAGGAAAAATGAGCTGCTGGCTTCTAGTTAACAGCAGGTGGGACACAAAACAAGTCTGTCTTATTCCAAAGCCTACATTCTAACCTCCACGTGGCAGCAGGTTCCATCTAAACTCGAAAAGAAATTCCCCTAAGCAGAGAGGCTGTTTTGGTCTTCTTGGGGTATGATGAAGTTGAAAGGTAAATCCTGAAGAGTTTGGATTTCAGCAAGGAAATGTTTTGGTAACAGCCACCTTGATCTCCAGGCAATCCTCTGACATTACTCACCCCCTTCTTTTCTATCTGTATCCAAAGGACTTCTGCAGTTAGAGCCAAGCTAGCTGGAGTGTGGGCTGTCTCAGTGAGCAGTGGGGCCCAGGCTCCTGGAGATGGGTGAGCACTAGGTAACACTTGGACAGTTCATCCCCTGAGCTTTGAGATTCTTTGATTCCATGAGACCACCTCAGTTGGCTGATTAAAGGATCAAAGGATAGAATGGATGTAAAAAGGCTTTGACAAGCTCTCAACTATAGGAGAGAATAAATATTAAATAAGTTAGCTTTTAAAAACGGCCCCACATACCACCTAGAAGAGAGTAAACATTCAATATTTGCTGCGTAATTACCAATTTCTCAAAAGCTCTTTAAGGTAATTTAGTAAAATAAGAATCTATCTTATATTTGAAAACATTTGAACAGCATTATAATATTAACTTAGGAAAGTTACATAAATCCTCCGAGCTACATTTGTGAGAATGAAGTGAGATGATGTTTGAAAATTCCTAACACTGCTTCTGACACATAGCAAACTTGCAATAAATGAGAACATTTTCTTATTTTAAGACATGGGCTGTATAATATCTATGAAAGAAAAACTCCAAAAGGCAGATTTTAAAAAAATTGTGCTTGAAGAATACTCATGGCATAGAAACAATGCTCAAGGTATAATGCTTATTGGAGAAGATAGAATGCAGACATGGAGATATTTGTGTAAACCGTGCAATGCCATTTTGAAAAAAAAATATTTGAAACTGACATTTAATAATGTAAATTTGTTATGTTCGGGAATGCCTGTGTTTATAGCTGCGTGGTCACATGTATAATCTACAGATGGATTCTTGTATAACAAATATATGTATTTACTACAGATGAGCATTAAATTCAAAAATGTTTATTAATGCCTTTTATTGTCTGCCTCATAATTCACTTTAAAATTACTTCTGTATGAATAATGTAATGTTTGTAGATAAAATTTAATATTTGTGGGGAAAATTTAATTTAATTCTAGGCTATTATTTAACATTTAAATTATCATTAGCAAGAATCATCCCTTTTCGAGTGGTTACATGACACTTATAATATTGTTGCTAAAATCTACACTGGAGAATGAGCTAATTAACAAAAAGTTTGGTAGAAATTAATGTTATTGGCAAGGAGAGTAATGTTCAAAATGATTAGGACATCTACCAAGTTTACATGAAAATTGTAAATCCAGCTGCCTGATGTCATCTATGCAGCATTTGAGGTCCAGGGTTGCACTGGTTCTAAATCTGCAGGTCCTGGAGGGCTATCATCAAACCCAACCACAAGACTGGTAGACCCTGCATCCAGATATCTCTGAGCTCAACTTTCATGACAAGTATTAGTCTGAGTCCTTTGGGAAGGGGAGTTGGGAAGGGGAGTTTCTTGAGCTAACGACAAGGTAGTGAAGTTGTATTTTTGTGCCTTTGTACAATGACTTGCTGTACATTTGGCAGAATTTTCTGGAACTCTTGACATATTGTAACAAAACACTTTAATGTAACCTATTGACCCCCCTAAGTTGTCAGAGAAGAGCTCTCCCAGCATATACCCACCAAACACATGCCAATTAGCATATATACCATAAATTCTGGAAACAGAGAAGATAGTATTTTATCAAGTATTAATGTACTATAAATGAACCATTTACTATGTAGTCATCTATATTTCCAGACTCCTTAGTGACCCCGTGTGTGTGTGTGTGTTTGTGTGTGTGTGCACACACGCAATTTTTATATGCATGCATAGGAGCTAAAAAGAAAAATATAGACATCTTCACTGTTCACAGAGATTACCTCTAGATATTTTTATTTTCTTCTTTATCCTTTTAAAAGATATTCTAAATTTCTTTCAATAAATAAAGCAAATATTTTATAATAAAAATGCAATAAATGCTGTAAAAATCTGCAGTCACACTTCACAGTTGCAGATTTGCTCAGAGGAAACAGATGGCTGTTGGCCCTGTGACATTCTGTCTCCTAAAATTAGAGCCAGAGACTCCCGTGTGATCCATTGCACAAAATGGATTCCAGATTTAAAAATGCAAATAGACATAATTGCAAATCATTAACCTAATTGTGACGGTGGGGGTGGATCTAGTCAACACAATCATTTATTCAATGACATATATTAAATGCAGACACTGTGCTCAAGCTGTGTACAGGGCAGTTTAGAAAAGAAACACGTTCCTGCTCTCATGGAACTTTCTGTTGATTTGAACAACCTCAACTGCAATTATGGGTATGTTGCTGGTATCTCTTTCTAGATAAAAGTTCCACAAAGGCAGAGATCCATCTGCCTTGTTCACAATTAATCTTCTAGGTCTTTCCCCACGTGTGTCATGTAACAGGTGCAAATAAATATTAGTCAAACTGAAATTAAATGAATTAGCTAAAGAAATTCAAACCAATGGAAATCAGTTCACCAGAATTTTTGAGTGGCTGATGCCAGGCATGTAAGTTCCACAGTAAGAGCAGCATGTGGACTCTTAGCCCCTAAGTCTCATGTTATCTCTGAAGAGTCATATCAGAGTGTGATACATGCCATGATGGAGATATATACGAAGTACACAACTAGTCAAATGGAGAGAAAGGTAAGAGGACACAAAAGACATCTTTTGAGTTACTTGAGAGCTGGGTTATTAAAGGATAACAGTTAGTTGGATAAAAAGAGGAGAAAGAACATTCTAGGCAAGGAAAAGCAGCATGTGCAATTGTATTGATTGTTGGTGTATTAGTCTGTTCTCACGCTGCTAATAAAGACGTATCCAAGACTGAGTAATTATAAAGAAAAAGAGGTTTAATGGACTCACAGTTCCACATGGCTGGGGAGGCCTCACAATCATGGCAGAAGGCAAAGGAGTAGCAAAGTCATGTCTTATATGGCAGCAGGCAAGAAAGCATGTGCAGGGGAACTCCCATATAAAGTCTCATTTATATGTCCCATTTATATGACATGACATTATGTCATGTCAGATCTCATGACACTTGTTCACTACCATGACAACAGTATGAGGGAAATTGCCCCCATGATTCAATTGTCTCCACCTAGCCCCATCCTTGACATGTGGGGATTATTACAATTCAAGGTGGGACTCAGGTGGAAACAGAGTGAAACCACATCAGTAGGAACAATATGGTGTATTTCAGTAATTGACCCTTTAGCCTGGTTAAATACGTACAGGGTTTTGCAATACATGGTGTGGAGGTAGACTTTTGTCATAATGGAGGTCATGAGTTAACCATGGAAGATTTATAAATGAGGAGTGACTTAACAAGATATATTTTCACTAACCCTTTTGGGAAGCTGTATGTAGGATGTCCTCTGGGAAGAGGGGAGAACAAGAATGGGTGGAAGGGATGCTAGTAGGGAGATAGGACAGTCAGAGCAGGAGATGGTGAGCCAAGGTCTTGGGAAGAAAAGGAGTGGATGGAATTAAGGGCTATTTCTAAAGTCATATTGGCATTATTTGATGGAATCAGTCACTAAGTCAGCAAACATGTGTTGAGTTAAAGAATAACTCAAAATATATTAAGTTCAACAGTCATGTCAGGTTATTAAAGAAAATACTTTGGAAAATGTCCAGTCAATGTAGTGTTTTTAGAACACTTGTGAAGTGTGTTTTTATCTCAGCATGCTGAATTTTATCTAGTTTAGTTGAATAACAATAATGACATCAACAATAATTATTTCTTGTAACCTTTATGACCATAAAATTCACTTTATCATCTCAAAACCCTATGATCAAGAAAGATGTTATAACCATCCCCATTTTTAAAATAAAAAGAGGAAAATGATGCTTGTACAAAGTAAGAAATTTCAATAAGGTCAAATTTTGAGTAAATGACACGGTATGTGGGTAAATGTGTGTGTGTGTATGTGTGTGTGTGTGCACGTGCGCATATGCAGGTTTTTTAAACTTTAAGTCTTAGGTTTTTCCACCATGTAAAAAAAAAAGTTTAAGCTTGTGCCTATGACATAATTATAACTTAATCTGATCATGATTAGACCTCTAATAGCACCATGAAGAGTTGAAAGAATGTTATAGAAAATTCACATAAATAATAATTTTTGCTTCAATCAATTTTATCTGAAAGAAATTTATTTTTTTAATTGCAAAGCATGATGTAAGGCAAAGGGGAAGTTATCATTCTTTGACCTAGATTGAATTAACCAGAATTCCCTCTGCTCATGAATTTACTTTTATTGGGTTGACATGATTAGTTATTATTTTAGAATAATAGTAGTGAGTGTAAATAGTATAGCTTTAACATAACGCAAAGAAGTTGGGAAAAATTAAAAAAATGACTATCATTTCTTATTCTTGAAAATATCATTCCTGTTGGCCATGCCTTCAAAAGCAAAATTTTAGGTTCTAGCAGATGGTTAAAAAGCAGAGCACAAGAAGGGAATACTGAGGATAAAATGGCTCAAGGACTTAATTGATTTTTCTCTGATTTATATACCAGTGGACAAATTTGCAAATGAAAACATATCCCTTGCATCCTATCTTTGTCCACTAAACACAACTTCAAACTTCACCCATTTATTCTTCCAAAACTCTTGCCCCATTATTATCTTTCTCATTCAGCAGCTGAAAGGATATTTTGAAAAGAATGTTAGAGTGTACTTCTCTCCTGATTAATGCCCTCCAATGGCCCCCATTTCATCTGGAATTGAATTCAAAGGTTTTGTTCTGTCCCACAAAGCTCACATTATGTTCTCTGCCTACTTTTGAAACTTCTCCAGTCTCTAGACTTTTATCTTCTTCTGTGCCTCACCTCTGCCATTCTATTCCAGATTCCTTCCTAAACACTCAATATTCTTTCTAGGCTTTGTACTATGTACACCTAAAGTTCCACACTTTTAATAGCTGGAATAAATAGAACTTTCTACAAACTTGGAAGTGAGAAGGAAAAGGAGTGACAACGACTGTAACACTATGTTTTTAGTTTGTCTTTCTTTACTTGAACATGTTAATAAACTAACATTATTCTGGTAAACTGGAAGCAATGGTGAAAAAATATGATTGTTTAGGGAGCAATAGTAATTATGCCTTAGTAATGACTGAGTGTATTTAAATTGTGATATCAGCTTCTTCTCTCACAGATTGAAGTAGAAAGCGAGAAGCTGGCTAAGGAAATAGTGGGGCACAGGCCATGTGATCCATCCTGTAGTTTTCCAGAATGGATAGCAGAGCCCTGGGATAAATGGAGTCTTTAATTTAGGATGTTGATCAGTCAACCAAAAATACTCAACTGGATATAAGGCCAGTGGCAAATGTATGACTATTAGAAAACAAAAGGGCACTTCCAAGACCAAAAGCTAGGCAATCGTAAATGTTTATAGTCATGTGAGGTAAATAGAGCTGAGCACAGATTTTGACAGAAGGAATAAAGAGCCAAATGATATGCACAAAAGACCGGGAAATACTGGGTAGAAAAGGGCAGTTCCCCAGCAAAGGCCCCACCCCCAAGCCTGGAAACCCACAGCCCTAAATGAGAACAAGCATTTCTGTTTTCAAACCCAAATGTTGCCTTTTGGACCTCCATGCTCCATTATCTGGTACCCATAAAACCCCAAACTCCGGCTCCATGGGCAGATGAGCAGACAAACAGAGGAGCAGAGGAACAGAAGGGCGGTGCCACAGAGAAAAAGAGACGAGAAGGATTGTCTGAACATCGATAGGAGTTTGGCTGCAGTTGGTTAGAGAGGAGATGGGCTGCAGGACAGCAGAAGTCCAGGGGAAGATCATCTTCCCACTCCATTCTCTTTCCAGCTCCCTGTCCATCCACTGAGAGCCACCTCCATCACCCAATAAAACCCCACATTCATCATCCTTCAAGTCCATGTATGACCTGATTGTCCCTGGATGCCAGCCAGGAACCTGGGTACCAAGAGGACACTGAGCTGGTTAACACTTAAGCTGTTTGTGGGCAGCAGAGCTAAAAGATCTATGTAGCACACACATTGGGACTTCAGGAATGGTAGGCACCCACACCTAGATGCTGCCATGAGGCCAGAGCCCAAAAGCACTCGCCCTGGCTCCTGCACATCTGCATGCTCTCCCCTACAAAAGGAGTTTTTGTGTGGGCAGCCAAAGAGACGAGCCACACCTCTGTCTCACATCCTGTGAACGAGTTCAGGGAACTCTCCCATTTCACTTAGAGCCTAACGACAAGCACGGGATTCAAAGGAAGAGGTCAAAGGAACCAAGGGTGAGCGGAAAGCTGCAGAAGAAAAAAAAATTTTCAGTGTATGTAGCAAGCAAGTGGCTATATCAGGGATACATAAATAACTCTCCTGAATCAACAAGGTAAAGATAAGTAGCTAGCCCAATAGAAAATTAAACATGATGTCCAAAGAAGAAGGAATAGAAAAGATCAATAGATGTATGAAAAGTTGTTCAAGCCCAGTAAAATGCAAATTAAAACAATGATAAAACACTACTTCTCACCCACCGATTTGGCAAAAATGGAAAAATTTATAATAGCCATTTTCGGAAGGGGGCTGGGAAACAAAGATTCTTTCACATTCTGGCAGGAATGTACATTTGCAGAATCCATCGGGAGGGCAAATTGGCATTATTTATGATTCTAGGTATCTATCCTGAAGAAACATTTTCATTAGGACCTAGAGAAACATGCATACAGATGCTCACTGTGACATTGCTAAGAAGCAAAAATCAGAAAACTAATGTCTTTTAATAAGAAAACGCCTAGTCATCCTGGACATTGGATAGAACACTAAGTGGCCCCCAAAATAATGAGATACATCTATATTATTACGTATAATTCTCTGAGACATATTGCTAATTGAACAAAGCAGTATGGTTCCAATTGTAAATGTTTATAGTCAAAAATCACAGTTAAAAAAAAACCCTATGGGCAAACAACACTATGTCCATAAAGGCTTTTAATATCAGGCTGGAAAGATAAGAGGCCCTACACCTAGCAGGTCACTGTAAATTGCCTCTGGAGAGTGGAGGGGCCTGAGGCCAGGAGTTAAAGAGAATCTCATTTGGTGTGCAGTGTTTAAATGAAATTCAGACTGACTGAACATGTTGCAACAGACTGGAAAGTTGCATAATTTAGAGAAAAAAAAGAAGTGAATGAACGTGCTGGAGTGACAAGAGTATACATTTCTTTTCCCAGTTCTTAGGAGCATCACGTGAAACTTCTAACAGTTACTTGTATTAGCATTAAATTGATTTACTTTTTAAAGCATTCATCTAGGGAAATGTGATTATGAAGAGAAGTGAAAAAGGACAACAGAAGAATCAAACACAGCATTTTCTTATAACCTGTGATTATAACCATAGAGTATGAAGCAACATTTTCCAGAAAATTTTAAAAAGAAAAAAAAAAAGCAGCCATCTGGCTAATCTAAGCTGCAATAGCTTAGATTAAGCTGCATGTGTAAATTAGATGTAATAAGTAGAGAGTCTCTTTATCTATATATCCAAAATATCAGTTGCTTAAAATAAATAAGTAGCAGAACTGAGATGCAGGAAGCTCAGTGCTTAGACTTGAATTTACCTAGTTCATATTGACAAAGTATAGATGAATAAATAGCACTCCAGAGTGCAAGGTAAGAAACTTTTGGTTGCAGGCAACAGTAAGTGACTGTGGTTAAGAGTAGCAAAAGAAGAATGAACTGGATAGATATACATGACTCACAGATGAGTAAGAATAGCTGAGAAACCAACCTCAGAAACAGGACTTTGGTAGGAATCCAGGTAACTATGCTATAAAACTGAATATCACTTATTAGATGCTAACTTTATTCTAAGAGCCTATAAAAATAGGATGCATTCATTGAGTTCTTGCAATATTCCCAATACTCCCTTTAAGCATAATAAATCCTTTGTTTTCTTTCAACAGAAAGAAACTGTTATCTATAAAATAAACAGTTTGTTAATTTTATACATAAACCATCAATGAATAAGATATATAATTGGGAGTCAAGCCAAGCCGTCAGATTCCAGAGGCCACTCTGTTAATTACCATGAAATTGTGCCTGTATTATGCAATCAGAAAACCCTGTGTAAAATTGTCACTGAGGAAATGGCAGCTCAGTCAGCTACTACATAGCCCAGCCACTCTTGCGTCCTCTGCCCAGTGAACTGGGTAAAGGATGCATACACCTCCTGAGTTCAACCTTCAAAACCTGCATGATTATTCATGCATCCTCTTTCACCACCTGCATACAGGACATCAATGCCCTGGGTGAACTTGGAAGTCACATGTTGATGACACTAGGATCTCCAACAGCCTGGGTCCCTGGATGACTGTGTGGAACACAACCCCTCACCCGTCAATGTCATATCTGCTTACAGAAGAAGTACATTTCTCCCATGACAAAGCACTGAGATTTAAACATTCATCTACCATAACAACTAGCATCATCTTTTTTTTTAATATACTTTAAGTTCTAGGGTACACGTGCACAACGTGCAGGTTGGTTACATATGTATACATGTGCCATGTTGGTGTGCTGCACCCATTAACTCATCATTTATATTAGGTGATATATACTCCTAATGCTATCCTTCTCCCCTCCTCCCACCCCGACAGGCCCCAGTGTGTGATGTTCCCCATCCTGTGTCCAAGTGTTCTCATTGGTCAATTTCCAACTATGAGCAAGAACATGCGGTGCTTGGTTTTCTGTCCTTGTGATAGTTTGCTCAGAATGATGGTTTCCAGCTTCATCCATGTCCCAGCAAAGGGCATGAACTCATCCTCTTTTATGGCTGCATAGTATTCCATGGTGTATATATGCCACATTTTCTTAATCCAGTCTATCATTGATGGACATTTGGTTTGGTTCCAAGTCTTTGCTATTGTGAATAGTGCCGCAATAAACATATGTGTGCATGTGTCTTTATAGCAGCATGTTTTATAATTTTTTGGGTATATACCCAGTAATGGGATGGCTGGGTCAAATGATATTTCTAGTTCTAGATCCTTGAGGAATCGCCACACTGTCTTCCACAATGGTTGAACTAGTTTACAGTCCCACCAACAGTGTAAAAGTGTTCCTATTTCTCCACATCCTCTCCAGCACCTGTTGTTTCCTGACTTTTTAATGATCGCCACTCTAACTGGTGTGAGATGGTATCTCATTGTAGTTTTGATTTGCATTTCTCTGATGGCCAGTGACAATAAGCATTTTTTCATGTGTCTGTTGGCTGCATAAATGTCTTCTTTTGAGAAATGTCTGTACATATCCTTCGCCCACTTTTTGAAGGGGCGGTTTCATTTTTTTCTTGTAAATTTGTTTAAGTTCTTTGTAAATTCTGGATAGTAGCCCTTTTTCAGATGGGTAGATTGTAAAAATTTTCTCCCATTCTGTAGGTTGCCTGTTCACTCTGATGGTAGTTTCTTTTGCTGTGCATAAGCTCTTTGGTTTAATTAGATCCTATTTGTCAATTTTGGCTTTTGTTGCCATTGCTTTGGTGGTTTAGTCATGAAGTCCTTGCCCATGTCTATGTCCTGAACAGTATTGCCTAGGTTTTCTTCTATGGTTTTTATGGTTTTAGGTCTAACATTTAAGTCTTTTATCCATCTTGAATTAATTTTTGTATAAGGTGTAAGGAAGAGATCAGGTTTCAGCTTTCTACATATGGCTAGCCAGTTTTCCCAGTATCATTTATTAAATGGGGAATCCTTTACCTATTTCTTGTTTTTGTCAGGTTTGTCAAAGATCAGATGGTTGTAGATGTGCAGTATTATTTCTGAGGGCTCTGTTCTGTTCCATTGGTCTATACCTCTGTTTTGGTACCAGTCCCATGCTGTTTTGGTTACTGTAGGCTTGTAGCAGAGTTTGAAGTCAGGTAGAGTGATGCCTCCAGCTTTGTTCTTTTGGCTTAAGATTGTCTTGGCAACGCGGGCTCTTTTTTGGTTCCATATGAACTTTAAAGTAGTTTTTTCCAATGCTGTGAAGAAAGTCATTGGTAGCTTGACGGGGATGGCATTGAATCTATAAATTACCTTGGGCAGTATGGCCATTTTCACAATATTGATTCTTCCTACCCATGAGCACGGAATGTTCTTCCATTTGTTTGTGTCCTCTTTTATTTCATTGAGCAATGGTTTGTAGTTCTCATTGACAAGGTCCTTCACATCCCTTGTAAGTTGGATTCCTAGGTATTTTGTTCTCTTTGAAGCAATTGTGAATGAGAGTTCACTCATGATTTGGCTCTTTGTTTGTCTGTTATTGGTGTGTAGGAATGCTTGTGATTTTTGCACATTGATTTTGTATCCTGAGACTTTGCTGAAGTTGCTTATCAGCTTAAGGAGATTTTGGGCTGAGACGATGGAGTTTTCTAAATATACAATCATGTCATCTGCAAACAGGAACAATTTGACTTCCTCTTTTCCTAATCCTCTTTTCCTTTATTTCTTTCTCCTGCCTAATTGCCCTGGCCAGAACTTCCAACACTATGTTGAATAGGAGTGGTGAGAGAGGGCATCCCTGTCTTGTGCCAGTTTTCAAAGGGAATGCTTCCAGTTTTGCCCATTCAGTATGATATTGGCTGTGGGTTTGTCATAAATAGCTCTTATTATTTTCAGATATATCCCATCAATACCTAGTTTATTGAGAGTTTTTAGCATGAAGCGCTGTTGAATTTTGTCGAAGTCCTTTTCTGCATCTATTGAGATAATCATGTGGTTTTTGTCATTGGTTCTGTTTATATGTGGGATTACTTTTATTGATTTGCGTATGTTGAACCAGCCTTGCAACCCAGGGATGAAGCTCACTTGATCGTAGTGGATAAGCTTTTTGATGTGCTGCTGGATTCAGTTTGCCAGTATTTTATTGAGGATTTTTGCAACGATGTTCATCAGGGATATTGGCCTAAAATTCTCTTTTTTTTTTGTGTCTCTGCCAAGCTTTGGTATCAGGATGATGCTGGCCTCATAAAATGAGTTAGGGAGGATTCCCTCTTTTTCTATTGATTGGAATAGTTTCAGAAGGAATGGTACCAGCTTCTCTTTGTACCTCTGGCAGAATTCGGCTGTGAATCTGTCTGGTCCTGGAGTTTTTTTTATTGGTAGGCTATTCATTATTGCCTCAATTTCAGAGCTTGTTATTGGTCTATTCAGAGATTCAACTTCTTCCTGGTTTAGTCTTGGGTGGGTGTATGTGTCCAGGAATTTATCCATTTCTTCTAGATTTTCTAGTTTCTAGTGTAGAGGTGTTTATAGTATTTTCTGATGGTAGTTTTTATTTCTGTGGGATCGGTGGTGATATCCCCTTTATCATTTTTTATTGTGTCTATTTGATTGTTCTCTCTTTTCTTCTTTATTAGTCTTGCTAGCAGTCTATCAATGTTGTTCATCTTTTCAAAAAACCAGCTTCTGGATTCACTGATTTTTTGAAGGGTTTTTTGTGTCTCTATTTCCTTCAGTTCTGCTCTGATCTTAGTTATTTCTTGCCTTCTGCTAGCTTTTGAATGTGTTTGCTCTTGCTTTATAAATTTCCCTCTACACACTGCTTTAAATGTGTCCCAGAGATTCTGGTATGTTGTGTCTTTGTTCTCACTGGTTTCAAAGAACATCTTTATTTCTGCCTTCATTTCGTTATGTACCCAGTAGTCATTCAGGAGCAGGTTGTTCAGTTTCCATGTAGTTGAGCGGTTTTGAGTGAGTTTCTTAATCCTGAGTTCTAGTTTGATTGTACTGTGGTCTGAGAGAGAGTTTGTTATAATTTCTGTTCTTTTACATTTGCTGAGGATTGCATTACTTCCAACTATGTGATCAATTTTGGAATAAGTGCGATGTGGTGCTGAGAAGAATGTATATTCTGTTGATTTGGGGTGGAGAGTTCTGTAGATGTCTATTAGGTCCGCTTGGTGCAGAGCTGAGTTCAGTTCCTGGATACCTACAAAGCAGATGGAAAACAAAAAAAAAGCAGGGGTTGCAATCCTAGTCTCTGATAAAACAGACTTTAAACCAACAAAGATCAAAAGAGACAAAGAAGGCCATTACATAATGGTAAAGGGATCAATTCAACAAGAAGTGCTAACTATCCTAAATATATATACACCCAATAGAGGAGCACCCAGATTCATAAAGCAAGTCCTTAGAGACCTACAAAGAGACTTAGACTCCCACACAATAATAATGGGAGATTTTAACACCCCACTGTCAACATTAAACAACTAGTGCCATCTTAACTAATATATCCAGAGATGAAAAATGTAGTAGAAAAGTACAGAAGTGAGACTGGATGTCTGAGGGAATCTCCCCGGAAGAGGTAATATCTGAAATTTAAAAAGGAAACAACAAAAAAGGTCCTGAAAATTTCTCCCAAAGTGAACTGCATTTTAGAAAGAATCTGGGTTGGAAGATAAAGGGCTTTGTGAGTAGGCAAGGACTCAAAATTGCTAGAATTTCCCAAGCTGTCCAGAAGACATGCACTGATAGGAAAGGCCAACACTGGAAGCGTGCATCATCTTCTATTTCCTACTCTCATCCAATTGCGTTAAGTTCAATGTGCTTTCCTGGGCGTCTGCTGTTTGCTCAGGGCCCTGTGTTAAAGCTAATGGGAAAACAAACAAACAAGTAAAATTCAGTCTTTTTTTTTTTTTTTTTTTTTTTGAGATGGAGTTTCACTCTTGTTGCCCAGGCTGGAGTGCAATGGTGCAATCTCAGCTCACTGCAACCTCTGCCTCCCGGGTTCAAGCGATTATCCTGCCTCAGCCTCCCAAGTAGCTGGGATTACAGGCATGCACCACCAGGCCCAGCTAAATTTTGTATGTTTTTAGTACAGACAGTGGTTCTCCATGTTGGACAGGCTGGTCTCGAACTCCCGACCTCAGGTGATCCACCCACATTGGCCTCCCAACAGTCATTTTTTCTTTCACGAACTTTCCATCTTAAAGAAGGAAGAATGGACTTGGCCTTGAATGAGGTGGTGGGTGGTAATGTTAATTTCTTTCATGTGTTCTCACCTTTGTTTGGCTTTCTCTCATGAGTTGGAATGTAAGTAACAACAGCCAGAGGACATTTCGAGTGACTATAAACCAGACATCACTGAGATTTCAGAAGGAGAATCTCCATTCACAGATTATTTCTCCTGTCCTAGTAATTTGTCTGTCAAAAGTGGATTTGATTCATTTATATTGAATGTTACTATGTACTGAATAGGTTTACATATATCATTCTGTGTATGGCACAATATGTTTCTGAGACTGGCATTACTACAGTCATTTAAAAAGGCAATGTATGGTTCACAGTGAACCTGTTTGCCCAAAACTATCCAAGTAAAGAGAGACAGAGGAGGGATTTGAACTTGGCACTGTACCATATACTCCCAGAGTTATGTCCACTCCCCTACAGTTTCCATCTTACCCCATACCTCATTTCCTTCCCTTGAGATTTTATTTTATTTTTTTAGACAGAGTCTTGCTCCGTTGCCCAGGCTACAGTGCAATGGTGCCATCTCAGCTCACTGCAACTTCCACCTCCCAGGTTCAAGCGATTCTCCTGCCTCAGCCTCCTGAGTACTTGGGATTACAGGTGCGTGCCACCACACCGGCTAATTTTTGTACTTTTAGTAGAGGCGCGGTTTCACTATGTTGGCCAGGCTGGTCTCGAACTCCTGACCTCAGGTGATCTGCCCATCTTGGCCTCCCAAAGTGCTGGGTTTACAGGTGTGAGCCACTGTGCCTGGACTCTCTTGAGATTTTTCTAACCCTTATTTTATCTCTGCCAAGTAGCTGTTTCCCTTCAGAGCTTCCCCTTCTTGAGATTGAAATCTCAAGCTGCAACTTACACCTCACTCCACTTCAATAAACCTGGGAGGGAGGGAGGAAGAAAACAGAAAATAGCTCAGCAGATGTTTCCGGATACATTTTTTTTTCAAGTGCAACTTGCTAATGTGGAAGTTTATTTTGGGGCCTGCCAGTGTTAGCAGATGTTTGAGAAGATGAATACCTGCTTAGGCAATTATACATAGAAAGTGATAGCAGGTTTGCACAAAGAGCCAGTCTTTAAAAATGGATAATATAATAGACTTTCTCATACAGATTCAGCATGTTTATGCTAGATTAATTCTTGCAGTCTGATTTGGACCCTATATTTATTCTTGAACTTTTATACTTATAAAAATGAGGCCATGCAAAAGGAGAGGTAGAAATAGATTGTGCCTACGGATGCCAGCTAGAGAATATAATTAGAGAAAATAATGCCTAGAAACTCTGACACTCAGAGGCTGGAGATCCTATTAATTGCTGCTATGTTATTTTTGGACATAAATATTTACACTTCATTTCTCATTAAAATTCTCCTTCTTAAAATATTAAACCCAGACCTCTGATTGCTGGATAATTAATAGCAAAATAACACATCAAGACTTTCAAGAAATTGAAGGTATACATTTTCCACTCTAGGTATTCTCATGGTGGGGAAGGTAGATACCCAACAATTCCATTCAGCAAACATTCACTGTGTATCTACTAAAGTATTGAGATTCCGAGATAAGCAGGAAACAGCTCCACCTCTTCAGCAACTTAAGTCTCCTAAATATCAAATAACAAAGCTGATAGATTCCATAGACCTCACATAAACATTTCCTCCTGAATGAGGAGTAGTTGTAGGAATAAACTTTTGACAAGCTCAAGGCCTGCCTAGACCTACAGGATGAAAGTGTAACCGGGAAATTTTCCTTTGAATGGTAATGGCAGGTTGATAAAAATTTTCTGATGTGATCTCCAAGATCAGTAAGTATCGTGGGAAATGAGGTGCCTTTTTTGGAGACTTGATTCATGGACAGGAGAGTTTTCCCTTTAGTTGGCAAACATAGCAGAGATGTCTGCTTTGATCATGGTCTGTACAGATTTACATCTGACATTCTTTACCGCACTTGTATCATTTATCTGAGTCTGCTCATAATTTTCCAACAAGCAATACATCCATGTGTCCTCAATGTGGAAGGCTAGTGTCCATCAAGGCACTCCACCATTTGGCATCTCTCTGCATCTTTCATTTCATTTCCAGTGACAACCCCAACCCACACAACAATACCAACCCTCTAAGGGGTCCCCAGATCTGCCAAGCTACTTTAAAACCCCATATTTTGCAGATACTCATCTTCTGTATGGAAACCATTTGCTCCCAACTTTTGCTTCAGAGCAATAAACTATTCATTGTTGGAGAACATGCACTGGTGTCTCCAGATCTTGAAGATTTTCCTGACCCATTCTTTGTCTTTTCAGTGTGCCAGGCACTTAACTTCTATTCTTGTTATTACCCTACAGCATTCACAGTATAATTTGCATGCACATCCCCCCAAACAGATTTGACATCGTCAAAGATGGGAGCATGCACCGTACTCATCTCTATAGCTCCTCCCTCAGTATACACCTGGCACAGAGTGGGGGCTCACTACAAATCTGTTGTATTTCTGCTTTAGTCAGAACACTTTCTCATGGGAATAACAGCTTTCAGAATCACTGAAGCACTGAAAAGAGAGTTTTGATTCACTCGAGTGGGAAGCACTGGGTTGTGCTGATCTCAGGTGTAACTCCATCCAGTGACTCCAATTTCTAGGACTTGACATCATTTGACTCTGGCACCACTCTTCTCTGAGGACTGGCCTTATTCACATACAGTTTAAATGGGCTTTTGCTAAGTAGTGGTGGCATGATGTTCTGGGATTACATTCTTGTATTTTATGACATAAAAGAAAAGAAAGAACATGTGATCATATATAAATTCTCAGTGATCATATATAAATTCCCAGGGGAGATTCTGATTGGTCAGGACTGGGTCTCAATGCTGACCCCTGAGGGCACTCGCTAGTTACATGGATAAGCTAAGATTGTTGGGGGCAGTTCTGGGAGAGAGATCTGCCCACCCCAACAGCTATAGAGTACTCTGATTATCAGCCACAAACAAACCACACAGAGTGGGGCAGGGGGCCAAAGAAAGGTATTGAGTGGGACCAAAAGAAGCAGAAAAGGGACCTTCAATAGAAAAAAAACAAGAGTTGTTTGTTACTCTAATTACTTTAGCATTGTGTGTGACATATAGGGAGTGCTTAGTAGATGTTCACTTACGGAATGAATTTGCTCATGCATGGATTGGAATTTCTTTCTTTCATCCCGTCAATGATGTACATATACATAGAAACAGCTCAGGCCCATGTGTTTTGTGATTGTAAGTTCACTCCTTTGTTCAAGACCCAGACTCTCTTCAAGCTCACAATATACAGTATTCAGCTTCCAACAGAAAATTTTCTTTTAAATATATTAAAAGATTCTCAATTCAGCAATCCAGCTGGACTACTTTTAGACTTCTGCCCACAAGCACAGGCATCAATCTGTTTCCTACAAAGTGTTGTTTGCTGTGATAATCTCACCTCCAGCAAATGTTCCTATCTTTAACTCCTTGTTATTAAAATTGTGTACAGAAAGCTCAGGGAAAATAAAACCATGGGCTGAGAGTATCTGACAATATCATACAGTAGAAAGGAAAATTGTTTAAGAAATTGAGAAATAGTGTTAGGTGTATCTTTAAGTCTAACTCACCTTGGACATGTTACCTCTATCAGCCACTATTTTATCAATAAAGTAACAACTTCATTAGATGATTTGTGGTTAGCATTAATTCTCTATGCATGCATGGAAGATTCTTTTTTTTTTTTTTTTTTTTTTTAGATGGAGTTTTGCTCTTGTTGTCCAGGCTGGAGTGCAATGGCATGATCTTGGCTCACCGCAACCACCGCCTCCTGGGTTCAAGCGATTCTCCTGTCTCAGCCTCCTGAGTAGCTGGGATTACAGGCATGTCCCACCACGCCTGGCTAATTTTGTATTTTTAGACGAGACAGGGTTTCTCCATGTTGGTCAGGCTGGTCTCGATCTCCCGACCTCAGGTGATCCGCCCACCTCAGCCTCCCAAAGTGCTGGGATTACAGGCATGAGCCACCATGCCCGGCCTAGAAAGTTCTTATGACAAGTACACGATTTGGGAAACCATAGTTTTCGCTAAACCAGCAGAACCCAAAATAAGGCGTCTTTATTAGTCCTCAAGACTAACCTGGTTATCTAGCCAGCAAACACACAATTTAGCTTGGTGCTTTGGGTTAGACCAAATTATATGACTCCACCTAAATTTCAAACTGTTCCTTTTACTCTGTTTTTTGTCAACTCTTTTATGCCACTCCCAAAAGAGTTGATGTACTATTCTCTAAGAACTCTATTTGCTTTTTGACTTCTGTAGCTTCGCTTATGCAGTTTCCTACACCAAGAAAGTTTCTCTCCTCCACATGTACCTGTTCATATCCTATCTATCCCTGAAGGTCTAGGAAAAGACAATCAGCTCTGCAAAGTGTTCCTATTTTCCAACTTGCCTTCTCTCATCTGGATGCTTCTCTCCCTTTCCCAATGAGCTCTTAAAACTCTTTGCTTGTACTTTGGAATAACAGCGAACGCTTTCTACCTTGTGTTATAGTTATTTAGCAATTTATCTCCTCTGCCCCTCTGGAATGCAAGCACCTTTCCCTTAGGATAGGATGTTCTGTGTAGTTGAGCACAGATGGGTTTTTCAGGAAGCCAAGTCATGATCCAATTCCAGCCATGCTGCTGCATCCTTGGGGGAATCACTTAATCTCCATGATCATCATATTCCTTATCAGTAAAACTAATAACCACTGGAATATGGGAAAGGCAAAATGCGATCATCTAAGTGAAAGCGCTTAGCACTCTGCTCTGAACATGGAGCACTTTTGTTTTATTAGACTTACTTTTAGTGAATACCCATAAGATCTGTTGACGACTTTCCTCTTTATTGCACTTTGAATAACATGCAAATTTCTCATTAGGGCTGACAAGGCTAGACATAATCTGACTCCTACTTCTCTTTGACCTCACTTTTTTTTTTTGGTTTGTTTTTAATACCTTTATTTGTCTATATTTGACATACAATAAACTGCACATATTTAAGTGTAAATTTTGTTAAATTTCAGCATATATATACACTTGTGAAACAATCACCACTATCATAATAATTAAGAATTCGTACCCTACAATGTTCCCTTGTGCTCCTTTGCAATGTTTTCTTTCAATACCTTCCCTGACATCCCCTTTTTCTATCTTCAGGCTGCCACTAATCTGTTTTTTGTCGTGGTACATTAGTTTGCATTTTCTAAGATTTTCTATAATAAAATCATACACTGTGTGCTCATTATTATCTGGCTTCTTTCACTCAGAGTATTTATTTTGAATTTATCCCTACTATAGAGTGTATCAATTGTTCATCACTGTTTTATTGTTGAGTATTATACTATTCCATGGATATGCCACAGTTTGTCGATGAACCTTTGAGCTAATTCCAGATTTTAACTATTGCAAATAAAGCTGCTAGGCACACTTATATGCAAGTGTCTATGTAGACATATATATTCATTTTTTAAAAACACCTAATAGTGGTATGGCTCGGTCACATGATAGTATAAGTTTAAGTTTTTAAGAAATTGCCAAACAATTTCCAACGAGTCTGCGCACTTTACATTCCCTCCAGTAGTGTATGCAAGTTCTATTTGCTCCATATCCTGGTCAACACTTTTGATCATCAAACTTTTTAATTTTAGAAACTTTGATAGGTGTATAATGGTAAGTCATAATGGTTTATTTGCAATTCCATGGGGGTAAATGATGTTGTACGTTTTTCCATATGCTCATCTGCTATTCAAATGTCTTCTTTAGTAATGATTCTGTTCAATCATTTTTCTATTTTTTTAATTGGTTTGTTTTCATATCATTGAGTATCATGAGTCCTTTATATATTTAAGACACAAGTTATTTATTAGATATATGCTTTGCAAATATTTTTCCAGTCTGTGGCTTGTCTTATTCCCTACACAATGTCTTTTGAAGGGTAGAAGATTTTACTTCTGATGAAGTCTTATTTATTAAATTATTATTTTTATGAATTGTATTATTGGCAGTGTATCTACAAAGAAGTTTTTGCATAGCCTAAGGTTACAAAGAATTATACTACCTTTACTTTTAGAGATTTTATAATTATTCATTGCATTTAGATGCATGATCCATGTTGATTTAATTTTTATATGGTACAAGCTATAAATTGAACAATAATTTTTGCATATGTGTATTTTATTTTTCAGTACTGTTTGTTGAAGACTTTTATTTCTCCATTGAATTGCTTTTGCATCCTTGTCAAACATATATGTACAGATATATTTCTGGGCTCTTTATTCTGTTCTATTGATTTTTTGTCAATCTTTATATTAATTCTACACTAAATTTATCCCTCTAGGTTTGTAATCAGAACTGAGGTCCCAAAATAAAGTATTATTTGTCTTCTTTCTTTTCAAAACTGCTTTGCTGTTTTAGATTGTTTGCTTTTTTACGTAAATTTGTTTGTTTGTTTATTTGTTTGTTTTTGAGACAGAGTCTCGCACTGTTGCCCAAGCCGGGGTGCAGTGGTGCGATCTTGGCTCACTGCAAGCTCCGCTGCCCTGGTTCACGCCATTCTCCTGCCTCAGTCTCCTGAGTAGCTGGGACTACAGGCGTCCGCCACTATGCCCAGCTAATTTTTTTGTATTTTTTTAGTAGAGATGGGGTTTCACATAAATTTTTAAATAAGCTTTTCAATTCCTAGAAAATAGTAAAGACTGTTGGGATCTTGTTGGTTTGCATTTAGTCCATAGAACAATTTGTGAAGCATCAACTTTTTAAATACATAAAATCTCCTTACATATAAACATGGTGTATCTCCACATTTATTTAGATCTTTAATTTATTTCAGCAATATTGTGTAGTTTTCAGTGTAGATGTCTTTTATATCTTTTTGTCAGATTTATATCTAAATATTTTATATTTTCATGCCATTATTAATGGTACTTTGTTTACATTTTAATTTCTATTGTTCTTTGCTAGGACAAAAAATACAACTGATTTTTGTAGCTTAATATCATATCCTAAATGCTTTCTAAACTTACTTATTACTTTTAGTCGTTATCATTTTTTTAAAAAGTATAAAAGATACATTGGATTTTTCTACATAAATGATCATATCATGTGCAATTTTTTAAAAAAATTACTTCTCTCTTTCCCATGTAAATGATTTATTTCTTTTTATCTTCAGTAGCAAGGGCTCAAACTTTTAGTACAATTTTGAATAAAAATAGTAACATTGAGTGAGACGGTGAGACTCTCCTGACGGCATGGGGGAAGCATTCAGTCTTTCACCATTAAGTATGATGTTAGCTATAGGTATTTTGTAGATTTTTTAAAATTAGGTTAAGGCCATTCTCTTCTATCCTTACTTTTCTGAGAGTTTTAAAAATAGGTATTGAATTTTGTCTTTTTTTTGCACATATATGGTAATATAGACTTTCTTTTTTTGTGATTTGTTAATATGGTTAATTATATTCACTAATTTTAAAATGTTAAACTATATTTGCCTTCCTGGGATAAACCTCCTTTACTAATAATATACTATCCTTCTTCATATTGAGAGTTTTGATTTCCTAAAAGCGGTTTAGAATTTTTGTCTACGTTTTAAAAAAGATTGTTCTGTAGTTTCATTTTCTTATGAAATGCTTATTTGGATTTGTTATCTGTATAACGTGGCTTCAAAGAATGAATTGGAAAGTATTTTTTTTTTTCATTTTCTAGAAGAGTTTGTGTCAGATTATTTTTACTTCTTCATTAAGTAATTTGTGAATTTCACTAATAAAATTATCTGGACCTGGATATTTTTTGTGGAAATGTTTTCACTAAAATTAAGTGCCTAATAGATAGAAGAATATTTATGCAGTCTTTGTTTGTTCAAGCTGCTATAACAAAATACCATTAAACACGGTAGCTTATGAGGAACATAAATTTATTTTTACAGGGCTAGGGGCTGGGAAGCCTAAGATCAAGGTGCCACAGACTCAGTGTCTGGTTAGGGCCTCCTTCCTCACAGATGACACCTTCTTGCTGTGTTTTCACACGGTGGAAGGGCAGACTTAACTCTCCAAGGTCTCTTTTATAAGGACACTAATGCCAATCATGAGTGCTCTCCTCTCATGATATAATCACTCTCCAAGTCCCCATCCCCTGATACATCACCTTAGAGGTCAGAATTTTAACATATGAATTTTCAGAAGACATAAACATTCCATTCATTGTGCCACCTATTTTTGAGTATGCTTCAATTTGTGTCTTTCAAGGAATATATCCATTTCATCAAGGCTATCATATTTATAGATATAAACTTATCTGAAATATTTCCTTATGCTTTTAAAAAAGTTTTATCTTAACTGACAAATAATAATTATCCATCTTTAATTATTATTTAATAATAATATTTAAAATCTGTCATATCTATACTAATGTCACCACACTCATTCTTATAGTAATTTTTTAATTTTTTTCTGTTTTCTATTGTATTTATTTTCATTCTAATAATTTTCTAATACTTTATCTTTTAATCTTTATTAATAATTATTATCTTTTCTGTTTCTTTTGGGTTTAAGTTGGTTTCCTTTCCCTTAAAGTAGAAGCTGAGGTCTTTGATTTGAGACCATTCTTCAAATTAGATACATACATGTCATTCCATAAGTTACCCTTAAATTCTGCTTCAGTGGCATCCTAAATATTTAATTATGGGTTGAGAGGTTTTTGTTTCTTTGCTCTTTTTTAGTACTTTAAAGACACTACCCAATTGCCTTCTTACATGCTTTATTTTCTTTGGGTTGTTTGTTTGTTGTTTCTTTGTTTTTGAGACTGAGTTTCACTCTTGTGGCCCAGGCTGGAGTGCAATGGTGTGACTCGGCTCACTGAGACCTCCGCCTCCCGGGTTCAAGCGATTCTCCTGCCTCAGCCTCCTGAGTAGCTGGGATTACAGGCACCTGCCACCATGCCTGGTTAATTTTTATATTTTTAGTAGAGACAGGGTTTTGCCATGTTGGCCAGGCTGGTCTCGAACTCCTGACCTCAGGTGATCTACCCGTCTCAGCCTCCCAAAGTGCTGGCATTACAGGCATGAGCCACCACACCTGGCCTTAGATGCATTATTTTCAATGAGAAAACTGTTGTTACCCTTAGCTTTGTTTCTCTATAATATTTTTTTCTCTGCTTTTCAGATATTTTGCTTTATCATTAGTTTTAAGAAATTGCATTATTATGCGTCTTGGCATAGTTTGCTTTATTCTTCCTGTCTTTAAGGCTCATTGAGTTTCTTGAAACTATAGGTCTATTGTGTTCCTCAAAATTGGAAAAAAAATATTAGCTATTATTTTTTTCAATGCCCCCCCCCCCATTATACACACAACCTCCCCTTTGAAGAATCCAATGTCACATACTTTTGGTTGTTAAGTTTTCCCACGGCTAGTGACACTCTGTTCACTTTTTTATAATTCTGTTTTTCTTCCTATGCATTATTTGATAGTATTTTATTGCCGTACTCCTTTTTAAATGTAATATGTAATTTACTTTTTTTCCTGTTCATTGTATATTAATCTCAGAAATTATTTTCAAATCTAAGAATTTAGTTGAGTCTTTTATATTCCTCCCATTTCTCATTTTACTTTTTAAACATGTAAGAAACAGTTGTAACGAAGATTCCCAACTTCTTTTTTGCTAATTCTAACATCTGTATTAATTCTTGGTCAATTTTTATCTATTGACTTATCTCCACATGATAAACTATATTTTTCTGCTTCTTTACATATTTGATTCATTTTTTTAGGATGCTAGACATGGTTATTTTTACTTTGATAGCTATAGGATACTTGAGCCTTTTGTGGGGAAACAGTTAAGTTACTTAACAGTTTAATTCTTTTAGGTCTTCCTTTTATTATGTGTTATCGGGGAATAGAGCAGTAGTCAATCTAAGGCGGTTATTCCTCCCTCTGAATATTCAATTCTATTCCCTGTGGATTTTGTGGTGTACCAGTGCAGCTGGTAAAATCAAGGACTATTACCATGCTGTGTATGTGCTGGGTACTAGTTCTTCCAGGTGATTCTTTACTTGGCCTGTAGCAGTTTTTTCACTTGTATGTTCAAATCAGTACTTAGATGAATATTTGAGAGGAAATCTCTAAAGATAATAAACATCATTTCTCTGTGCATGCCTTTTATCTCCATTTTTCTGTCTTGTCAACTTAATTGTTTGGTTTTCTTGGGCTTTCAGCTCCATCTCCTCAACTCATGGAGTTCACTGAGCTCTATTTTAGTTCCCACTCCCTACAATGTGTCCTGGAAACTTTCTCAAGGCATTAAGCTGGGGCATTCTTAGGACTTCTCATGATTATTTTCTGTCTTTCAAATTCATTCTTCTTTTCCGCTTGGTATATAAAGTCTTGTAAAGAGTTATTTCATATATCCTGCTTATTTTTTTTTTTGTTTTGGTAGTTTCACATGAGCACTGATTTCTCTTCATGTATAGACATATTCATTAAGTTTTCCTTTCCTTCTTTTGCACATACCTGGCTTATTCACATCTCAAGCCCTTTAGACTTGCTCTTTTTTTTTTCTGCCTAAAATACTTTACCCAAGAACTCTATAAAGTGACTGCTTCCTATTATTCAGGTCTTAGTTCTAATGCCAGCTTTTTGAGGACACTTCTTTTGGCAATGTTAATAAAGTAGAACGTCCTCACCAAGTTATTTATGTACCAGTGCCATGATTTTTGTTTTCATAGCGCTGATTTCCATCAATAATTACTTAGTTGATTTGTATATATTTCCTCTCTTGCTAATTATTAAAATGTAAGCTCCTTGAAAGCAACATTCTTGTTTACTTTCCACATTATATTCTGAGAACCTACAACAGTGCTGACACCAAGAAGTTTCAATATTTCCTAAAAGAAAAATCATGTTACATTTTAAGAATTATGTAAAAACAGGTTTATAACATGTGCATATGAATGTTTAGACAACTAAAGTGGCTTAGAAAAAAAAAATTATCTCACATAACAAATGAGCCCAAAGTAGAGTAGTTTCAAGATTAGTTAATTTGGTGGCTCTGTGACATCATCAAAAAGGCAGGTTCTTTGTATCTTTCTGCTTTGTCATCTGTACTGCATTGGTTTTCATCTTGGCCTGGTCTCTCTTTTGTTCCCAATGGCTGCCATAGTTCCAAGCAGCAAGTAAAGACAGCTTTCAGATCATAAGGAAATGCTATTTTCCTCTAGCCCTTTTTAAAGGTGAAGAAAACTTTCCTAGAATCTTTTTAATGACTTTCCCCACATCTCCTTTGTCAGCCATTGGTAACCATTCCCAAATTAATTGGTGGTAGAGGGAATGGAAATTCCCAAGTTTGGCTTACACCAGTTAATATTTAGTTTCATCCCAGCCCTCCCTTTCCAAACTGTAGGTTCTGTTGATGGCTCTTTTCCCATCTCTCCCAAGCACTTAGCTGCCTGAAGTTGTCAAGAATAGAGTTCTCTTAGGGGAAACAAAAAAAGCAAAACATGGGAAGTATGTAGTTAGGTAGGCTGCTACAGATTATTTTATTAGAATAAGAATGTGTAATTCAAACATTTAAATAAACTTATTTTGGCTCTTTTAGATAATGTCTCAACTGCTTTAAATATTTGCTAGAGTGTGAGACAAGCCTTCTGATGTCAGCTGAGTTAAATAGGGTTTTTAGCTTGCATTTCTAGTCTTTCACTTTGTGTAACATCTCCAATTCTCGACCTTCTTTTCTGGTATTTTGCCCACCACTGATGCACATTGTCAACTGAAAATACTGTTTTCACAAACTTCCAACAAGCTGGCAAAGGGATTTCTAAAGTGGAAACATATTTCTTTTTTTCTGTTTAAAAAATAGAAATTTAATCATAGTACATTTCTTGTCATTTTATACCCATTCAAAAATATTTACAGCTGATTCTATTTACAGTGAATCTACAAATCTTACTAAATATTTTGAGTAAAAAGATTATGCTATGCTTAATTCATCTTTTGCACTATTCTTGTACTCACAGTTAATAAAATTATATTATTTCACTCCAGGGATGAATCCTAGAGATCACCTCATCAACTTTGGTGTTGAAAGTGTGGAA
Organism: Homo sapiens; assembly: GCF_000001405.40. Lineage (NCBI taxonomy): Eukaryota > Metazoa > Chordata > Mammalia > Primates > Hominidae > Homo > Homo sapiens. Next base: position 11,089,017 of record NC_000004.12, on the reverse strand, counting down.
ACTGAGTCTGAGGAGATTAATCAATTTCATCAAAGTCAAATGCAGATTTGTGTTGGAGCTGACTCATATCAATTTATGAGAACCAACTGTGGGCATCTACCACTGACCCCATTTTCAGTGTTGTCAAATTGTTACCTTGAAATTGGCTATTGTGGGAGTATTTACATGATGGAAATTGGCAAAATGCTACCAATCAGGTTTTTTTTTTCTTTCCTGAAGCAAAGAAATGAAAACTGAATAATAGTTGTTAAACATTTGCCACCGCACCACACAATTAGGAACAGGCAGGGCAAGATAGAAAATAGTAGAATTTAAAGATTCAAGGAGGTTGTTATAGCCATAAACCAGTAGAAGTCGCTAATATTGATGCTTATTTGTACTACCATTAATGTTAGGTTGGTGCAAACGTAATTGTGTTTTTTGCCATTAAAAGTAACTTGCCCGGCCAGGTGCAGTGGCTCAAGCCTGTAATCCCAACCCTTTGGGAGGCTGAGGCGGGAAGATCATGAGGTCAGGAGTTTGAGACCAGCTTGGCCAGCATGGTGAAACACCGTCTCTACTAAAAATACAAAAATTAGCTGGGCATGGTGAGACGTGCCTGTAATCCCAGCCATTCGGGAGGGTGAGGCAAGAGAATTGCTTGAACCTGGGAGGCAGAGGTTGCAGTCAGCTGAGATCGCACCACTGCACTCCAGCTTGGGCGACAGAGCAAGACTCCATCAAAAAAAAAAAAAAAAAAAAAAAACAAGTAACTTTCCGATTAAAAGTAATGGCAAAAACCATGACTACTTTTGCAGCAACCTATTAACATCTCCTGACTCAGAGTCTAATCTCATTTCCACTAAATTATGATGATTTCTATAACCCATTCATAACTACCCTTTTCCCCCATTTGGTGGATTCATTTGCGTCTAAATAAAATTTGGTTGGACATGGTTTCAGTTAAGGTTTTGGTGGTGGAAAACAGAAAAAATAATGTAGACAGAAAGGAATTTACTGGAATTTATGTACCCACTGGCAGAATCAAGTGAAAATAGAGACCAAGGCTTGGAGAATGGGCAGAAACCAAAGGGATCTGGCAACAGCAACCAGAATCAAGGTCATGCCTACAAGACAAAGACTGGTCATGACCATTGCTACTGGTGCTACTACCTCATTACTGTGTCTACTGGATGAACCATGGAACATAATTTCTGCAGTATTAATGCTTCTTTGCACTAACAACTCAATATTTAAACTCTGGTGATGGCTGGGTGCAGTGCCTCAAACCTGTAATCCCAGCACTTTGGGAAGTCCAGGCAGGTGGATCACTTGAGCTCAGGAGTTCAAGACCAGCCTGGCCAGCATGGTGAAACCCCATCTCTACTAAAAATATAAAAATTAGCCAATTATGGTGGCATACGTTTGTAATCCCAGCTCTTTGAGAGGCTGAAGTGGGAGAATCACTTGAACCTGGGGGCAGAAGTTGCCATGAGCTGAGATTACACCACTATACTCTAGCCTGGGCAACAGAGCAAGACCCCATTTCAAAATATTTTAAAAAATAAAAAAAAAAAACCTCTAGTGGAAATATCCTGATGTGATGAAATGGAGTCGTGCTGTGGCTGCCACGTCATAGGAATCTCACTTTGCTTCAGCTTCCATAGTAAGAGGGGGAAATTGTCCCCAAAATAGGAATAACATTTGGTTGCCTGATGGCAAAAGTGAGAACAATAAACAAATGTTAACTATAATCATCATTGTTAAAGACTGGAGAAAAAAGGAGACAGAGTATACTTATTGTATTTACATAATGTGAGGAGAGACAGGACATTAGGAGGGACAGGCATAGAGCAAGGCGGAGGGTGGCCATTGGCAGCCATGAAACCTTTCAAGATGGCACTGTTTCAGTGAATTTATTGTTGTTTGGGGATGAATTTTTTGTCCTAAAGAGGCATATTCAGAAAGTTGAATTTTTCAAATTTATGTAGAAAAAGAAACGACTCAGCTATAGGTTTAATAATGGACTCTTGAGTAGTGATTTAAAAAAAATGACTTAGGTAGTTAACTAGAAACCAGTAAAAAGAAATATTAAAAGTTAGAGCCAAAATGTTCTGGGAAAGACACTTGAAGATGGCCACATACAAATGAAAACAATAGGTATCAATGTTTATTCTTCATGTTAATGTCCACCAGAAAACATCTACCTCAGAGGAACCTCTGAATCACGAGGTAAGCATGACAATTCATGCAGGGAAGAGCAACCAGCCCCTGTATCCTCAGCCACCCAGTGCTTGGAAAGTGGGCCCATGATTGGGATAGCCATGGTGGCAGGGAGGCAGGTCATAGTTTGAGTATACCAGCATGGATTCTTGTCATACCTAACCACAGGTCTCCTGTTGCTGTAAGCCTGAACTTTCAGAGGCACAGATGGACTTCAAGTCCTTCATATGGCTCCATCCTTTGAGCAGTCTAGCCTGCATCTTGGCACCTAGGTTGTGTTGGGGTCAGTGGTTGGCTTGAAAGCAGTATGTCTTTACTGGGACAGACACCCATCCCTGACATATGTTTGTCTTCCCTATCTTCAATAGCTTTGCCAGCAGCAATTTGCAAGGGTGTAGAGAGTACCTGATTAATAAACACAGATTTCACTTTTAGCTTATTTCTCTCTTATTTCAAAGACCCTATGAGAAAAACAATTGCCTTCAACTAATAGTTAAAATAACTACTCCTTAAGATTATTTTGAAAATTAGCATATACAAATGACCATAATAATGTCTAGCATGTGGGATATTCTTAGTGATGCTTACTCCCTTTCTATTGTTATTAACTATTATGATTATTAGCAATAATGTGATCACTACTATCATTATCATTTCCATGGCATTTCAATGGAACAGAATTTTTACTTTTCTTTGTTTTGTATGTCATGACCCAATTAAGTTTTGAAGTTTCATTTTTATTAACTTTAGGTGCTCAATAATTCATTTCCACCCAATATAGCAGACCTGACCAAACAGATGAATGGAGGATGGCATTTGAAATATGTGTATTCTTTACGAACATCACCAGGAAGAGGTGCTTTCTAGGATTTATTAAATCTACAGTTGGGGTTCACTCATAAGATAATACAGGATGCAAAAGAACAGCATTGATCAAGTGCCAAGTTGGTACCATGTGCTGTGCTGCATGTGAGCTCATTAACACCCAGAGCAACCTCTGACTTCCTGTCATTGATTCTGATTTACAGGTGAGGCATTCAAGCAAATAGATGTTGAATCACCTGCACAAGGTCATGTATTTTGTACATGACAGAAGGAATTTCTCCTACGAGTTAAATTAATTGATGCTATTTGCTGTATGTTTTAATCCTAATAAAGGGGCCATATACAAGTCTCAGAAAAAGCAAAGCATTCACCCTCTGAACCCAGCTCAAGAGCAGGAATGTTGAAGGTGACATTCAGACCCTAAGGCACATCAGATTCACTGTTGGCCGTACGTCCCAGTTAGTTGCTTCTCTCACTGTGTCTTTCAGAATAGCCTATTTTGGTCCCAAAGCCATCAGCAAACTTGAAATAACTGAACCATGTAACAAGAGCTTATAAAAACAATAAAAGAAAGAAAGAAAGAAATGCTTACAGAGACAGGTGCCCTCCTTGTGATTGTACAACTTGTGAAACTCTCAACTCCAAAGGGGAATTCCACAAGGACTCCTCAGTACCTGAGGCTGGTAGGAAAAGAATCAGAGACACAGGTCAGCTTCTCTTTCTGCTTTTGCCTTTATCTTTTATGGTGATTCATCCTGTAATGCGAGCCAAATAAACTCACTATGGGTTTATTTTTACTGTTTATTTATGGCTTGGTTATGGTAGTTCCTTTTCGTTCAAATGCACACACGAATAAAAGGCCAATTCTAAAATACCTTTTGGAAAAATCACGCTCTCATGGAAAAATAAAGTGTGAATTTTGGAATCACAAACTTGTGTTCAACTCCTGCTCTGCCACTTACTCTCTATGTGACCTTAAGCCTATTCCCTAATGTCTTTGAAGCTCAACCCTGGCTTAGGTTAAAGGATGTAAAAGGGATTCCATTGGGGTATCATGGAAATTTTTTTAATGGAGTTGCAGATTTTTAGTGTGATATTAAATGAACATCAAAGTCTCCCATTTATTCTCTCTCTTCTTTCAGTTTGATCATAACTGGGTGGGCCTTATTTTAGAAAAGATAGTAGACTTGGAGGCAGAAAATCTGAGCTCCCATCCAGCTTCTAGCTTTCCCTGACCATGTTTTGTTAGCAGGATGAGATAATAGGATATAAACAAAAGCATAGAAACAACAGATTTGCTCACCTGAAATCTTGGGCCACCCCATCACCTGCTCATATCTCAGTTTTCATGAGACTAACGAACCTTAGGCCATCTGCCAAGGTAGCAAGTAGCTACCAACTCCAACACAGATACTAAATATCCATGTGACCTTGAGCTAGAGGCATGAATTTGAGCAAGAGGCATGATCTTGAGCAAGAGGCATGACCTCTCTGAATTTCAGATGCTCATTTCTAAAATGGGATTCATAATACTATCCATGTCAGAGGGCAGTTATGACCATGAAGGGAGGCAGCACTGAATAAGCAGCATCTGACAACTTACACTATACTTACTAGTTATTTTTAATTGATTTTTAATAGAAACTTAAATTTGAAATGGCTGTTTACCTGTTCATTCATGTGTCTGCTCATGCCTGTAATCCCAGCACTTTGGGAGGCAGAGGTAGGTGGATCACCTGAGGTCAGGGGTTCAAGACCAGCCTGACCAACATGGCAAAACTCCATCTCTACTAAAAGTACAAAATTAGCCTGGCATGGTAGTGCATGCCTGTGATCCCAGCTACTTAGGAAGAGGCAAGAGAATTGCTTGAACCCAGGAGGCAGAGGTTGCCATGAGCCAAGATTGTGCCACTGCACTCCAGCCTGGGCAAAAAAGTGAAACTCTGTCTCAAAAAAAAAAAAAAAAAAAAAGGTTACTTAAGCATAGATTCAAGAAGCATTTCCGGAGCAATGGCTGCATACCAGGCACTGCTGGCAGTTTAGAGAAGTGTCAGACATGGTGACTGTCCTTCAGGAGCTCACGGGGGTAAAGTACAGGGCAGAGGTGCCATCAGATTCAGGACGCTGGCAAGTGCTGAAAACGGAGGCATATAAAGAGTGTGATGAGAGCACCTGACCTCTGGGAGAAAACAAAAAGGAACTTGAGCCTCCAGTTCTCACTGATGCTCCGGTGACACACTGAGTGATATTTTCGGAACTGTTGAAGATGATCTCACGTGTCAGGCCTTCTCATGATGGAAAATGTTTCCAATTTATATTTCATTGTGGCTTTGAATAAGCCAAGGTGCCAAAAATGAACAATATTAATTATAGGCTGTTTTCATTGTGGCTTTGATTTTCTAGATTTTCATTGGTTGAGCAAAATCCTCACTCTGGAAAGGCTATTTCACCTGCTTGGGAACATTTCTATGGCTACCTCTACCAGAAATATGTGCCAGTTTGCAGTTGAAAGGAGCATTTTTGCAGTCAAAAGATATCATTTTAGAAAGTATGAGAAGGAAGAACAAAATCATTCACACTTCCTTTAGAAAAATCTAGAAAAATGAGTAGTGATGTGAACTTCACAGGTGAAATAATTAAGACCGAGTTTTAGAATATTTTAAATCATGCACAAGCATATGTTTCCCTCTCTTCTGCTATATCTGGAACACAATATGCAGTGGTTTGAGAGGCTGGAGCCTTAGCGTCATCTCTAATTAGCCATGTGCTCTTGAGCGAGTCAAAACCATTCTGAGTCTCTGTCTCCTCATTTGTAAAAAAGAGATAACTATAAGACTTAATGTTGAGAAAAAACCCTGTAGTCACTGAATCATAGGAGACATTTAGTAAATAATATCTATTAATGATGGTGATGACAATGATGTGGTACATATTTTTTTTTAATCTCAGCTGCTTATTTTAAATGAAGCCTGTCAAAAAACCTCCTTGCAGGCTGCACTAGCATGTGATTATAAATTGAGTTAAGAGATTGGAAATCTAGAATAGAGATATGAGATAATGGCCCAGGAGGAAACTGGAGAGTGAGGCTTTAATAATTTCATTAGGAAAAGAAGTGCTTGAGCATGTAAATATCCCCAATGGACCTTAGTAAGACTGTGTGAAACTGGGAAAAATCAGAGAACTCTGGGACTCTAAAAGCCACCTTGCATCTTCCTAAAGCTTGTGAAAGCTTCTGTCTGTTACTTCCTTAGGTAGATGAGTCTTCTGACACTTCAGTCAGCCAAGGGGAGCTTATGGAGGGCCTCTCTGAATTAGTGAGAGGATCTGAGACTATAGACCTTACCTTGTAAAATACGAAAATTTCATAGGTGCACCAACTACCATACATCCATGTGCAAAATTAGGTGTAGGTCAAAGGGAGTGTATTTGTCCATTTTTACACTGCTGATAAAGACATACTCAAGACTGGGCAATTTACAAAAGAAAGAGGTTTAATTGGACTTACAGTTCCACATGGCTGTGGAGGCCTCACAATCGTGGCGGAAGGCAAGGAGGAGCAAGTCACATCTTATATGGATGGCAGCAGGCAAAGAGAATTGTGCAGGGCAACTGCCATTTTTAAAACCATCAGATCTTGCGAGACCCATTCACTATCATGAGAACAGCATGGGAAAGACCCGCCCCCATAATTCAATCATCTCCTGTGGAGTCTCTCCTACAACACATGGGAATTGTGGGAGCTACAAGATGAGATTTGGGTGGGGACACAGAGCCAAACCCTATCAGGGAGTATAACACTATAGGATGATGCCTGCCAGGTTAAACATGGAGCTGAGTGGGTCTTACAGTACAAAAGCCTGAGCTGCAGAACACCTTGGATAAGTGGTAAGAAGCAAAGTGTGATGAATAGCTAATTCTGGAAAGCTCAGGAGTTTTGCCTGGCAAGTACATAAAACTGCAGGAAGGGCTGGGCGCGGTGGCTCACGCCTGTCATCCCAGCACTTTGGGAAGCCGAGGCAGGCGGATCACAAGGTCAGGAGATTGAGACCATCCTGGCTAACATGGTGAAACTTCGTCTCTACTAAAAATACAAAAAATTAGCTGGGCATGGTGGTGGGCACCTGTAGTCATAGCTTCTTGGGAGGCTGAGGCAGGAGAATGGTATGAACCCAGGAGGTGGAGCTTGCAGTGAGCCAAGATCATGCCACTGCACTCCAGCCTGGGTGGCGTCTCAAAAAAAAAAAAAAAAACTGCAGGAAGACAATGCCCAGTTCTTCTTCAACAGCAGCTTGGTGCACAAGTGCAAGAGCCAGCTCGCCCATATTAGGGATGATTCTGTAATTATTGATAAATTCTGGGTATTGTAATACCATCACATTCAGCAACAGAAATTCTAGCACTTAACAGCACCCTGATTTCTCACAAGGGTTTGGAGCCACTGAGGTGGGGAGGATGAAGAAAGACCTGAATCATGGCTAACTCCCAGACATATTTGATTTATTGATTATCTATTGCTGTGTAGCAACTACCCCAAAACGCAATGGCTTAAAACAGTATGCATGTATTATATTATAGCTTCTGTGAGACAGGAATCAAGGAATGACTTAGCTGGGGTATCTGCTTCATGGTCTCTTACAAGGCTATAATCCAGGTGCTGGCCAAGGCCACAGTCTCATCTGAAGGTGCAAGTGGAGAAGGATGAATTTCCAAGCTCAATCAGATGATTGCTGGCAGCATTTTACTTCCTCATGAGCTCTTGGCCAGATGCCTTCCTCTGTTGGTATTGACATCACCCTCTTCATAGAGCATTTCACAACATGAAAGCTCAAAATTATCACATGAGAAAGTAAGAGAGAAAGAGTACCAGCAAAAGAGAGAGTGCTAGCAAGACAGAAGTCAGTCTTTTATAGCCAAAATCATGGAAATTACATTGACTACTTTTGTTAGATTTTACTCATTAGAAATGGGTCATTAGGTCAAACCCCTGCTCTAGGAAGGGAATATAAAGAAGGTTTGAATATGAGGAAGTGCAGGTCTGCAGGGGCCATTTTAGTAGGCTGCCTGTCTTAGTTCTCTTGGGCCGTTATAACAAAAATACCATAAACTGGGTGCCTTATAAACAGCAAGCATTTATTGCCCACAGTTCTAGATGCTGGGAAGTCCAAGATTAACATGCTGGCAGATTTGATGTCTGGTGAGGGCTGTCTTCCTGGTTCATAGGTGAAGCTTTTTTTCACTCCCAGCATCCTCACATTGAATAAGGGGCTAGCTAGTTCTCCAGGGTTTCTTTTATAAGGGCACTAATGCCCTTCACATGTGAAGAGCCCTCATTCCCTAACCACTTCCCAAAAGATCCCGCCTTCTAATGCCATCACTGTAGGGGTTAGCATTTCAACATGTGAGTTGGGGGAAGACAAAAATTTACACCACAGCATCACCTACCACATCTGATATAGGAAATGTCAAGTTGTAAGGATCCTGGTCTCCTCTCTCATCATCTCGTGTTTTTTTTTTTTTAATCTATCTCATTATTTGGGTTCTGATACTCTTTTTGGAAAATACTTTTTGCCCCATGCCTAATTCAATGTATTTAAAAAAAAAAAATTTTTTGTTCTGAGAATCTCTCAGAGAGTGAAAACAAACAAATAAACAAACAAAAAAACCCAAAAAATGGCCATTGTAATTCCCAAAGTTAGACCTAATTCTAATACAACTAATTACACTATATTGTGAACTAAGGAAAAAATACTTTATTTTCTAATCCTCATCTTTAGCTGTGAAATGGAGCTACTAGAAAATATAGTGTAGTGATTACTGTAATGGAATTTGGAGTCAGATATTCTGGATTGGATACTAGATTTCTCATTTCCTAGCATTACTTCATTGTACAAAAATATTTTACATTTTTTTTCTTTTTAAAATTCCATAACTCACACAAATTAGAATCTGTGTGCAATTTATAGATGAGGAAACTGAAGCTTAAAGAAGTAAAGGTTTCAGAAAAATTCTTGGCATCCACTATGTGGCATAAATTGTGGCTACTATTAATTTTTAATTTTCTTTTTAATATTCTGTTTGCATATGAAATGTATAAAAATACATGCATAAAGTCATCTCATTCAATGATTGTTGAATAAAGAGATGTTTTGTTAGATTCTCATTAGCAATTCAGGTTAGGGATTAAGTGTGTGGTCTAGAGAGAAACTCTCTGGGCTCAGATACTGACTTTACTATTTCCCAGCTGTAAACCTGGATGGAATAGATAAGAACATGAACTGTGGAGCCCAGCTTTCTGGATTCAAATCCTGGTTCTGCCACTTACTAGCTGGGAGAGAATGGTAAAATTACATAACTTCTCATTGCCTCTATTTTCTCATCTGTCAAATAAAAAGAATAGAATCTACCTCTTAGGTTTGTCTAGAATACTAACAAAAATAAAATGTTTTGATACTTTATTCAATGACTAAAGCAAAATAATTATCACCAGATGTTAGCTTAACAGCTAATTCCTGTAGTTCTCAGGATGACCAGCACTTGCATGGAACAATTGTGAATCCTATTTGTAGACTTCTATGACTCAAGTGCTTTTTGTCTCTCCAAAATTCATGTTGAAACTTAATCCCCAATGCAATAGTATTAAGAGGGGCGGCCTTTAGGAGGTGAATGAGTCATGAGGGCTCCAGTTTTATGAATAGCATTAGGTGCCCTTATATAATAAAAGGACTTGAAGAGAGTTTTCCCTTTCTGTCTCTTCTGCCACCTCTGAAGAATGCACCAAGGGAAGCAGACAGCAGCCCTTACCAGACACATTCTGCTGGCACTTTGACCTTGGACTTTACAGCCTCCAGAATTTTGAGCAATAAACTTCGGATCTTTACAAATTACCCAGTCTCAGGTATCTTATAGCATCAAAAGATGAGCTGACACATAGACTAATAGGTCAAGCCTTACCAATTAAGTGATGCTAGATAAGTCATGTTCAATTTCTGTTCCACAGTTTTTTCATCTCTACCACACTGGGTCAGTTTCTTTAGTGAGAAATAAGAACATATCCAGTTCTGAAGCAGAATTAATAATTTTCTTTAATTGTCTTCCTCCTTCCTTTTTTTTCTGCCATCCTTTCTTTCTTCCCTCCCACATTTCTTTCTTTCTTCCATGTTTTGAAGTCCTAAGTTGATATATATGACCGATAACAATGTATTTTTCCTGACCCTGGATAAAACCAATACACAATGGGCCACTTCACTATACTATATACAGATACACATATATGTGTATATATGTGTCTCTTTATATATATATACATATATATATGTATATTAACTAAAGGACTGTTTGTTCTGGCTCATGATTTACGTAAGTATTTTCAGAGTATTCTTTGATTTGGCACCGCAATGCACACATTTTTCTCAGTTTTCAGATGATAAAGCAAAGAATTAGAGAATGTTATTAACAAGCACAAAGATTCAAGCAGAGAAGTGGGGATCTCCATGACCACTGTTAGTCAATGAGCCTCATTTAGAGTTCTCGTTCTCTTTTTTTTGGTTGTGTCTCTGCCCGGCTTTGGTACCAGGATGATGTTGGCCTCATAAAATGAGTTAGGGAGGATTCCCTCTTTTTCTATTGATTGGAATAGTTTCAGAAGGAATGGTACCAGTTCCTCCTTGTACCTCTGGTAGAATTCGGCTGTGAATCCATCTGGTCCTGGACTCTTTTTGGTTGGTAAGCTATTGATTATTGCCACAATTTCAGATCCTGTTATTGGTCTATTCAGAGATTCAACTTCTTCCTGGTTTAGTCTTGGGGGAGTGTATGTGTCGAGGAATTTATCCATTTCTTCTAGATTTTCTAGTTTATTTGCATGGAGGTGTTTGTAGTATTCTCTGATGGTAGTTTGTATTTCTGTGGGATCGGTGGTGATATCCCCTTTATCATTTTTTATTGCACCTATTTGATTCTTCTCTCTTTTTTTCTTTATTAGTCTTGCTAGCGGTTTATCAATTTTGTTGATCCTTTCAAAAAACCAGCTCCTGGATTCATTAATTTTTTGAAGGGTTTTTTGTGTCTCTATTTCCTTCAGTTCTGCTCTGATTTTAGTTATTTCCTGCCTTCTGCTAGCTTTTGAATGTGTTTGCTCTTGCTTTTCTAGTTCTTTTAATTGTGATGTTAGGGTGTCAATGTGGCAATTCCTCAGGGATCTAGAACTAGAAATACCATTTGACCCAGCCATCCCATTACTGGGTATATACCCAAAGGACTATAAATCATGCTGCTATAAAGACACATGCACACGTATGTTTATTGCGGCATTATTCACAATAGCAAAGACTTGGAACCAACCCAAATGTCCAACAATGATAGACTGGATTAAGAAAATGTGGCACATATACACCATGGAATCCTATGCAGCCATAAAAAATGATGAGTTCATGTCCTTTGTAGGGACATGGATGAAATTGGAAATCATCATTCTCAGTAAACTATCGCAAGAACAAAAAACCAAACACCACATATTCTCACTCATAGGTGGGAATTGAACAATGAGAACACATGGACACAGGAAGGGGAACATCACACTCTGGGGACTGTTGTGGGGTTGTGGGGGGAGGGATAGCATTGGGAGATATACCTAATGCTAGATGACGAGTTAGTGGGTGCAGCGCACCAGCATGGCACATGTATACATATGTAACTAACCTGTACATTGTGCACATGTACCCTAAAACTTAGAGTATAATAATAAAAAAATAAATTAAAAATAAATAAATAAATAAATTGCATTTCTCTTATGGCAAAAAAAAAAAAAAGAGTTCTCATTCTCCTATATTTTGGATCGTATATTTTCCATGTTCATAGAAGTCCCTCCTAACATGCCAAACCTAAAAATGCTTGATAAAATATAGTAAATATTTAAAATGCATGGATGAGTTGGTATCAGAGTAAAGGCAATTGATCTCCAGTGGGCAACAGTGATAAGACAGTGTGCGTCTGGGGGTGGAGTGAACACAGTATCTGCACTGACATGACAGGGTGGAGAAGGACCCCACGGATGCCTGGTGACCTAGTGTCTGAATTTGAATGGGCTAAATGTGAAGAGGAGAAATCACAGGGTTTGGGAGAAAAAAAAAGAGTTAGATCATTGATAAACACACAGGAAACATTCATGAAAACTGATCTACTACTAAATTATAAAGCAACAGTCTCTTCAGTTTCAAAGAATAACATACAGGTAACATTTTTTGACCACACAAAATAAGTAACAATATAGTAGCAGTTATATGAAACTCAGTATGTGCCGACCACTGTTCTAAGCACTTGTATACACTTACTGAGACCTCATGACAACTCTATTTTGTAGTTAATGAAACTGAGGCCAAAAAAGGAGAAATGTCTTACAATGTCTTCCCAGGGTTATGCAGCTGAGGAGTAGAGAGTTAGGATTCCAATGCCAGCAGTCTCGCTCCAGGCTCCTGCCTCTCACCACTCCAGTTACTGCCACTAAATTGCAGTGACTTTAAACTCCAACATTTAGTAGTTCATGACATGCAGACACACACACATGCTTTGAAATGTATACTAAATATAATGATGTCATAAAAATTATAAAACACTTAGAATTTAAATATAAAAATTATTTTTGTAGAATTTTTCTAAAACAGTACTCAGGAGGAAGTATACAGCTCTAAAAGGTTCTATTAAAAAGAAGAAATAGGGAATTAACAGAATAAACTTCCAAATTTAGAAGTCAATATAACTAAAGAGATGAACAAAGGTAATGAAAAATGTGAAAGTCCAAATGAACGATGAGAAAAATCACCAAAAGAAGTATCAGTACTCTGACAAAAAAATGAAAATTAAGACAATCATTTGGTGAGATTTAAGAAAAAAAAGTAATAGCATAATTTAAAGGACTAGTAATGAAAAGTTAGCATTAAGAAATAATCTGGAATTATATACGTGCATTGGTGACTAAAATTATAAACAGGCTTTGTGAGGATTAGGAAATTTAGAAAAACATTTACCCTGATACGTTTCAAAATTTAGGTAACAAATTTTTAATATTGGGATATATGTGTGTATATGTATGCATATATATACAAATATGTGTACGGGTATGTGTGTATATGTAAATAAACTTTCAAAACTAAGAAAGTAAAAAAAAATCAGTGATCTCATTATTTATAAACATTAAGAAATGATAAAATAACAAAATAACTCTATTGTTTTAAAAATAAATGAATAGTTATGATCTCTGCCAATAAATTGCCAGACCCTAATGGTTTTACATAATCCTAAGTAAATATTAAGAAACTACATGCAGTATTGTATAAAAATATGCTGTGACCAAATAAGATTTATTCTAGAAATTCAAGGTTAATTCAACATTAGATAATCTATTATTGTACTTAGTTATATTAATGTATTAAAAGAGAAAAATATGGTTATATCAACAGATGCAGATAAAAACATTCATGATATATCCATGTGATATAAAAATTAATAAAAATGACCCATTTATAAAGCTAGAATATTAAATATTATTATTAAATGATCAACACTTAAATTATACTTGTCATATTCCCTATTCTAAGCTCTTTATATACACTTTTCATTTAAACCTCACATCACATAAATTTTCTGAATATGAATGTTATATACAAATAAATAATTTTAAAAAGGCCAAAAACTTGTGACAGCTATGAACAGAAACTTCTCAAATGAGGAAATACACATATTTGAAAAGATACTTAGTGTCATAATTCATCAAATACATGTAAAGTAGAAACACAAAGATATATGATTTTGCATTTACCAGATTGACAAAATTTAAAAGCCTTTCATTATCTGGGGCTGATGAAAATGCAAATCATCAGGAAATCTTACACACTCTGCTGTGTGAGTATAAATTTTTATAGGCACTTTGGTAAACAACAGGGCAATTGACCTATCCATTTAAACTTGCACTGGCATTGTAAGAAACAAGCCAGAAGCTTAGCTAGTGCATGTATACCCCAGAGAACATCTGTACCTTGAAACATAGGCAACATTCATAGCAATATTAATACTAACACTCACGCTGATACTGATACTGTTAGAGATACTGTACTGATATCAATACTAGTGCCTAACATGCTACATAGTGCAGTGGTTCTCAAATCCTAGGCACTATCAGAATCACCCAGAGGGATTATTAAAACACAGTTTGCTGGGCCGCATGCCCAGAGTGACTGATTTAGTAGGTCTTGGCAGGGTCAGAGAATTTGCATTTTTATCAAGCTCTCAGGTGATGCTGATGTTTCTGCTCCAGGTACCACACTCTGGGTACGGTAAATACCATGCCTTCCACGGGACAGTTGCAGTTCTAAGTGCTTTGCACATGTTCACCCTATTAGCCCTCACAAGAATTGTATGAATAGTAGATAAACTATTATCTCGCTTTGGCAGATAGAGAAGTAAAGGCACAAGAGGTAAAGTGAGCTGCCCAAGGTTATACAAACAATTGGGATTCAAACTGGGGAACTCAGGAGTTTGTCCCTGTCTGTGTAATTAACCAAAAACATTTAGGAGTCTCTGGATGGACAGGTGGGGAAAACATTTTGAAAGGATAAAATGTCAAGCGAAGGCTAGGCAGTGTGAGCCCTTTGGGCACATTCAGGAACTAGAAGTGAGCCTGGGTAACTCGAATACAGGACACTGGAGGCAGAGATAAAACCTGAGGAGAGTTAGAACAAGGTAGCAAGGGTTGTATCAACAAAGGATTTTGTTCTCCAGATGAGACTCTTCAGACTTCATTCTGATGATTACAGGAGCCGCAAGAAGCCTCAGGCAAGAAGGGATAGGATTTGATTTACACTTTTAAATACAAGGCCTGTGGAAGAGCATGGAGGGAGAGAGGTTGGAAGAGAAGAGAACAGTTTGGAAGCTATTTGCAACAGTCTTCATGAGAGCAGATAGCAGCTTGGGCCGCAAAGGAAGGAATAGCACAGGGAGGCTGGGGTAAGAGATATTCGGGCACAGCATCAGCAGGATCTAGTGGCTGACTGGGGTAAGGAGAGAGAAATGAGGTTTAGGCTAATTCCCAACTTCCTGATTTACTCAACTTGATCATGATGATGTCATTCACTGAAGGGAGGGGTTGGCACTGGGGAAACATGCCTTGTTCAGTGCTGGGTCTGAAGTCCCTGTTGGAAGTCTTGGCAACTTTTCCTCTTAAAAACAAGAACAGCTTGCAATGGCTTTCAACTCTGGAAGCCCAGAAGACCTGGTTTGCATTCCTGCTCTAACGCTTATCGCCTGTGTAGGCCTTGGCGTGGATCCTCGCCATGACTCAGAATGAACCCAACTTTGCAATATTGTTAAGAAAAGTGCATGTTGTGATTGGCACATAAGTTCATTTAACATCTCGAGAGTCAGCTCCAAGTGGGATGCTGATGGATACAGACAAAATCCCTGTTCTCGTAGAGCTTATAGTCTAGTGGGTACATAATTATAAAAGCAAAATAGAATATGCCATCTGTAGTCACCCAGTTAGCCTTGAGCCCCAGGTGGAAACAGGGAGTCAGTGTGATAGAATGGGCCGTGGATTGAAATGATCCTCTATGGAGGCCTCCCACACTGGAAGTTACTATCCTCAAAGGCAGAGGGCAGCCTGATTAATGTCTGCATCCCCAGATCCGACAACAACAGTCTCTGGTACATAACCTGTATTCAATAAATGTTTGTTGAAGATGAAAATGAGTGAGTTCAGCAGTTTTCACTGGTAAAAAGTGCTGAGTCTGCGAAGAGCTCTGTTGCTGGCGGCAGGCACAGTTCACAGGGTCTTATCACGTAACTGCGACGGGCTTATGCGGTTTCCACGCTCACTTACAAAATTTCAATGACCTACTTAGCTTTCCAAGTCAAAATAAAGAAGTCATTCTGTAAACTGCAACATAATGTGCTGTAAAATATGAAGGTTTCTCTCTAACATATTAACAAAATCACCTGCAATATCACCAAAACATCACTACAATTTCTGGAATAATATGATGCCTTGAAACTGAATAATTTATTTGTGCATTTGCTGACAATGTGCATTTTTGACATCCCATTATTTTCAATTCTGCATCATTTTCTGGTGTAATGTGGTCTCCATTCTGCCACATTATAGCAGAAATCTATTTAATTTCTCACTCCCTGAGATTTCAAGAGCGATTTCCCAAGAATGCCGTTCTTATATCCAGCAGCAACTAAATGTTGAAGAGTGGTGATCCAATTCATTCTTGCAATAAGCCTAAGGTGTAGGTATTCTAATTATCTCTGCTATGCAAATGAGGAAACGGAGACACAGATGGCTTTATGTAAGTGACTGTAAGGGCCTCGGTTGTGAGAATGAAGCCGCAGGATGGTTGGTTTCAATGTTTCCTTGGTCAGAAATATTTTCACCTTCTTGGTCTCATTTGGTATTTCCTAAAAGTCTGTGAAATAAGTTTCATGCTCATCTGCAGTGACTTTTTTTTTTTTAATGACTGAAGGGTTAGGAAATTGTAGAAGAAAGATAGATCTATTATTTATTGAACAACTACTACATATTCTGTACTTTATTTTTAAAATTGGATTTATTTCTCACACTACTCTCAGAAAGGACATAACCTTATACTATTTGTTTCTCCAGTTTGAAGGTCAGGAAACAGAAGCTCAAAAATGTTCAGCGACTTCAAGGCACAAGACCATTGAGTGACTGAGATGTGACTTGAACTTTTTGTTAAATGCTGAGCACCATTCTCTTTTAGATTCGAGATAATGTACCCCGTGGGTGGAGAACCCAGTCATTTCTTGTGATATTCTAAATTGTGCTGCTGGACCAAGTCAGTTCATTGAGAAATGCATTCCAGGACAGCATGATCACGCCCCTTAAAGAATTGCATTTGTCCATATATTCTTTCGTTCAAAAAGTGACACGTTTTATTTATTGTTGAGCTGGTGGAAAATATTGTTCATTTAATCAGGATCCCTGTCCTTACAGCACATGAGAGAATTTTTTATTTTATTTTATTATTATTATGAGAGAATTTTTTTTAAGCTTCACTACCACAAAAGAGAAATCCATGACTCTTCTAATCAGCTCATTCATTGGTTTATATGAGATGATCTCTGGGATTCTTCTAACTTAATGTCTTTCTCTTCTTTGGCCACTGATAAATTTAGAAAAGAATTTGCAGCGTATCTTTAGCAAGTATACAGAATTACAAGACTAGCAACCATTCAGTCCCCTTTTGGGAATGAGCCATTTTGGGCAGGGACCAATAGCTTAGGCTATTTTCCTATCCTATTTTTTTTTCCTTTGTCTCAATTTTCTCAATAACAATGTTCTTATATACCATATGCTATATTAATATCATCTTGGCATTTTGTTGAGTTAAATACATAAACATTGGTGTTCATTATTATGTATTAATATGTTAAAATATTGTTATGTATTATATGATTATGTATTATAGGCAATATTATTATGTATTAAATATGTAACTAAATATGTAAACAATAACTAACATTTCCCATGTATAATGTTGCAATACATATATTGTTTTCTATCCATGGTTCCTGGCTCACACCTCCCACAGCCCTAGCCCTTATTACAGTCTTTTGTTAAAATGTTGGTGTGCTTTAGGCTTCAGAAGCAGGACTCAGAAAACACAAGAATATCTGACTTTCCCCTGCCCTCCTTTCACCAGTCCAAGGAAAGACTCTAATCTTTTCCCACCATTCTGACTATGAATCATATGACCCTCATTTCAGAAGCAGCCCTGTCCCGTGTCCTAGAGAAAGGATAACTGCACAGACAGGCCAAGATAAATCTGAACAGATATGTCATGCAGCGTTTCCCCACCCAATCTAGTATTATTACTTCATTCCCTTTTATTCTAATCACCTTTCTACACAGTTATCAATTGTGCCTATCCAGTGACGTTTCCATAAAAGGCCCATGGGGGCAGTGTATGAAGAGCTTCTGGATAGCTGAACACATATGGGTGGAGGTTCCTGGAGGGTGGTGCTCCCAGGGAGGGCATGGAAGCTCCACATTTCTTCCCCCATGCCTCGTCCTGTGCATCTGTTCATCTGTATCCTTTGCAATATCCTTTATAATAATCTGGCAGATGTGTTTCCCTGAGTTCTGTGAACCACCCCAGAAAACTAACTGAATGCAAAGAGGGAGTTGTGGGGAACCAAACTTAAAGTCAATCAGTAGATAGTGTTGGGAGTTGAATTGGAGGACACCCAGCTAGTATCTCCAGGTAGATAGCGTTGAAGTTTAATTGGAGGACAACCAGCTGGTATCTGCTGCGGAATTAATTGTTTGCTTTTTGGGAGAGAGAAATCCCCACACATTTGGGGGTCACAGAAGTCTATTGCTGATTGTTGTTGGGTGAGAAAAAAAGCACATTATATTTGTGTTTAATATTTCCACAGACCATGAAACAAGCCATCTTCAGAAGCCAATCTACATTTGGGGGTGATATTTTCTAGGAAGTCATCCAGAGAGATAAACTGTACAACAATGATGATAACAATAAAAATAATGAATAATTAATAAGTGATCACATGTCGTGTGTTTACAATGTGCTCATTGTGCTAAATTCTTCCCATGTATTTAATCTCCATAATAAACTTAGAAGTAAATATAACCAACCCTTTTGACAGATGAAGAAGTTGAATGTTAGCAAGATCAGAGCTTGTCCAAGGCCACCGCCTGGCAAGGGGTGAAGCTAGGGTCCCATCCCAGGTCTCTCTGCCTCCTGACCTCACCTTTTCCTCCACTAGGTCTTGAAAGAAGCTGAGCAGTAGAGTGAGGTGGGGAGGAGGGATAGTGAAGCAGACAGTGAATGGTCACAGGAAAGATTTCATTCAGGTCTCTGGTTTCAATTCTGTTGTTTTCAGCCCTTTGAGATAGATGACGTGACCCAGTTAATATGTATTGTATTTGCTACCCTGCAGAATTGTTAATTCAAAAAGGTGGGAGATTTATGAGTTTTGCACAGTCCTGTTTCATAGCTGCAATGTGGAGCTTCTCCAGGGAGGTAGTTTGAGAGCACTAGCTTTTCTGTGGGGTCAGCACACTTTTAAGTGAATTGGCCCCAAAGAAGAATGAATAAGGCATGGCTGAAATGGCACCAAAAGCAATTGTCACCAGCACCCAGGAGAGAAGGGAATAATTGGTGACAGCCTGGAATGCAGCTCACACTGAGATTGTCAGGTCAGGCAAGCTGGTCCACTGCCTACTCTGCCAGGTTGGGGTGATTCACCTCCCCTTTCTCTATTTAACTTGTAGTTTATATTTAAAATGATATACACCCATTATAAAGAAATTAAAATATACAGAGAAGCAAAAAAAATTAAAACTTGTCTTATCCTCCCAGACGATTACTGTGTGAGATCATATCCTTCCAAATCTTTTTCTATGTAAATACAATTACAAGATTAAAAAAAAATTCTACTGCATCTGCTATTTTAAAAGCAGCTACTTTTCTTTAAAAATATATTGTGAGCATTCGCTCATGCTCATAAATTTTCCACTACAGTAGAGGTTAGAGATGCATGGCTCACAGTTATTTTTCTGTTTTTTTGCATAGTATCTTGACAGACTAAGTAACTGGACAGCATGTGGCAGACTTGGTATCAATTTTAAAAGCTTATCATTTACTGTTTTATCATAGTCCAGACTCACAATTGCATGTAACTGCTTGGCTGCTGTAGGCATCTATGTGAGGCTCCTGCCCTACTTAGTTATGAGAAAGCTTTGAATGCTGCATGAGTTTCCTGTTGCTGCTGTACCAAATGACCACACACTTCGTGGCTTAAATAAAAATATATTTATTCTCTTACAGTCCTATGGGTGAGGAATCTGACATCGTTCTCACAGGGCTAAAATCAACGTGTCAGCAGGGCTGCATTCCTTTCAGAAGCTCTAGGGAAGAATCTGTCTCCTTGCCTTCTCTAGTTTCTAGAGGCCATCTGTATTAACGGACTTAATGCCCCTTCCCCTTCCTCAAGGCCAGCAAAGTAGCATTTATCTGACTTTCCTCCGCCATCACCTCTTACTCTGATCACACCCAGGAACGTTCTTCACTTTTAGAGATATATGCAATTAGATTGGGCCCTCCTGCATAATCCAAGATAATTTCTCTGTTTCAAGCTTTTTAACCTTAATCAAATCTTCAAAGTCACGGGTTCTGGAGATTAGGACAGGGGCATCTTTGGAGCCATTATTTTCCCTGCTGGAGATGGTATACCATCTTATCACTCCAGGTCTGTCATCTATTTAACTTGTTTCCTGTTAACGTACATTTAGGGTGCTGCCAACATTTTTGCTTTATATACAATCCTTCAGTAAAAATTAATATAACTAAACCTTTCCTTAGCTTTCATTGTTTCCTTAAAGAAAATCACTAAGAGCAAGATTTCTTGATTAAAGCATATGCCCATTTGTAAAGTAGTTCCACATTTACATTCAGGGCTCAGTACATATTTCTTAGGTATCTATTTTGTGCCAGGCATTGTTCTGAGTAGCAAGAATTTATTAGTGAACAAAGCAGAAAAAAAAATAGCCATTCTCAAGAGTTTCAGATTATGTAGTGTGTTGGTGGTTAATTGTCTTTTACCAATAGTTCAACTACTTTTGGCGCTAATTTTACAACTGCCTTTATTCAATTCACTACTTTCTTAAGGAACTAGTTTTCTTTCTTTCTTTCTTCTTTCTTTTTCTTTCTTTCTTCTGTCTTTCTTTCTTTTCCTTCCTTCCTTTCTTTCTTTCATTTTTTCTTTCTTTCTTTCTTTCTTTCTTTCTTTCTTTCTTTCTTTCTTTCTTTCCTTCCTTCCTTCCTTCCTTCTTTCCCTTCCTTTTTCTTTCCTTCTCTTCTTTCATCAGTCTTTAAAATATCTATATTTATAATATAGATATAATTAGAATACATATGTATTCTAATATATCAAAAGCAATCAACTAAGCTGGAATATAAAGGAAAATACATTTGTTTACACTGAGAAAGCCCAAGGCCCAAAATGCATTTTTACCACACAGTAGCAGTATGAACTTGGAAATGACCCCTGGTCTTTATCAACCTGTGTGATGCGAATAGAGTGCATTCTATGTGTTAAGCAACTTTTCAATCACTTTACATATATTATTTCAGTTAGTTCTCACAAAAATCCATGAGTTAAATGTCCTTAAGAATGTCATTTTACAAATTAGGAGATGAAGACACAGAGAGGTGAAGTAAACTGTCTGAGGTCACACAGCTAAGAAGTATTAGAGTCTGGATTTCAGCAAGACAGTCTGGCCTCATAGCCTACACTCATAACCTTCTTAATCCTTGTCATGGGTTAAAAATTGTTCCCACACTTTGAAGTTCTAACCTCCAATACCTCAGAATGTGATTTTATTTGGAAACAGGGTCATTGCAGATGTAATTAATTAAGAGGGAGACATGCTGAAGTAGGGTGGGCCTCTAGTCCAAAATAACCAGTGTTATTGTAAAAAGAGAAAATGTGGACACCTGCAATGAGAACATCATGTGAAGATGAAGGAGGGAGTGGGATGATGCTTCTACAAGCCAAGGGATGCCAAGAACCACCAGCAGCTAAAAAGAGACAAGGAAGGATTCTCCACTGCAAATTTCAGAGAGAGCTTGGTTTTCCCAACATCTTGCTTTCAGAGCTTTAGCCTCCAGAATTGTGATAAAATACACTTCTACTGTTTGGAGCCACCCAGTTTGTGGTACTTTGTCATGGCAGACCTAATCTAATGCAATCTTGATCTCCACTGTGGAGATCAACTGATTTATTTTTAGCTTATAGATGACATGAATCATATAACCAACCCTGTCTTACTTTTCTTTAGTTCTCAGGAAGCTCAGAACAAGGTAAAAATTATAGGGCTTTAGGGGGTGCATTCTACTACCTAAATGTCTCTACCTAAACCCTAGCATTCCAGCTGTATTTTACCTTTATTCCAATATCCTTATTTATAGAAATCTTATTGTATCGCATGCAGGTTTTTTAAAAACTTACTTTTGAAGATGGCCGAATAGGAACAGCTCTGGTCTACAGCTCCCAGCGTGAGCGACGCAGAAGACGGGTGACTTCTGCACTTCCATCGTAGGTACCGGGTTCATCTCACTAGGAAGTGCCAGACAGCAGGCACAGGTCAGTGGGTGCGCGCACTGTGCGCGAGCCGAAGCAGGGCGAGGCATTGCCTCACTTGGGAAGTGCAAGGGGTCAGTGAGTTCCCTTTCTGAGTCAAAGAAAGGGGTGACAGACGGCACCTGGAAAATCGGGTCACTCCCCCCGAATACTGCGCTTTTCCAACGGGCTTAAAAAACGGAGCACCACAAGATTATATCCCGCACCTGGCTCGGAGGGTCCTACACCCACGGAGTCTCGCTGATTGCTAGCACAGCAGTCTGAGATCAAACTGCAAGGCGGCAGCAAGGCTGGGGGAGGGGCGCCTGCCATTGCCCAGGCTTGATTAGGTAAACAAAGCAGCCAGGAAGCTCCAACTGGGTGGAGCCCACCACAGCTCAAGGAGGCCTGCCTGCCTCTGTAGGCTCCACCTCTGGGGGCAGGGCACAGACTAACAAAAAGACAGCAGTAACCTCTGCAGACTTAAATGTCCCTGTCTGACAGCTTTGAAGAGAGCAGTGGTTCTCCCAGCACGCAGCTGGAGATCGGAGAATGGGCAGACTGCCTCCTCAAGTGGGTCCCTGATCCCTGACCCCTGACCCCCGGGCAGCCTAACTGGGAGGCACCCCCCAGCAGGGGCACACTGACACCTCACACGGCAGGGTATTCCAACAGACCTGCAGCTGAGGGTCCTCTCTGTTAGAAGGAAAACTAACAAACAGAAAGGACATCCACACCAAAAACCCATCTGGACATCACCATCATCAAAGACCAAAAGTAGATAAAACCACAAAGATGGGGAAAAAACAGAACAGAAAAACTGGAAACTCTAAAAAGCAGAGCGCCTCTCTTCCTCCAAAGGAACGCAGTTCCTCACCAGCAACGGAACAAAGCTGGATGGAGAATGACTTTGACGAGCTGAGAGAAGAAGGCTTCAGACGATCAAATTACTCTGAGCTACGGGAGGACATTCGAACCAAAGGCAAAGAAGTTGAAAACTTTGAAAAAAATTTAGAAGAATGTATAACTAGAATAACCAATACAGAGAAGTGCTTAAAGGAGCTGATGGAGCTGAAAACCAAGGCTCGAGAACTATGTGAAGAATGCAGAAGCCTCAGGAGCCGATGCGATCAACTGGAAGAAAGGGTATCAGCGATGGAAGATGAAATGAATGAAATGAAGTGAGAAGCGAAGTTTAGAGAAAAAAGAATAAAAAGAAATGAGCAAAGCCTCCAAGAAATATGGGACTATGTGAAAAGACCAAATCTACGTCTGATTGGTGTACCTGAAAGTGATGGGGAGAATGGAACCAAGTTGGAAAACACTCTGCAGGATATTATCCAGGAGAACTTCCCCAATCTAGCAAGGCAGGCCAACGTTCAGATTCAGGAAATACAGATAACACCACAAATATACTCCTCGAGAAGAGCAACTCCAAGACACATAATTGTCAGATTCACCAAAGTTGAAATGAAGGAAAAAATGTTAAGGGCAGCCAGAGAGAAAGGTCGGGTTACCCTCAAAGGGAAGCCCATCAGACTAACAGCAGATCTCTCGGCAGAAACCCTACAAGCCAGAAGAGAGTGGGGGCCAATATTCAACATTCTTAAAGAAAAGAATTTTCAACCCAGAATTTCATATCCAGCCAAACTAAGCTTCATAAGTGAAGGAGAAATAAAATACTTTACAGACAAGCAAATGCTGAGAGATTTTGTCACCACCAGGCCTGCCTTACAAGAGCTCCTGAAGGAAGCACTAAACATGGAAAGGAACAACCAGTACCAGCCGCTGCAAAATCATGCCAAAATGTAAAGACCATCGAGACTAGGAAGAAACTGCATCAACTAACGAGCAAAATAACCAGCTAACATCATAATGACAGGATCAAATTCACACATAACAATACTAACTTTAAATGTAAATGGACTAAATGCTCCAATTAAAAGACACAGACTGGCAAATTGGATAAAGAGTCAAGACCCATCAGTGTGCTGTATTCAGGAAACCCATCTCACGTGCAGAGACACACATAGGCTCAAAATAAAAGGATAGAGGAAGATCTACCAAGCCAATGGAAAACAAAAAAAGGCAGGGGTTGCAATCCTAGTCTCTGATAAAACAGACTTTAAACCAACAAAGATCAAAAGAGAAAAGAAGGCCATTACATAAAGGTAAAGGGATCAATTCAACAAGAAGAGCTAACTATCCTAAATATATATGCACCTAATACAGGAGCACCAAGATTCACAAAGCAAGTCCTGAGTGACCTACAAAGAGACTTAGACTCCCACACATTAATAATGGGAGACTTTAACACCCCACTGTCAACATTAGACAGATCAACGAGATGGAAAGTCAACAAGGATACCCAGGAATTGAACTCAGCTCTGCACCAAGCAGACCTAATAGACATCTACAGAACTCTCCACCCCAAATCAACAGAATATACATTTTTTTCAGCACCACACCACACCTATTCCAAAATTGACCACATACTGGGAAGTAAAGCTCTCCTCAGCAAATGGAAAAGAACAGAAATTATAACAAACTATCTCTCAGACCACAGTGCAATCAAACTAGAACTCAGGATTAAGAATCTCACTCAAAACCGCTCAACTACATGGAAACTGAACAACCTGCTCCTGAATGACTACTGGGTACATAACGAAATGAAGGCAGAAATAAAGATGTTCTTTGAAACCAACGAGAACAAAGACACAACATACCAGAATCTCTGGGATGCATTCAAAGCAGTGTATAGAGGGAAATTTATAGCACTAAATGCCCACAAGAGAAAGCAGGAAAGATCCAAAATTGACACCCTAACATCACAATTAAAAGAACTAGAAAAGCAAGAGCAAACACATTCAAAAGCTAGCAGAAGGCAACAAATAACTAAAGTCAGAGCAGAACTCAAGGAAATAGAGACACAAAAAACCCTTCAAAAAATTAGTGAATCCAGGAGCTGGTTTTTTGAAAGGATCAACAAAATTCCTAGACCGCTAGCAAGACTAATAAAGAAAAAAAGAGAGATGAATCAAGTAGATGCAATAAAAAATGATAAAGGGGATATCACCACCAATCCCACAGAAATACAAACTACCATCAGAGAATACTACAAACACCTCTACGCAAATAAACTAGAAAATCTAGAAGAAATGGATAAATTCCTCGACACATACACTCCCCCAAGACTAAACCAGGAAGAAGTTGAATCCCTGAATAGACCAATAACAGGATCTGAAATTGTGGCAATAATCAATAGCTTACCAACCAAAAAGAGTCCAGGACCAGATGGATTCACAGCCGAATTCTACCAGAGGTACAAGGAGGAACTGGTACCATTCCTTCTGAAACTATTCCAATCAATAGAAAAAGAGGGAATCCTCCCTAACTCATTTTATGAGGCCAGCATCATTCTGATACCAAAGCCAGGCAGAGACACAACCAAAAAAGAGAATTTTAGACCAATATCCTTGATGAACACTGATGCAAAAATCCTCAATAAAATACTGGCAAAACGAATCCAGCAGCACATCAAAAAGCTTATCCACCATGATCAAGTGGACTTCATCCCTGGGATGCAAGGCTGGTTCAATATACACAAATCAATAAATGTAATCCAGCATATAAACAGAGCCAAAGACAAAAACCACATGATTATCTCAATAGATGCAGAAAAAGCCTTTGACAAAATTCAACAACCCTTCATGCTAAAAACTCTCAATAAATTAGGTATTGATGGGACGTATTTCAAAATAATAAAAGCTATCTATGAAAAACCCACAGCCAATATCATACTGAATGGGCAAAAACTGGAAGCATTCCCTTTGAAAACTGGCACAACACAGGGATGCCCTCTCTCACCACTACTATTCAACATAGTGTTGGAAGTTCTGGCCAGGGCAATTAGGCAGGAGAAGGAAATAAAGGGTATTCGATTAGGAAAAGAGGAAGTCAAATTGTCCCTGTTTGCAGATGACATGATTGTATATCTAGAAAACCCCATTGTCTCAGCCCAAAATCTCCTTAAGCTGATAAGCAATTTCAGCAAAGTCTCAGGATACAAAATCAATGTACAAAAATCACAAGCATTCTTATACACCAACAACAGACAAACAGAGAGCCAAATCATGAGTGAACTCCCATTCACAATTGCTTCAAAGATAATAAAATACCTAGGAATCCAACTTACAAGGGATGTGAAGGACCTCTTCAAGGAGAACTACAAACCACTGCTCAAGGAAATAAAAGAGGATACAAATAAATGGAAGAACATTCCATGCTCATGGATAGGAAGAATCAATATCGTGAAAATGGCCATACTGCCCAAGGTAATTTACAGATTCAATGCCATCCCCATCAAGCTGCCAATGACTTTCTTCACAGAATTGGAAAAAACTACTTTAAAGTTCATATGGAACCAAAAAAGAGCCCGCATCGCCAAGTCAATCCTAAGCCAAAAGAACAAAGCTGGAGGCATCACACTACCTGACTTGAAACTATACTACAAGGCTACAGTAACCAAAACAGCATGGTACTGGTACCAAAACAGAGATATAGACCAATGGAACAGAACAGAGCCCTCAGAAATAACGCCGCATATCTACAACTATCTGATCTTTGACAAACCTGAGAAAAACAAGCAATGGGGACAGGATTCCCTATTTAATAAATGGTGCTGGGAAAACTGGCTAGCCATATGGAGAAAGCTGAAACTGGATCTCTTCCTTACACCTTATACAAAAATCAATTCAAGATGGATTAAAGACTTAAATATTAGACCTAAAACCATAAAAACCCTAGAAGAAAACCTAGTCATTACCATTCAGGACATAGGCATGGGCAAGGACTTCATATCCAAAACACCAAAAGCAATGGCAACAAAAGACAAAATTGACAAATGGGATCTAATTAAACTAAAGAGCTTCTGCACAGCAAAAGAAGCTACCATCAGAGTGAACAGGCAACCTACAAAATGGGAGAAAATTTTCACAACCTACTCATCTGACAAAGGGCTAATATCCAGAATCTACAATGAACTCAAACAAATTTACAAGAAAAAACAAACAACCCCATCAAAAAGTGGGCAAAGGACATGAACAGACACTTCTCAAAAGAAGACATTTATGCAGCCAAAAAACACATGAAAAAATGTTCATCATCACTGGCCATCAGAGAAATGCAAATCAAAACCACAATGAGATACCATCTCACACCAGTTAGAATGGCAATCATTAAAAAGTCAGGAAACAACAGGTGCTGGAGAGGATGTGGAGAAATAGGAACACTTACACTGTTGGTGGGACTGTAAACTAGTTCAACCATTGTGGAAGTCAGTGTGGCGATTCCTCAGGGATCTACAACTGGAAATACCATTTGACCCAGCCATCCCATTACTGGGTATATACCCAAAGGACTATAAATCATGCTGCTATAAAGACACATGCACACATATGTTTATTGTGGCATTATTCACAATAGCAAAGAGTTGGAACCAACCCAAATGTCCAACAGTGATAGACTGGATTAAGAAAATGTGGCACATATACACCATGGAATACTATGCAGCCATAAAAAATGATGAGTTCATGTCCTTTGTAGGGACATGGATGAAATTGGAAATCATCATTCTCAGTAAACTATCGCAAGAACAAAAAACCAAACACCGCATATTCTCACTCATAGGTGGGAACTGAACAATGAGATCACATGGACACAGGAAGGGGAATATCACACTCTGGGGACTGTTGTGGGGTGGGGGGAGGGGGGAGGGATAGCATCGGGAGATATACCTAATGCTAGATGACGAGTTCGTGGGTGCAGCCCACCAGCATGGCACATGTATACATATGTAACTAACCTGCACATTGTGCACACGTACCCTAAAACTGAAAGTATAATTAAAAAAAAAAAAAAAAAGTGAAATGGAGAAAGCAAGAAGCCATTCCTCCTGGGACTGCTACAAGAATGAATGAGCTGTACATGTGGAATTCATAGAGCAGAGCCTGACACCAGCAAGCATTTGTAAGCATGTAAAATGTGATTATTAAGACTTCTGAAAAAATAGGCTCTGTGAGTAAGCAAATAAGATTTTTAAAATAATGATTCAATAAACTTACCTGACATCCAAAAAAAAAAAAACTTACTTTTAATTTTAAAATTAGTTTTAAATTTGAACTTTTAAAATATTAACTTTTTAAATTACTTTTGGTGGGAAAAACCGCAATTACTTTTGCACCAACCCAATATAAAGCACGCAAGTTGAGAACAATTTCTAGAAGGGGGAATGACTTGCCTAGAATCAGGAGTTACTTCTAGTAGGTGCTGGGCTAGCACCTAACCAGGCTGTACACTCAGTGCAGTAGGAGCTCTTCATCATGGTGCCTTGAGACAGTGAGGGTCGAGGAGGTGGGTCCATACACTGCTTTTTATTCCTTTTCCCACCTTCTCTGGCTCTCACAACTATCCCAAATGAAAGACCCCACCTCATCACAACCCAGTCTTGACTCTGCTTCTGAAACCAACCTTAACTGAGGCAGCATAAAGAACACCAATAGTAGGCCAGGCGTGGTGGCTCATGCCTGTAATCCCAGCACTTTGGGAGGATGAGGCAGATGGATCATCTGAAGTCAAAAGTTCGAGACCAGCCTGACCAACATGATGAAACCCCATCTCCACTAAATACAAAAAATTAGCTGGGAGTGGTGATGCATGCCTGTAATCCCAGCCACATGGGAAGCTGAGGCAGGAGAATTGCTTGAACCTGGGAGGCAGAGGTTGCGGTGGGCCAAGATTGTGCCATTGCACTTCACCATGGCCAATAAGAATGAAACTCCATCTCCAAAAAAAAAAAAAAAAAAAGAGCACCAATAGTACAGATTACCCATCTTTTTTTTTTTTTTACTTGTATTTTAGTTTCAGCAGTGCATGTGAAGGTTTGTTACATAGGTAAACTCATGTAACAAGGGTTTGTTGTACAGATTATTTCACCACCCAGGAATTAAGCCCAGTACCCAGTGATTCTCTTCGCTGCTCCTCTCCCTTCTCTGACACCGTCCACCTTCAAGTAGACTCCAGTGTCTGTTGTTTCCTTGTTTGTGTTCATGAGTTCTCATCATTTAGCTCTCACTTATAAGTGAGAACATGCAGTATTTGGTTTTCTGTTCCTGCATTAGTTTGCTAATAATAACAGCCTCCAGCTCCATGCATGTTTTGAAAAAAGACATTATCTTGTTCTTTTTTATGGCTGCATAGTATTCCATAGTGTATCTGTACCACATTTTCTTTATCCAAGCTGTCATTTAGGTTGATTCTATGTCTTCGCTATTGTGAATAGTGCTGCAGTGAACACTCACGTGCATGTGTCTTTATGGTAGAATAATTTACATTCCTCTGGGTGCATGTGCAGTAATGGGATTGCTGGGTCAAATGGTAGTTCTGCTTTTAGCTCTTTGAAGAGTTGCCATACTGCTTTCCACAATGGTTGACCAAATTTTCCCACCAACAGTGTGTAAGTGTTCCCTTTTCTCTGCAATTTTGCCAGCATCTGTTATTTTTTGACCTTTTAGTAATACCCATCTTGTGAGCATTTGAATTTATCTTCCTCCGTAGACCAGGATCCAGTCACTCTATCCATGCTGTTTTTCACAAAGCCTAGCACCTGTAAGAAGCTCATTGACCAGTAAAGCTGCTGAAGTTGTGAGAAAAAAAAAATGTAGTAATCGAAAGACTATATATAGTCTTTGATCCTATTTCTCCTACTAGCTGGGTGTTTCTGGTCAAATCACTTAGCCACCTGGGACACACTTGGTTCTTCATCTGTGAGATGGGAATTTCTACCCCACAGGAAGGTTGTGTGGAAGAGAGATTCAGTGTCTTCTCACACAATTTTGGTGCACAGTAAATGTTAGCGCTTTTCTAATACTCTTGCTTCTATTTTCCAGCTAATTGCCTCAGCCTCTGCTGCTGCCGTGAACCTACCAGGAAGAGCTCTCATGTCTAAGAGCTCTGATGTCCATGATGAATTAGGGTTCAGCTTTCCTCTCTCTTCTATCACTTTACTCCACAAAGGCATAAATGTCAGAGCCACGGGAACAAGAAGACAATGGCTGCCCTTGGGTAGGAGAGAGCAGACCAGGAGGGAGAGATGGTTCTTCCAATCTCAAATCAGCTGTCATCATCCCAGCTTGTCTCCTTTGACAAAACCGACTTGGGGAGTTCTGGATGCTCAAGCCATCAGCCTGTCCAGGGTAACATGCTCATCGCTTCCTAACTTGCTCTGTCTTTGTTATTGTTAGGACAGGATGTGTGAAAATCTGAACAGCCCCAGTGACCAGAGCTCAGCAGTTTATCAAACAAAAGCTGACATTTCATCTGAACAATTTTATTTCTCTCTAAAGCACCATAACACAAAAAAGCTCAGATTGTTAGTGTGATCTGTATTGTAATGGATCTTCAGGCTTTGCTGTTAGAGAGGGGATGCTGGTACTTGGAGCCAGCAATGGGAATGGGACAAGGGAGAAGCAGCAAGTAGCTAACATTCTTAGCGTGTGTCCTGCGTGTGTCAGGCAGTGGGCTGGGCATCCTGTGTTCTCCATCCTTACTGTAATCATTATTTTGGATGTGATGACCTTCATTGCAAAGGTGAAGACTGATTCTCTGAGAATAGCCATTCATTCCATCTCTCCCTTTAGAAAGTGTGAAGTGAGGTTTAATTCCTGGTACATCACTTTCCTCTACATGAAATTCTCCTAACCTGCAGATAAAAAGCTCAGGTTGCGATCCTGTCTCTCCTACATAAGAGCTGGGTGAGCCTGGGCAAGTCTTATAGATTCTCCCTGAGCTTCTTTCTCTCATCTTTAAAATTAAAATACTTATTTTAGCCCTTAACTACTTTTGGGGTCACTGTGTAACTCGGTCAAGATAATCCATCACCAAACCCTTGTATGCCAGGGATCCACAAGACCACACCTGCATTTGGAGGTTCATGAGGACTTGTGGGATTCTGCATGTATGATTGCACTCACAACTATGATTTATTACGGTGATATAGCAAGGATACATGGGCAGAGAATACAGGAAATACACATAGGAAGAGTGTGTAGGAATCCATGTCAGGCTTCCTTATGTTCTCTATTTCCTACGAAGGATCATTCAGAGCACACCTTCCCCCAGCAGTGAAAACACAGAGACCTGTGTACAATATATCTGCCCAGAGAAATCTATCAGTGGGTCAGTGCCCAACATGTTTACTGAGTGCTGGTCACATGGCACCTTTGCCTAGCACAGACCAAATGCCACACTCCCAGAAGGAAAGCAGCATAAACCATACTATTTGTACAAACCATCTAGTCACAATGAGCCACACTTAGTTAGGGAAAGTTTATATCCGTGTAGGGAACTATATGCCAGCAAAGTTCCCAGAGACAATCCAAAGGCCAGCTTGGCAAGAAGGCTTTTCTAAGGAGAGCAGTCTCTGCTCTGCTCCATTAACTCTTTTCTGCTGACCAGGGTACCAGTGAGAGTGAAAAGGTGCTTATGGGATGGTACCACAGGACAAGAGGCTGTGGATCATTCAGAGCGTGGACTGAAAAGCTGGGCAGTGAAACACTGCATGGCCTGGCAGGTCCTGGATCCATCTTAACTGGGCCAGTTTAACTCATGTTCTCTAGAAGTATAGTTTTCAAAATTGAGTTCTGATTCCACATGTATGTCATCCAAAAGGGAATTTCCATGTCTGTTGTTTAGGCAGACACAAGACATTGTTTTTAAGGGGAAAACAGATATCAAAATGAAGCCATTATTGAAAAATAGATTCACTTTGTTATGTGCTTTGTCTTTGGTTGTGCATGTTTAACTCTAACATTGTACTCAAATTACCATGACTGAATTTTAATATTGTGAACAGTCCAACAAAGAGGTTATTAATTAGTATTTCTAGCTATCTACAGCCCATTAAATAGGTTGCTTGTTAAAGGCAGTATAGTTTCAAGTTCAAATGACTTAAAATAATGAGCAGAATTCATTTTCAGTTCATTAACACAGTTGTCAGCCTTCCTGGGCAGGTAGCAGTAGCATAAGTTTTACCGCCCACAGATGAAGCTGCCGAGGACAGGGACATCCCTTTCCTGGGTCTCTGTGCCTTCTTCATTCTTGTCACATTTCTCAGCAATGTGCTCTCTAATTCTCTGATCTTTTGACATTGCCATTCGCTGGAAAAAGGACATTAATCAAAATATGTATGCTGAAATTTTATTTAAGCAGAAATAGGGACACTCATAAGTTCAGATATCTGTGTGAGTATTTTCATTAGAAATGTGCAGAATCTCCAGCCTGGCCTCTGCATGGAAGCAAGTTACCCCCAAGGGGAGCCAGGGCGAGCAGGTACCAGCTCAGGCTCCTTCCTTCTCCCTGTGCCGGTGCACCTCTGCACCTTTGCACCTGGATGCAGCTGGGAGAGGGTCGATCTAAATGCACATTCCATTTCTTCAGAAGCATTTTTGCTTTACACTTCTCTGCCAGCTCAGTATTTTCTGTTAGCATCAAATAAAATTAAATATATAGAGTATATATATGTACGTGTATAAATGTGTATTTATATCTTTGTGTATATACACAGATATATATATATATGTATGTGTATACATATACATATAGAGAGAGACAGAGAGACAGAGACAGAGACAATTGAATGGTGAGCCCCATCTGAAATATAAGTCCTCATCCTCACCCCCAGAACCTCTGAATATGACCTTATTTGGGAAAGGGCCTTTGTAAATGTAATTGGGAGATTGGGGGATTAGGGATCTCAAGATGAGATTATCCTGAATTATCCAGTTTTTTCCTAAATTTAACATCAAATGTCCTTACAAGAGAAAGGCAGAAGAGGTCTGAGACAGTGAGGAGAAGGCCATGTGAAAACAAAGACAGAGGGTGGGGCGATGTGGCCACACAACAGGGAATTCAGGAACCACCTTAAGCGAGAAGAGGCAAGAAGGGATTCTCTCATTGAGCCTTCAGATTCCTGGCCTCCAGAACTGTGAAATGGAAAGCTCCTACTGTTTTAAGGGACCACATTTACAGTAATTTGCCATGGCAGCTCTAAGAAACAAATTACTATACACTCACACAAATACACACAGTCACACATGCACACACATGCATGCATGCATATACATATACAATTTATATGCACATACATATATACATATGGAAATGTATACCCATGCCCAACACAGTGGCCTGGCACACACTTTATATTCAATAAGCATCATTCCCTTCTCTTCTCCCTGTCCTGACCTGCCTCTGTTCCCGAGAGTGAAGGTGGCTCTAGAAAATCAGCACCCCATTGTACCAAGTGTCCCTCATCTGATTTCAGTGTTTGCACCGAAGAACTTCCCTAGCACTTTGGGAGGCCGAGGTAGGTGGATCACCTGAGGTCAGGTGTTCAAGACCAGCCTTACCAATATGGTGAAACCCCATCTCTACTAAAGGCATGGTGGGGGGCGCCTGTAGTCCCAGCTACTCGGGAGGCTGAAACAGGAGAATTGCTTGAACCCGGGCAGCGGAGGTTGCAGTGAGCCAAAGTCTTGCCATTGCACTCCATCCTGGATGACAGAGTGAGACTCCGTCTCAAATAAAATAAAATAAAATAAAATAAAATAAAATAAAATAAAATAAAATAAAATAAATAAAATAAAATAAAATAAAATAAAATAAAAAATAAAAGTTTGTTCTTCCTGACTCAATCCTGTCACCCTCTGAACCAAGATGCGCACAGCACCTGTAAGGCCAAGCTCTGGGCTGAATACACCTTGCAGAGGCCTCAGAGAGCCTTCATCCATGGCCTAATGGTGTCCAGAGAAAGGGACCCACTTGACGAAACATATAAGTCCTCATAAAATCTGCTGCTTCAGTTACCTGGAATAGATGTTCTTCAGGCCGCTCCATACGCCACAGTGCTATAAGTACACATGCACTTAAATAGCCTTTGCCACACGTCAGACTCTGCACTGAGCTTTTTTTATACAGTAGCTTATTTAATGCTTACATTATTTCTTCATGTGAACTACTATTATTATCTCATCCTATGAGGAAGAAACTGAGGCACAAAGAAATCATAGAGCTTGTGTGCAGAGGTGCTGGAGGTGCGAACCCGGCCATGGGCCTCCTGGGTCTGTACTTTTCAACACTGCCTGAGACTGTGAATAAAAGACAATACTGGGCATATTTCAGCCCTTTCTCACACCTAAACATATCCTAGCGATGTATTTTTGTTGTTGTTCTTATTTTTTCTTCTCTTAATCACACAGGATTTGCTCACTTGGAAACTGGTTAAAAACAACAGGTTTTTTTTTTTTTTTTTTTTTTTTTGGCATCAACTACTAAAAAGGCATCAAATGGAAGGAAATCTATTGGTTACAATATTTCCTCTGGGGAACTCTAAAGACTTTTGGGGTATACTGTAATCTCCTACAATGACCTTTTCTAAGGCTCTGCAAAAAAATTAATAAAGTGGAGGAAATGGAGAAGGAACACTTATCGTGTTTGATTTTTCATTGACTTTGGTGTTGCGGAGATGTTAACGGTGTCCTGTCAGGAGACTCAGTGGAGCATCACAGTTGCAGATTTGACATGTGTTTTTATTCATTCCTTTGGCCCTCCCAACAGAGGCCCCTAGAGTCTCAGGGCTAGAGGAGGGGATGCCTTGTGCCACTTGTGGATTCCATAAAGACGGAGTTTTGTTTTCCTAAACGCATTTAAGATCTTTCTCTGTCCACTTTACTCCATCCTCCCTGAAGAGGTGGAATGATTCACCAGAGTGACAAATTCTGGAAAATTGTACTGGCTTAGCTCAGTCCCTCATTTTCACCCAGTCCTCATCGCCTTTGGTGAGCTGGAGAAAGGAGCTAGGAGTGGCATCTTTCTGGTCCATTCTCACCTGGCAATGGGCCATGTGCAGAAGTCTGCTGTGGCAGAGGTTTCTGGTTTCTGCACCCCATCTTTTTGGCTCACAGCTGCAAAAATTCAAGTTCAGACTAGTATGGCAGAATCCTCCCTCCAAGACACATTCCAAGTCTTGCCACTTTTTGCCTCTGGGACACTCTGAAGCTGAATAAGCCTGTTTGGCCAACAAACCTGTGCAGCAGAAATGCTGGGCATAGCCAGGCATGGTGGTTCACACGTGTGGTCCTAGATACTCAGGAGGCTGTGGTGGAAGAATCGCTTGAGTCCAGGAATTTGAAACCAGCTGGTTAATATAGTGAGATCCCTTCTCTATGAAACATTTAAAAAATCAGCCAGGCATGGTGGTGTGCTCCTGTAGTCCCAGCTACTTGGGAGGCTGAGGCAGAAAGATCCCTTGAGCCCAGGAGGCCGAGGTTGTAGTGAGCTACGATGGCACCATTGCACTCCAGCTTGGGCAACAGAACAAGGCACTGTCTCATAAAGAATAAAGAAAGAAACGCTGGAGAGTTAAACCTCTGTAGGCAACACTTAGTCCATGGGAAAAGGAGCCAGTGGCTTTATGCTCCAGCTTCTCCTCCTTGAGATGACAATTCTGTGAGCGTGCTTTATTTTTTTCAGGGTGTTTGGAACAATCACGCCTCCATTAGAACTGACCTTGATAAGACACTTTTATGCCAGCTTTTTCTTCTCCCTAGTCTCATTCCCCACCCACCCTCATTTTTGCTTCCTGCAATCATCTCCCAAATAATCAACCTACATCCAATCCTTGTCATGGTTTCTGACTTGTGGGGAACCCAGATTGAGACACTGCCTGTTTCTATAAATTCAGTGAGCTCACCCATCTTGCGCTGACAGCAAGCTAAGCCTTCGAGGCTTTGGTGGCAACAAAGCTTCTGTCTGGGCCTCTATGCTTATCTGGTTTTACTTCTTAAATCACTTAGGTTTCGGAAGAGAAGAATTGTGCTGTTTTGGGGAGGGATACTTAAAGACTCCAGGATGCAGAGGTTTTTAATACATTTGTAGTATTTCACAGACTGCAAAGTGCCTTTGCATCTGTGACTTCTCCAATGTGAGGGACACACCTACACACACACACACACACACACACACATACACACAGAGGAAAGGTCTCAGCAAGGCCACTCCATAACTCTGTCACTTCAGGTATGTCATAAACTCAAGCATTAAATAAGGGTATCTAAGAAACAACATTGCCTTCAAAAGGTTAACTTTGAACTAGAAGAAAAAAAAACAGAAAAGTATAAATTATTGGCAGAAACTACATGGCATTTTATATATATATATATATATATATATATGGAGTCTCGCTGTCTCCCAGGCTGGAGTGCAGTGGCATGACCTTGGCTCACTGCAAACTCCACCTCCCAGGTTCAAGAAATTCTCTGCTTCAGCCTCCCAAGTAGCTGGGATTACAGGTGCGTGCCACCACGCCTGGCTAATTTTTGTATTTTTAGTAGAGATGGGGTTTCACCATCTTGGCCAGGCTGGTCTTGAACTCCTGACCTTGTGATCCACCCGCCTTGGCCTCATAAGGTGCTGGGATTACAGGCATGAGCCACCATGCCCAGCCAGTTATGTGGACTTTAAGGCCCCAGTATGAGCTATCAAGATAGCACTGGGAGCTGGATGGTAAGTAAGAGTCTCCTCACCATTCTCTGGGCCTTGGCATCATTTTGGATTCTTGGATAGGTTGCCTAAAATCTCTTGGTCCCGGCATCCACATCTGGAAAATGGATATAAAGACACTCCAATCCTTTTCTGAAGTGGAGTAAGAATGAACAGAACGAGGTAGGTAAAGCAGTTAGCAAATGGCTAGGCATACAGCTGGTCCCTAGTGAACTCTAGACATTTATGTTAGTGATCCATTGCTATCTATATATTACCACAGAACTTAGTGGTTCTAATAAAATAAATGAACATGTATTATGTTGCACAGTTTCTGAGGGTCAGGAATTCAGGGGCTACCTGATTGGTTGGTTCTGGTGGCTAGTATCCCATGAGATATCAGAGGACAACTGGGCTGCGGCCATTTGAAGGCTGGACTGGATTTGGAAGATCTGATTCCAAGGTGTGGCCCCTCATGGCTGGCAAGTCGACATTGGCAACTGGCAGGAAGACTCGGTTTCTTGCCACAGAAACCTCTCCACTGAGCTGCTAGAATGTCCTCATGATATGGCAGCTGGCTTCCTATATGTATATGCATATGTATTTCTATTTCTATTTCTACTTGTACTTTTACTTCTGTGTTTCTATATCTATCCCAATGTAGTTTAAGGTAAATTTTAAAGCCATCAGTTCCAACCACAAGAGCAGAGAGGAATGAGATGTCACTAGGAACTTCCTGTGATCCTTCCAAATGAGTATATTCTATTTGGGTAAGCAGAAAGGTGGCAATAACAGGTGCGAGGGCAGGGAGGAAGGAGAGACACATATCTGAAAGACAGATGGATGAAGGCATGGGGTAGAAGACTCAAGCTGGAAAGAACACAGGGAGAGGCAAAAAACAGATGCCAGTGGAGGAGGGAGCAATGAGGTCAACAGCAGATTATTGGACACATTTCAGCAGGAGTCTAACCTGATCAAAGTGGCCACAACTAAAATTGGTTTAGGCGCAATGCAAAGGAGTAGGGCAGCTTGACAAATCCTGGAGGTAGGAGACTGTTCAATGTTTCAATATGCATTTATTATGAGCAAAATGCATGTCATTGCAGGGTAATGGGCACTAATTTACTCAAAGACCCCTTGAGAGAACATCTTAAGCTCTGCCTTCTAGACAAGTAGAAATTAAGATATGACGATACTTGTGAGCGAAAACTATGAGCTGACAGCCCATGCAATCTTCCTGGGTTCTGGTGATTATAGCCAAGGCTGGGCACACTTTGAGGGAAGCCTTATGGCAGCAGATACCTTGCCAGCTTTTCTTGAACAACATCATCAGGATCATTGGAGGAGCTTGCATTTGCATTGCTATGCACAGGAGTCTTCACCTGATCATAACTGAGCATCATTACCTGTTAATGAGCATCACTACCTAATACTGAGCATCATCATTACCTGTTATCCTGGGCCCACCTCATAAATCCCAGAATGGAACACAGCATGGCGAAGGGGGCAGCGCTTGTATTATCTAGAGTTGGACTGACCCAGGTTCAAACCCCAGTTGCTTGATACCTATATTTTTCATGAACTTCTGTTTCTCTCTCTCTCTCTCTCTCTCTCTCTCTGTGTGTGTGTGTGTGTGTTTGTGTGTGTATTTTTTAAGATAAGCCAATAACTACTAGAATGACTGTAGTCACAATTAAATAAGAGTCTACTTGAAAATTATCTTGTTCATGGTAGAGGTTAGCTTCCTTCCATTTTGCTTGGCATCTCAAGTCACATAACAGAGAAAGTACTGAAAGGAATTAGGCATTAGTCTCTGAGCATGGTGACCTTTAAGCAACAGTGACACCCCACTGGGCAGGTCTTGACCCTGAAGAATATTATTGGCCAAGTGAGGTTTCCAAAATCCATTACAGGTCACTCAGTTGCTACTATGTTGTTCCTTTTTTAACTCACGTACTGGTTATCTTGAAATCTGTCCCTTAAATTCTGATAACACTCTCAGCATGGTGACCTGTGTACAACTCTGCTTTTAAAATGCATGTTTTCATCTATCTCTGGTACTTAATCCAGGCCATATCCAGAGCTTATGCTTATTTGACTTTTCTATTCCAGGTCGACCATTTAAAATCTATTCTCTGGTATGAACGACAAAAACAAAAACAAAAATGCCCAGTCCAAACATGCTATATTACCTGTGAACCAGGCACATAAGCTGCTCTTGGGGGACACATAGGATGATAAAGAATTAAGCATTTGTTATTGAAACCACCAAGAGTCTGGGGTTGTTTTATTACAGTAAAGTTTTGTCTATCTTGATTAAATAAATTAGAAGGTTTGGGTTTAACACCCTTGTCATAATTAGCAAATAATCAGTTCCAGATCCTTGGGCCAGAGAACACCAATGAGGCTCACATCCACACAGAGGGGTTTGGGATAATAGGATCTGGGTTTCAAACCAAACTGAGAGAAGTTCTACATGATGAAGCCTGGGGGATGGAGGACCAGAATTCTGATGAATAGGAGTCAGTTTGGATCAAAGGAAACAGGATTTAGTGCTTAATCTGAACAATAAAGCACAGTTGAATCTGAAAGAAATGGCTAAAAAATTAATCTCAAAGGGCTATGGGGGGAGAAAAACAGCTGCATATATAGGGCTAAAATTATGGATGCTTCAGAGCCAAGGCCTTGAATCAGGTGCTGTGACACCTGGCTCATCTGGTGCCCTGAGTGTACGGTAGAGGGTGGGCACACACCTGATGGGACATTGCTTCTTTGGGCCATGGTTTTCTCTTCTTGTAATATGAAAATAATTATACTTATCTCATATTTAGTACTAAACCATGTATGGCGAAAAACAAAAGGCAACAACACAAATGTGCAAGAATTGCATATAAGACAAATTCCAGTTGAGGTTTCACCTTAAACAGATGGTGCACTCTTCCCAGACTTCTGCAGGACAATTTTCTCATCATGTGAGCATACTTACAAATTGTTCCAGCTGTTCCAAACTCCCCATCCAAGTCTGTAGCCAGGCAGAGATTACAGTTTGCTCTGACTCCATTACGTTTCTATTAGAATTTTCCACCCTCAGCAGGGGTTCCCCATTCTAACAGCTCATTTGAGGAGCCAGGGACAAAAAGTAATTTGTAATTTGGACAAAGTAGGACAGCCAAGGGAGTATTGTTCTGTTTTGTTTTGTTTCCCCAGCTTTATTGAAGCACAATTAGTACACAAAAAGTTGCACATGATTAATGTGTACAATTTGGTGAGCTTGGACATGTGTATAGACTTATGTTATCATCCATCGC
Source organism: Homo sapiens (assembly GCF_000001405.40). Classification (NCBI taxonomy): domain Eukaryota; kingdom Metazoa; phylum Chordata; class Mammalia; order Primates; family Hominidae; genus Homo; species Homo sapiens. The sequence goes on along the minus strand of NC_000004.12, from coordinate 11,048,929 downwards.
CACAATCAAGGTAAAAAACATTTTCATTGACTTTAAAAGTTTCATTATGACCCTTGTGTATGTGTGTGATAAGAACACAGCATGAGACATACTCTTTTAACAAACAAATTTTTAAGTTCACAATACCTTATTGCCAACTCAAGGCACTAGAGGGTATATCAAGTATCTAAGATAGTCAAACAGAAAGAGTTTCTTGTTAATCAGGTGACAGCTGAAAGGTAACTGGTTGCAAAGCACAGGTCTAGAAAACCTGTTTCCACCAGATGGTTTTTGCCATTCTGGTGTCATTAGGGAGCTGTACTTTATTTTCCTCTCATGTGCACATATATCAGGGACTTGCAATGGGCCAAATATTGCTAAAAGTAATTTCAACTTTTCGTTTTCTCAAGAGTCCCTTGTATAAGGGACATGGCATTATCCTCTATTTTTAGATGGAGTTATTAAAACAAAGGGACATACTCAAGGTTATGCAACTGGTAAGGTTGGACGAGACGTTGAACCTAAGCAGTTTGCTCCAGACCCTCACTCGTACCCTGGGGACTGTATCCTATGTTCATATGTGCATGTGTTGAGGAACTAGCATGGTTCTCAAAATCGAGAGGGCAACAAATTTACTGGGAAGCATCATAAAATACTTATGTCTAGACCTCATTCCATGTATACAAAGCACACTTCTCAAATTCAAGCATTTTGTTGCCTCCTTTATAGTCGATGTTCATCTATCAGTCACTTTCCTCCAACTCCCACCTCATGCCTTCACTTCACCTGCCAGGATCATGCTAACTGCTCCTTTAAAAAATTTTGCATAAATAAACAGTTGTATAATTGAATGCAAGAATATATGAATTGTGGCTGGATGCAGTAGCCATATCTGTAATCCTAACATTTCAAAAGGCTGAGGCAGAGGGATCACTTGAGCCAAGGAGTTCGAGACCATCTTGGCAACACAGTGAGACCCCCCATCTTGATAAAAAATTAAAAAATTGTCTTGACGTGGTGGAGTGTGCCTGTAGTCCCAGCTAATCAGGAGGATGATGTGGGAGGATCCTTTGAGCCAAGGAAGTTGAGGCTGCAATTAGCTGTGATCACACCACTGCACTCTAGCCTGGGTGACTGAGGAAACCCGTCAAAAAAAAAAAAAAAAAAAAGCTCGAGCTCTGCTAAAGGACAGATTGCCTCCTTAAGTTGGTCCCTGACCCCCATACCTCCTGACTGGGAGACATCTCACCTCCCAGGAGGGGTCAACAGACACATACAGGACAGCTCCAGCTGGCATCTAGCAGGTGACCCTCTGGGACAAAGCTTCCAGAGGAAGGAACAGACAGCAATCTTTGCTCTTCTGCAGCCTCCACTGGTGCTACTCAGGCAAACAGGGTCTGGAGTGGACCTCCAGCAAACTCCAGCAGACCTGCAGCAGAGGGGCCTGACTGTTAGAAGGAAAAGTAACAAACAAAAACGAATAGCATCAAATTCAACCAAAAAAAATCCACACAAAAATCCCATCTGAAGGTCACTAGCATCAAAGACCAAAGGTAGATAAATCCACAAAGATGAGGAAAAACCAGCGCATAAAGGCTGAAAATTCCAAAAACCGGAATGTCTCTTCCCCTCCAAAGGATCACAACTCTCACCAGCAAGGGAACAAAACTGGACAGAGAATGAGTTTGATGAACTGACAGAAGTAGGCTTCAGAAGGTGGGTAATAACAAACTCCTCCAAGCTAAAGGAGCATGTTCTAACCCAATGTAAGGAAACTAAGAACCGTGAAAAAAGGTTAGAGGAAGTGCTAACTGGAATAACCAGTTTAGAGAACAACATAAATGACCTGACGGAGGTGAAAAGCACAGCACGAGAACTTCATGAAGCATACACAAGTATCAATATTTGAATCAATCAAGCAGAAGAAAGGATATCAGAGACTGAAGATCAACTTAATGAAATAAAGTGAGAAGACAAGATTACAGAAAAAAAGAATGAAAAGGAACAAACAAAGCCTCCAAGAAATATGGGACTATAAGAAAAGACCAAACCTACATTTGATTAGTGTACCTGAAAGTGACGGGGAGAATGGAACCAAGTTGGAAAACACTCTTCAGGGTATTATCCAGGAGAACTTCTCTAACCTAGTAAGACAGGCCAACATTCAAATTCAGGAAATACAGAGAACACCACAAAGATACTCCTCGAGAAGAGCAACTCCAAGACACATAATCGTCAGATTCACCAAGGCTGAAATGAAGGAAAAAATGTTAAGGGCAGCCAGAGAGAAAGGTCGGGTTACCCACAAAGGGAAGCCCATCAGACTAACAGTAGATCTCTCTGCAGAAATCCTACAAGCCAGAAGAGAGTAGGGCCAATATTCAACACTCTTAAAGAAAAGAATTTTCAACCCAGAATTTCATATCCAGCCAAACTAAGCTTCATAAGTGAAGGAGAAATAAAATCCTTTACAGAGAAGCAAATGTGGAGACATTTTGTCACCACCAGGCCTGCCTTACAAGAGCTCCTGAAGAAAGCCCTAAACATGGAAAGGAAAAACTGGTACCAGCCATTGCAAAAACATACCAAATTGTAAAAACCGTTGACACAATGAAGAAACTGCATCAATGAAAGGGCAAAATAACCAGCTAGCATCATAATGACAGCATCAAATTCACACATAACAATATTAACCTTAAACATAAGTGGGCTAAATGCTCCAATTAATAGATACAGATTGGCAAATTGGATAATGAGTTAAGACCCATCAGTGTGCTGTATTCAGAAGACCAATCTCATGTACAAAGACACACACAGGCACAAAATAAAAGGATGGAGAAACATTTACCAAGCAAATGGAAAGCAGAAAAAAAACAGGGGTTGCAATCCTAGTCTCTGATAAAACAGCCTTTAAACCAGCAAAGATCAAAAGACACAAAGAAGGGCATTACATAATGGAAAAGGGATCAATGCAACAAGAAGAGCTAACTGTCCTAAGTACATATGCACACAATACAGAAGCACCCAGATTCATAAAGCAAGTTCCTAGAGAACTACAAAGAGGCTTAGACTCCCACACAAAAATAGTGGGAAACTTTAACACCCCACTGTCAATAGTGGACAGATCAACGAGATAGAAAATTAACAAGGATATTCAGGACTTGAACTCAGCTCTGGACCAAGCAGATCTAATAGACATCTACAGAACTGTCCACCCCAAATCAACAGAATATACATTCTTCTCAGCACCATATTGCACTTATTCTAAAATTAACCACATAATTGGAAGTAAAACACTCCTCTGCAAATGCAAAAAACAGAAATCATAACAGTCTCTCAGACCACACTGCAAGCAAATTAGAACTCAGGATTAATAATTGCACAACTACATGGAAACTGAACAACCTGCTCCTGAATGACTACTGGGTAAATAATGAAATAAAAGCAGAAATAAATAAGTTCTTTGAAAACAATGAGAACAAAGACACAAGGTACCAGAATCTCTAGGACACAGCTAAAGCAGTGTTTAGAGGGAAATTTATAGCACTAAATGCCCCCAGCAGAAAGCAGGAAAGATCTAAATTTGACACCCTAACATCACAATTAAAAGAACTAAAGGAGCAAGAGCAAAGAAATTCAATAGCTAGCAGTAGACAAGAAATAACTAAGATCAGAGCAGAAGGAAGGAGATACAGACACGAAAACCCCTTTAAAAAATCAGTGAACCCAGGAGCTAGTTTTTGAAAAGATTAACAAAATAGATAGACTACTAGCCAGACTAAAGAAGAAAAGAAAGAAGAATCAAATAGACACAAGACAAAATGGTAAAGGGGATATCACCACTGATCCTACAGAAATACAAACTACCATAAGAGAATACTATAAACACCTCTACAAAAATAAACTAGAAAATCTAGAAGAAATGAATAAATTCCTGGACACATACACCCTCCCAAGACTAAACCAAGAAAAAGTCAAATCCCTGAATAGACCAATAACAAGTTCTGGAATTGAGGCAATAATTAATAGCCTACCAATAAAAAAAACTCCAGGACCAGACAGATTCACAGCCGAATTCTGCCAGAGGTACAAAGAGAAGCTGGTACCATTCCTTCTGAAACTATTCCTATCAATAGAAAAAGAGGGACTCCTCCCTAACTCACTTTATGAGGCCAGCATCATCCTGATACCAAAACCTGGCAGAGACACAACAACAACAAATAATTTCAGGCCAATATCCCTGATGAATATCAATGCTAAAATCCTCAATAAAATACTGGCAAACAGAATCCAGCAGCACATCAAAAAGTTTATCCAACATGATCAAGTCAGCTTCATCCCTGGGATGCAAGGCTGGTTCAACATACACAAATCAATAAATGTAATACATCACATAAACAGAACCAGTGACCAAAACCACATGATTATCTCAACAGATGCAGAAAACACCTTCAATAAAATTCAACAACCCTTCATGCTAAAAACTCTCAATAAACTAGATATTGATGGAATGTATCTCAAAACAATAAGAGCTATTTATGACAAACCCACAGCCAATATCACACCAAATAGGCAAAAGCTGGAAACATTCCCTTCGAAAACCGGCACAAGACAAGGATGCCCTCTCTCATCACTCCTACTCAACACAGTATTGGAAGTTCTGGCCAGGGCAATCAAGCAAGAGAAAGAGATAAAAGGCATTCAACTAGGAAGAGAGGAAGTCAAATTGTCTCTGTTTGCAGATGACATGATTCTATATTTAGAAAACCCCATCGTCTCAGCCCATAATCTCCATAAGCTGATAAGCAACTTCAGCAAAGTCCTGGGATACAAAATCAATGTGCAAAACTCACACGCATTCCTATATGCCAACAATAGACAGAGAGCCAAATCATGAGGGAACTCCCATTCACAATTGCTACAAAGAGAATAAAATACCTAGAAATACAACTTACAAGGGATGGGAAGGACCTCTTCAAGGAGAGGAACAAACCAGTGCTCAAGGAAATGAGAGAGGACACAAACAGATGGAAAAATATTCCATGCTCATGGTTAGGAAGAATCAATATTGTGAAAATGGCCATCCTGCCCAAAGTAATTTATAGATTCAATGCTATCCCCAACAAGCTACCATCGATTTTCTTCACAGAATTAGAAAAAAAAACTACTTTACATTTCATATGGGACCAAAAAAAGAGCCCATAGAGCCAAGACAATCCTAAGCAAAAAGAACAAAGCTGGAGGCATCACGCTACCTGACTTCAAACTATACTGCAAGGCTACAGTAACCAAAACAGCATGGGACTGGTACCAAAACAGATATATAGACTAATGGAACAAAACAGAGGCCTCGGAAATAACGCCACACATCTACAACCATCTGATCTTTGACAAACCTGGCAAAAACAAGCAATGGTGAAAGGATTCCCTATTTAATAAATGGTGTTGGGAAAACTGTCTAGCCATATGCAGAAAACTGAAACTGGACCGCTTCTTTACACCTTATACAAAAATTAACTCAAGATGGATTAAAGACTTAAACTTAAGGCCTAAAACCATAAAAACCCTAGAAGAAAACCTAGGCAATACCATTCAGAACATCGACATGGACAAGGACTTCATGTCTAAAACACCAAAAGCAATGGTGACAAAAGCTGAAATTGACAAATGGGATCTAATTAAACTAAAGAGCTTCTGCACAGCAAAAGAAACTATCATCAGTGTGAACAGGCAACCTACAGAATGGGAGAAAATTTTTGCAATCTATCCATCTGACAAAGGACTAACATCCAGAATCTGCAAGGAATTTAAACAAATTTACAAGAAAAAAAACAACTCCATCAAAAAGTAGGCAAAGGATATGAATAGACACTTCTTGAAAGAAGACATTTATGTAGCCAACAAACTTATGAACAAAAGCTCGACATCACTGGCCATTAGAGAAATGCAAATCAAAACCACAACGAGATGCCATCTCACGCCAAGCAAATGTCACATGCTCAATGGACTTTGACCATGAGTGTGTCCCTTAGCCTTCTATTCAGCTGTCCCTGTTTGTGTTACATCTGTTATAACAGAGAGTCTGAAACAATTTTCTAATGGGAAAAGTAAATCTGGACTGCCTTCATTAAAATTGCAACCCAGCATGGAGGGTCTAAGTGAAGTCTCCAAGCATGTTTACTATGTAGCTTCCCTGGATAGCAAAATGAAATCAAGGAATTGTAGTGTTAATCTTAGGGGAATAAATATATTTCCAAGGGATTTGTATGTACTTGATTTCATTCTCTCTTTTAGAGAAAATGCACCTATCTCACTTAAAGTCCACTAAACAAGTTTACATTTTAAACTGAGGCCTCTTTTGCTTCTTTCTGAATTCCTAACCTTGAACTTTTATGATTCTAATGTCTATTTATTCAGAACCTACTGAGTTCCTGCAAGTTCATAAATACTATCACTTATTTTCACAAGTCTCAATCTTATGAATTAGAAACTGAGAGGTTAACTATCCTCTCTATAACTATTAAATAATTGTGTTTCACAGGTGGATTGAATCCCCTGGGACACAAACTTTTTACAGTAGCTGAGCTGGGTTCCGTTGATTATGTCAAGCCCAACAAGGGTAATCTCTCTTTTGACTAACTTAAAAACAACTGATGAGGAATTTTAAGCACATCTGCAATATCACTTCACATTGGCACCTAGGTTAGTGTTTGTTGAAATAGATAAAGATTGTAGCTGAGTTGACACATTAGAAATTCATTACAGTAACAGAGCTGACCCATATGGTGCTAAAACAAGCACAAATTTCAACACATCACACTACCTTTTACAAAATGGTTCCCATTATTTATTTTTTGTCTTAAGAACAAAATACTCTTTTTACTAACAGTGATTCGCCATGGAAATAATTTTCGAGGATGAAGGAGAGATACAAGGTGAGCCCATTAAAACTTATACAGTGGGTTTGAGTAGGTTAAGGAGAACTCTTTTCAGATGAAGATAGCATCGTTTCTCTAAATTCTATGGCAAAAGAAAAAACACAGAACTTCTGGAAGGTAGGTATGATATGGTTTTCAAAGCAGTGAGTGCAATGGTAGACTGGAGAAGGAGTAAGTGTAATAAGGTTCTTCATTTCCATAGTGTGTAATATCTATTTTTAGTAAGGCAAATGATCACATCATGTATATTTGGAATGAATATTTGATCTGTTATCACCTTTATTATTAAATTCCTTGGAAATCTGCTCATCCTGTGTTCCACTTATATCTGTAGTTGTAAATTCAAACCACCTTGGATATCTGCTTTTTCTACAGCAGATGCAAAACTTTTCATTTCATCCAAAATGAAAATTTCAAGGCTCAGTAAAAGGCTGATGCCAGTCAAAAAGCAAGGAAGAAAATGAACCAAAAAAAATAAAAATAAAAATAAGAAGATGCAAGAAATTCTGATAATAAAAATAAATAATATTAAAAGCATCAATAATATGGTCCCATTTAAAGTAAGGTCTGTAATGCTACACTCCAAGTTGCAATGCGTATCATTCCCAGATTCTAGCATAGCTATCACTAATGCCAGGAATCACAACCTAGGACCATAGAGGAAGGTGCACTTATGTGTACAGCCACATGTTTAAAAGTCTCCAGGTGTTTTAAAAGTTTTTTTTCTGCAGAGACTGTTCCAACAGGTGAAATTTTGTATCTGAAAAGAAGTCACATCATTTCTGTAGTGATGCCATGTGACAAGATAAATGACACTATCTATACATTTATGGTTTTTATTGTACCAGTCTCTGGGACAGAACTATTATCTCCACTCAGAATTGCTTGCAAGGGCAGTATCCAATATGCAGGCAGTACTACAAATAAGAAATAAAATACAAGAAAAAGATTGATTAAGACATCACACTGCCCAAGGCTATGACAGGTAAGATCATAGGAAGCAGTGCAGTAGGTAATGATTCAGGGCCTGGCATTTGGAGATAAAGAGCCTGAGTTGGAATCTTTATTTTAAAACCAGTTGCCTAGTACAAGGAAAGTCACAACCTTTCTACGTGTCTTAGTTTCTTCTTTTAAAAAGTGGGCTAATAATTCATACTCACAGGATTTTATAATAGACACCAATTATTTCAAAGATGTTGCTATGATTTGAATGTTTTTTTCCCCTGCAAATTAATGTGTTGGTAGTCTAATTCCCAGTGGAACAGTGTTGGAAGGTGGGGCCTAATGGGAGGTGCTCAGGTCAGGAGGCCTCTGCCCTCATAAATAGATTAATGCCGTTATAAAAATGGCTTGCAGGAATGTGTTTATTCTCTTTGGTTGTTCTGCCACGGGAGAAACAGTGTTCCTCCCTCCAGAAGTTGCAGCGTTCAAGGAGCTGTCTTGGAAGTGGAAACCAGGTCTTTGCCAGACACCAAACCTGCTGGTGCCTTGATCTTGGAGTTCCCAGCCTCCAGAAATGTAAGAAATAAATTTTTGTCCTTTATAAACTACCTAAGTCTCAGATATTCTGTTACAGTTGCACAAAATAGACTGACATAAGCCAAGTACTAATTGCAGCAATAATGCATTATATATGAGTTCTAACAACATTAGCTATTATTATTTCCCCAATTAAAAGGAATTTAGGAAGCAGTTCAAAAAATGTTGAGCAGAAGTTGTGAGGCCTCCTCTACTAGTGGCCTGAAATAGGAGTAGGTGTATCAGGAGACACATTTAGAAGCCATGTCTACTTTAGGGCCTGGTTTTCTGAAGCATCATGAAGTGTCAGCCTGGAGACAGGTATACAGCTGCCATGATGGGGGCAGCCTGCCCACGGGTGTCATATTAACCTGCTCGTTGAATGAAGTTGGGGTTCTGTACAAAGTGGACCTCTCAGAAGTCTGCTTTCTTTCAGCAAGAGAGTTCAACACTGGCCTAGCCTGTTCAGGGTAATCAAGGGGTGCTTAACAGTTATTCTTGGAAAGCACATATAGTTCAAAAGTTCATTAGGTGGCCGCATAAACAGCACACCCTGTGCTGATTGATATTGGTTGTTTCCCATGAGCGGGCAAACAGTGGGCAGGGTGAGGAAGTGGGTGGAGAGGAAAGAGCCCCCTTGAATGGGTGTTGGCCAGCAGCCACTCTGAAGAGGTCCAGGGATGAGGGGCATTTCTGTAAACACTTGAAGATTGCTGCCAGGAGCGCCTCCCTGTGCGGGCAGCGCGTCATCCAAGGTGAACAGAAAAGACATGAGCAAAACCAAACATCAACAACAACAAAAAGGAAGCTCCGAGGCAGCTTTCTCACATGCCTGGAGATGGTGGTTTGTGGCTCCCAGAGGCCTATGCTTTGGCTTCTCTGAAAATCATTTTCTGTCCCTAAGCTAAACTTAGCTTTGTTTTTCAAAGCTAAAGTAACAACAAAATATTCTGTGTTTATGTGAGGCTGTAGCAGATAGCAGGCTTGACCCCTATCTTTGTGAGTTAGTGAAAAAAAAGATCCTATAAACACAGAAGTGGTTAGTCTAGCTAACAAAAAGACATACAAAATATGAATAGGAGACACACACACACACACACATATATATATATAAAATGATGTTGATAAATCATACTGCTTTAGGATTAAAAAAGATTCTTTTAAACATTTAAACATTATGGTATTATACTTGAACTCCCCTACAATATGCCTGTCAAGTAATTTCCCAGCCTTGGATTACAAATTATTTTCAGGAACAGAGAGCTTATTACCTCTCAAGACAACTCTAAAGATTGGAAATTTTCTTTGCATGAGGCCAAAATCCTAATCCCTGGGGTTTCCAGTCTTCAATTCATGTTCTATTTGGTGTTTCATTTCACGTGGAACAAATCCAAAATGTCATATTGCTGCGTATGAGTGAGCAAATTTATTTCAGCTTCCTGTGTCTCAGCTTTTTCTTCGGTAAAGAGAGGGTAATAATGACATCTACTTCATAAGATTTCTGTAAAGATTAAATGAGATCATCCATATAAAGGATTTAGCATCCGACCTGACACATGGTAAGTGCTCACTAATGTTAGGGTTTTCTTTAAGTTTTAAGCTTCATATGACAGTCTTTCAAACATTTTATGAAATTGATTATATAGGTTGTCATTGCAGAAATGTAATTTGAGATATAATTAGATTCTATTAGCTTAATCCTACTCATCAAGCCTTTAGGTAGAATCTACTCCTGGCCAGAGAATGAACTGAGTACTATGATTAGAACAAAGATGAATACAGCACAATCCTGGTTTTCTGTGAAAATCACTGAGCACCCTCACTATTTGGAATGCAGCATGATGATGAAAAGGGTTTCTGGATATGCGGACAAGAGAGCAGTGAATTCTGACTGTGGGAGCCAGAAACATCTCCATGTAGGAGGAAGTGGTGGCATTGGAGCTGAGTCTTTGATAAATACCCCAATGGCTTATGTACCAATAGTCATTTTCCCCTCTCCAATGCATTGAGTAGTGCCTGGTCTCACTGAGCAGAAGATACTGAACCTAGAGAGCATCATGTCTCCTTGGAGAACCTACCCTTCATATAGGAATGCCAGTTATTTTATATGTCTTGAAGAGAGTTGGGAAACACGGGATTAGTCTGGAATCTGCAATAAAGAACAGAGCCCTGTGATCCCAGGAAAGTGGGCCGGATTCTCCATTCACTCTGTAAATTGATAGCGTGGATCAAATGACCTCTAGGTCCCTTCAGTTTCCAAGCCACATGGCCTGTCTGGCTTTCCTTCGAGTGCAGAGCCAGCCACAGAAGACACAGTGGGCGTCAGGGTGGAGGGCAACATGAAGGCAGAAAGCGGAGAAAGAAATAGTTAGAGATTAGGAATTTCGAGTCACAAATACTTAAGACAGGTTGTGGGTTGTGATCGTTTCTTCAAATCAATTTAAACCTAACCATAAGCTCCCTTGGGCTTGGATAAGGTATCAAATTTTTATCTGTGGTTCCTGAGGATCCTTTAGGCTTCCAGGTCAAAGAGAAAACTCTGCTTTTGTTTTGGTGCAAAGGCTGAAGCTACAAAAGGAGATTAACTTCGGACAATTCTGCTTTTAGTCTTGCAACACCAACTGCCTCTAAGGAAAGGGTGGCCCAAGTGCTTAAATCAAAGCCAGAAAAAACACAGCAAGAACAAAGAATAAAGTAGAATTTAATATCCCAGCAAAGTACTTCACAGCAGTTGTCAACTAGTTGAGTTGGAGAGCTGCTGAAATGCTAGAAAATTATTAGTTGTGTGTCTTAATGGGATTCTGCAAAGGTTTGGGGCCTTTGCAAGACCCCTCTGGGGTCTTGACACATCTATAGGCTGCTACCTGCTTCCCTCTTCTGATTCAATCATTCCTCTTTTGACTTGATTTTGAGAAATGCCCAATTTTCCCTACACCTTCTTTTATTTATTTATTTGTTTACTGCTGTGGTACTTGAGCCCTTCTTATGTGAAGCAAACACATATAACTGGTGTTCCTAATGTAACTGCAAAATGTTCCAGGAAATCTGAAATTGTATTCAGTTCAATATAGGAGTCAGAACCCCAGAGTGTTGGCCTTCTTTTTTCTTCTGATTACATGCTAATTTTTCTCCTTCGGTATCATTTATTCACAAACTCTTGGACCACCTTTAGTCCTACTTCAACCAGGAGAATTTTTTGTTCTTTTCTCTGGTTGCTGAAGCCTTGCATATGATACTTGCATTTTACCACTTTCAAATCACAGATTTTTTTCCTCTCCATTACAACACAATGTGCCCCATTGTCATAAACTCACAAGTTCAAGGATGTCTGAGAGAAGGCAATTTCAGTAAGACTGATGAGGTGAAAATGAATACATGCCCTTCTATCCAAGTGCAGATGGAGTGTAGAGAAACAGGATATCTCAGTTTTGGGGATGAATCACAGGTATTGAACACTGGAAAAAGTTTTGAAGAAGTAATCATTTTGTGGTGCTGTTATGCATTCTACCAAATAAAAGCAAAAAACTGCAAAACAAGTATACTCCAAGCACAACAAGTATACTCCAATGCAGGATAATTACTGCATTATCTCTGCAGCAGAATAGGTTATAAGAAACAATACTGGAGTTTAATGCTCTTAATAAATCATAAGAATATTAATTCAACATTTCCCAAAGAGTCTGAAGCTAGTTAACTGGGAAAGACTAAGATGAATTGTGCGGCCTTGAGCACATGTCTTCCCTTTGTTTGGCCTCACTTTCCTTTATTAGCCAAGTAAGGGATCTGAACTAGAGGAGATCTGAAGTCACTTCCAGGTCCACCATTCGCAGTATGAAGGATATAATAATGATTGTCCTTGAATTGACGGGATCCTGTATAGGATATAAAGCATGTGGCCTTCAACAAACCCTCTCACTTCACCCAAACTCTGGGAAGGATAGAGTGTGGGAGAGGGATGTCCTACTCAGAAGATATCATACCAGTTTTGTAAGAAAAATATCCGCAACCATTCTTTTTAAATTCTTTCAACACTAAAATATTGGAAGTAATTTTGAAAAAATATTTCTAAAATTTCAGAACTGCTTTTATATTTTGTCAAACCCACAAAGGCCTAGGACAAAGGCTCCTAACCTATGGTGTTGGACTTCCAAGGACAGGATTCAGACATGTGGGGATTCCCAGGAATCAGATGCAGATTTTATTTCCATTTGTTTGTCTATATGGAGATGTGCATGAATTTATATACATATATATAAATTCATATAATATATAAAATATATATTATAAATATGTATATAAATTCATGCACATCTACATATAGAAACACAAGTGGAAATAAAATCTGCATATGATTTTAATACATATAATTTTATATACTTTATTATATATTTATATATACAATTTATATATTGTATATATATTATATATAATATATAAATATTATATATTATATATAAATTGTATATATAAACATATATAACATACATATATAAATTTGTATATTCTTCCCCACTCACAGAGAAAAGGTCAACAGATTTCATTATATTTTTAAAGGGACCTAAGCCATTCAAATGTTTAGAAGGAACTACTATTCTGGTAGAAGGTACAAAACATTGAATTCATGAGATGTGCATTCTAGGCCAATTTCTCTCACTGAATACATCTGTAATTTTGAATATAAAAATGATTTCCTCTGAAAGATGACAAAAGTATCGCTTTAAGGTCCAAACTCTACTTATATTTTCCAAACTATTTTGAAATTGAATGCTGTATAGAAATTGATTTAGTTCTTCCACTTTCCTTTATAGATGAAGAAACTGGAGGTCTAGTTAGCTAATGAAGTGACTAACTGTTGGCGTAGGCAGGTAATAAATGCCCACCCCATCAGACTTGTCAGGTACTTAACAGCAAACAGCAACAGTTTATGGTCTATAGTATCGAACACTGACATAGAATATAAACACATCCTATAATTTCCAGCTAATGGAATAAACCACGAAACAATAAAATGATGCCTATTTTAAATAAGGCAACGTTATCATTTGTGATGGACTAGGTTGCTACCTAGGAAAATCAGCTGAACAAAAACAATGTCATTGCTACATTATGAATGCAGAATCTGAGTTCTGACAGGAACTCAGAAACTCACATTAGACCTTATGCTTAGTAAAAAGTAGAAGCTGTATTTAAAGCTCAGACTTTTTATATGTAAAGACCCTGACTTAGCTCTGCAATGTGTCTTTCATTTAGCATCAATCTAAGAGACATTTTTAAAATTATTATTTAATTCTAAATTATATTAGTTTTATAATATGAATTGAGTTCACTTTGTGTGCCTTCAAAAATAACATATGTTTCTCCTTTTAAGTCTTAAATAACTCATAAATCATACAATAGGAACAATTTTCTATAACTTTTTAGTTGCTTCTTTGTTCTTGTCCTATTTATGTTTCCATTTTCTTCAGTTACTTTGAGATATATACATTTTGAAAAAATAACACACTCATTATTATTTATTGAAAGCCCCCAACTGCTAGAACTACATGGGTTTTTATTTAGTTTTATTGTGTTTGGTCATGGTACTTGGGGTAACAAAGACAAGGACTACAGAGACTCCGCCTTCAAAAACTTAGTATTGAAGAGATGGGCAAATAAACTGGCAATTATAGTACAATGTGCTAAACTCAGCAGTACATTTTTAAGATAGCTTAGTACACATTTTTTTTTTACAATAGTGAATCATATGTTTGTTGTATTACTCTTCCAGCCTCCAGTTTGTTTATAATATTTTCTTGATTAAATTTGCCAAATGTTTGTTTTTCTATCTTAAAATTTAACACATAAAGTTATTTTTCAATTATATGAATGTTCAACTGTTTGATCTGTTTAAAAAATTTTTATTATTTTTTCTCTTTACCTCTGAACTTAGTGTGTCAGTTGTTGTTGCTTTTATTGTCATGCTCTGTAATATATTTTTCTATAATTATTCTTAGTCAACGTGTTTTATATTTATAAGTCACTGGCTGGTAGTGATTGAAGAAAGACTTTAGAACAAAGAATAATTCATCTCTAGATTCCTGGGCAATTGATATTGGCAAATATATAAAGGAGGAGACAGGGCTCTTCTGCAGATTAATAATCATCTGGTTCTCTTCTAATGTCCTTTAGATAATAACCCTACAATAGGCATTTATGCCCTGAAGAACTCTTCGGATGAGGTTCTGGAAAGCTAGATGTTAGCATTTACCAGTTGGGCTGGGTTCTAATTATAACCATGCTATGTAGAAGAAAAAAATGGCTTTGCTTAAGTTGCCCTAGCCCCTTCAGCTTTACTCTCTGCTTTTGTGAAAAAAGTGAGATTCATAACACCAACCTCAGAAAAAAGATGTAATGCATCCAAAAGAGGTGAAAATGTTATCCACAAAGTCAGATGTACAGCCCTACCTTATTTAAATCAAATTAAATATGACGCCTCCCCCTAGCTTGGTGGGAAATCTAATCTCAGTCTATGTTGAACCTCATCATCTGCAGGGTGGGTTCCAGATGTCTGGAGGTTTAAATGTCAATTAGAAGAAAGAGCCAGGGCCTCTGACCTTCATGCTGTCCTGGCCACTGTGACACCCTCATTACCTCCAGCACTGTGGCTCCTGGAAGTCTGATGGCTTTGCTGGCCATCCAGGGGTCTGTGGCAGAACAGAGCGGACCATAATAAGGGAAGGTGCCAGTGCTCTTCATCCAGAGGGCAGCTACCTCCTTTCAAACTCACACAATCACTTTCTCACTTCCCTTGTTCTGCCTTTTTCTTCTCTGCCTTTCTCTTCCCCACCTTCACTCCTTGCCCCGGGAGCTTCACTATTTCTGCCCCCTCTTTTCCACAAAGATGGTTCCCAATGAGCCTAGACCTTTACAAAAAAACAGAAAGTGACATTAATGTCTGGGAATTTCTGTTTTTATATTAGTAAGAAATTCCTTGATGTGAGGCATTGCTGATGGCTTTTCCACAGTTTGAATCAGGGCCACAGGAAATGTAGAAAGGGAAAACATCAATGAAAATATTGTGATCATTTGTCTTAGCACACATTATAAAGTGTTGGTTGCTCAAAAATGTAAAAACAGGTCTTCCTTTCTACAAAAATATTCAACGATTATTTAATGGGTATAGTCTTTCCATTGGGATAATGAGAGTGTTATGGAGATGGATAGCAGTGATGGTTACATAGCAAGGTGAATGTACTTAATGCCACTGGACTGAATACTTAATGCTAAAATGGAGAAATTTATGTTTTGCATATTTTGCTGCAATAAAAACTAATAAGTAGTTTCTCGATCATACACAAATTAAACAATTCTTCAGATAACTAGTCAAGGTCCTCCAAAATCTATTTCAACCTACCCACCATTCTAAATGTCTTCTCTTTGTATTCTCTAAGTTGCACTGTGGTGATGTCATGTGAGAAATGACCTAAATGTTTCAGTGACTTACAACAACTAGTGTTTGGTTCACATTCATATCAGGTGCTTGGGTTCTGCTCTAAGCAATGGGTTCATTCAGGATGGCCTACCCTATCTACTCATTCTAGGACTCACAAGGAGAAAGACTGTGACATTCTTAAGGTAGAGGGCAGGAGTGCAAGAGTCCTGGTGGACCTGGGGGAAACTTGCAGTGACTGTCTTAGCTTCTGCTTAGAAAGGGCACATCCACACTTCTTCCCATTCCATTGGCCAAACCATGTCACATGACCAAGCCCAACAACCACTGGGCTTGGCCATGTGACATGGTCCTCTGTACAAAAGAGTACAAATCTTTTGGTGCAACCAAAATATACTCTTTCCAGGAAGGTAGGAAAGGGGAAGTTACTACTTTTTAAGCAACAGTGAAATATACTTATATTCGTCTGTTTTCACACTGCTATAAAAAACTGCCCAAGACTGGATAATTTATAAAGAAAAGAGGTTTAATTGACTCACAGTTCTGCATGGCTGGGGAGGCCTCAGGAAATTTATAAATCATAGCAGAAGGTGAAGGGGAAGCAAAGACCTCCTTCACATGGTGGTAAGAAACAGAGAGCTAGCAAGAGCAAGGAAAACTGCCTTATAAAACTGTCAGATCTCGTGGAAACCTGCTCACTATCACGAGAACAGCATGGGGGAAAACCGCTCCATGATCCAATCACCTCCCACTGGGTCCCTCCCTCAACAAGTGGGGATTATGGGGATTATAACTCAACATGAGATTTGGGTGGGGACATAGTCAAACTATATTAATATTGCAGTCCACCCTTTCAGACACAAATACTCACTTCCCTTCCGTTCAGAAACAAAATACCCAAACAATGTCTCATCTAAAAATATTACCAGGCTCAAGGTCCATCTTACAATGGTTTCCACCTCAGATCTGAAGGTGGCTCCTCTTATCCAGAGACCTATAAACTAAAATGATAGATGATATTTCTCCACACACCCAAAATGTGCTGGATGGAAAGGGACAGGATAACCACAATCAACACCCTCATTTGTAAAGGGGAAAATAAGAAGAAACAGAGCAGTCACCAGGCAATAACAATTTTGAAATTCTCCTGGGCAAACAGTGATCATCCACTGTCCTGGGACGGGAAAGGCTCCTTGATCAGTCCCTGGTTCTCCCTGGGAGTAGCTCCCCAGCCCACTGTTCTTCTGGCCCTTGAATCCAATCTTTGCAATGTGTTTTCTTCCCATTATAATTTTTGTAAAAATTTTAATTCACAAATAAAAACTGCTATGGTATACAAGTTGTTTTGAAATATGTATACATGTGGAATGGCTAAATTTAGCTAATTAAAATTTTGCTAAGTAAAATTTTGTATCTTTTGACCAACATCATCTCAACTACTCCACATCCCTGTAAACCTCTGATAACCACCATTCTACTCTCTAATTCTATGAGTTCAACCCTCGATATGGTTTGGCTGTGTCCCCACCCAAAGCTCATCTTGAATTGTAGCTTGCATAATCTCCACATATTGTGGGAGGAATCTGGTGGGAGGCAAATGAATCATGGGGCTGGGTCTTTCCTGTGCTGTTTTCGTGATAATGAATAAGTCTCACGAGATCTGATGGTTTTAAAAAGGGCAGTTCCCTTGCACACACTCTTGTCTGCCACCGTGTAAGACATGCCTTTGCTCTTTCCTTGCGTTCCACCATGATTGTGAGGCCTCCCGACCAGTGGAACTGTGAGTCCCTTAAACGTCTTTCCTGTATATCACTCAGTCTTGGGTATGTCTTGTATTAGCAGCATGAGAACTGACTAATACAACTCTTTTAGATTCCACATATAAGTGAGATCTTTTGGTATTTTGTCTTTCTGCAACTGCCTTACTTCGCTTAACATAATTTCCTCCATGTTTATCCATGTTGTCACAAGTGACAAAGTTTCCTTGTTGTTTAAGGCTGAATAGTACTCCATTGTGTGTGTGTATATATATATGTGTATATATATATGCACACATATATATATACACACACATATATATATAATATACACACACACACACACATATATATATATATATATATACACACACACACCACATTTTTCTTATCTATCTATCTGTTGAGACACTTAGGTTGATTTCATATCTTAGCTATCGTGAATTTTGCTGCAATGAACATGGGAGTGCAGGTATCTCTTTGACATACTGATTTCATTTCCTTTGGATAAATACCCAGTAATGAGACTACTGGAACATATGGTGGCTCTCTTTTTAATTTTTTGAGGAACCTCCATACTGTGTTCCATAATGGTTGTACTACTTTACATTCAGACCAACTGTGTGCAAGGGTTCCCTTTTCTCAACATCCTCTCCCACACTTACCTTTTGCCTTTTTAATAGTAGCCATTCTAGGCTTGGCACAGTGGCTCACATCTGTAATCCCAGCATTTTGGGAGGCCAAGGCGGGTGGATCACCTGAGGTCAGAAGTTCGAGACCAGCCTGACCAACATGGAGAAACCCTGTCTCTACCAAAAATACAAAATTAGCCAGGCATGGTGGCACATGCCTGTAATCCCAGCTACTCAGGAGGCTGAGGCAGGAGAATCACTTCAACCCAGGAAGCGGAGGTTGCAGTCAGCCAAAATCATACCATTGCACTCCAGCCTGGGCAACAAGAGTGAAACTCCGTCAAAAAACAAAAATAGTAGCCATTCTAACATGTATGAGGTTTGGACATATCTAAGGGAGCATTGGACACAAACGCCTTCTTGGGGTATATACAGCTTTCCCTGCATGCTTCCTAACCATAGTCAATTGGGGGCTTCTGGTAGCAATCCTCAAAGAAGCCCCACTAATAATCTCACTGTATGTTAATGATGCTGTATGCCTCTTCCACATTGTATCAGGGTTAGTTTGTGTGACCAACAGTATATACACTTTTCAGCCACACAATGTAATTCTATTCAGCCATTGACAATAGTGTTTTAAAACTATCTGAGGATATCCAAATTTGTTTACAATTTAGTTTTTGGATGATAAAAGGCAGGTTACAAAATACAGTATTCTCTGATTAAAAGTAGTTGACTCTGATGATGGAATTAAGGCTGATTTTTAGTTTCTTGTGTATGCTTTCATTTTACACATTTTGTATAATTAAGGTTATTTCATTTTTTTGTCAGAAAGTAATGTTACGTATTCCTTCAATGAATGTTCAGGATGCAGAGGAATTCAAAAGTCAGATGCTCTTTGAAATATATTGGTGCGCATAACAGCCTGTCTGTAATTCTCTTTTTAATTGTCAAACATGCATCACTTTAAAACCAATATTTTATAGTATAAGTTTTAATTTTACTTTGCCATTGTATAAGAAATGCTATTCCCTAACTTTAACACTCTAACATTGTGGGGAAAGAAATTGGAGTGTTTTACATGATTTAAATTTTGGCCACTAGTGCAAAAGCAGTGTCCTGGATACTGACCCTCACACCCTACAAGAGAGATGAGATGCTCTCTTCCTACGTTGTCAAATGTAAGGCAATAGATTTTCTAAGTGGCCCAGCTGCCTTCCAAACCCTCTGGTCAGCGGGCCAGGCAGCCTGACAAATCTCAGTACACAATACTTCAGCCTGGGAGCTCCTTTGCAAGTCATGAGACACATCTGTTTTAACACAGCTGAGCCCTTCCTGGGTTTTATCTACAAACTCCAGCACCAGTAGTGGGGGGCTGGTCCTATTCATAATTTGCAAGGCTTTTGCTGGATCCATTCTGGAAATTCCCAGGGCCAGGTGATCTTGGTCCTTTGCTAGTCTGTAGTTCTTGCAAATCCTGATGTGCAGCTAACCCTGATCAGCCCAGGAAAGATGTCATGCGAATGTGTCTCCACGCATGCCAGCACTGTCAGCGAGGCATGCACGGGGCCATACTGACGTGACATCCCACATGTCCCATTGAACAGAGCCCCTCAGATGCCAGGGGGAATTTGCTTTTCAGGGTTTTCTGAGGGGGTCCAAATAGCATCAACTTGTGGAGCTTGAGTCTTGAACAGGTAGAGCTATAAACAAGACTTAAGGAAGATGGGAGAAAAAAAATTCTGCCTTATTGCAAGTAAAGATTGTCTTGGGAAATGTCACTTATATCTGAACAATCAGAATCAGCCAGACTCATCCAGCAGTCATAGGTCATTTTGGGCCAGAGCAGCTTTCCTGGGCAGGGCAGAGGCTGCTGCACCTGAATATGGACTAAAAAATAAATGTGTGCTCCCTGCAGGAACTCAGTCCAAGAGGGAGAAGAAGAAGAGGATGGAAAGGGTGGAGACCCACAGGCCACCCCAGGGAGGAGCAGGCCCTAACTGCAATGTTTACTCTATGGAGAGATCAAGGCACTGAGCAGAGAACCTACTGATGAGGGGAGAACAAGGGTCTGGGCTTGACTAGGCAGGACTTGCCCTGTTTCTTCCTCTAAACTCGGAGCTTCTCAACTCTGCTGTGGAATGATGTCATTCCTGCCCACCAGGAGGTGAGAGAGTGAGGGAGCAGAGAGGAGCCAGAGCATTAGCCTCGTGGTGCTTTCAGCCTGTGGAATAGAACTTCTGGAGTGGGGAAGAAGTACACTCCTGCCCTGTAATTAAGGGTGGCCCAAGTATTTTCTTAACGAAAACAGAGAACTGGGAGTCAGGAAGCCATGGTTCTAACTCACGTTTTGGGCCTCCGTTTCCTCATCTGTTGTTTGTTTCTACATTTAAGGAGTATTCATCTTGGACCAGGCATTGTTATAAATGGAACTTGGGTTAAAATGATGGCTATAAGAGCTGAGTGTAGTGGCTCACACCTCTAATCCCAGTGACTCAGGGGGCTGAGGTGGGAGGACCAATTAAGGCCAGGAGTTAGAGGCCAGCCTGTGCAACAGAGCAAGATCCTGTCTCTGCAAAAAAAAAAAAAAAATTAAAAAGTTAGCAAGGTATGGCAGAACAAGCCTCTAGTCCCAGGTACTTGGGAGGCTGAGGTGGGAGGATCCTTGGGCCTGGGAATTTGAGGCTGCAGTGAGCTATAATGGCATCACAGCACTCCAGCTTAGGTGACAGAGACAGACCTTGTCTCTAAAACATAAATGAATAAATAAACAAATAAATAAATAAATAAATGGCCATAGTTCAGTCCTTCTCCATGAGGCACAGGAGAGGAGATGGCCATGGAAATGCTGTGACTTCTAGAACGCTTTTAACCTTCAATTCTATGTATCATGTAGCAGCCATCACAGTGGGTGCAGCAGCTCTAAGTCAAGGAAAAGATGGAGCTGCTTCTAAAACTTCTTCCTAATAAGGTTTTTAGCCTTTGGAGAACAGCTTTGACTCCAGACACAGAAGTCTCAAGTGTCTTCTCTTGAAGGCAGAACCAATATCAAGGGTATGGAGAGGATGAAGCTGTTCACAAAACTGTGAAAATGGAGAAGAGGTGTAGAGGTTGGGGATGGGGCAAGAGAAGGGACCAAGGAACAGAAACAGAAGCTACCATTTGTGAGAGCCACATTGTTCCTGACACAGGGAACTCCTAGCATTTAAGTTGCCAAATGACTCACATCCCCGCAGTTTGGGAGGCCAAGGCACGAGGATCGCTTGAGCCCAGGAGTTTGAGACCAGCCTGAGCAAAATGGCCATACTTCCATCTCTAAAAAAAACACTGAATTTTTTTAAGTTGCTAAATGAATTCCAGTCATAATAATAACTTGTTTAACATATTTCAAAGGCCTCTGTCTGATCTCGAAGTCTAAATGAAAGGTGGCTTATAAGAACAGGTACAGTCTGATCCTACCTCCCTCTTGTACTTTCTCCCCTTGAAGTCCATGATCCAAAAGGGCCAGATGTCTTTCCCTTCCCCGGACAAGTAACAACTTGCCTTTCTTCTTCTTTTTTTCTTTTTTTATTTCCATAGGTTATTGGGGAACAAGTAGTGTTTTGTTACATGAGTAAATTCTTCAGTGCTGATTTGTGAGATTTTGTTGCACCCATCACCCGAGCAGTACACACTGCACTCAATTTGTAGTCTTTTATCCCTCATCCTCTTCACACTCTTTCCCCCTGAGTCCCCAAAGTCCATTGTGTCATTCTTATGCCTTTAAATCCACATAGCCTAGCTCCCACTTATGGGTGAGTACATACGATGTTTGGTTTTCCATTCCTGAGTTACTTCACTTAGAATAATCGTCTCCACTCTCATCCAGGTTGCTGCCCATGCCATTAATCCATTCCTTTGTATGACTGAGTCGTATTCCATTTTATATCTATATACCACAGTTCTTTATCCACTTGTTGACTGATGGGCATTTGGGTTGGTCCCACATTTTTGCAATTGCAAATTGTGTTGCTATAAATATGTCTGTGCAAGGACAACTTGCCTTTTTTCTATATGTGCCAAACTTCTTCTCTGCTGGGAACCCTCACCACCCCTCTTCTGACCTGTAACCTCCTTTTAAGTTGGTTGCTTCCATTCATACCTTAGGAATGTACTTAGTGTCTCTCCTGGAAAGCCTCTGCTGACCTTCCTGAGAATGCCTGAGTCCTCTCTCCACCCCTCACAGCCTACCCAGGTCCTCGCATGGCACCCAGCTCCTCATTCACTGCATCCTTCATGATCCTGTGAGTCCTGTGAGGATGGGGCCAGGCCAGGGCTGTCCTATCCCTCACTATACTCCAGAGCTTGAAAAAAAGAATGAATCAACACATATTTGGTGTTTCATGCCTGAATTTTAGGCATTTTACTTAACCTTTAAAATAAGGCTGGAATTGGGGAAATGAGAAGAACCATGATTACCCCATTTCACAAATGAGCAAACTGAGAAAGGGAGAGTGTAAGTGGCAGGTCTGAGTTTAAAGTTTATTAATGCTGGGCGCGGTGACTCCTGCCTGTAATCCCAGCGCTTCGGGAGTCCAAGGCGGGTGGATCACCTGAAGTCAGGAGTTTGAGGCCAGCCTGACCAACATGGCAAAACCCCATTTCTACTAAAAAATACAAAAAATAGCTGGGCATGGTGGGCACCTGTAATCCTAGCTACTCAGGAGGCTAAGGCAGGAGAATCACTTGAATCTGGGAGTGAGGTTGCAGTGAGCCGAGATCATGTCACTGCACTCCAGCCTGGGTGACAAGAGCAAAACTCTGTCTCAAAAAAACGAAAAACAAAACTTTATGAAGATATGGGGCAAGAACTGTAATGTGATCTTTTGTGATTTCCAATTGTTCACCATAACCACCTTCTGAGAAAGTGAGAAAGAAATAAATTATGTTCAATTGTCCCAAGATCATCCTACAGGATACGGAAATAAAATCCCTCAGATGCTAACTTCCTTCGCAAAAGTTAGCTTTAAATGTAATCAGTTCATTTAAACATGAAAGCTACATATATATATATGTACTACATATGCACACATACATATAAAATTGCATGCACACACATACATATGTGTGTGAGTGGATACCATATATTTACAGTATAATACATATGATTTTGAGCTTTTCCTACAAAGTCCTGTAGCTCCTTGAGGAGCTTTGACATTTTACTCTGCTGAGATTTCACACTATGTTCTGTTCAGAGTAACACATTTTGCCAGATTCACTTTTAAATGCTACCTATGAATTTTTTAATGTATTTATTTGGTGGCATAAATTCTAATCATTTTAAAATTGGCAACTACCTGTCACTGGGTAATGTTAAAGTAGTAGCCAAAGGTACATTTCAAAACAGTGCATTACCCTAAGTCTCATTCCCTTTGTTTGCTGAGAAAAATTGGTATGCACACTATGTGAAAAATGGTATGTGCAAGTACTGTGCCAAAGTCAAAAGACACAGTTTCATTTCAATCTTACAAACGGCCCTTCGTGGTAAAGATTATTCCCATCATTGTACAGAAAAAGAAATCAATAACTGAATTTAAGAGGCTAACATGCCCCATGTTTTATAGGCAGTATTTGGCAGAATTGGAATTTAAATCCAAGTGGACTGTCAAGTCCATGCTCTTTCCTTTTCCTTTCTAGAGTAGATCATGCAAAGTTGATTGTGCTTTGTTCATGGTCCAGACATCAAGTACTTCGATCTACAAAAGAAAAAATTATATGGAGAGGAAATTGTTGGGAGAATACCCAAAATGGGGTTCGATGCCCAGATCTGGACTGCCGCCACTAGTTGACCTTGAGAGCGTTAATGAGGTTTCATGTACAATGAGGCTATTGGTCCAGAAAGGCAGCTAAATCAAGATTGATTTGTGTGGGCTAAGCTGGGTTCTAAGCTGTTTTCCTTCTCATCCTGCCATGCTACCTTAGATAACTGACTTCACTTCTCCGGGTTTCCTTATTCACATCTACAAAAGCCTGCACCTGGAATCCAGTGATCTGCAAGGTGCCTTACTGCTACAAAATTCCGTCAGTTTTAGCCCAGAGCAACATATCTTTTATTGTTGTTGTTATTAATTTTCTTCTTACCACTGAGTCTCAGTTTTTACTTTCTTCCATGTATCTCTTATGTACATCCTCAAGTCCACCAATTAATGAAGCATTTGGTCTTTTTCTATTCTTTAAAATAAACACAAGTACATGTTCAACCTGTTTGTAGGCACTCAATCTGTTGTGCTGCATGGCACTTTTGATAAATATGCTTTATCTTAAACTCCTGTCTGTTTCTAGACACAGACACGTACCGATGTGTCTTTCCCGGGCAGCAGGAGGTGTTGTTCATGGCCAACCTTTTTGGTAGCTGTCACCATGATGGCCTGTAAGAAACAGATGAACTGACGGAGAGTGCAGAATTGAATGTTTTGTTTTCCTTTTTTTCAGTTAAAGGGGAAACACATCATTTAGACCATTCTATTGAGCTGTAGATCTTTTCCTGGTTGGTTTTCTTGTTGTAATACATATTGATGTTAGAGAGGAGAGAGACAGAAATGGCCAAAAGGAGACTGATAACCAACTAGAAATATTTCTACCAAGTGCTTATACCTTAGAGGGATCATCAAAGGTTTAGTGTCAGCTCCTCAATATTTACATTTGGAAACTGTTTTCTCAGGTGATCATTTTCAAGAAGACTGGAATTTTCTAACCAAACAAATGAGAGATTGGTAAAATAGCTGTGTTGTTTACATATTTATTGACACCTACATGGGCTGAGGATTCTGGTAGGTGTAGATATACAGTGTAATTCACAGGTGTAGTCTTTGGGTTCAAGAAGCTTAAGGATCAGACAGGGTACAGACAACTAGATAGAAGTCAGCAATCAATGCAATGCATACACCATTGCTTAGAGAGAAGCTGCAGAGAGCTGTGAGGAGTTCATTTCTGCCGGAGCCCAAGGTACACATGCAAAGAACAAAATGAAACTGGAAAAGTTGAAGATCTTAAAATTTCTAAAACATGTAAAGAGTTTGAATAGGTTGGCACAGTCAGGTCTTCGTTTTTGAAAGATGTTTCTGATTACAGCACGGAGACCAGTGAAGACCAACGCGAAGGAGAGAGAGAGCAGTCCACGTGTTATGACGGTGCCTCAGCTTAGCAATTATTCCAGCAGCAGAGACAGGGAGATGTGAACAAGTAATTACAAAACAGAAATAATGAGGCAACAGAATGTTTTCTTATCTGTGGAGATGTAGGAGGAGAGAAGTGTCAGAGACTAACCAAGTTTGAGACTGAAATACATGAAATGAACTTTGTAAAAATCAGTAAAATAAATAAGACAAAACAGGGGCTGACCCTTTGGGGTTTTCCCTTCCAAGTTAATGGTACTCTTCAGTTCATTGATCATTCATTCACACATCCATTCAATAGTTATTTTTAAGAACATATTACGTTTTGGAAAACAGGAGGGAAACAAGCTTTTGCCTTCCTAGAACTTACATTTTAGTGGGAAGGCATATGAAAAGAACAAATTAAAAACAAAATATTATATTAAAGAGGCTTAAATACCATGAAGAAAAAATACACATGGCAACCAAAAAGAGTGATGGTATGGTGGGCTGGGAGCCGCATTCAGTAAGGACGCTTTTGTGGGGCTATCATGGAGCGGAGCTCTGCTTTTCCTGAAACCAAGAGCCCCGAGAAGCTGGGTGTGTAAGCTTAGTGGGAGCAGAGACAAAGGAGAGTGGGAATGGGTGGTTTGCTATAGTCCTGAAGACCCAGAATAAACCATCTTTATCCTTTCACTGGAACCTCCTTCCCTCAAGACCAGAAATCTCATCTTCCCTTGTCCAGACCTTCCCTTTTTTTGACTGCTGGATGCACAGGGCAGAGGGGTTATTTGCAGGGCACACCTTGGCCAGGGTTCAGTGGAGCTCACCCTCATCCATCCTCACACAAAATAACAGTCCCACATACTGAGACTTTACCACACGACAGGTCTTGGGGAAGGCTTCATGTCTCCTAGCTTTTTACGTCTTCAAACCTATCCAGGGAGGTTGATTTTGAGCAAGTTATTTCAACTTCCAGAGCTCCAAATTTTTTGTGTGTGATACAGGCATAGAGATGGCAAATAGGAAGTAGACCAGCAAGGGACTGAAGGTAGGTTTTTCTGATTCAAAAATCTGTTGTTCAATGGATAAGAGCCAACATTTCAGGCTGGAGTATACAAATAATTAAATTTAGCCCTTTGAGATTTTTCTTTTTAACTTCTTAAAAGGGCTTATAGAATGAGCCCGTTCCCCTCCCACAGTGCCAGGCAAATACCAGAACATTCCAACTGAGTTCCAATGTCACCTCCTCTCAAGGCCTTGCCTGACCTCTATAAGATAAAGGTCTTTCATCTACATCCTCGAGCATCTTGTCCACGTCGGTACCATAGCAGTCATCTGGGAAGGCAATGGGCACAACCCGGTTCACCTGTGTCCCCAGCTCCTAGCAAATGGCTGGAAACAATGGGCTCACTGATTTGGTTCAATGAATAAATGGGTTACATCAAAGCTCTGCCTGCCTGAGATTGCCCCTACTCTCCCTGGTGACTTGCCTATTTCTCCCCTTTATTCAGTGAATCTTTGGAACACATCCGTGGCTGGCTAATCATTTTCCCTGTCTGAGTGGTAATACACATTTGTTTTCGCACTCAGAGCATGACTTTATTTCTGAACTCAAGAAGCTTCTATATCCACCTGTGTATGGCTATCTGCAAACTTACTGTCATCCCAATCTGAAATGTATAGAAACTAAAATTAATGTATGTATGTATCTATCTTGCACCAGAGGCCCTCATAGCATCTGGGAGTCTTTTTAATCTTTCTTCTTTGAGTATACAAATTTGAGACTTGATCTAACACTTTATGTTTTTAAAAAATCAGCTTTTATCCTGTGTTGTTTCTTTCTGATTGAAGAAAAAAAACTATTTGAAGATCAAGCCTCTCTGTCTGCTCTGCAGAACAAACACAGTGACTTTTTGTGTTGCTGTTGGCTCCAGATTGTGGGCCTCTCTTTCATCTTGTGATAAATCTGGAGTTTTATGTTCTCTCTTCAATGGATGAAGTGAGAGAATCTTACAGAGGATCCCCGTGGGGAACTGGAGGAGGCCATACTGCATAGAGAGACTTAAAACTCTGCGTGTTTGGAAGGAGAAGGAAAGGAAAGCAAGGTCACATTTTTCCATTCCTCGTGTGTTTGCTGGACATTGTGCTAAGCTAAGTGATATCTGATTAACCCACTCAACAACCCTGCCTGGAAAGTATGTATAATCTTAGTTTGACCCTACAGTAACTGAGGCTGAGTAGGTTTAGGTAAGAAGTCTACGGCCACAGAGAAGGCATACAAGGTGAGGTTTTTATTAGGCACCCATTAGGCACTGCTTCTAATCCTTTTTCATTTCTGCAGCTGCCTCAGTTACCAGTTCTGCATACACACAGACCAGCTTCAAGGTGGTGCAGACTGATGGCACCTCTATCAGGCCTAAACTGGATAGTTTCTCCTCTATCCCAGGCATCTCTGTGGTCTAGGGGTGCCCTGCCTGTGTGACCTGGCCATGAGGCTGTGGGTAACTTTGATGAAAGTGCGTGGAGCTGGCCCTCAAAAGGGTTGCTCCTTTCTTTCCCAGGAACGTGGTCCCAAGGTTCATTCCATGTGACTTCTCAGATTGTCATACAGGATTGGGCAACCAGTTCCCATGCCAGTGGTCAGCATCCCATGAGCATCTTCTACTGGCTCCTCCTTCGTTCTCTGCTTCACTCTTGTCTATCTTGTCTGCTTCCTCAGACCACATGTCCCAATAATGCCCTCACACGTAAGCTTTGTCTCAGGCTCAGCTTTCTAGGAAACCCAGGCTGAAACAGAACTAGAACCCAAGCTCAGAATCCATGTTCTTTTTAATTGTCTAGCATTTACCAAGCTTGGTCATCCTTTGTGTCCCTGGGGACACATCTGTATTTAAATAATACAGATGTCTGCACCTTCCTCCAGACCTAGTAATTCACATCGTCAAAGGAGGGCTAAAAATATATGCTTTTTTTTCATTTCGTTTTACTGCGTTTTGCTTTATTGCCCCTTAAACTCCAGAGATGATTCCTGCCCAGAATCAAGTCTCCTCATCCAGACTTTAATGGGTTCAGACAAGGTCTAAGTCTAGGTCCCTTTCTCTTTGCTATGCTCTTAATATCGAGCACACTCTGGGATCATAGTAGACACACAAGTAAAAATGCCTTGCCCTTTGCCTCCACGTCTTAAAAAAAGTTGTTGACATGAATTTAACTTAATGATGTCTTCATAGAAGAATACAAAATATTACTTCAATTGGACAACAGCTTTCTTAGAAAAGTCAGAGAGTCCATCTTCCAAAATCTTGGTCCCTGGATCTTAATTACTTACCAGAATGCTAATCATTACCTCAGGCTTAATTCTCTTCCCAAAGTTAGGAGCCCCATGAGAAAAGACCCAAGGGTGGGAAGCATAAGACACTATATATTAATTGACTTCTTTGGTAGCATAATGGCATCATAAATTTTTTAATTCCCAAGCTCATAAAGAGCATGAGCTTGGAAATTAAAAACATATGCTTGAACGTCTAATCCATCACATAGAAACATTTCTGGGCTTTAGTTTTCTCAGTTGTCAAATGAAAATGGAAACATTTCATTGTTAGTGTAAGAATAAAATGCGTTAATCTTCGAAATTCCGTTATAAGCCATAATCTGATCTACATGTGTAAGGATTTTGCAAAAGAACTGAGAGTCTGTAAAACAGGTAACACATCTATATGGCCAAGTTATTTTGCTCTTCCAGGAATCTTGGAAAGTGCAACTGATATTTCTCTACCATTATGTTGCTTAATCTGGGACAGAAGCAACCTTCGTGTTTTTACTCTTTTTTTTTTTTTAACTTTGAAAGTTAAGACCCGCCACAGTTTTTCATCTGACTACTGTGCTATCTCATGGGGGAAATGATTAGAATCTGTGCCAGGAACTCTTGTAGGCCATTCTGTCATCACCTTCAGAAACATTTAAAAATGGTCTTCTGTGTGCTTTCCTTAAAATGGTTGCAATTTTGTTGAAAGCAACATAATCTTGAAAATGAAAATTATTTACTTAACCTTGACCGTACAATGATTCGTATGTCAGGAAATGGTGGCTCTGCAGACAATCTGTAGTTGTACATTTTATGGAAAAATTGTTAATTGGTCATTTCTAGTAGGTATAGTAACATTAAGTCCATATGCAGGTTGTTTTTCTTCCTTTCTTTAATATACAAATTGCCAATAACTTTAGCATTTTGATTCAGAAAAATACTTGTGCATTTCTTGGGTCAATAAAATCATAACATTTTTTGCAGGGGAGTTCAATTTATCATAATTCAATTCAATCAGCATTTACTGAACAACTTTCATGTGCCAAATTCTGGAACACAATTGCTGAAAAAAATAACTGCTATAACCTTATATGTGTATAACAGTTTAAAACCCTTTAGTTGCCTACACATACGTCACCCAACTTAACCCTGACAACTGTTTCGAGAGTTAAACAATTGAAGTGTTATGCATGTTGTGTAGATAGAAAAATTGATGTTTAGGGCAGGGGGAATTAAAATCAATGGATCAAGTATGGTATCTCAAATGCTGTACTAGGCACTAACATGCTTAATTGTCTCAACAAACCTCTAGTGTAATTACTTTTGCTATTCCCATTTTATTGAAGAGAAAATTAAGTCCCAGTGAGATTCAAGTATTTGCCCAAGGTTACACAATTAGAATAACCCCAGGCTATTTGACTCCAATCGTCACTGACTTTTTATGCCAATGAAAATCATCAAAATGATGTATTAAAAGTGAAACAAAGAAAGCCACCAAACTCATTCAAATGCTACTCAGAAGCTGAGCTGCTTCTGAAACAAACGCACTTAGACTCCTGCCCCAACACTGGTCCCTCCCATTGTGGGGATGTGATTGTCAGTTCTTTTGCTGTATTCTTTGGCATATTAAAACCTAGCTCATTTACATCACTAGGATCTGGCAGGGGTTCATTCATCACTCAATATCAATTCCATCCTCTCTCTAAAGAGCACAGAATCATTTTAATATAGAAATATTGTATAATTCATAGTCATTGCAAGGAGGTGTCATTCTTTGCAGAACAATCTGTCTCTGCTTATGCTTTAAGGGCTGAGAGGTGATGTCAAAGTCAAAAGACTTGGTGCTTGGTGTCCATGGACAAGCCACTTAACCTCTGTGAGTTCCAGTTTCCCCTGCAGTACACTGAAGTTACAGGACATCAAGCTGATACCTCAGAAATATTATTTTGCGTCTTGGAGCTACAGTCCCACGTCTGCCAAATGGGGGAGAGGAGACGGTGACCAAATTAAGTCACCCTGAAATCTCACCCAACAGTAAATTGGAAAGAGTGCTGATGGAGAAATGGAGCAAGTTGATATAAGGAGATGGGGACACTCAAAAATCTATGCCAGCTCACTTAATAATTTGATCTAGCAATTTTTGTTCATACCAGCTGTCTTGGGAAAGTACAAGATCTAAGGTTGAGGCTGCAAGTGTGTTCCAGGAATTGTGTGTAGCTCTGGATGACAGGGACATTCCAGGCTCCATCCTGATCATGACACTGTATTCATTTGCTAGGGCTGGCATCGCAAAGTGCCTCAGAATGAGTGGCTCGGACAACAGCAATTTATTTCCTCACAGTTCTGGAGAATAGAAGTCTGAGGTCAAGGTGTTGGCAGGTTGTTTTCTTCTGAGGGCTTCTAGGTGGCTCTCTTCTCCCTCTGTTGCACCTAGTCTCTGTGTGCATCTGTATCCCAATCGTCTCTTCTTCTGAGGACCCTGGTCATTGGATTAAAGCCCAAGCTAATGACTTAATTTAACATGAATCACCTCTTTAAAGACCCTATCTCTAAACAGTCACTTTCTGAGGTGTTAGAAGGACTTCAACATGAATATTTGGAGGTCACAATTTAGCCCAGAACGGTGGTGTGACCTCAGAGGAGGAACTTACTGAGGCTTCATTTCCTCATCTGTAAAATGGCAATTACGATTTTCAGATTAAAGTTGTGTCATCCAAAATTCAACAACCCTTCATGCTAAAAACTCTCAATAAATTAGGTATTGATGGGATGTATTTCAAAATAATAAGAGCTATCTATGAAAAACCCACAGCCAATATCATACTGAATGGGCAAAAACTGGAAGCATTCCCTTTGAAAACTGGCACAAGACAGGGATGCCCTCTCTCACCACTCCTATTCAACATAGTGTTGGAAGTTCTAGCCAGGGCAATTAGGCAGGAGAAGGAAATAAAGGGTATTCAATTAGGAAAAGAGGAAGTCAAATTGTCCCTGTTTGCAGACGACATGATAGTATATCTAGAAAACCCCATTGTCTCAGCCCAAAATCTCCTTAAGCTGATAAGCAACTTCAGCAAAGTCTCAGGATACAAAAGCAATGTACAAAAATCACAAGCATTCTTATACACCAACAACAGACAAACAGAGAGCCAAATCATGAGTGAACTCCCATTCACAATTGCTTCAAAGAGAATAAAATACCTAGGAATCCAACTTACAAGGGATGTGAAGGACCTCTTCAAGGAGAACTACAAACCACTGCTCAAGGAAATAAAAGAGGATACAAACAAATGGAAGAACATTCCATGCTCATGGGTAGGAAGAATCAGTATCGTGAAAATGGCCATACTGCCCAAGGTAATTTACAGATTCAATGCCATCCCCATCAAGCTACCAATGCCTTTCTTCACAGAATTGGAAAAAACTACTTTAAAGTTCATATGGAACCAAAAAAGAGCCCGCATCACCAAGGCAATCCTAAGCCAAAAGAACAAAGCTGGAGGCATCACACTACCTGACTTCAAACTAAACTACAAGGCTACAGTAAACAAAACAGCATGGTACTGGTACCAAAACAGAGATATAAATCAATGGAACAGAACAGAGCCCTCAGAAATAATGCCACATATCTACAACTATCTGATCTTTGACAAACCTGAGAAAAACAAGCAGTGGGGAAAGGATTCCCTATTTAATAAACGGTGCTGGGAAAACTGGCTAGCCATATGGAGAAAGCTGAAACTGGATCCCTTCCTTACACCTTATACAAAAATCAATTCAAGATGGATTAAAGATTTAAACATTAGACCTAAAACCATAAAAACCCTAGAAGAAAACCTAGGCATTACCATTCAGGACATAGGCATGGGCAAGGACTTCATATCCAAAACACCAAAAGCAATGGCAACAAAAGACAAAATTGACAAATGGGATCTAATTAAACTAAAGAGCTTCTGCACAGCAAAAGAAACTACCATCAGAGTGAACAGGCAACCTACAAAATGGGAGAAAATTTTCGCAACCTACTCATCTGACAAAGGGCTAATATCCAGAATCTACAATGAACTCAAACAAATTTACAAGAAAAAACAAACAACCCCATCAAAAAGTGGGCGAAGGATATGAACAGACACTTCTCAAAAGAAGACATTTATGCAGCCAAAAAACACATGAAAAAATGCTCATCATCACTGGCCATCAGAGAAATGCAAATCAAAACCACAATGAGATATCATCTCACACCAGTTAGAATGGCAATCATTAAAAAGTCAGGAAACAACAGGTGCTGGAGAGGATGTGGAGAAATAGGAACACTTTTACACTGTTGGTGGGACTGTAATCTAGTTCAACCATTGTGGAAGTCAGTGTGGCGATTCCTCAGGGATCTACAACTGGAAATACCATTTGACCCAGCCATCCCATTACTGGGTATATACCCAAAGGACTACAAATCATGCTGCTATAAAGACACAGGCACACGTATGTTTATTGCAGCATTATTCACAATAGCAAAGACTTGGAACCAACCCAAATGTCCAACAATGATAGACTGGATGAAGAAAATGTGGCACATATACACCATGGAATACTATGCAGCCATAAAAAATGATGAGTTCATGTCCTTTGTAGGGACACGGATGAAATTGGAAATCATCATTCTCAGTAAACTATCACAAGAACAAAAAACCAAACACCGCATATTCTCACTCATAGGTGGGAATTGAACAATGAGATCACATGGACACAGGAAGGGGAATATCACACTCTGGGGACTGTGGTGGGGTGGGGGGAGGGGGGAGGGATAGCATCAGGAGATATACCTAATGCTAGATGACGAGTTAGTGGGTGCAGCGCACCAGCATGGCACATGTATACATATGTAACTAACCTGCACAATGTGCACATGTACCCTAAAACTTAAAGTATAATTAAAAAAAAATAAAAAAATAAAGTTGTGTCATCAATTTTAGTAATGATGTACTTTAAAAAGCTAAATACAATAGATACAATAAAAATGACTTCTTTCTATGACTCAGGGTGGGCTGACAGAACCATGCCCAAGCACAGTGGATTTCCATATTATACGCTTATGTCTCACTCATTTTCCAGGACAGACAGCTCTCCTTCGAGCAGTGATTCAGGAATTCAGCCTCCTTCTGCATCTTGTGATAACCTCATCTTCAAGAAGTAGCCTCCAGGATTCCCCTAGGAGGAGATGAAAGCATGAGAATGCCAGGGAGATCCTCACATGCTCGCTTTCCATTGGCCCAAACTGGCTGTGTGGCCCACCTTGGGGCATGGTGCCCCGAAAAGGAAGTCCTTGAGTGGGAGTTCTCTTCCCATCCAACAATTCTGCATTGTGAAAGAGAACAGGTATTTGGGGCAGGTAGTCATGTACATCAGTCAGGGCCCTCAAAGGCAATGACAGACAGCAGACACGCCCAAACTGGGGATGCACAGAGCCTTTAAGAAAGGAACAATTTGCAAAGGGATGGGCAGGTTTTGAGAAAAGCACACAAGGACATGCGTGGTATGGAGGGTCCTCGCCATTCTTAGGCTTGAGTGAGCCAGGGGAGGGGTCGATCTCAGGACCCAGAGAAAAGAAAGTGCTGTCTAACAGGAAGAGTAAGCAGTCCCCGGTTAACACACTCAGCCATCATGACCATGCAGAAGGAAGCCAAGTGAGACCCCCACCATCATCCTTGGCCCCATCCACCCTCATGCCTCCTGTCAACTGGGTCCCCCTCAGAAGCCAGGAGCAAAAGGCTCATTGAGACTACATGTGCTGGGTGGCCTTAGGCTTCTGGGCAGAGGGTGGAGAGTAGACTGAAGGGGCAGATAGGAGAAATGCTGTGCAGCACATGTGCTATTGTCTGAAACAGAAACAAAAAATGACACTGGAGGTTTTGGAGGTCTCCTGGGGCAACTTTGTTACTGCTTTTAACTCCCTACACTCTCCTTTCTAGGAGAAACAGCAGGCAGGCAAGTGAGCAGAAGTGCTGGAGAGTGTGTCCTGCCACTGTGGAGCTGGCCTGAAATAGGTGTTTACTGGCTGAGGGGATGCAAGTATTAAGGCAAGGTGTTTCCTCATTTCCCACAAAACCGGACCTCCTCCTCAGGTACCACCTGGTTCCACTCACCCTCCAGCATCAGAAAGACTCCCCCCAAAATCAGAAATTTCAACTCCAATTTAGAGCAAGGAAGGCAAACGATGCACCCCCGAGGTTTCCGGTACCAAGAGCCATGAGGGTCCCACAGAATCTGTGTTAATACAAATTGCACGCCTCTAAGCGCAATGTATTAGGCCCACTCCTCAAACATTTATTATGTGACTCTTCTCTTTCCCCTCACACTTTTTCCAAATAAGGAGACAAAGGACGCGAGAAGCTAAATAGCTCATTCTGAGGTTTCTGAGCTGATTAGTGGCAGAGCTGGAATTCTAATGCATAGGTCTTGCTTTATTTTCTGCACCTCCCCACCCCCCAAAACACACACACACTCCAACACTCACACTCCCTCACACACTCACACACTGTGATCTCCAGCTGTCCAAGAATTACAATTTCTTTCTAATTTTTATCAAAGTCACCACCATCTAATAATAGAGCAGTTTCCACCATAGTTCCTGGCATATAGGAAGTGTTTAAAAACATAATCTCCTTCCCTTCATTCCCTCTATGTCCAGACTCTCTCAAACACACACACTCACACACACGTGCACACACACAATGCACACATACACACATACACTCACTCACACATGCATACACATGCATGCACATACACATGCATACACACGCACTCACACATGCATATACATGCACACTCACACACATGCACACACACACAATCACACACACACACAGCAGCCTTGAGCTGTGCAAGAATCATACTGACTTCCTGCTTCCCCCCAAAGCGACATCCATCTGATACCACAGCAAGGGAGGGGGAAGACTGTGGCACTGCCTCCCCTCTGTTCCAGGGTGAGAAGTGAAATGGACCCTCTGCAGACCAGGCTCTCTCTCTTTCCAGGCCACATGGCACCTGCCTCACTGGATGCTCTTGATGTTGTCAAAGCATTCTCCATCCTGTGAGGTGGCAAGGTCTGGAATGAAGGGGTCCATAATCCCCATTTCTGAGAACGAATCCTGTGACTTTGCTGGGTTAATTCTCATGTATTAGGATCCCTAGTCCAGCCTATTAACCAGGACTAATTAATAGTTTTCTGTCTGGACATATCCACCAACTCTGTGGAACTCCAGAGGGTAAACCCACGTCTTCACACCCATGGGCTGAGGAGGGAACTCTTGCTTGGAAAGCCCTTGATCAAGATCCAGGCACCTTTAGGATGCAACAGAGCAGGGCTTGCTCTTGCTTTCTCTTCCTCTCTTTCCCTGCCTTTCCCATGCCCCCTACTTTCATCAAGGAATCAAAAATAAGGTAAAAGAATATTTACGTAAAGAAGAAATCAACACAATGTAAGTGGCTGCCATTTCCGAGGATGCTGCCGTTCATGTCATGTGGAATGTTATTGGGGTTTCCATCTAAAGCAACTCCCGTTGAGTTGCTCTCAGTCAGGTGATTCAGTGTTCATCTCAAAGGTGATGAAACTACAGGTCAGAAAACTTCAGTGACCTGTTCAACAGCCCACAACAGAAATACCAGGAATACATTGCAGGTCTCCAGGTTGAACCGAGGTTTTTCTCTCTAACTCAGCTTCTCTTTGCATGGCACAGTGATAGTGCAGTAAATGGATCAGCCCCCAATAAGGAAGGAATGGAGGAAGCCCAGCGCTTTAAAGAGCACAGATAGGGACCACAACTAAAAATCTGCTCGTTTAAAATCCAAATTGTCATTCCTTTGGATGAGGAATTGGCCTAACAAAAATGTATGTGGACACTTTTGCTGCTATTGCAGGGAAAAGAAATTATAATAATTAAAGTGTCATGGATCAAATCTGACAAGAATGATGACAAGAGTTACTTTTAGCTACAAATGAAGAACACATGTAATTAGAAGTAAAGTGAGATCAATAAAGGTTATATAAACCCCAGCTGGAAAAGACTCTGGTATTAAAAAAGCAATTAGTAAATGAGCAAGCACATTAATAAGGCAAATATTTATTTTTAGCAGATCCTGAAATCAGTATGCTTCAAAATCAAAAGGATCTACAGTTGATGATGGAATATAACTGTGGGCAAACATCTCCAGGGAGGCAGCAGATTTCTTCAACTGGTTTCCAAAATATGGATATAATGGCATATAAATGAATTCACTTTTGAATAAAAATGTAACAACTATGATGGCATTGTCAATAATAATAATAATGTAGGTACATGCTTCACTGTAAAGCACTTTCACAAAAGCAGCCAGTTCCAGCTAATTTTTTTTTTAATGTGCTTCCATTCTTCCTTCATCCTTCCCTACCTTTCTTACTGGTCACGTTACTGGCACTTTTTGGGGGGAGGAGCTGGGGGAGGCAGGGTCTCACTCTGATGCCTAGGCTGGAATGCAGTGGTGCAATCTCAGCTCACTGCAACCTTCGCTTCTGGGTTCAAGCTATTTTCCTGCCTCAGCCTCCAAATAGCTGGGATTACAGGCACACACCACCGCACTCGGCTAATTTTTTTGTATTTATAGTAGAGAAGGAGTTTTGTCCTGTTAGCCAGGCTGGTCTTGAACTCCTGACCTCAAGTTATCCACATGCCTTGGCTTCCCAAAGTGCTGGAATTAACAGCTATGAGCCACTGCACCTGGTCATTATTTGCACTTTACGCCTACCTCTCTTGATAAACAGGACAGACAGGGTTCTTACCTTCACAAAGCAAACATTCTGATGTGTGTGTAGAGGGGGTAGACTTTAAACAAATAATTACTTAAGCAAGATTTTTTGTTTTAAATTATGACAAGCAAAGTGTTGAAATGATAGACACTAAGGCTGGGTGTGGTGGCTCATGCCTGTAATCCCAGCACTTTGAGAGGCCAAGGTGGGTGGATCACGAGGTCAGGAGTTCAAGACCAGCCTGGCAAAGATGTCTCTAGTCTCTACTAAAAATGCAAAAATTAGCCAGGTGTGGTGGCGGGTGCCTATAATCCCAGCTGCTCGGGAGGCTGAGGTAGACAACTGCCTGAACCAGGGAGGCGGAGGTTGTGGTGAGCCGAGATCGCACTGCTGCACTCCAGCCTGGGTGACACAGAAAGACTCTGTCTCAAAAAAAAAAAAAAAAGAAAAGAAAAGAAAAAGAAAAGAAATGATAGACACTAAAGAGACACTAAAGAGTCAGGGTCAACTTTGAAGGCACCCAGGAAGGGCCTTTCAAATAAGATCACATTCAATCTCACAACCAGCCACGGAAACATCATAGGGTATCTATTTCCTTTGGCTGCTGTAACAAAGTATCACAAACTGGGAGGCTTAAGCAACAGAAATGTAGTGTTTCACAATTCTGGAGATTAGCTCGGAGATCAAGGTGTAGATAGTTCTCTTCTCCTGAGGTCCTCATATTGTCCTCTTTCTGTGAATTTCTCTCTCTGTGTCCAAATTTTCTCTTTATGTAAAGAATGTGGACATGTAAGATTAGAGTCCACTCTAAAGACCTCATCCAAGTTTGATCATCTGTAAAGACTCTAATTCCAAATAAAGTCACATTCACAGGTACAGGGGGTTAGGACTTCAGTGTCTTTTGGTAGGACATTATTTAATCCATAACAATGAGCCACATGTATTATGAAGCAAAGGAACACAAAGAGCCAAGGCCCCAAGGCAAGAGGGAGTTAATAAGCATGTAGTTTTTTGAAACAACAATCCATGCGATAGCACTCCTTCAAGTGTATACATGCCTTGTACACAGAACTAAGGATGTGGTGGAAGATCTCCAACCTGAATTTAGAGACCTTGTGTCAAGACCACTTGCACTTCAAGATCCTGGACAAGTCTCTTTGCACTCTGAAACTTGCCCTCACTCTCCAGAAAAGAAAATGAATAATGCCCTCCTCCTAGAGATGCAAAGTGCAAATGCACATGAAAGTGCTTGTTACCCATTCAATGCTTTACAATATCAGAGAATATAATATGGAAAACCTCTATATGGATAGAAATTAATTACAAGGCTGTCTGGTTCCTGTTAATGATCTGGAAGAGTAGAGTGTGTTTATATAAACTCTGGTACAGGACTCAGCTCTGCTACCTAAAGAGTTCTTGGTTACTCCTGGAAATACCCACCTTTTAAATTTGAGGTCTCAAAGCCCTGTTAGAGAGAGAGCAGGCCATAATGATAAGGGCTTGGCACCTGGAGCGAGGAAGACAGGGTTGAATTCTGGCTTCACCACTTATCCAGCGGGTGACCCTGGGTGAGTCCGCTCACCTCTCTCAATGCCACAGCATCCTTATCTCTATTTCTCCTAAACTGTGGGAGAAATAGTAGTGCTTACCTCATACAGCTGTTAGGAAAATTAAATTAATGTTGAGAGGTACATAGATTAGTTCCTGCAACAAAGTACTAATAAGAGCTTGAGAAATAAACATTGTAACTTCTTTCCTCCCACATAGTCTGCTTGTTATCATTAACTGTCATTCTCTTTGGTTCTATTTTGCCTTATTCTCCTTTTTCATTTTGGCTAATCACCTAATTATTTCAATAAGAAAAAGCAATCAAATATGAATGAACAAAACATCTATGGCTTACAAAATGATTGTATATATACTCTCCGATTAACTCACACTCCCTGATTCAAAGTAAACAAAACAGTGCAACCAAGGTGAGCACTAAGGCCCTAGGGATGTTGGCAAATCTGTTTTGAATGTCTGTGGTGTCTGGATGTCTGGGGAGCCAGGGAACTAGATTCTGAATTCTGGTATTGAATCCAACTTCTGATGTTTTCAAACTGTGCCATGGAAAGATAACCACTTCCCACCAAAACAGAATAACAACTAATACTAAGTGTGTTTACTGTGTGCCCCACACCACTCTCAGTGCTTTACATACAGGAACTCATTTTGTCTTCAAGAATTCCTTGTGGTAGGTACTATGATTTATCTCACTTAAATGTGAGGGGACAAAAGGACAGAAGATTTAGTAGCTTGTTGAAATGGCGCAGCTGGGAAGTGTCAGAGCCCCTTTCTACTGCTTAATCTTTAAGATTGTGAGAAGACTAGATGAAATAACATTCAACACAGCATCTAAGATTGCATTTTCAGAGATGACTACAGCAGTATGTTCCATTCTACATGCTGTGCTGCTTTGTGACCTGGCCATGTCCTCATCAAGAGCTAGAGACACTTTTGCATTTTTTGAAGCTGGGTTGGCCTTCTGACTTGTTTGGAACAAACAGAAATGTATTAGAAGCGAAACTGTGTAGCTCTAATAAGGCTAGATTTGAAGCTTCTGGTTTCACCTGCTTGGAACACAACATTTTGGAAGCCCGCTGCCATGCTGTGAGGAAGCCCAAGCAGCCACGTGGAGAGGCCACATGGAAGAGGATCAAGACGACTGGACAGCAGTCACAACTGAGCTGCCAGACAATGGCCTGTAGCACCAACTTCTAGTCATCTTTGTGCTCTAGTCAATTCTAATCAGAAAACAAGGATTACCTGTTCAGCCTACAGAATCATGAAAGAAAATACACTGTTACTGTTGTAAGCCACCAAGTTTTGAGATAGTTTGTTTCTGCAGAAATTAATAGTCAAGATTGTGCCAACCGTTTAGTTAGTAGTTGATAAGACATAGCCATGATTATCGGTTTTAGGTACGTTAATGAATTAGCATCACAGACTAGTGATAAGCTACCCAACCTCTTACAGCTTGCAAAGTAATGAGTGAAGGCTCGAACTCTGGTTTTCTAACTTCAAAGTCTACACTCTTTCCCTAACAACTGCATTTCTCAAGTGTGACTCCAGATCAGACTGTTTCTCATCCCTGTTATCACCCTAGTCAACACCAGCATCACCACTCCCCTGGGCTGCAGCAACAGCCCACAAACTCATCCTCTCAGCTTCCAAGTCATTCTCAGAGCTGCCAGGTTGATCTTTTTAAAGCGTAAATTGGATGATGTCACTCTCCTGCTCAGTGCCATCTATATTGAGAATTAGGTCCCACACTGCACAAATCTGGCCCTGTCTGGCATCCTGTGGCTCCTGCCAACCTCCCCCTCACTCCCTCTGTCCAGCCTCACAGGCTGCTGCTCTCTCTGCCTGACCCACTCCCCCACACCCTTAGTTCCAGTCTCCATCCAAATGCCACCTCCACAGCGATGCTCCCTGGACTCCATTTAACTAAAACACCCTCTGAACCCCAGTCCTCTCCTCCTCCTGCTTCTTCATCTTTCTATTGCTCATCACTATTAAATTCATATCTTTGTGTCTTATGTTTTACATGCATATAAAATATATATTCATTTTCTTATTTACTCTGTTTTTGAGTTTGATGGAGAAAGAAACTTTGTTCATGTTTTAATCATACATCTCTTACTGCTTAGAATAGTAACTGCCTAGAATAAAGGGAGCTATGGTTTCAGCATTTCCTAAATACTTTTGTGTGGTCTGTCTACGCTTTGGCTTTGGTTTGGAGTTCCTGATTAACTAGCATGCAGCAGAAATCTCTGTATTCTCGCTGTTGTCTCTTCAGTTCAAGTGGGTGCTTTGTGGGCGTGGTCTATCCCAGGGCTTGTGTGAATGTGGCACTGGGTACCCGCTATACACACACTTTTCCCTGTTCAGTGATTGACTGGCTGACTGTCATTATCACAGGAGCCTTTGTTTTCCCTCTCTCTTTGGGTCATCTCTTATCACTTTAATAAGGAAGGACAGAGCTTTGACTGTGCCATGACCTTAGTAAGAGGACGGCTTGGTCTGAGATCTCTGTAATTAGTTAGTTCCCAGTCTAGTCTATCAGAGCAAGTTCAGGATGATGGGAGAAGAAGCAATGAAAGACCTGAATGGTCTTGTTACAATCATTTTAGGTGGAGAAACAGGCTAGGCTCAGAGAGGTTCTGATGTGCTCACAGTTGCACACTTAGTCATCGGGAGAGCTAGATTCAAATGCACAAGCTTTTGCAAGTCTCCAAAGCCAATCCTCTCAAAAGCTGTATTTTCAGCCACCACCTCCCAGGCAGGAAGGTCTGCCATTCCCCCCATGACCTGCAGAGTTCTTCAGACATCTTCTGGAAGTGTTTCATCTCTCAGCTATAAATTCAGTGCAATTTTTTGTTAGGACATTCCGGATCAGATATTATACAACTATGTTCTTCAGTACAGTATCCATTAGCCACAGGTAGCTACTGAGCACTTAAATGTAATTAGTTTGAATTGAGGTATGCTATTAAGTATAAAATAATACTAGATCTTGAAGGCTTAGTAAGAGAAAGCAATGAAAAATATCACATTAATAATTATATTGATTACATGCAGAAATGATAATATTTTGGATAACATGAAATACATTATTAAAATAGTTTTACCTGTTTCTTTATATAGGTTTTTAATGCAACCACTACAAAATTTTAAATCTCATATATGGCTCAAATTTGTACATTACATTGTATTTCCATTAGACAGCACTGGAAAACAATACTGCAAGTTCTCACTCATAAGTAAGAGCTAAATTATGTATACACTTGGATGTAGAGTGTGGAATCACAGACAGTGGAGACTAGAAAGAATGAAGGGATTGGAGAGGGGTGGATGATGAGAAATTACTTAATGGATACAATGTATTTTATTTGGGTGATGTAGACCCTAAAAGCCTTGACTTCACCACTACCTAATCTACTCATATAACAAAATTGCTCTTGAATCTCATAAATTTATACAAACAGAAAAAGACAGCACTGTTATAGAATAACTATCTTCATTCTTATTCTATGATCATTCAAACAGTAAGCCATACATGTCATATACATATACACCTCATATACATACATGTATACGTACACCCATGTACATATATACATGTACATATACATACATATATGTATAACATACATACCTCATATACACCGCATATACAAAGTCTATCCCCAGTTTCCCTCTGTGTTCTCCTCTTCATCTTATAAAACATCCATTTATGCCCTATAAAAAGCCACCCCAGCCACCCTAGACATGTGGCA
Organism: Homo sapiens; assembly: GCF_000001405.40. Taxonomy (NCBI): domain Eukaryota; kingdom Metazoa; phylum Chordata; class Mammalia; order Primates; family Hominidae; genus Homo; species Homo sapiens. The sequence goes on along the minus strand of NC_000004.12, from coordinate 11,006,133 downwards.
CCACTGCCTTGTCCAACTTATGCATATAGTAGAATATACCTCCCTACTTTGCTCACACACTATTTTCTAAAGCTTACGACTTCTTCACTCATGGAAATCTCATATGCCCTTTAAAATCATGCAGAATGCTGCCTTATCCATGAAGCCCCCAAAGGTTTCTTCAATGTAATCCTTTATAACTAAAGCAGTTTACTTACTCTTCTCTCAAAACAAATCTTTTTTAAAAATATTTTGCCTCTTGCCTCAAATATCTATTACTGTGTGTGCCTCTCATACACTTTTGTCAGCAACTTGAGCATAGGAGGTATTTATCCAACAAATATTTAGTGGGCACCCAATATGCCTCAGGCATCCCATTAGCTCTGGGATTACATTCAATAAATAGAAAAATAAGTACTTTTATTTTCTTTTATTCTCACTGTTATTTTTTCTGATGCTAAAATGGGATTGGAAGTGCGAAAGACTTACTGGAAGAAATGCTCATGAAGGACACAGAGGGCAAGAGCAGGTGCAGGTAGGAAGACCCTTAGACCATGACACAGATGTGACACCTGTAAAAGGAAATAGGGAAAGGAAGAATAGACAGGAAGAGCCTCAGACCTCAGAGCCACGCAGAGGAAGTCTCAGCCAGGTGTCAGTAAGGCATCTGCTATTGTCTGAATCGGTGTGTCTCACCAAATTTCATACGTTAAAATTCTAAACCCAAACCTGATGGTATCAGGACATGGTGCCTTTGGCAGGTGATAAGGATGAAGCCCTCATGGATGGGTTCATGCTCTTATAAAAGAGGTCAGAGAGAGACACCACCCCACACACATCATGCCTTCCACCATGTAAAGACAGAAAGACGGCACTGCCTGTGAACCAGAAAATGGGCCCTCACCAGAAACAGAATCTGCCAGCACCTTGATTTCAGACTTCCTAGCTGCCAGACCAGTGAGAAACAAAAATCTGTTGTTTATAAGCTACCCAGTCTATGCCATTTTTTGTTAGAGCAGCCTGAATGCACTACGACAGCATTTTTGAGCCAAAGTCACCTGTTGGAATAGGCTTCCACTGTAGGGCAGGAATGGACCTGTACTAGGAACCCGACCGTGCTCAGTATTCAGTATTCGTCTGAGAGCAGCCCCGGGGAAGTGTGGCCTGAGTGTTTACGCCTCCACCTGGGGAAGATCTGAGGATGCAACAGGTTTGGCTGAAGGGACTCAGTCTCTTTGCAGTAGGTTCTCTTAAAGGGATATCTAACTGGGGGACATCCATGATATACAGCTCACTTGTTTTCATAAAAGATCCAGGTGACTTAAAATGTGGCATGCAGAGTAACAGCATCAAGGTTAACTCCAGGCTTCAGAGTCATAAGGTCATGAGTTTGAACCTCAAATGACTATTTTACAGTTGTATAATCTTAGGGAAACAAGCTCATTCTCTAGGCTTTGGTCTTCATCTGTAAAACAGCTGTTGAGTGTTGTTTGTTTACTCAAACACCTCACCGGATAGCTATGTAAAATAATAAAATGCATATAAATCATAGAGCCTACAACATCATGTTTCATTGATATTAGTAATGATACCCATTATTGTTGCTATTGTCATCATTGTTTAATTTTTTGGACCCTGAAATATCAGAGTGTAAATATATACACAAAATCCATCAAAGAAAATGAAAATAAAATCCAGATATGCTAGTGATATGGATAAACCTTATATTTCCTGGCAGTCTTTCTTGAAAGGGAAATATTAGCTGTTACTTAATTCTAAATCTCCAAAAAGAAAATATCTCTTTCCATACTGGAAATGAAACATTTTCAGCACTAAAATCGAGATGATATTTTTCACAGCATATTCAATGGGGACAGGAATTTATTTATCCAACATTTCCCTTGGGCCAGGTTGGTGCATCTCCCAGATTCTGTGCTCAGTAGAGGTGGGTTAAGTTGATCTGAGAGATAGGAATGCAGTTCCAGGGCCATAACTGTGTTTCCCTTCCACAGAAATACAGGAGCTTTGAAAAAGCTGTTCAGGTATCAATATGAGTACATTTGGGAAAATGGAAACATCTTATAATAGTTAAACCTCTTATTTGTAGTATCATGAGCACTCTAGGAGCTTTCTGGAGACTTTCTGGAGATCACTAGGAACTTGTGGATGGAGGGAGGTGAAGATGCTGACCTTCGACCCACAGAGATCTGTGTTTCAATGCCAGTTCCCTCCTTTCTTCCCTTTACAGATTGTTGGGAATATATATGTCCTCCCTGAGCCTGTTTCTCCATATGCACAATGTGGATAATTATACCTTGGCAGAAGTGTTGAGAAGATAAAGCATTTACAGGAAAAGAAAAAAGAAAAAAAAAATAGAACAAAATTGCCTTAGTTTGGGTTCCCTTGGGAGCAGACAGACAGGGAGGGATTTGAGGGCAAGAAGTTAATTTTCGAGATGAAAGCAGAAAACCCAGATAAGGGGGTGTTATAAGTTTAATCATGTCCTGCCAACACTTATATGTTGAGTGCCTAATTCCTAATATTTCATAATGTGACTATATTTGGAGACAGTGTCTTTAAAGAGGTGATTAAGTGGTCATCTGGGTGAGCCCTAATTCAATATAAGTGGGGTCTTTATAAAAAGAGGAGATGAGGACACAGAGATGTATACAGAATGAAGTCCATCTGAAGACAGGAGGAGAAAATGGCCATCTACAAGCCAAGGAGAGAGATATCAGAAGGAATCCACCCTGCTGACACCTTGTTCTCTGACCTCTAGCCTCCACAATTGGGAAAGAATAAATTTCTACTGTTTAAACCTCCCAGTCTGTGCTACTTTGTTAAGTCAGCCCTAGCAAACATATACAGGGAATGGGGAACTGCCACAGGCAACCTGATATGGCTTGGATGTTGGTCCCTCCAAATCTCACGTTGAAACATAATTCCCAGGATTGGAGGTGGTGCCTGGTGGGAGATGACTGGATCATGGGGCAGGTCCCCAGGGTGAATGGGTCCCAAGGGTGAATGACTCAGCACCATCCTCTTGGTGATAAGTGAGTTCTCACTCTGGTTGACATGAGATCTGGTTGTTTAAAAGAATGTGGCACCTCCCACCACTTTGCTCCCACCCTCACCGTGTGACAGGCCTGCCCCCCCTTCACCTTCCACCATGATTGTGAGCTTCCTGAGGCCTCACCAGAAGCAGATGCTGGTGCCATGCTTCTTGTACACCTGCAGAACTGTGAGCCAGTTAAACCTCTTGTCTCTATAAATTACCCAATCTTGGGTATTTCTTTATAGCAACACAAGAATGGACTAACATACAAGGGAAGGAGGCTACGCTGGGTACACTGATTAACACGGGACCAACTATAGCCACTAGCTTCAATCCCACTGAGAACACTAGGTAACTGTATGTAGTTATCTCACCCTCAGGGTGGAGAAGCTGGGTGCCCACCCAGCAGGCTCCATCCATCACTGGTCATGGGCTCTGTCTGGGAAAATAGCTCCCTGGCCTGCCACACACTGTCAGGCTCAGCAGTTTCTGAAGTGTAGAGCCTCCTCAGGCCAGAGCACTAAAAATCCTTATAGCCATGGAACCTATGAGTGCCCAGGGCACAGGGACAGTATATCTATGGCATCTTCTTCCAAAATGCTTAGTAAAATCTGGTTACAAAATATAGTAACGTACTGCACAAGGTTATTTGGGTATACAAAAGTGGTCCACAAGAGGATAACAGAGCCAAAAAATTTCTATCTCCTGGTGACCTTTTCATGATCCTGATCCTGTATATGCCTAGGCTAAGGTATGTGCTCGTGTCTTAGTTTTTAACAAAAAGAAGTTTAAAACATTAAAAAAAGTTGAAAAATGGAAAATAGAGAAGAGCTTATAGAATAAGAATAGAAATAAAGAAATATTTTTGTACAGCTATGCAGTGTGTTTGTTTAAATATTATTACGAGAGAAAAAAGTTTAAAAAATTAAAAAGTGTATAAAGTAAGAAAGTTACAGTAAGCTAAGGTTAATTTATTATTGAAGAAAGAATTTTTTTATACATTTAATGTAGGCTAAGTGTACAATGTTTGTACATCTGAAGTTGTGTACAGTAATGCCCTAGGCTTCACACTCACTCACCATTCACCTACGACCACTTGCAGGGCAGCTTCCAGTCCTGCAAGCTTCATTCGTAGTAAGTGTCCTAAAAAAGTGCACCATTTTATTTTATTTTATGCTGTATTTCTACTATACCTTTGTACTAGTCAGGGTTCTCTTAGAGAAACAGAACTAATAGGATATGTGTGTGCATATGTGTGTATACGTGCGTGTGTATACGTGTGTGTGTATATATATAAAGGGGAGTTTAGCAAGTATTAACTTACACAATCGCAAGGTCCCACAATAGGCTGTCTGCAAGCTGAGGAAGGAGAGCCGGTCCAAGTCTCCAGACTGAAGAACCTGGAGCCCAATGTTCAAGGGCAGGAAGCATTCAGTACAGGAGAAAGATGTAGGCTGGGAGGCTAGGCCCATGTCTCCTTTTCACCTTTTTCTGCCTGCTTTATATTCCCTGGCAGCTGATTAGATTGTGCCCATCAGATTAAGGGTGGGTCTGCCTTCCCCAGTCCACTGACTCAAATGTTAATCTCTTCTGCCAATACTCTCACAGACACACCCAGGATTAATACTCTGTGTCCCTCAATCCAATCAAGTTGACACTCAGTATTAACCATCACAACCTTTGTATGTTTAGATATATTTAGGTACACAAATAAATACTTACCATTGTGTTAGAATTGCCTACAATATTCAGTATAGTCACATGCTGTACAGGTAAGAAGCCTAGGAGCAGTCGGCTGTACCATATAGCTTAAGTGTGCAGTAGACCAGACCATCTAGGCTTTTGTAAATACACTATGTTCACACCATAATAAAGTCACCTAATGGTGCATTTCTCAGAACCTAACTTCATTATTAAGCAACGCATGACTTTAAACAAAGGCAACATTAATGAGTTCAACACATGCTGTTTTACTGGCCCTGGGCCCTGCTGTAGGCCCTGGAATTACCCAGATGACCCACACAGATCTCAATCTTGCCATCCTTCAATGTGGAGTTTGGATGGAAATGAGGTGGTCACAGGAGATAGAAAGAGAACTTTTAACAAACAAGTAACTTTTGAGAGTGGTAAGCACTATAAAGGAAAAAACGTAGGACACTGAGATAGACTAACTGACCCAAGGTCACCAGTATTTGTAAGGAAGAAGGACAGAAGTGAAGGAGTCCTATTACATACTCCCTCACACAGAGGGAGAGCAACTTGATTTACCAAGGGACTCAGAATTCAAGGGAAAACCTGAGTTTGGGGCATGTGCAAATTTTCTTCTGGAAGAGAAGAATGTGGAAAGGGAAGACCCTGAAAAACTATGCAGAGAAGACACAAGTTTAGTTTTTCGAAAGGCAGACAAATGTACTCTGAGGGCAGTGACCTTTGACTGGTGCTGTCCTAAATTGTCTTCTGATATTTTTATGAGTTATAAACTTTTAGATGCGTAAAAAGCTTAGTATGTGAAGAACAAATAACTATAATTCACCACCGAAGGAAGCAGTGGGCCTATAGATAGGCATTTACATATGTTCTGGCATTGGCAAAGTAATTCAACCGCCCAGTGGGCTTCAGTCTAGTTCTGAACCAGGGGGGGAATGTGCCCCCAGGAGACATTTGGCAATATCTGGAGACATTTTGATTGTCACAGCAGGGAATGCTACTGACATTTTGTGGTGAGTGGCCAAGGGTTCTGCTAAATATCCTAAAATGCAAGAATAGCCCCTCTACTCCACCATAGCAGAATTATCCGACCAAAACTATCAACAGTTCCAAGGTCAAACACTTCAGGAAAGTCAATGATGCTGGGCCTCACCCCCTCAACTGCAATATTGAAGTTCGTCTTCTCATGTTTGTTCTTCCAATACCTAAAACAAGGCCACAATCATTAGATGAAAAATAAACATCAATTATCACATGAGAAATGCTGGTCGTCAGAGCAGTGTCATACAATAGAAAGAGAACAGGATTTAGCAGCGGATGCCCTGCTGTTTCGTTATTTCGCTTACTACCCATGTAACTTCGGGTGTGTGGCATGGTCACTCTGACCCTCAGTTTTCTTATCTGTCAAAATAAGGCAGGTGTAAATGTAGTGTAAACACACATAACAAGCAGCCAGCCATGTAAGACACAGAATAGATCCTCAAGTCTTCTCTCTCACAACTGTCACCCCCACCCTGGTGGCTCAAACAGCATTATTAAGTCACTCTACGCTCATTTCTAATTTTGAATCAATAAAAAATAATTTTTTTAAATTTTTCCTCATGTAGATATCAGTCTCAACTGCTCAATCACTTTTTTTAGTGGGAGTTGGATTATAAGAATTGAAATCAGAAAGAAAGTGTAGACATTATTTTCCAACATTATATTTTTCAGTGGTTTTTAAATTTTTAACCTAAGTTCTTCGGAAGGAAGAGAAACCTGAATACAGAGAGGAGATCAGCACATAAAAGTGAGACTTCAGAATCAGTAAAATAATCCTGTTTGGAAGAGGTTTTTTTTGTTGTTGCTGTTTTAGTGTTTGTTTTTGTTTTTCCCCTAAGGGTTTATTCTCCTATTTGAGAAATCAATGGGCTAGCTAATCAAAAATGAAAGACAAGAAGATTTAAATGGTTATAATGAGTCCTGTGAGCTTGGCTGTGGATCATAGGGAAACTGACAACAGTGAGAGCTGGTTGTCCCAGTACATGCTCAGAGCCAGGCGTTCAGCTGAGGGTGATTTGTTTGTTTCACTCTCCCACCAACTTCTCAAAATAGTTATTCTTCTTTCCATTTTCCATTTTACAGATGGGTAAACGATGCTCAGTGACATTAAGCAACTTGTCTGAGGTCACTCAGAAAGTGCTGGAACAACATTGTTTAATATTTCAAATATTCACACACATTAATTCATTGAATGTTCATTAATATTGCATGTAACTAACTTGGAAATGTTTTTCTTTCTGCCTAGTTTTTGTTTTCTTTCAAATAAGTAACTGAAGGCTCACAGAGATTGAAGAATGCTTTCAAAATGATGTCATTCTTGGGAGAGAGTCAGGAGGGGTCAGTTCAATGTAGTCACAAGTTATGATAGAGAAATAGAAAATCTGGAATTGAGACCCAGTTTTGCTTTACAAAAGCCACTCGACATGCCTTGCCTTAAAATTTGCATTTGCAAAAGGGAATACTAATGATGCATAGATGGACATAATTTAACAATATACATCAATTACCTCTTTGATACCTCACAACAACTCTTAAGCTGGTTACATCAAGGACCGTCAGCTACAGTCCTGTTGCTGTTCCTTCCACAGGTTTTGCGTTCTTTAAATCTGAAGACTGCCTGTTATTTTTCATTATGTAATCTGGATATAGTCAGTGGCTGACACATAATAAGGTTTCTGTAAATGTCTGCTGGCTAAAAGAATATTCAGTAAACATCTAGAAAAGAATGTATTTCCCCAGTATCTTGCATGAGCTATTACAGAAATTTAGTATCATTTTCTGTTCCATTTTAATCAATCAGATAAATGGACACCATTGTGTAGCATGTCAATAACATTATTGAAGTCAAAGTCATTTCTGAACTTGACTTCACATTTAATGTGGAAGGAAGAATTAGCAACACACCCGTAAACAATAATGATGACTTGCTGTTTGCAGGCTATGTTAGTCACTGTCCTAACACAGGGCCCAGATGTAATATTCCATGGCTTGAAATCTACATATTACCTTGAACTGATCCCTGTGCTAAACTTTAAGCTCACATAGTCAACTGCCTATGTGGCATTTCCACTTAGTTGTCTAATAGATATTTCTAATTTAATGTGGCCAAAACTGAGATTTCAATCTTTTATTTTCCCCAAAGCTGCTTCTCCCCTCGGTGACCCAATCTTAGGAAATGACGACTTCATTCATTAAGTGGCTCAGGTCAAGAGCCTGAGCATCCTCCACGACTGCTCTGCCTGTATTCATACCACTCATATTCAATGTATCAGATGTTCATTTGGGTTCCGCTTTGAAAAATACCTAGATTCTGACCCTGTCTCTCATCCTCTATGACTACCATTGGCTCCAGCCATCATCATGTCTCTCCCACACTGTAAAAATAGCCCTAATTGTTCTCCCAGCCATGACCCTTCCTTGATCATGGTTACAATATCTGTTTTTGTCACTTCTCTCTTCTGATTTTCCATATTTCAGAAACTTACCCTTAGTCCTCTCTTGTGTTTGTCTATGCCATTCCTCATACATGCTTGGAGCCTTTCTTTTTATTGTTTTCCCAGCCTTAAATTTGGTGTCTTGTTCATGCTGAACTCCTAGTGTCTAAAACAGTGTCTGGTACATAGAAGGAACTCAATAAATATGTGTGGAGTGAATAAAGCAGATATTATGTAAACTAGTTGGAAAAATATCATTGATGGTCACTCAGATTCTTTCAAGTTTGGAAATGCCTGTGTGCATACATTTGAACAACTTTAAGGAAATAGCCCATCATATATGTTTGATTTGAAATGTTGTAAGTAACAACACATGATTACAAATTCCAGACTCTTTATCAAAATATACGCCTACCAGGATCCAGGTTTTAGAAAAACAATAGAACCTTGGAGTGATAATTCAGATTTCACACATGCTTCTATTTGGAGGGGGACCTATTTCTATAAAGAGAGAAGACGCATCTTGACAAAACAGAAATGCTTTGAAGAAGAGAAATTAAACATAATTAAAGGTCACAGATTAAGTATAGAAGTTTACAAAAGAAAAACGTGTGTGTGTGTGTGTATGCTTGTGTATGTGTGTGTCTGTGTATGTGTATGTGTGTATGTGCGTGTGTGTGTATGTGCATGTGTGTGTGTGTGTGTGTGTGCTTTCCAAATAACATTCAGTAATGCCGAATGGAAGTACGGCTTTGAGAAAGTTTAGAGGCAAAAGAAAGATAACAATTAAAGTTTTTCCTTAGTTATAAACAGAAGTGAATGCTTAGATGAAAATCGCTAAAAATGTTTAATTAGAAAAAATAAAATTAATTTGTGTTTGCAGTCAAAAGTATGTACTACTTTAACCTTTGTTTTAACTCAGATACAATCTTGCTTGAGAAGAAAAAAAAGTAGAAGTTAATTAATATGAACCGTCTCTCTAATAAAGTTTTAACATTTCAATTTAAGGGAACTAATAAGCACAATTTCCTTTCTAGTCCAGATTTTCTTGTTTCTCTCCTTTTGTAGAATCTAGATGCTTCTAAATTTTTCCTAAGCTTTTTAAAATAGAAACTACATTTCCCCTGGAGGCAGCTAAGCAAATTTTTTTGCCCAGCGTCTAACCTTAAATTTGTTCAATCTTTTTAATTATAAAAATTTCACAAGAGGTTAAAACAAGTATGTGGTCTCATAAATAAAATTTTTCAAGTAAATACCAATTATATGTAAACTTAGAAAGTGGTACAAACAGCATCTCTAATCCAAAGGGAATGGAATCCCTCTCTAGAAATTGTGGTGTTCATTTTCTGGGTCTATTAGTGCTAAATAGTTCAGCAAATTCTGAGCTTCAGGTTTTCTGTTTGCAAATAGAGGGGAAATTGCCCCAGCTCTCTCTGCAGTACCAGAATATTTCAAAAATCCAATCAAATAACAGATGAAAGAGCATTTTCAATGGGTTACCATCAGTATCTCGTGCGCACATCCATACAGCCACTCATGGGGAAGCAGAAGACAAACTTCTTTATTAGCCATGTGAAGGTCAAGTCTCAGGTGCACGTCTCTCATGAATATGTTTACATCATGAAAGTCATCTTTGGCTCACCAGTGACACACTCCTACTGTTCCTGTCTCTAGAAAGATGGTCTCATTATGGCAAGAATGATTTAGAGATTAATATGCTTAAAATAATGATGTAAATAAGAATTTTGCTCAGAAAACTATTTTTAGTAACGCTATCTTGGGGCCCTCCGTTCTGAAAACCAGGGCAATCAAAACCATGTGCTTCAGCAGGCATTCCTCTGGTTTTCTCTCTGGATACCAAGAATTTGCTTCAGAAAATCATTTGTAGCTATGATCAGTTTCAGAGAGGCCAACATTGAAGAGATGAGAAAGTACTTTCCTGAGCCCAGTTTAAATATTCCCTTCACCCTGGGAGTTCTTGGCCACCTATAGTTTCAAGAATTCGGTTTGGTTTGCTGTTCCATAATACAAATGTCAGCCAAAGCCACCATATCCTTAAAATTTACATAAAATTGACATGGAGTGTCCAGTGCTCTCCCCAAATGTTCTACAAACTTCTAAGGCTTCTTAGAATGCACTTTTTCTGCATCTGCATTCTCTTTCTGCTGGACGTTTGCTCTCTTTTCATGAATAAACAGCCATAGCCCATCCCTTTTTCCACTCTGAAAGTTACCAGAGAAGGAAATTATACTCTTTACTTTTAATATTAAAAAAAATCATACCCAGCATTTGTGATGTAGCACTCTTTAGTGAACTTGGCAGATAGATGATTTGCAGTTTTTTTTTTTTTGTTTGCTTGTTTTTTGTTTATTTTTTAGATGGAGTCACTCTGTCGCCCAGGCGGGTGTGTAGTGGTGCAATCTCACCTCACTGCAACCTCTGCCTCCCCGGTTCAAGCGATTCTCATGCCTCAGCCTCCCGAGTACCGGGACTACAGGCGCCCGCCACCATGCCTGACTAATTTTTTGTATTTTCATTAGAGATGGGATTTCACCATGCTGTCCAGGCTGGTCTCCAACTCCTGACCTCAGGTGATCCACCCGCCTTGGCCTCCCAAAGTGCTGAGATTATAGGCGTGAGCCGTCGCACCTGGCCAGAGGGTTTTCTACTTATTGTAACATCCCGGATTGTAAAACTCAATTTCAGCCACACCACCATGGGGCTAAGCTGCTTCTGTCCCTCAAGACTGGCCCACCTAGATTCCTTGGATTTCTTATTCAGAACAGCTGTGCTGTTCATCAGCCATCATATGTGTATTCACTCGCCCTCTGTGTCGATACCATACATCCTCAATTTTACTCCTCACCTCTAGTGGCCCGCAAGGACTGGCTGTGGCTGTGATAGGATGGTCTCTTCCTTCCCCCTTCCCCATCAGATTCTGTAAGTGAAGGTGAGCAATGTGGAGATTCATTTTTCTTGTTATATACATTATCACAAACTTCTGTTGCTTTCTTATAGGGAAAAGGTGACTCGTCAATTTTCATAAACTCTTTTTAATGTAGAATTTTAGCTCAGATTTACAGAAAACTTGTGAAGATTGTGGAGAATTTCAATAAATTCCACAGCCAATTTCCTCTGTTGTTAACATATTTACATTAATATGCTACATTTGTCAAAGCCAATAAACTGATATCAACATTATTAAATAAGTTCCTGCTTTATTCCAGTTTCTTTATTTATACTTAATGTTATTTTTCTATTCAATAATCTCACCTAGAATACCATGTTATCCCAATCAGTTTTGGTATTAAATAAACTTTGAAGAAATTAATTCTGATATATTTCCTATGGAGTTTCTCAGAAACTTTTAATTACTCTCAAACAAACTTAAAATTAATAGTAATAGTAGTAACAGTAATAGTAATAAAAACGAAGTTTTGGGAAACCCACACCATAGCTTATGTGAGATTATGAATCTGAGAGGGTGACAGGGTCTTTCCTTTCTGGTTTTTTTTTTTTTGAGATGGAGTCTCACTCTGTTGCCCAGGCTGGAGCGCAACAGCGCAATCTCGGCTCACTGCAACCTCTGCCTCCCAGGTTCAAGCAATTCTCCTGTTTCAGCCTCTTGAGTAGCTGGGACTACAGGCATGCGTCTCCACGCCTGGCTAATTTTTGTATTTTTCATAGAGACGGGGTTTCACCATGTTTGTCAGGCTGGTCTCGAACTCCTGACCTCAGGTGATCCACCCACTTTGGCATCCCAAAATGCTGGGATTACAGGCGTGAGCCACTGTGCCTGGCCGGGTCTTTTCTTCTTGTGCTGTCAATTGTGTTGTCTATTTCACCAGTGATGACGTGGTGCTCCAGAGAGCAGGTAACCTTTTTCTTGTTTCCATTGTGTATCAGTGATGAGATCAGGGCTAGAACCCTTGGCACATATTTTTGAGCACTCTCAATTTACTTTGCTAATCATGAGTCCTGCCATCCTTAAGTGGAAGACAGAAAATTCCCATCCTGACCCACTTGCAGCTACAGTCAGAGCATGTGACCTGCTTCGCTTCTGTAAGACTTGGCGTGACAGATCGGGAAACAGACCCAGATGCTCCCTCAGGCACCCATTCACTCATAGGTGAGTGGGACTGCCTGGAGAATTCCTCCAGTGTGACCCCACACTAGCCCTGGCTGCACAGCATCAGAGGTCCACTTTCTGCCCATCCAGGGAATACCTGGGACTACACGGTATCTTTTAATAAATTGCTTTTCTGTTTAACCATAATAGGGATTCTATTGCTTTCATCTAAGGATTCTAACTAATAAAGCTGAAATTCTCAGAAACCCTTCCCAGGATTAATTCTATTTATTTCCACTACACAGTCAGTCTCTGCAAAGTTTAATTAGTAACAATATGGTGATGGTTTTGAGTATCTTCTCCTTCCTTTGACTCCACTTAGACTTAAAGGAAAATTTTAGGAAAAGGGAAAATGTGTTGGCGTGTGTATGAGTTTGTCAGGACTGTTGTAACAAAGTACCGCAAATGAAGTGGTTTAAGCAACTGAAATGTATTGCTTCACAGTTCTGGAAGCTAGAATTCTGAGATTGAGGTGTTGGCAGCATTGGTTCCTTCTGAGGGCTGTGAGTGAAGGTCCTTTTCCAGGCCTCCCTCCAGCTTCTGGAGCTCTGCTGTCGGTCTCTGGTGTTCCATGACTTAGAGAAACATCATCCCGATCTCTGCCTTCATCTTCACATGGTGATTTGTGTGTGTGTGTGTGTGTGTGTGTGTGTGTGCGCGCGCGCGCGTGTGTCTCCACATTTCCTCTTTTAATAAAGACAATAGTCATACTGGATTAGGTTTTACCATAATGACCTGATTTTAACTTGATTACCTCTGTGAAGAACCTATCTCCAAATAAAGTTACTACAGATAAAGTACTGGAGAGTAGGACTTCAACATATAAATTTTGTGGAGACATAATTCAGCCCAAACAGCACCCACTAAGCGATTATCAGCTTATTGAAAGCTAACTCCTGCAAGGTTGTAAGTACTATTCAGGCCATGGTACTCTGAAAGGGACTGACAACCAGAGAAAGAGGTAGTGCTACAGTCTCTGGCTCCAACAGTCAAGATGAAGAGTTTATTATGACCAATAATCAGTTGGGGAACAAAGATGTTCACTGATACTAGATACTAGGCATGAGCCTCGTTTTGCAAATCTGGATATGCAAGCAAGTTTTGATTGGGAAAGTCTCAAAAGTCTAGAATCTGGGTAGGTCAGTCAGTTGGCTCAAGTCACAGTAAACCAAAACAAGGAGATACATATTGACTTGTGATTGAGAAGAAGTCAATCTCATGTTGGGGTCCTTTATGAATTTTCTGTCAAGAAACTGGAGTCTAGATCCCAGGTTTGGGGAAAGACAGGAAGGTTTCTGCAGGTGATTATGACATTAGTGTGCCTTCAGTGTCTTCCCTGAAAGAATCCAGTCACTCTTTCCTCCTTCCTCCTTCATTCCCCACTGCTCCTTGTCTAATCAATCACCAAGTCTGTCAATGCCAGTTCTTTCATATCACCCATGCCCATCCTCCCCTCTCAATCTCTACTGTCACTACCATATTGCAGGCCTCTCATTCCTTGTTCAAATTATGATAACAACTTTACTTTTTCAAAATATCGATATGACTTCATTTCTGGTTTTCACTTAAATTTTTTGCTTCTTTAAAATTTATTTTGGTGTAATAGGTAAATACACGTTGCCAATTAATTTTTTTCTACTAAAGGCTCTTCAGTTGTCACAATACAATTTATTAAATAATCCATGTTTCTTCACTGATTTCAATGCTGCCTCCATCATATCCCAACTTCCTGTATGTACCTTGTTCTAATTTAGATTGTCTTTCACTCATCATTTTGACAATTCCTGTGCCAATTTCTGTTTTAATTACAGCAGGCTTATAATATATTTTAACGTGTAATATTAAATCTGTCTTTTTATTACTCTTTTATTTCAGAGTTGTCTTTCCTATTGCTATAAGTTTGTTTTCCAAGACAGACTTTAAAATAATTGTCAATTAAAAAGTAATTGGGATTTTGATTGGAAGTGAATTGAATTTGTAGATTAAGTGTGGGCTAATTGTCACCTTCACAGTACTGAGTCTTTCCTCCTCACAAGCTAGGCAAGTTTCTTCACCTGCTTATTCTTTCATGTTACTCTCACGAGGTGTTTTCAGTTTTCATCCTAAAAATTCTATGTCTTTTTATTAAGTTTATTTTTATTTGTGTTCATGTTATTGCTGTAGTGAATGGAGTTTTGGGGGTTTTATTTTTGTTTTAGTTTGCATTATGAGAAAGCTATTAATTTTTATGTATTTATTACTGCTAAATTTATTGAACATTCTGATTTTATACATTGGTGATTCGATGAGTCTTGTTAGGTTTTCCCAAAATGCAATTGCATCACCTTCATAACATCATTTTGTACCTCTGTCAAAGTTGACCTTAAAAAATTAGAACACGTAAAAGAAAAGACTGGTGATTCGGACCACATAGAAACAAAAAATTGAAATTTGAAATTTAATAAATAACTTTTTTAGCTTCGTCATGAAAACTATGATAAAGAAATAAGCAAAAATAAGACAACTATGTTAAATAAAATTATGAGTAAACCACACCAATGCAGAATTCTCAAAACATGAATCACAGACAGGAAATATATGAAAAGACATTCAACTCCATAGGTAATGGAAAAATACAAAAATAAAATGAAATTTTTTTAGCCTATCATATCAGCAAAGATTAGAAAGATAAGTGACTATGGTGATGAGGAAAACATGGCACTCCTACAGTGATATAGGAAATGGAAAGCAGTGTAACTTTTGGAGGAGAATCAAGCAATAATATATGAAATTTTTATTGCATATATCTTTAACCCAGCATTTCTTTTCAGTTAATTTTTCCCACAATTTATTCAGGAAAGTCTGTAATAACACATGCTGTATGGATGTTCAACACAGTATTTTTTATAACAGCAAAAAACGTAATGTTCATCCATAAGGAGCTGGTTAAATTAATGATAGTACCTGCATATAACAGAATACTCTATGTCCATTTCAATAACAATGTAGAGCTGTATTTACCCACATACAAAGGCATTCAAAACATTTTATGTAGTAATAAAGCAATATAATTATTATAATCCTATTTCTCTAAAGTTGTTTTTATATTTATATACTCATATAACTTTCAAAAACTGCCACCCCTGCTTAAAATGAATTTAATGTCTGTTCATTGGGAAAACTATTCAAACTTTTTATTATGCCTCACAACCCAGGGCAGCTGTCCTGTCCAAATCCAGCTTTGCTCCACCTCTGCTGCCCTAAGTCTTAACATGTTTCCTCGCTCATGTGCTACACTGCTGTCTCTCAGTGTTGTGGACATGCCAAGATCTTTCTCACTTCAGGACCTGTGTCTGTTCTTTACTCTTCTGAGCCATTCTTCCCTAGTTTGTGGCACCCTTTAGGTCTCAATTGAACCACCGTTTTTTTATCAAAGCCTTCTTTAGTCACTCTATATTAACCTCCCCATTCACTAGCAGTAAGCACTTTTTCTCCCCACATAGCACTTGCTACAACTTTTAATTGTTTATTTCTTGAGTTGTTTTTCTGCTTATTATTCACTCCTGCCTTTATATTGAAAATGCAACAAAACCAAGGACCGTCAAATTTCTCATTCCTCATTGTCTGACACATATTAGATGATCAATACATATTTTTAATTAAAGAATATGCATGCAGAAATAATGGTGGATAGTCTCTGAAATGTTAGTGCTTATCTCTGGCCATTAAGATTTTTGGTCATTTTAAATATCTTTCTTATATACTTCTTATATACTTCTGTATGGACACTAAAATTAATTTCATATTTCTAATTATGAAAATTTTCTGACATTTGTTTGTACATATGTATCTATATATTAGCCAGGAATCTTCAGAGAAACAGAACCAGTAGAATATGAAAAAATTTATGAAAAGAGATTAATTATAAGAGATTTACCCACACGATTATAGAGGCCAAGAAATCCTGTAATTTTCTATCTGCAAGCTGGAAACCCAGAAAAGTCAGTGATGTAGTTTCAGTCCAAGCCCAGAGGCCTGAGAACCAAGGAAGCCAATGATTTAAGTCCCGGTTCAAGTCCAAAAGCCTAAAGACTCACAGTGCTGATGTCCAAGAGCAGGAGAAGATAGATGTGCCGGCTCAAGAAGGGAGAACAAACTCACCTACATCCACCTTTTGGTTCTATCCACACCTTCAACGGATTGGATGCTGCCCAGCCACATTGGTGAGTGTGATCTTCATATACATATTCTTTCTCTCTCTCTCTCTCACACACACACACATACACACACACAGAGAAAGAGAGAGAGAGGGAGAGAATATACATATGAAGAGTCTGGGCAGCATCCGTACATGAGAGAGAGATAATATATGCTTTGTGTGCATTTGTGTGCTTCTTGTTTTAAAATGCCCATCTAATCATATTCCTCCATAGCTTCACTGTTGCTCACAGAATACATTTTCAACACCTTAGAATAACACTCAAGTCTCCTACTACTTCAATGTCCCTTTTAAATCTTACTTTTCTAGATTAATTCATCCTGACAGTTTACCCTGAGCTTCAATCACA
This sequence comes from Homo sapiens, assembly GCF_000001405.40. NCBI lineage: Eukaryota > Metazoa > Chordata > Mammalia > Primates > Hominidae > Homo > Homo sapiens. Next base: position 10,989,240 of record NC_000004.12, on the reverse strand, counting down.
ATGGAAACTTCCCTGTCCAGGATGACACATTGAATTCACTCCTCCCTGAACTCTTGCTAACAGTCCGTGGAGTGCTCTTCTCTGTCTTTTCTCCCTGTTGGACTCTCATTTTATTCATATCAAAAAGATAGTACTTCGTCCTGTAAAAAGTTAGCTACTACTAATCCGCATAGCTGATTCTACCTCTAGAGTGTAAACTCTTTAGGATGGAGACCTTGGCTTATTCAAGTTTGACTTTGCAGTCTAGAGAATGGCATACATTAGGTATCATATACATAACTTGGTTAAATTATAAATACCTTTTACAAACACAATGTTTTAATTACTATTTTAATAATAAAATAGCCCCCAAGTCAGTAGCTTGAAACAGTAATTAACATTGTATTGTCTTCAACTTTTTCTTTGGGTTAGGAATTTAGGAAGGATAATTTTGGCTTCAAAGTATTTGTGAGGTTGCAGTCAGACAATAGATGGAATTGGAGTAGTGAGAGATTGAGACAATTGGCTTGTCATCTTTCTTTCTCTATGCAATATCGAGACTTCTCCATATGGTCTCACCACATGGACTAGGTTGAGCTTCCTTACATAATGGCAGTGTTAAAGCAATCCAGCTGCTTACATGGCAACTCAGGACTCCAGGAGTAAGTGTTCTGGTTAACACAGAGGATACTTTATTGCCTTGTATGTTCTGGCTTCAGAAATCAAGCCAATCATCTCTGCTGCGTTCTATTGGATAAGAGTGAGCCACTAAAACCAGCTGAATTCTAAGGTTCTAAGATTCTATCCCATGTCACAATGGGATTATCAAAAAATTTGTGAAGACATTCTGAAGTCCCCATAGATTGTCTTCTGAACCCTGGCTACAAACACCCCCTGGGTGTTTTAATAAAATTAAATAAAATTAGTAACAATTAATGCTAGAACAATGTTACCAGCTTAAAATGAAGGCATCCTCCTTGTACATAATTTTTCAGTCTGTTAAATAGAAAACAAACACAAGAAAGAAGAAAAAACATCTGGAGGTGATAAGACTGCAGTTTTGTTTTTAATAATTTACAACTGATGCAGAAGCTGCTTTCTTCTTGTGTCAAAAGTTGTGTTCCTCGAGATCATGTCCTTTGCAGGGACATGGATGAAGCTGGAAGCCGTTATCCTCAGCAAACTAACACAGGAACAGAAAACCTAACACCACATGTTCTCACTTAAAAATGGGAGCTGAACAATAAGAACACATGGACATATAAGGAGGAACAACACACACTGGGGCCTGTTGGTGGAGGGGTAGCAGGTGAGAGAGCATCAGGAAGAATAGCTAATGGACACTGGGCTTAACTCCTAGGTGGTGGGATGATCTGCACAGCAAAACACCATGGCACACATTTGCCTATGTAACAAGCCTGCATGTCCAGCATGTGTACCCAGGAAGTTAAAATAAAAGTTGAAGAAAAATAAATAAATAATAAAGTGTAAACATTGGGGAAAAAAGTGTGTTCCCATCCTCGGTGCACAGAAATCAAAGAGTTCTGTTAGTTAAGGAGTCCCTCTTTAGATCTGGGAGATGCTTCTCAAGTAGATATATTGATGCCTAGTCTCAAATACATATGGTAGATCTTACAACAGGCATGAATTCTGAAGCCTGTTGTAAGGCCTGGTTCTCCGATCCTGTATCAAAAACAGGTCTCAGGCAGCCAGGTAAAGAGCAAGCCTACCATATTTCTTGTGAGAGATGGCAAGGCCCACCTCAAGCTAGAGATTCAGCCAAACTTGATGGTTCTGGATGGCAAAGGGGACTTGAAGTTCAGACAAAAAATAATTGGGAGCACTGAACTTGGCTAACAGAGAATTCAAGGAATGGGGTAAGTTTCGTAATTACATTTGTGTTAGTCACTTGGGCTGCTATAGCAAAATACCATTGGGTAGCTTATAAACAACGGAAATTTATTTCTCACAGTTTTGGAGGCTGGAAATTCCGAGATCAAGGCACCAGCAGATTCAGTGTCTGGTGAGGGCTCATTTCCTGGTTCATAGATGGCAGCTTCTCATATGGTAGAAGGGGCAAGGAAGCTCCCTGGGGCATCTTTTATAAGAGCACTAATCTCATTCACAAGGGATCCATCCTCATGACCTCATCACCTCCCAAAGACCCCACCTCCTAACACCATCAGATTGGTGATTAGATTTCAATGTGTGAATTTTGGGTGGACACAACCAGTCAGAGCACAACACCAAAAAACCCATGTTTTCTAGATTTATGTATTGTACTTGTTTGGAAGGCTGTCCTATGGAAATGAAATACAATAAAATATTTGATGACCTCCTATTTATATGAGGCCCTCCACCTGACACAGATTGGTTGCAGAAAGCACACAATTTGGCTGGCTTGGAGGAGCACTGAGGTTGAGAGTTAAGCTGAATCCTTAGGAATGCAGAGTCTACTTTAGACAACCAAAGTTCTTCAGGCTAAAGGCAAGAAGTTATATAAATCCAAGCATATTCCTGAGCCTCAATGAAAGTAAAATCTGGGGACCAAATATTAGACATTATGTGTAAATGAAATTAAAAAGCCATAAATAGAGTGCCTTAGTCCATCTGAGCTGCTATAACAAAACACCATAGATGGTGGCTTAAAAACAACAGAAATGTATTTTCACAGTTCTGGAAGCTGGGAAGTCCAAGATCAAGGCATCAGTAGGTCGACTATGTGGTGAAGGTCCTCTCTCTGGATCATAGATTGTGTCCCCTCACTGTGTCTTCATATAGTGGAAGGGAGAAATGAGCTTCCCAGGGCCTCTATTATGAGGTCACTAATCCTATGTATGAGGGCTCCATTCTCATGACCTCATCACCTCCCAAAGGCCCAACTTCCTAATACTACCACATTGTGTGTAGAGTTTCAATGTATGAATTATAAAGGGGCACAAACATTCAGAACATAGCATACGGTATAACAAAAATGAGGGATTCAAGCCAGGGATTTGGCCAATGTTATGAATGGACCTGAACCCTCAGTGGCCAATGGCCAGTGGATCAGGAGTGGATTGTGCTGATGTAAAGACTTGGGAATAGATGCATACAAAATGCTATGGGAACTGAATGGAAAGCAGCATTTGCAGTGGGTTTTGACAGTTCTTATAATGGCTCATGATTGAAATTCTCTGATATAAATCACACATAGAAGCTTTCCTGATATACAAGGGGGGGCTTGAAATCCTAAGCAAGTGGACAACGTATCACGTAAAATAAGTGATTGAAAACAAAATTGGAGAATTGTGCCCTTGAGCACTCATTGGCCCTCCTATATTTCTGAGATAATCTGGATACTAAGCCACAGTGAAGAGAAACGGCCACAAATTATCTCCTATCCCAGAATCTTGCAGTAAATTGAAAGTTCTACTTCAAGTTTCCTTTAAAAAACAAAAAGAGAATTACTGATCCAGCAATCCTACTACTGCGTATATATTCAAAGGAAATGCAATCCGTTATCTTGAAAAGATATCTGGACTCCCATGTTTATTGCAGCATTATTCAAAATAAACAAGATATAGAATCAGTTTAAGTGTGCATCAATAAATAAATGGATTAAAAACTGTGGTACATATACATAATGGAACACTGTTCAGCCTTTAAAAAGAAGGAAATTCTGCCTTTGCAACAACATGAATGAACCTGAAGGACATTACACCAAGTGAGATAAGCCAGGCACAGAAAGACAAATCCTGCATGCTCTCCCTTATATATGGAGTCTACAAATACTAAACTCGTAGAAGCAGAGGGTTGAATGGTGGTTACCAAGGGCTGCAGGAAGGAGAAAGATGGGAAGATGTTGGCTCAAAGGGTGCAAAGTTTCAGTTGTAAGATTAGTAAGTTCTGGAGAATATACAGAATGGTCACTATAGCTAATAATGTTGTATTGTACAGTTGAAATGTGCTAATGAAACTGCTTTTGCAAATGTTTTATCAGGGAAAAAATTTAACAGTAAGCTAAGCTAACCCAATCTCCATATTGCCTTTCTCTTAATTATTCCTGGGCTATTGAGGGGTGGGAGAGTCCAAGAGAATCTTAAATTGGAAACACGTATTGTTTCTATTTGCTGGGAAGGGTGGGCTCATAAGGGTGACAGGACAAGGGTTTGATAAGAAATATCTCTTCAAATCAGAGATGCACCCAGGAACCCAAAGTCTCTTGTCTGTGACAGGTAATGAGGTAGGGTAGAGGCATGAATGACGTCAGCCTGGATCTGAGCCATCAGGCTGGAGTTGTCAAACCAGAATGAAGAAAACAATAAAAGCTTAACCTTAGTAATTAGGAGGGATGGGGGAATATAATTTTAAAAAGCATTTGGAATTGGCAACAAATTCTTTTTAAACTGACAATATTGAAGGTACAGAGAATGAATTGGAGTCTGAGGTCAGACACTGACTGGATGGGGTAATTTTACAGAGAAATGCTGAAATGAATCTGAATCTCTCTAGAAGGCTTATGGCCTCTGCATTTTCCTCCCATCTTAGAAGCACCTGAGGGCAGGTTTCTAGGGGGAGAAAGTTGAAAAGGACAACACCTATGTGTAAGCCCTGAAGGGGCTTGAACAAAAAGGCAAAAGTCATGTCTACCAGAGATCAAGAAGCCAGGAACTTGGAAGAGGATCCCATAGAGGCTCCAGGACCTGGGAAGAGGCAAACTACACACCCTTTGCTAGCACCTGCAACATGCCTGCCTTTCAGTAGGATACTCACGCCCATCATACAGTGCAGGGTCATGCAGATTGCTTCAAGTATTTCTGCAATGCTTCCCCATGACTCTCTGGGTTCACACTGTGCAGCCTTAAACAAACTATTTAGTTCCCCTCAGCCTTGGGGTCCTGACTTGTAAAAAGGAGAACAATCGCCTCTCGAAAGAACGTAAAGAAAATTAAAGGAGATACGTGAAATGCATTGTTCAGCAAGTTTTACATTCATAAAAATTACTGTTTTTTTAATTCCCTTTTGTTACCTTTTTCTGCAACATCATGCAAAATAAAAGTTGCAGGAGGTAGGGATACAATGCTGAGAATTCTGATATGTTTCCCAGAGACTGGGTGCAGCTCCAGCCTTCTAAAATGTGATGCATTCACCCCGGGGCTTCCTGGATGAAGCAACTCTGACACCAGGATCTAACTAAGCCTGGAGTTCTCTGCAGCCTGGAGGGTGGTTTCGCAGGGTGCAGGACTGAGGCAGCTCTTTGATAATCCACATACAAATATAATGATTCGTATAAATATCTTTTCCTTCACAATGTTACCAGACTGTGGGATTTCATTTGCATACCCCTGATGATCTCATTATACACTATTTTATCTCCCCGTTTCTGTCTGTCCCCAGTTAATTGGGTCCTATGGTATTAATCTGTCTGAAAAAGAATCTTCTGCTCCTGAATTTCAGATTTTGACTTACAAGTGAGTTGGTGCTGATAAAGTGATGTTATATGCAGAGAGTAAGCACAGGAGGCTTCCTGGAGGCCTTATCTCCTTCCTTAATATCTGTTAAGTCAACCATTGAGGTTTTATCAGGCTATGAATGGTGTTCAAAAACACAGTAAGACTAAAGCCACCACCTCCTCCTCATTAAGTTGATACAATTTCAACATTCCCATCAAGATGCTCTATCCCAGTGAACATTTGATCTCATTGCCTTTTTATTTCCAGCTGTCAGCTTAAAAACAGTGACTGCCTGTTCACCTTTCTCATCCTGCAGCGTCAGCAGAATTAGCCCTGGTGCTTCCTGTTTGCAAAAGACTCACCACCACCTTCCACCAGAGGTGCTGAGTCTGCACAGCTGGCCAAGTTCAGCAGATGGCTGGCAAGGGCTTCAGCTGGGGATTACACTGGCTGAAAAGACACAGTCATGGAATGTTTGCTACAGGCACCCTCCTTGAATGGGTACCATTGCGACAAAGAAGCCCAGCATAGGAGGCCACATAGAAGAAGAGAGAGAGAATCAGGAGGAATGAAAAGAAAGGAGGCAGGAGGATGCTGTGTCTTGCACAGGGCCATGTCTTGTTTGACTAAAAAAATATGCCTATCCCCAATTCCAGAAATATTCTCTTGTTGCTTTTTAATTCTCAGTAAATGCTTTGTAAAAATCTTACTGAAATCCCCTGCCTTGAGTCCTCTTTCTCCTCCCCTTCCTCATGTTCACTCATGCTCACCTGTCAACGCTCAGCTTTCCTGACACTTTCCTCTTCCAGCCCCACACTTTCAGCCTGGGGACTTCTACCTTTATTTGTACTCAAGCACACACACCTACACATAGCCCCATTTTAACGCATGCCACAACTTGTCTTTCCTAACTGAAGTCAGACCCTCTAGCTTATTTATCTCTGCATCCTCATTGCAGGCTTTGATAAAAGAAAAGAGATGCACAAAGGCAGGGACCAATCCTTGAGTGACTCCAGTGTCTGCAGACTCTATGAAAAAATGATGCAGCCAGGTTACCCACGTGCAATGGATTGCATGTTGAGCTATAATACTGTAACCAAGAACCCCCACTTCTCTGAGAGTTATTTTTTCTCCCTCTCTCTTCTTTTCTCTTTTTCTCATTTCCTCACTTCCTACTTAGCCTTTTAGAAATGCAAATATAGCTTTGAACTCCCCCCTCACCAGACACTCCCTACAGGGCAAGTTGATCTAACTATGTTCTTTGGGGCTCCAGAAAGTAACTCTCACCCACCAGGAAGTTGTCTGAAGAGATAACAATTGATTTACAACCTAAAGTATGCCCACCCACAGAGACACCAACAGTAACCACCTTGACCACCCACTAGATAAGGCACCAAGCTAACACGTGCTCCCCACCACCTCCTTGCTTTCCCCTCCCTCAACGTGCTACTCATGTTAACCCCCCTTTAAAAAATGCCTCCTTTCTGCCCCAAAAGTGAAGTGGTACTCTTAATGCAAGAGGCTGTACTTCTTCCTCTAAGCTAGTTTTGGAATAAACAGTCATTTTCTTTATATTAATACCAGACCTTGTTATTATTAATTGAACTCTGTAAGCAGCAAACAATGGGACCAGCATTGCAGTTAAAATACCATCATGTCATTCAGGGTTTTTGTGAGTGCAACACCATTCCTGACAGGCTGTAGATTTTAAATAACGTTTTGTTGACTCAATGAACAAATATTTGAATAAATAGATGAACAAAGGAGCAAAAGGCATAAATCAATAGTTTTCACTTAATTCATTGCTTTATCAGTAAGCCTGTCAAAAGAGAAAATAAGATAATACTTCAGATAAAACACCAGTTGGAAATCACTAGCCTAATTTAGTGAAAATCTATGAATGCAAGTCTCTCAGAGTAACATAAGTGACATGAAAGAAACATCTATGTGCTTGAGTTAGGCAGTTTTGTCAGAGGCATTTGAGCCAGAGAGACTCCATTTTGAGTGAGGGCTGGGAAAATGAGGCTGAGACTTGTTGGGCTGCATTCCCAAAAAGTCAGGCATTCCTAGCCTCTAGATGTTTACGGTTAAGGGAACAAATTAGTAATGTTTACTAAAACAGACTCAGACTTGGGAGTGTCCAGATATCCCAACATCTGGAGAACAAAGGCATTCCTAATTATGCTTTAAAGATAATACTATCAATTCTTGCAAAATATAGTAATTAAGAAAATCAATCCTTTGTCACAAACCCTTGTAGCAGAACACATCTCCCCATATATACAAGCATTGTACCTAGGGTGAATGCATTCCTCCTCTTACTTTTGGGAATGCCCTACTCTGTCTATGGAGTAGCTGTTCTTTCTCCACTCTACGTTCTTAATAAACTTGCTTTTGCTGTGCACTGCAGACTTGCCTTGAATTCTTTCTTGCTTGAGAACCAAGAACCCTCCCTTGGGGTCTGAATCGGGACCGCTTGCCTGTAACAGTTTCTATGTAATGCCAAACATGTGCACGAAAATATACTTTGTATTCCCTAAAGAAGATCATTTTGGATTGTGAACCTCTTTTTACAGACAAACCCTCAGCCCCCACCCCATTCACATGTCGCATGAGCACTGCAGTTAATATCTGGAACTAACATGGACAGTGATTCAAAACATCACATGTATGTGGGGGAGTGGACAGCTTAGTTCCAGTTACACTAAAACAAAATAATAAAGAAAACAATGATGAGCTTGAGTCATATCTCAGAAAGCTTGCTGGTGCATTTACTGTAATCAGTATCCATAGGACACTGATGGGTTCATCATTTCAATTTATTTAATGATAAAGGACTCTATTTTTCTCAATGCAATTAAGCAAAATACCACAGTAAACAAGTACTTTAGTGGGATAAAACTACCTCCATTTGAATCACTTATTTTTAAAGTAAGCATTCACTAATCAGCTCTAGAAAAAAAAAAATCCGACTATAAAATTGGCAAATATCTTTGGAAATGGAACTCCTTTTAGAAACCTGTTTAGGGAAAAAAGAACAAGGGAAGATAATTGTCTGTCTAAATGGATGCCATTTAACAAAGATGATTGGAGAGCTCTTGTGTATTTCCTAAACCATTTCTCCTTCAGGGGTTTTTTGACCAACCTTGGAAATCCATAAAAACCAACTATTGGTTTTTCAGTCTTTTTATTGGCTTTTCAACCTTTTATGGTGCTGCTGCAGTAAACATATTTATTGTATACAGTCTTTTTATTTGTTCATTCTTTCAGCAAATATTTTTGAGCTCTTCTATGTTTCAGCCACTCTTTTGGACGCTTAAGATGCTATGATGCACAAAAATGATATGTTTCTGGCCATAATAAAGATTATAGTTGGGAGGGGAGAAATGGTGAGAGGATATATATTAAAATTATAATCACTCAATTAACTTAATGAATCACCATCATGATTTGCTACAGAGGTTAACATCGTAGTACAACAAGGAGGCTTGGTGAATTGTTCAGCCTGGGACTACACTTCTGAGATGACATATTTGCTGGGAGCTAAAGAAGAAATAACTTTAATAGGCCACACTGTATTGAAAGAGTGTTTCAGATGAGGCATGGAATCGCAGCATATGTGAGTGCCCCCAAGTAAGAAGGAGTTCGATCATATTTGTTAATTTTTTGAGCACCAAATACTTCTCCAACTTAGATCTTTTCCAGCCTTCAGGGGTCATAGACTGGTGGGCCAAACAGAGGAGACGGAGCCAGCATCAGCCCTGAGAAGCAGCAGGAGTTGAGTCTTGGGAATGTCACTGAACTTAGGGTGCAGTGCAGGCTATATGCAGAGACTAGAAATTTGTAATGGCTTCATATGACACTGACCCTGGGCATGGTGGTGCAACACCAGCCAGTTCCCACTTACTAGAGGTGTCAGCCCCAACAGTACCTCTGCTTCATACAGTGACTACTAGGGGTTCTTACTAGAAAACTCTTAGAGCCATCTCTAACATGCTCAAGTTCAGAGACCTAGCTAAACTCCCAGCTTGGGATAAGTACAATGTCTCAAAGCAGAGAACGATTATGTCTTTGTATGGCTGGCCCTAGTTTATGCGCTAAGAAATTCTGAGAGTCCGAACAAAACAAGAGTCCCTGTTAGGAAACCTCTGTCAAGGTGGGGCTCTTACTGCTTAGTTTGTTCTCTGGATTATACTTGAAACATTAAATCATGGGACAACATTAGTTTTCCAGATCAACTCACCTAATCTTCAATTTCCCCTCCTATCTATTGAGATATTAATAAAAGTTAGAGTAGCAATCTCAATCTTTTTTTGTAGTAAGGGCTTGGAACAATATCAAGCTGTGCTTGACTTGGAGTATGCGGCAGGGATTGGCGCTGGTCATTCACGCAGGCCAGGACCCACTGTTAGGGGGCTTTGCTCACTGCTGTGCACTCAGCAGGCCTCCCTTCTGGGTGCATGCTCAATGACATTTGGTCACACTTTACCACTTTGCTGCACTGAACCCATTGCGCCTATCTCTGAAGATGTGAGCAGCAAGAGGAGGGTCAAAGTTGCAATCAAGTCAAATGACAAAACCAGCTAATGCTTACTAAGCACTTACTCTGAGCCAGTTAGTGTTCCCAACACATCTTGTATTAACGTATTACATTTTTAGGACAATATAATAAGGTAGGTGTTATTGTTATCTCATTTAAGAGATAAGAAAAACTAAGGCATGGAGATATTAAGTAATTTGCCATGGTAGCACAGCAAATAAGTGGAGGAGCTGAGAGTTAAGCTCAAGTAGTCTTATTCCTGGGCCTACATTTTTTAACGTCCTTACCATGTTGCCAGACAGACAGAACACTGACCAACATCTATGACAGACCCTAGAGCTCTGGTTTAGATGAGGTTGGATTGTGGGCTTAAGGAATGTTTTGGTTGGGCTCTCTTGGTGGTAAGGGACAGAGTCACTCAAGCCAGCTTAGGGAATAAAGGGTTGGATAATTTAAGGATGAATCTAAGTTGGAGGAGAAGACTGAGTCTTGCAGAAACCATAGAGAAGAGTTGTAATTTGCCTCATAGACACTGCAGATGGAGCATGTGTCTGGGTCCAAGGGGGTTTGAACAATCTCAGCAGGGACATTTATAGATCCATCTATGCTTCTCCACCTAGACCACTCAGTCTAACTCATATTTCCCTTTGTCTGCTCCCTTATTGCCTCTCAGGATTATGCCCAGTACTCTCTGTTCTGTATTTGTTGCTTCTGCTAACACCTGATTCCGTCCAATTCTAAGTCTAGGTATATGATGCAACTTCCCAACTCTAACTCTAGGTATACAATGCAACCTCCTTACTCTAACTCTAGGTGTACAACAAAACTTCCCAACTCTAACTGCAGGCGCACAACACAACCCCCAACTCTAGGTTACTATGCAACCTCCCAATTCTAACTCTAGGTGTACAATGCAACTCCCAACTCTAGGTATACAACACAGCCTCTCAACTCTAACTCTAGGTGGACAGTGCAGCCTCCCAACTCTAACTCTAGATGTACAGCACAGCCTAACAACTTTAATTCTAGGTGTACAATGCAACAGACAGAGGCTATGGATATCCTGCCCTACATCCGCTGCCCAGTGCTGTCTTCTCTTCTTGATGGCTAACAGCACCCTTCCTCACACTTCAGCATCTCTGCAGTGTCTGCCTATCGGCTTTTCCCAGGGCGGGTGCTTGTTCAATCCACCTTCAGAGCACCCTAAGGGGGCTCTAACACTCCCAAGGACACTCCCATCCAATGAGGATTGAGGAGTGGAAATTAGGAACTAAATGCCTCAGCTCCTGGAGGATGGATGCATTGCATACTCCTCGGAGGGTCCTCAGGAGAGAACAGGCAGCTGGGAATGCTTCAGGAAGAAACGCCAGGTACCCAGAAGCAAGTAGAAAAGTAATGAATATTAATGGTGTATTTATCTTGGGGCGGGATTTTTACAGTGGCCAGGTTAATAATTTTATGCACATTTATGCAGATCAGGAAAGAGGGCTACAGGGCTGGTGCCTAAAGGGCCCACAGCCAGAATGTGGGGGGACTTAGATATAGTTCACTGCAAGTCAGTTTCACTTCCTCTAATCCAAGGCATAGAGGGATAGACAATGTCAACATGACAAGGACCCAATAGTCACAGGCACTTAATAGATTGAAATTAATATCTGGTGTCTCCCTCAATTGAAAATGAGCAGGTGAGCTGACACCTAACAGTCTATTTTGCAACCTGAGGGATGGCACTTGCCATTTTTATTATATTCTGTTAGAAATGCAGTCCAGATCTCTTTGCCATGAAACTAGCAGAGCCCTACCCTAGATCTGTCATTAAACTGCAATTTGGTGCCAAGAAAATGGTGTTAAACTAATAATTTTTGCTTGAAGAGCATTCATGACTTTAAGAAAAGAACAAAAAAAAAGTGCTTACCATTTACCCAAAGTTTGAAGGTTTAAGCTCTAACAAAAGACCTGCAAAAAATGAGGCAAAAAGCATTTTGGAGAGAACACGGGATATGCCTCTTTCTTCTGTGCACATCAGAGCACTTTCAGACCTGAGGCTTGAGACCACACTCAATTTCTCCAGATCTTAACTTTATTTTGAGAATATTCTATTTAGGACTAGATTTAGGGATCTCCGTTCTCTGAGACAGGGTGGCAATGATAGCACCATTCATATTTTAGGTTAACACTGTGTATGTCATATTTTAAGATCATTTTTTTCTCATTTGATCAATGTAACAACCCCATGAAGAAAGCCCCTCTGTGTTTTGCAGATGAATTAAGAGGTTAGACAACCCAGCTAGGTAAACCTAACAGAAGCGTAACGGAACACAGTTATTTCTTTCTTTTAGGTTATCTTCTTTTGTTCTCAGAAAGAATCAAATAAATTACCTTAGTCAGGTGTTACCATTCCTATTTTCTTTACGGGAGGTAACTAAGGTCCAAAGAAATTAAGGGAACAGGAAGAAAACTTGCTTTGTACAGGTATGGATTTGACTTATTTTTTATTTTGATTTTTTTATAGATTTAGGAAGTACAAGTGCAGGGTTTGTTTGTTTGTTTGTTTGTTTTGAGACGGAGTCTTGCTCTGTCGCCCAGGCTGGAGTGCAGTGCCTCCATCTCGGCTCACTGAAAGCTCAGCCTCCCGGGTTCACGCCATCCTCCTGCCTCAGCCTCCTGAGTAGCTGGGACTACAGGCACCTGCCACCCTGCCCGGCTAATTTTTTGTATTTTTAGTAGAGACGGGGTTTTACCGTGTTAGCCAGGATGGTCTCGATCTCCTGACCTTGTGATCCGCCTGCCTCGGCCTCCCAAAGTGCTGGGATTACAGGCATGAGCCATCACACCCAGCCTGTTGGTTTGTTTTTTACCTGGATTGATTGCATGGTGGTGAATTCTGGGATTTTCGTGCAGCCATCACTCAAATAGTGTACCTTGTTCCCATTAGGTCATTTCTCATCCTTCACCCCTCCACCTACCTTCTCACTTTCTCACTTTTTTGAGTCTCCAGTGTCTATTATTCCACTATCTATATCTATGTATACAGATTATTTAGCTCCTGATATCAAAAATGATTTTTTTTCTTATTGGTGATAGTGCCCAGGGCACAACGGGAGTGGCTCAGATCAAACCAGGGGAGAGGAAGTCCTGACCATGAATGACACGTTAGCAGCAAGAGGGAGTAGGTGAGAGACAGTTCAATAATCCACCAAAGCCTCTAAACACCCATGGCTGCTTGAGGAGACAGCACCATGTTGGTTGCCTTGCATTCCTATTCATTCTGCCCTCTGCTTTCACAAAGGCAGGTGTTCTCTCTCTCTCTCACACACACACACACACATTGGATGCACACACAGTTCTAACAGTGTTGACTCCATGCAGCCCAGCCTTTAGAACTTTCAATTGAATTAAATTCTTAAAATGACCCACTATCATAGATAAGACACTTGCTCTGTGTAGGGTGATTGGGTTTGCTTTTTCATATGTTTTTATTTCATTTATTCTCACAGCAACACTGTGAGGGAGAAATTTTTGTTCCCATCTTATAGATGAGGAGACTAAGTTTTTGAGAATTAACTTGTCTGCCGTTACCTAGCTGAGAAGCAGCAGAGCTGATATTTCCAACCAGGTCTGCCTGGTTCCCAGACAGGGTTTTCTCCATCCCACCCCACACCCTCCAGCAGATATGCCCACAGCCCACAGCGCTAGTACTAGCCACACCCATTCATGTGCTCCTTGTTTATGGAATATTCAGTTTGTGCCTGCCAGAAATTGGGTAACAGGACCAGGCCTTCTTTGCTCAAATGTAGATTGTCCTTCTTAAATACAGAAGTTACAAAACACTACATTTTGAGACTTATAGCCCAGAAGCACCTTACAGTGTGGTGAGTGATGGACAGAACAAGCACACAGTGCAATGGAAACACCAACAGGGCCCACGATCTGGTGCAGGGTTGGTTGGTGAAGGCTTGGTAGGGTGGTAAGCATGGCAGTTAACCTGTGGCCTGAGGGATGGGAGCTAAGCTGGGCAGAAATCAGGGCTCCAGGCAGATGGGACAGGTATACAAAGTCCTGGAGGTGGGGGTGTGGAGGACTCTATAAACTATGCTAAGGAGTCTGACAGATCATAGCAACAGTCAAAAAGGTCAAGGATGAAAAGTCAAGAAGGGTCATTATCAGGTGGAAAATTCTAAAGCTGCTACATGGGGTTAGCCATTTGCTGAGGTCTCTTTAGAAATAGTCTTGTGGATGGTAGGGCTCAGACTGTGCTTGGGTCTTGTCAAACAAAAGGAGTCCCCCATGCTGGCATGTGCCTGTAATCCCAGCTACTTGGGAGGCTGAGGCAGGAGAATTGCTTGAACTCGGGAGGTGGAGGTTGCAGTGAGCTGAGATCACACTATTGTACTCCAGCCTCGGCTACAGAGTGAGACTCCATTTCGAAAAAAAAAAAAAGAAAATGAAGTCCCCATGCTTAAGTTACACCGTTACCCTAAGAACTTGACTTGGTCTGGTTGCGTCCTCACCCAGATCTCATCTTGAACCGTATTTCCCATTTTCCCCAGGTGTCGTGGGAGGGACCCGATTGGGGGTGGTTGAGTCACTGGGGTGGTTATCCTCACGCTGTTCTCGTGATGGTGAGTGAATTCTCATGAGACCAGATGGTTTTATAAGGGGCTTTCCCCACTTTTGCTCAGCACCTCTCATTGCTGCTGCCATGTGAAGAAGGACATGTTTGCTTCCCCTTCCACAATGAATGCAAGTTTCCTGAGGCCTCTTCAGTCATGAAGAACTGTGAGTCAACTAAACCTCTTTTCTTTATAAATGACTCACTCTTGGGTATGTCTTTATTAGCAGCGCGAGAACTGACTAACAGAGAAGTATTAACGTGGTAATATGGTTTTGTTAAGGAAAGTGGTGAAGTACGGAAAAGAAGGGAGTTGGGTTGCCTAGAATCTGTGATTCTAGCATTGAGAATGTTCTGATGGGCTGACTCGGGTCATTCAGTGTTAGGAGAAAGTCTAGCTCTCTAATAGCCACTGCTGTTGTTCTGATAAAGAGTCTTGTATCTAGGCTCCTTCAGGTACTATATTCTAACTACTACATGCTACAGATAATACATAAGGTATACTTCATTCTATTTCCTATTTTTCACAATGGCCCTCTTAGTAAGAGATAACCATCTCTATTTTATAAGTAAAGATAATATGGAGGCTTAGAAAAGTTAATTAACTTTCCCAATGTTACACAGGTGGAGATTGGGATAAAAATTAAATTTCCATCTGTCTGACTCCAAATGCCGTACTTTCACTGGTGAAAAGAGGATGTCATTAATTAATGACAGTTTCCTTTGCTGTCTTCCAAGCAAGCTGCCACCTTTCTCAGTTCAGTCTATCAAAGGAAGCCCTCCAGTCTGGCTGCTGAAAATATTGACCACAAGCTTTCTCCAAACAAATGAATACTTTAACATGTTGGTTTCCTTCTCCTTTGCTGGAGTGTGGTTAAATACCCAGAGGTTGATCACTGTTTTGTGGAGCTAAGGGAATTCAATGTCTGCTCCTGAAAGTGAACCGCTAGCTGTATCTATCACTAAAGTCCGGCCAAAACCTGAGGGTGAACTGAAATCAGCATACAGACAGACTTGCCATGAGTAAATTTCAGCCAGCCTTCAAGACAAAAGTGCCTTTGGGCACCAGCTAGGGGCCAAGGCTGTGCTTGACTCCAGAGATGTGAGAATGAATGAGCCCCGGACACTGCTCCGGAAGATCTTGTAATCTAGTTGGAGAGATAAGCATGTAAATAAATATCAACAAATTCAAGTGTTCTGGCTTAATTCTATGCAAGGTGTTGTGGGAGCACAGGGGAAGGATGTGCTACTGGTATTGGAGTGGACTGTGAATACAGTCCCTGCACTGAGCCTGGGAAAATGAGGGGGGATTTCTCACCTGGTGAAAAGGAGCCTGAGGGAGCTCGAGGGGAATGGAGTAGCATGAGAAAAGTCATGACTCAACAATGTCAGTGTATCACTGTTAAACCAAGGACTGGGTGTCCTAAGAGTGAAGCAGGTGAGGCTCTCGGGGACAAGACAGTGGGCAGATGTGTGGCAGGATCAGAAGCTTGGTTTTTATTCTATAAATGAGGAAGGTCAGGTAAAAGCATCCAAAGGCAAATAAGTCTGGCTCTCAGTTTAACATAAGAAAAAATCACCTGTAGTTTTCTTCATTTTTAAATCCTTTTTTAAAAAATTAAATAATTACTCAATCCATTTAGCTGTGTATTTCTGTTATGATATATTGTCTTCCAGGTTGTAAGCTCTTTCACGGATGAATATATGTATCTTGCTTACTTT
Source organism: Homo sapiens (assembly GCF_000001405.40). NCBI lineage: Eukaryota > Metazoa > Chordata > Mammalia > Primates > Hominidae > Homo > Homo sapiens. The sequence goes on along the minus strand of NC_000004.12, from coordinate 10,972,952 downwards.
TGTTTCGCTGCAACGCTTAACAGAGAACAAGGGCAAAATAAATGCCGAAGAATTGAAATAAAGGATAACTTTCACTGAGCACAGGGTAGGGTTGTAAGAATGCTGTTTTTCTTAATTCTTCATATACTCCATGATGTAGGTATAGTTATTTTCCACTTTCACAGATAAATAAATTGGAACTAGGGAATAACATATGACAATCCCAGGGGCACAGGTGCTGTGTGCAGTTGCTAATGTGTAGAAACGTGGGAACGCCACCCTGGGTCTGTGGGAAGGCAATGGCTGTGTTTTTGTTTTTGTTTTTTGTTTGTTTTTTTAAGTATTTTGCTGGATGTGTGAAGTTAGATTAGAAATTTTGGGCTCAGTATTAACCTGTACACACTCATCAGCAACCTCACTGAAGTGGGAAATCAGCCACAAATGGGTCTTTGAAGCCAAAATACATCAAAATAAAATATGTGCTGCCGCCCATGCACTCCTTAGTAAGACCTCTCAGAACTGCTCTTTTGGGCTGTGGAGCTTGAGAGATAGCACTGGGTAAACAAGATGTCCGAGGATCGGCTCTGATGCATCTATTGAATTATCACAGATCAAATAGAGTCAACACAATTAGATTTGCACCAAAACAGGATGAGTGGTGCTTTTATTCCAGGGAAATACATGCTCAGTACTTTCAGCATGCTGAATACTTATGCATCAGCACGGTGCTGGGTATTGTGCATCATTCAATTTGCCCAGTAAACATGTGCTGTTGACTTCATGTGGGACAGGCCTGGGGCAAGCCTGATGATGCAAAGATGAATAAGACAAGGAACAAGGGTACAAAACAGAAGACTGAAGCACAGTAAATCACCACTCTTAGGAAAGGAAAGAACAGTGGCTAGAGGACAGTTGAGGGGATACTTCCCAGAGGAGATGGCCAATAAGCTGGGGTTGAAGGATGAGGAGGAATGTGCAAGATAAGCAATAAAATAGTCTAGATTTGCCTTATTTGGTTGAATCTTTTGCTTTTGTACATCCATCTGTGAGCCCTGTCACTTCATTAATGATTTTTAAATGAAGATGGCTCAAGTTCAACAGACTCCTTAACATGTCTATATCCTAGAGTATTAGGACCACGGCATTTTTGTGAGGAGAGTACAGGGTGCATAGAGGATGTTTGCTGCAGGTATGTGTGTGCGTGTGCTCTGTTACCAGGACTCTGCTCCCACTTCTTGTGATAAAAAGGCCTTGATTTTGTTAGGTGTTCTGATTCCCTATTACTCTCCTTTCGAGTGTTTTAGGGAAAGCTAATGCTATGCCTGAGCCAGTGAATCGGGAACAACAACCAGGCACTCCTATTGTTTTTGCCGCAGTGGTTGGTTCACAGATGGGCAAATCATCACATCCGAGTCAATGGTATCCACTAAAATTAGTGCTGAGGCTCCTTGGAAATAAACTCCTGTTCTGATCTTGAAACCTGGGAAAAGAGAGGTAAGGTCTTGAATGGCTACTTTCATCTGGCAGAGATTAAAATCTTACCAATCAAAGGCAGAGCTAAGGGATAGAGGAACTGAGTCTTGTTGATATTATCCGACCCTGGCTCTTGACAGAGCTGAAGTTTCATCTACCCCACTGGGATCTTCTATTGTGCTGAGGCAATACATTCCCTCTTTGCTTGTAAAAGTTAATATCCTGCCTCATACTGTGTATATTTTTGAAGGGCTATTGCTTCCCATAGCAGAAGTAAAGACTTGGTCAACAGGGAATCTTACAGACAAGGTTTTTGCTTACAAGCTTTTGTATTGGTGTAGCAAGATGCAGTCTCTGAGTGAGAGAGACCTGGCATGTACAGGCTATTCCAGCTACCTGGATAATGTCTCCTGTTAAGATCCGAAATATGCCACCAATTACTTGCTACTCTGTGACCTTTAGACAAACCATTCCCTACCCCACTGCTTAGCCCACAAGTTTCTGGTTCTACTGCAAAGGTATAATTCATTGTTTATCTCTTCTGACTTTTGTCTTATGGATATCCCCTCAAAATGAGAAATGTGAGGAACAAGCATGAGCTCATTTTAGAAAATAATTTACTTTTTAGCCTATCATAATTAAATCAAAATAGGCTTATTGGCTCGGAATCTAATCTACTCGGCCCAACACCTCATACTGAAGAAGCACTACGTTGTAATGAAAGTAACTCTGGGCAGGCCAGGTGTGGTGGCTCATGCCTGTAATCCCAGCAGTTTGGGAGGCCGAGGCAGGCAGATCATCTGAGGTCAGAAGTTCGAGACCAGCCTGGACAACATGGCGCAACCCCGTCTCTACTAAAAAGACAAAAATTAGCCAGTCACGGTGGTGCGTGCCTGTAATCCCAGCTGCTTGGGAGACTGAGGCAGGATAATTACTTGAACCCAGGAGGTGGAGGTGGTAGTAAGCTGAGATCGCACCACTGCACTCCAGCCTGGGTGACAGAGTGAGACTTTGTCTCAAAAAAAAAACAAAAAAAAAAAAAAACAAAAAAAAAAAAAGAAAAGATAAAAGAAAATAACTCTGGGCTTAGAAAATTCTGGGTATAAGTCCAGACATCATCATTAATGTGTGTGAGATCTTGAGTTGGTCACTTGACTACTGAGTGTCTGTTCCCCCTATGATAGGGACAACAACACTATCTATTATACAGCACTATTGAAGGAATCCAATTCTTACTGCATGTGAGTTTCAATTAGAGGGCCTGCAATCATCTAAGCTTAGTGTTCTGTCAATGCATTCTGTTGAACACAGCCCTCTGTGCCTGTGCAGCTGACCACAGTGGATTGAAGTAGGAAGAGGGTATTCGCCGTACCCAAAACAGCCAATCCATAGGCTTCCAGTGATGGAAAGAAGAGCCTGGTCTAGAAAAGAGGCTCTGGGAAAATAAGATTCCATTTCAGAAATTTAATATGAAAAACTTGGTGTAGATGAGATGGTTAGCAGCAGAATCTGAACTGGAAATTGCCTTACAGAGAGAAAGGGCAAGACAGGTAGGATGGCCCATTGGTGTCCTTGTTTAGCTTTTTTTGAGGAGCTTGAGACAAGGGGTTTGTGCTGATGGTTTCTTTGGGAGGTGATTCTAGGAAGTGTAACGGAGGGAGGGCAGTGACATAGGGAGCGAGAAAGGTCAAAAAATATTAATAAGCAGATAATTGATGTGGTCCACCTTTAAATTATTTGGGGGTCCTTTCCTAAATATGTCAAGTCTGGCTTAAGTATACCTTCCACGTCCTCCTCTAATTGCCGTATCTTAACACGAATGAAACTATATTTTGGCTGCTTATTTAAATAGACCGGACATATCATCGGTCCTTATTAAATATTTATTGAAGGAATTAATAAAGAACAAAAGGATGGAGAAAGAAGAGGGGGAGAGGAAAGAGAAGGAGAGAGAGGAAGGGGCATCTTCAGTGCACCTGGGAAAGGCTTTGGGGATATTACAGGAAACAATGCAGAGATGCTTCAGGAAACTGAGAGTTAGATGAAGAGGATGGACAAATATCATAAGGAGCTGTTACGAAGGGGAAAGCGCACAGAGCTATGAGAGTATAAACCACAATGCTAAGACCCTGTTAGGGGCATCTGGGAGTCACACTGGAGGCAGTGAAGGAAAAATGTCTTCAGACAATGTCAACATCCAAAGGGATGGCTGAGATACCCTGACTGACACTTCAGATGTAAACAGCTTAAAAGTTGAATCAGACTGAAAATATTTTGAAAATGGTTTTAATCATTATCTGAGTTTGGAGGAAAGTAAGGAATATGGAGAGGTCAAAAGCATAGATGAAAGTGAGAAATCTGAAGAGTGAGTGAGAACCAAAGCCAACTCTTCAAAAGTGGAATCCAGGGAGTCTCAGGGCTGAACTGAAGACCTGAAACCATCTGCTGAAGCCAGTGGAGGAGGAAGATCTTTGTGGATACATTTTAAAAACAACAACAAAAACCCTTGGTTTCTTTTCTTCATACTCTTTATATTCCTTTTATGTCTGAATTCAAAATGATTTATGATGGATGCTATGCATGATTTTGAACATTTTCCTCCTTGGGAAAATTTGAGGTGTTAAAGCTAACATTCTGATCTTTAGTTCAACTTCCCAAAAAGTGAAGAATTCCAAAACAATAGTTTAATTGGAAGATTTGTGACCTACTTTAAGTAACTGAAAGTTAAATGTATAAACATCTGTACATCTTCAAGACTGTTTGGTTTGATGTCATGCACAGTGGTGATCCGTGGGTGGGGCAATGGGAGTGGTCGATCGACGTGCAGAAAACAAAGTGATTTATTGTCTATAAAGAATTCTAAAACAATAATAAAACCAACTGGAAGTCCATATGCTTTGTGTATCACCAGATGCTAACAACTCTACACAAGCTTCGTGATAAAATATATACTCTTCCTGAAAAATCCTTCTGTTGCTCTCAGTTCTAAACAATTGCTATGTTTACTTCCAGTTTTTGATCATGTGCATGTAAGTTTCATATTAGGATTTTTTATTAGCTGTCCTTTGATAAATACAGTATTTTTACACGGAAGTTAATTTGGAGAATTCCCATTTGCACAGTGGACTCTCATACACACAAACTCAACTACATGTGCTTATTTAGAGAATAAAATCATTTTCTTTTTCTTTTTTTTTTTTTTGAGACAGGTTCTCCCTCTGTCACCCAGGCTGGAATGCAGTAGCAGGAACACAGCTCACTGTAGCCTTGGCCTCCTGGGCTCAAGGAATCCTCCCACCTCAGCCTCCAGAGTAGCTGAGACAGCAGGCACACATACCAACATGCCTGGCTACTTTTTTTTATTATTATTATTTGTAGAGACAAATTCTCTCCATGTTGCCCTGGCTGGAAAGTAAATTTCTAAGTTTAAAATTCTTCAAGCTTGTGTTGGGTGCAATTCATGTCTCTAATACCTGTGGTTTAATATATATTTGTATGTTTAAGCAGTAAAATTTATAGATCTATGGGATTACTTTTCCTGTGTTACTTTTTCCTTTTGGTGTAAAGCTATAGATGAAGTTAATCAGAATAAAAAATGATTGCAAATTACAGACATTTATATACAAAAAAGAATACCAGGAGAAATAACAAAAGATGCTGGATTTTTTTGCCAGAAGAAATCTAAAGGACAAAGTTTGAATGTCTCCATCATTTTCACCAAGACCTGAGCACTTGTTCTAAAGCAATGGATGTAATAATCTCAATGTCTTCTATCATTCAGTCATTTCTCTGATACTGGCAGAGGAAACATATTTTTGGAAGTCTTTACCAAATAAAATAAAATTTTTAAAATATTGTCAAGTGAAGATGTTTTAGTGGAAAATTTTTCATTGCAGAAACGCTTGAAAGCCATTGGAATTAATCTTAAAAAATACACATGGACAATATTATAACTTATAGAATTTATTATTTATAATTTTCTGCCAAATGTATCCTTACCTTTAAGACTTTTCCTATTTGTATGTATCTATTGTCTATGAACGATCATTTTCAAAATTAAAATTAATAGAAGGTGAAGTGTCAACAATGACCAAAAATAGACAAATCTGGCAGTATTGAGAACTGAACATAAATATGCAAATATCAGTTTTGATGAAGCAATTGACAAGTTTACATACATAGTAGGTGAGCCAGTAGTGTGAATGCTTGTCAAGCTTCCAAAGATGGGAATTTTGATATAAATCTAATCTGCATTAGTCTTTTGTGTTATTAATTAAATTTGTATAAATATTTGTAGACTCAAAGAGAATGTAGTGTTCTTCCTAATCTTACATGATGGAAATACACTCTTTTGATGTCTGTGCAAACTGTCAATCTATTTCTCTATTTAATCATTTGTAAATTTTAATTAATTGTTTTACAACACAAAATTAATAGCTTTCACAGTCATTGTGTATGGGATGAAGTTTATGAGTCCCCAGAGGCCCTCTTCCCTGGCCTGTCTCCTGGGTCCCACATGCTTGACTGGGGCATGGCAGAACCCAAGTCACTTGCAAGTTGCAAAGCGCTGGTACAATCCTTGTCACCTGTGCCATTGCCTTTACGTTTGTGCATTTTGTTTCTTGTTTAAGAAGTCTTCCCCACCCTAGAGGATTAAACATATTTTTCCTATATCTTCTAAAAGTTTTATAGTTTTCTCTTTCATATTTAATTTTTTAATCCACCTGGAATGATATTTATGTATAGAATGATGTAGTGATTCAATTTCTTTCCTCTCCCCATTGATAACCCAGAGTCCTAGCATCATTTTTTGAAAAGTCTATTCATTCTACACTGATTTGCAACACCAGCTTTGTTATAAATCACATTTCCATATTTTCCCAAGCTATTTGTGAGTGCTGTATTCTGACTGTTATCAATTTGCCAATGCCTAATATCACTGGTATTTAAATCCTCTAATTTTATAACAATTTGTATCTGCAAAAGCAAGTCCACCTAATCCTTTTTTCTTCTGGATGTTGTCTATGATTGATCTTAGCATTTCCAATTATATTTTAGGTTTTAGCTTGCCAAGTTCCATGAAATACCCTGTTGACATTTTCATTGTAATTGCATTAGATTTATGGCTCAATTTGGTGAGAAGCTTGACATCTTTATAGTATTGAGTCTGGTCTCTCTATCTATTCTGTAAGGTCTTTATTATCTTTCAAAAGATTTTTGGAATTTTTGTCATAATGGACTTGCATAAACTTTGTTGGACTTTTTTCTAGGTAGTTTATGTTGTTATATATGTATCTGTTTGAATATTACACATTTTAGGTTTTAATATTTTACATCTTCAAACTAGATAAGGAACTCAACTCACTTTGGCAAATTTATTTTGTAATTACAAACTTGCTAACTCTCTTATTAATTCTAATAATTTTATCTTTTGATTTTTCAAGGTTTTCTGCATAGAAAATAATATCATGTGTGCGTAAGAAGAGTTTTCTCTCTTTCCAACCTTTACACATTCATTTTTATGGTCTTGCTTTCCATGCTGGCTAGGCCCCTTGGGACAATGTTCAAATATAATCAATGATCACATGGCTTACTCCCAATGACTTCAAGAAATACCTTTAGCTGCATCATGGGTGTAAAGAAGTTCACTTTTACTTTAAAAATAATTCATAATTATTATATACACTTTTTATATGCTTACTATGTTGATAGTTTTTTAAAAAATTAAAAACAAAATTTTAAACAAAGATCTAGAAAATGAACAGAAGTTAGCCAATTCGGGGGAAAGGGATGTTCTCAGGTGTTCAATCAGAAAAAGGAAACCAAGAGTTAGAGAGCCAGCATGTGACCTATTCTAGGCATGCTGGCTGGAGACACCGAGGAAGAGGAGTATCCTTCCAAATGAAGTTGCTCCAGTTGTCAGGGGGCTGGTCTTTGGGCCTTGTGACAGGCGATTGGTCAGCATTACTTCCTACCCATCCTCCACACGTGCAGAACAACCCCAAGCTGAGGAAAAGGCAGAAATCTATTCATTCCCGATTTTAAAGATGATGAAGAAATTGGCACCAGCTCCAGGCCATGCTCTCGAGGCCCAGCAGCCAGATTGTAAGCATCTGCTCTGCCAGATCATGATGAAGCCTGACCTGTTAATGACTTAGTCAATAGAAAAAGCAAGTGGGGAGTCTTAGAGTCATACAGATTGTTACGGATGGAAGGAAGCTTGGAGTTCATGCCTTGGTCATGACTATTTCAATGACATTATTTCCCACCCCTCTCCCTCTCTCTGGCAAGAGACTGCCTCATTGGAGCTCCCCAGAGGCACCTCTGGCTTTGATCTGGCCCTTTCTCCTGTCTGGAGTGCCCTACTCTATGTCTCTGACCTCTCATTGATTTTCCTTAGTTCAGCTTCAATATGACTGCCCCTGGGAAACTTCTCTCTCTCCCTTGCCCCCAGAGAAAGACCAAATCCTTCTCTGTGAATGTGTTCTTTGTGTCTTGTATGTGCCTCTATGGTCGTGCTTGCTCTTGTTTCTATGTTCAACGGTGTGCTCCTCTGGAGGACTGTTCACTGCTCAATCACTTAGCACAGTACCATGTCTACAATCATGGGCGTCAGTGTTTATTTAGGCTTTGCTATGTGCCAGGAACTGTGCTGACCACTTTTCAAGACTTACTACCGGGTGTTTAAAAATTCCTGTTAAGATAGAGGTGGGGAGTGGCTTGTTCAAACCCAGAGAGCTAGTTAGAAGCTGATTTCGAATCCTCTGACACCAATTCCACAGTACCCTGCCTTTCCTGCAAGCACAATCATTGCATGTAGCTTGATCTCTGTGGACTCTTAGCACTCAACCTTCAGATCCGAGCTGCAACGAGTTTCCAGAGGTTTCTCAGCCCTGTGTTTTCCGATCAGCAAGCTTCCCTCGGCCAATATAACCAGCATCTCTAAGAATAACTACAGAGAGGGCTTTGCCATCCCAGGGGGTAAAACTGCCTGTAAGCCAGCATTCCTATTATTAGAGAAGAAAGGAAACGGCTCACAAGAGACCTCCTGCCAGCTCATGTGCCCTCCCACTACTTTCTTTTCACTTCATCTATAGAGTATGCTTGCCAAACGAGCAGGCTCACCAGCCCTTCCACTGCTGTTCTTCTACCGTGTGCATGTGCCTGTGTTCATGTGTGCACACATAAGTGAGTGTGTGCCTGTGTGTGCATGCAACTATGTTCACATGTGTACACACATATGAGTGTGTGTGCCTGTGTTCACGTGTGCACACACGTGTCAGTGTATGTCTGTGTAGGTTCATTGCCTGTGTTCAAGTGTGTATGCACGTGTGAGCACATGCCTCTGTGCATCTGCCTGTTTTCACATGTGTACCAGTGTGTGCATGTGTGTGCCTGTGTGTGCACCTGTGTTCATGTGTGTACAAGTGTGTGCACATGTGTGCATGTGTGTGCATGCACCTGTGTTCACGTGTGTATGCATATGTGAGTGTGTACCTGTGTGTGTGCATGCACCTGTGTTCAAATGTGTATAAATATGTGAGTGTGTGCACGTCTGTGCCTGTGTGCATGCACCTGTGTTCACATGTGTATAAACGTGAGTGTGTGCCCGTGTGTGTGCATGCGCCTGTGTTCACGTGTCACACGTGTGTGTGCCTGCACCTGTGTTCACGTGTGTATGCATGTGTACGTGTTGTGTGTTCATGTGCCTGTGTTCACTTGTGTATACACGTGTGTGTGCCTGGGCCTGTGTTCACGTGCGTATGCATGTGTGAGTGTGTGCCTTGTGTGTGCATGACCTGTTTACACACGTGTGTGTGCCTATGTGTGTGCATGCACCTGTGTTCACGTATGTATAAACGTGTGCGTGTGTGCCTGTGTGTGCGCATGTGTGCCTGTGTATATGCTGTCCTTTTGGTGAGTTAGGAACAAAGCCTGTTCGAAAAAAAAAAGCAAATTCATTTGTTTTCCTCCAAGGAGCACTAGAGTTCAAAAATGAACTGTCTTAGGCTACTCGGATATTGAAAATCATGGATACTGCCAGATGTCTGGAAGGAAAACCTAAGCACACACCACAGATGTTCTCTCATCAGCAAGTGGTATTTCAAATTGTAATAATTTCTGAAAATACAGAGCATAACATAAAGGGAAGAGTAGTGCATTGGGGGTTAGAAGCACTAACAATTACAAATAATAAGTCTGAGGTTTGTTCACTTATTTGTTTTAGAGCTTATTATGTGCCACTGAGCTTGTTATGTGGAGTTCCTCTGTTCTTCTGAAGCTCACTTCTCATTCTGTGATGCAGAAACCTCATTGAATTGTCCTGAGTGAAAGGGAAATGCGAGAAAAAAAAAAAGGAGTTAACCTTTGGGAAGCTCGTCCAGTGCTAATGATGATGATAATAATGTAACAGTAATATTTCCACTTGTGGAGCGCTGCCTAAGCATCATGCATGATGACACCCATTCGCATGAAGTCTTTAACCTTACATCAGTCCTTGGGGTAGGTGCTCTTATTCGCCACATTTTACAAATGAGGAAACTGGGTGTGGGGAGGTTAAGGGACTTACCCAGGGTCAAAATGAACAGAGATAGGAATTAAAGACAAGTAATCTGGATCATACATAGTAAAATTGTTATAACCTGTTTAATCCTCATAAGAAAACTGTGGAGCAAGTACTGTCCTTATTTTATAGACGGTAAGCCAAATCGGAGAAGCAGTGAAAGAGGGAGCATGCTGGCCAGTGCCCTCACTCCTGCGGGTTGGTCCAGCTCACATTTGCTCTCCTGAAAAATGCTTCCCTCCTGCTTCATGCTACCTGGCTGCTGGAGATGGCCTCTCTTCATCTGAACTTGCCCTCAGCTTTTCTTTCCCAGTTTTGGTTCTTCCTGAGCACTTCAGAAACTGCCCCTTTTCATACATTCATTCCATAGCTGACTTTTGAGGACTAGCCTCAGACCAGGCATGATGCTAGTGCCTGTGATTAGAAGCACAACAGACAGGCACTTGCCCTGGTGGATTTGCAATCCAGTGACATCCTGCACCACCCAAGATCGTAGGTTGCCAACATTAGAGTGGCTGCCAAGTCCATTCACTCTGCTGGACACCTTTTGCTTTTTGTTTTTTTCTTACATAAATGTCCACACTCATGAGTTTCTGATTCTTGATAGTTACATTTCTCATTTGAATGAATCACTCTATGTGTTTAAATTAAACACTGGGAACAGCTCCTTCTGTGTTGGCTGTGGCTGACCAATGACCACCCAGCCATGCGTGGTCTTACTGTTTTTAGCTGAATTTGTCGTACCTTGTGCTTGACCCTGAGCTGACATTTTTTTTTTTAATTTTTAAGATCGTAGAATTTAAATATATATATATCAACAGAGAGAATAGCATAATTATTCACCACGTATATACCCATAGTCCAGCTTCAGCATTTGTAAATCCTGTCTCATCTCTTTCTCCCCACACTTTTTTCTTGAGTTATTTAAATTCTAGATATGATGCTTTTGTACCTATAAATAATTCAGTATATGTATCTAACAGATAAGGGCATTTTCAAGAAACGTTACCATCATGCGGTATAATAATAGAGATGTTATTATGTCTAACAAAATTAAAAATAATTCCCTTGTATCAGCTAACGCCTAATTCCATATTTTCCTGATTGACTTAAAAATGCCCCTTTACACTTTGTATACTCGAATCAAGATCTAAAAAAGGTCTTCACATTGCGGCTGCTTGATGGATAGCCTAAGTGACATTTTTAAATAAAATTTCTTTTCTTTTTTTTTTTTTTTTTTTGAGATGGATTCTCAATCTGTTGCCAGGCTGGAGTGCATTGGCATGATCTTGGCTCACTGCAAACTCCGCCTCCTGGATTCAAGCAATTCTCCTGCCTCAGCCTCATGAGTAGCTGGGACTACAGGTGCCCACCACCATGCCTGGCTAATTTTTGTATTTTTAGTAGAGATGGGGCTTCAAGATGTTGGCCAGGATGGTCTCGATCTCTTGACCTCATGATCTGCCCACCTTGGCCTCCCAAAGTGCTGGGATTACAGGTGTGAGCCACTGCGCCCAGCCAAATTTCTTCTTTTGAGATCATTGTAGATTCACGTGCATTTCTGAGAATGTTACAGTGACATTCCATGGGTCCTTTAGCTAGTTATCCCCAATAGTAGCATCATGCAAAACTACAGTACAATTCTCCATTAGAGTATTGATAACATACCATCATTAAACTCACTTTTGAAAAGTGTCAGTATGTCAAAACTTAAAAAATGATAATTAACTGAGAAATACTCCTTTGTAAAAGGAAGAAGAACACCATTTCATAAAGTGTCTTGATCAGGGCCCCCAAAGACATACCTATCTCATTGTGGTCACGTGTCTCTCATTTTTTGAAGGGGTTCCACCTCACCTCACAGAAACAGACAAACCAGCTTGGGTGTTCATTAGCTGATCTCATCCCCCTGAGACCCTATTAGTTACGCAGGAAATACCGCAAGGAGCCCTGGACTCAAATGTGTATCTGTGTAACTTTAGAGGACATTTTTATTACACCCCATGAAAAACAAACCTTTGGGGACCATCCTTAAAGGTGGGCAAAGCTGTGAATCACTGTCCTTCTGACCATAGTCCTGATAGTTCCAGCGATCTCTCTAGGACCAGGGCAGCAGGTCCCACATGTTCATAAATTACTTAGTTTGCAGAAGGAATTGCCTGAGGGTGTAATTTCAGTATCTATTGCTCAGAAAGTTCTCATACTTAAATTTTTTGTAGCTGCCAAATGGATATCAATGGGCTGTTTTGTGTGTTCTCAACATTTGTAGTTGTCTTTTATGAGAGATAACAGTCCATCCTTGAGCATCCAGACAGCCAGGTGTGTGTGCGTATGTGTGATTTCAAGTGTTTGGCTATGACGTGTACACGGTGCGGGGGTGAAGGAAAGGAGACTGTTTTTAAACACTCCCTATGTGCCAACAGCTGTGGTAGAAACTGCATCTGCATCCTGACATTTCATCCAGAGAATCAGATCTAAGGGACAAGATTTCTCTTTTCATTTTTACAGTAAAGAAACAGACGATGTTCTCAAAATCCCCCAGCTGGTGAGTTCAAGTCAAGATTCAAACCAGAGCCCACAGTGCACATTCTTTCATCAATCAAATATTCTCTTTAGGTAACGCTGTGCCTTGTAAAGGTCATAGAAAGTATTATGGAAACTTTGGAAGGAACTGGGAATTTTTGACTTAAGAAGAAAGAACATTAAAAGACATCATCAAGCCTGTTTTAATCTGGAAAGCTCTCTTTTATCATTCAACTTATTCTTAGCACTTATTACTGCTAGGAAAAAATCATGTTTGTTTATTTGCTTATTTGATTTTTAAAAATTTTAAATTAATGAATTTTGTAGCTATTTGTTTATTTGATGTAAACTTATCTCTACCATTAGAATTAAGGAGAGAGCATGTCTGTTTGGTTCTGCATAGCAGTGTCTGGCACATAATAGGCACTAAATAGATATTGACTACAAGAGTAAATAAATATTTTGTGAGGATTAAAAAGATGAAGTACAATGTTTGTGCTTGGGATTTAGCGGGTGCTTAAGAACAAAAATGAAGATACCCTTTTGTCACATGGAGAGGGAACACATTTGCCTGTATTTAAGGGCTGCAGAAAACTTGGCTTCAAGCTGGCTGTGACTTCATCTGTTGTTACTGCCTTATAAATATCTTTCCTCCACTCTTGCTGGCTTCCCTCCTCCTCCTTGACTTTCATAGGCAAATTCCTGCCACTGCACATTTGCTTACAGACTCCTCACAGCATTCTTTCCCCCTGTTGCTTCTCTGGGCTTGGTTATTCACTTTGCTGATCACCTATTAGAATCCTTTAGCATAAAAGATCCCAATGAGTGTCCCAATGCTCAGCCATAGTTGAAAGCTACTGATGTGCATGATCACTGAAGTAGCATGTGGCTGGAGGGGTTTGAGATGTCCTTGGCCATCCTCTAGGGCAATTTGCGATTCTGACAGAGCAACAAGACCTGAATTACCCCCCACCCCTTTCCCCTCTCTGTGAGTCTGTGAGTCTTACTCGAAATTCCATGGCCCCTAAGTTTCTCCCTGCTTCACTGGGCCCGTAGTATATGTCTCCTTTTCCCCTAAGTTATTTTTCATGTCAGCTATTTGGTTTATGCAGCTCTCCACAGAACAGGACATTTGCAAAAGTAGAAAGCACCACAGACAGGTCAGAGCTTCTTTTCATTCATTTGGATTTGCCCCCAGCCCAGGAATCCTACTTATTGGTTGTATTAAACTAAATGTAGCCTAAAGCTGCCCCCTTACATATTTTAAATTGTGCCTAAAGGTTTCTCTATACACAGTGAACTGAAATCTAACTGGGTATACAAACAGACCATAACCTACTTTTGTGCCAATCACTGAGTTTAGGCCAATCACAGATGGTTAACTGTTCAAACTGTGTTCAAATAAGGCCAACTTTAAGCTATAACCTATCCAGCTGTCCCTGTATCTCATTTCTGTTTTCTGTATGTCAGTTTCCTTTCTCTTTCCATAAATCTTATACTACAGAGCAGCACCAGAGTCTGTTTCGGGAGGCTACCTGATTGCAAATTGCTCCTTTGCTCAAACAAACTCTGTTAAATTTAATTTGTCTAAGATCTTTCTTCCAACAGTTGATTGCAAAAACTTGGGGGTAATGGCATAATCCCAAAGTTTTCCCTAAACTAGCACCATCCCCTTCCCCCCTGCCCCACCTCATGGCCTCTTTAAGAAGCAGGAGAAAGTTATCTGCTAGGGGAAGTAAAAGTGAGCTCCGCATAACAAAACTCTCTTTCTCTCTAGGAGCTGACTCTGCCCTGCTCCTTCCTTGTGTCGTTCTTGACACTTAGCTCATTTGTTCAACAAACTTCTGTTAAATATCTTCTTATGTGAGCCTAAGGAATGAATAAATTCCTCTGTAGCAGCCTTGACCTCAGAAAAGGTCGAGGCCAGGCATTCCCTAGTACACACTAGTGGGTCAGGAGCAAATAAGAAGGTATTTGTGACTCTTCTTCAACCCAATCCAATTTCCTCATCAGAAATTGCCTCTTTTTCAGCTGTTAAGGCGGGAAGTATCCAACAGCAGGAGCTCTGATGGGGAGAATGGGCTTGTTTTTTATTACATTCCTCCCATTCCAAGGTGGGAAACCAGAACATCACTACGATAGAGTGATTCTGCTCTTTGGGGTAGGAGGGCTGCTCAGAACTCAAGTATTGTTCTGTATAAGGGGAGTAGAGCAATCTTGTGCACAGACTCGTTTTCTCTGTGCCTCAGGAGGCCATGTGGGTTGGTACACAGAGTCTGTTGGAGATGAGTATCCAGCACCTCAACATAAACTAGCCATTATGTGTTGGCCTCTCTCGGGTGCTTACATTATAGACATTGTACATATAATTTAAGGCATCCGAGAACTTCCAGAAGCCAAGGAATGGATGGGTGCCCAGTTAAGAAGACTTATTCTAGATGTAATTGTGGATTTATTGAAATCATCTTCCAAATTCTGCTTTATCTAGGATAAGTATTATTGCATTTATTTGAAGTTCAAATTAGGCGCCTATGTCATTTATTTTGCATGTGTATACACAATTCTAATTTTTTGGTCTGGTTTGGTGTTTAAGGAGAAGCAGCATGATAGGGAAGAGCAGTTTCTCCCTGGACAGGTCTTCAGCAGAATCTGCATTCAAGTCCTGATTCCACTGAGCCACTTCACCAATTGGGCCTTCATCTTCTGCTGAAGAGGAATAACATCCAGTCCAGTGCGGGCACTGGTTGCAGTGCCCATTGTGGGGCCCATACCTGCCCATTGTGGTTAGTTCCAAAAGTAAAAGTGCTTTAGAAAGATTAGAATATCATTAAAATGTTAAAAAAATTGTTGTGATAATTTTATTATTCTTGTTTCTGGGAAAATTAGCTCTTAAACCAGAAAATCTAATGTCATATAAAAGTAGAAGAGGCTAACCAATGATAAAAGCATGGGATTTTTATAGTAACTTCAAGTGTGTATGAGGGTATGTGTTTCTGTATGTGTGTGTGTGCGTGTGAGAGACAGAGAGAGACAGGCAGAGAGAGAGAGAGAAAGGCAGAGAGAGAGAGAGAGAGATGCTTTGCTGAAAATTCAGAGATGCATCTACAATTGGCTAATGACCTTCCACAGACAGTTTTTGCAGGCAGAGGCGTTAAATAGCTTTACTGAATTTAAGTGTGGTGAAACCTTACAAATATAGAAATAACCCCTAGCGCCTGTACATGTTGGAAACTGTTATTATTATAAGCATCATCACATTTTATAAAAGCTGCAAACTAACAAGGCACCATTAATATTGTCAACTGAGCATTTGATTCTGACTCATTCATCATTTGTTCACGAATGTATATTTGCCTCTGAAAGTTTTAAATATACACACTTAGAAAACTGGTTTAAACAATACATACATGTTAGAGATTTCTATGCAGAACTGCATACATTGTTTTCTTTTTATTTTCTGTTTTTTTAAAAAAATATGTATACATTGTGTAATGGCTAAATTACTCAACTGAGCTAGTTTACATATACATAACTTCAGATACTAACATTTCTTGTGGTAAGAACACTGACAATTTACTTTCAGCAATATTCAAGAATAAAATACCTTGTTATTAACTATGGTCATCATGTTATAAAATAGATCTCTTGAATGTATTCCTCCTATCTAACTTAAATTGTATATCTTTTTGTTCGAAGAGGCAGTTGACCCATCAACGTATCCTCAACTGGATCCCCCACAGACCTTGGTAACCACCATTCTATTCTCTGTTTCTGTGAATTTAAGATTTTTTTTTTTTAGACGGAGTCTCGACTCAGTCGCCGAGGCTGGAGTGCAGTGGCACCACGTTGGCTCACGGCAACCTCTGTCTCCTGGGTTCAATCAATTCTCCTGCCTCACCCTCCCAAGTAGCTAGGATTACAGGCGCCCACCACCATGCCCGGCTAGTTTTTATATTTTTAGTAGAGATGGGGTTTCACCATGTTGGCCAGGCTGGTCTCAAACTCTTGGACTCAGGCGGTCCACCCGCCTCGGCCTCCCAAAGTGCTGGGATTAGAAGCGTAAGCCACCGTGCCTGACTGAATTTAAGATTTCTTTTTAGATTCCACATAAAAGTGAGATCATGCAGTATTTGTCTTCCTGTACCTGAATTATTTCACTTAACATAGCGTCCTCCAGGTTCACACATGCTGTCTCAAATGACATGATTTCTTTCTTTTCAAGGCTGAGTAGTATTCCATTGTGTATGTATAGCAAATTTTCTTTATCATTCCTCCATTGATGGACACCTAGTTTGATTCCATATCTTGGTTATTGTGAATAAAGTTGCAATTAACAGGGGAGTGGGATGTTTTTTGACATACTGAAACTAGAGCCTTATCTCACACCTTACATAAAAATTAACTCAAAATGGATTAAGGAATTAAACTGTAAAACTACTAGAGAGACATAGGGGGAAAGCTCCACAACATTGGTCTGGTCAATTACTTCTTGGGTATGACCCCTACAGCACAGGCAACAAAAGTAAAAATAGACAAACAACATTATATCAAACTTAAAAGTTTCTACACAGTGAAGAGAATAGTCAACAGAGTGAAAAGACCACCTACGGAATGGGAGAAAATATTTGCAAACCATGGATCTGACAATGGGTTAACATCCAAAATACATAAGAAACCCAAACAACTCAATAATAAGAAAACAAATAACCTGATTTAAAAATGGGCAAAGGAATTGAATAGACGTTTCTCAAAAGAAGACATACAAATGGCCAACAGGTATATAAATAAATGCTCAACACCACTAATTATGAGGACAGTGCAAATTAAAACCACAACAAGGTATCCTCTTACACTTGTTAGAATGGCTATGATAAAAGAAATTACAAAAGATAACAAGTGTTGATGAAGATGTGGAGAAAAAGGAATCCTACCACAATTTTCAAGGGAAATGCAAATTAGCAAAGCCATTATGGAGGTCCATAAAATTTTAAAAATAGAAATAGAACTATCATATAATCCAGCAATCCTACTACTAGGTATATATCCCAAAAAATTGAATTAGTATGTTAAAGAGATATCCACAGACTTTTCTGTACCAGCTTCCTCCACAGTTTCAATAGAGTGAATAAATGTGTCTACCTCTGAAGTTTCCCTGCAAGCTCTGACTTGCTCACCAGCACTGGGGCTGGTGAGTGCAGACCAGTTTTCTAAGGTCTAATTCCTATGAAGCTCTGATCCCATAATTCTCATGGAGGATCTTCTTCCCTAATTGAACTGCAGTATGTGCCTGTGTGTGTGTGTGTGTGTGTGTGTGTGTGTGTGTGTATTTGCATGTGCTTGCATAACTTAATTCTGACTCAGAGACAGGCTCTTCAGCATTTGTCACAGCCCCACTTCCCCCTCTCCTCTGTGAACTAGGCTATGAGAACATGATTGCTGTGGTTGGCCACAGTAGACACACGCTTTGGAGCTTACAAGAAACACTCAGCTGTGGTTTTCCTGATCTGAGTAAGAATGACATCTTTCAGGATCTACCTTTTGACTTGTGAAATAACTCCAACTAAAACTCCAGGGCCAATGAGAACAGGGAAGCCTAATGAAAAACTGGGTCCAAAAGCTAGTGTTTTGTAACTACAGCAATGATTCCTTCCTCCAGTGGGTTTGTATGCTTATGAAGCCATAGAAATGATCAAACTTTAAGAATAATAAAACTTGGCCCGGCATACTGACTCACGTCTTTAATCTCAGCACTTTGGGAGACCGAGGCGGGCTGATTAGCTGAGGCCAGGAGTTCGAGACCAGCCTGGCCAACATGGTGAAACCCTGTCTCTGCTAAAAATGCAAAAATCAACCAGGACTGGTGGTGCATGCCTGTAATCCCAGCTATTCAGGAGGCTGAGGCATGAGAATATCTTGAACCCAGGAGGCAGAGGTTGCATCGAGCCAAGATTGTGCTACTGTACCTGAGCCTGTGTGACAGAGCAAGACTCCATTTCAAAAAAAAAAAAAAAAAAAAGAAGAAGAATAAAACTTATACAGATATATAAGCCATATTTATATTCTAAATAAAATGTGTTATACACACATATCAGTTAGAGTTCATTCAGACTAACAGAACTTCTATGAATTTTACTGAAGTAGAGATTTATAAGAATTAGACCTTAGACAGCTGGTGTACCCTAGCCAGCCCTGGCATGGATGAGAGGGTCAGAGCTTGCAAGAAAATCTTGAAACTGGCACACCCAGCTGCTGAATTGGGACTGTAGAGGAGGCAGGTATAGAAAAGTCCATGGAAGCTTCTTAGCTTTTTATAGATTTATCTATTTAAATTTGCAGTAAAGCACTTTGGTGGTAGGTGGGGGGTCAGAGTGCTTATCAGGACCAGTGATCAGAAAAGAGAACTGGACACAGAGTGGGGAAGACAATGGACAAGCAGGAAACTCCTGGCAACCCTGCATTGGGCTCTCATCTCCTGTAGCCAGCAATAGAATTCAGCAGGTGATGACTGCTTCTTCCCTTTAACCTTCTCACAGGGCACACATTCATCCTCAGCTCCCTCCAACCTATAACCCTATATAGGGAAGAGGATGCTGTGACAGTCAGCTCCAGAGTAAAGAAATTGGCAAGAGATTCTAAATAATCTCATGGTCTGTTGCTCATCAACGAGGAGACTATAGTAGTGGATTTGCTGATTTAATTCTTCATTGAATAAACAGTCATTATACCTGTTACGAGTTAAGCACAAAAGTAGAGGCTGGGAACACAATAATTTAAAATATAAATCCTACCTTCAAGAAGTGCAAAGCCTAGTCATAAGTACAGATCTATAAACAGCAAAGTTCAGTAAGAGCTGTAAAGTTACAGTGTGTATGTGAAAAGTTAAAGGCTGCTTCCCTTCATGCTCACTTCTAGCTTTAACACTATTTGAAACTATAATTGTTTACCAATGTTTAATCAATATAAGCAGACATTAGCAAGATGATTTTTTTTTATCTTTCAAAGTGTTAAGATGGCTTCTCCATCCAATTCTGCAAGGGAAAGAAAAAAGAAAGGAAAGAAAGTGAAAGAAAGAAAGAAAGAAAGAAAGAAAGAAAGAAAGAAAGAAAGGGAAAGAAAGAGAGAAAGAAAGGAAAAGAAAAAGAAAGGAAGGAAGGAAGAAAGAAAGGAAGGAAGGAAGAAAGAAAGAAAGAGGGAGGTAGGAAGGAAGGAAGGAAAGAAAGAAAGAAAGAAAAGAAAGAAAGAAAGAAAGAAAGAAAGAAAGAAAGAAAGAAAGAAAGAAAGAAAGAAAGAAAGAAAGAAAGATTGAAGAAAAGGATGTGTTTAAAGAAGAGACACACAGCAATCTCAGCCCATGTGGATATGGTGCCATCCTGTTATATAAGACGCCCTTTGGGCTGCCCTGTTTGCAGGGTATGCATGTGTGCAGGGTACGCATGTGTACAGGCCTGGAAGTAGAAAGGGCTTTGACTCCAAATTCTTACATGCTAGAAATGCCTGGCCTGATCTGATTAACCCAGCATCATTGCTGTGTGCTAAGTAATCTCTAACAGTGGCCCCAATAGCCACTGGATAAACTCCCAATTCCCTAATATAGCATTCACAGTCTTTCTGAGTTCTACAGTACAGAGTCCAGTACATTTTCAACCTCATCTGCTAATGGTCCCACTGCTCACCTTACATTCTGCACGCATTGAAATACCTGCTGCTTTCCAAATGCAGCATGAGTTTTCATCTTTGTACTTTCCATCTGCCCATAATGCTTTCCAACCTGCTTCTGCATAGTGGCTTGTTTGTTCTCCAATCCCTGCTCAAATACTTTAGCCTCAGAAAGTTGAGAGAGGCTTGGATCAGGGAAATCTGGCTGCTTCTGAGCTGGTTTCAAGAGGAAGTGCCCTCACCCAACATCCAATGTGTCCACTGGCATTTGGGGCTCAGATTATTTCCCAAAGAACATAGAACAGGGATGCAAATCATTTATCTCCTGGATTCCAAAGATTTACCTATGGTTAGAAGGGCACAGAGGAAAGAAAATAATCAAAACTTCGTCTACTTCCCTTCAAAGTCCAAAGTTATAAAAGGTCTGATAGACTATAGTGACCCTGACCCAGGACACAGGAAGGACTGGGCAGCCCAAAGAGGAGTCTCCAAGAGAAGGGTCCAAGGGAAGTCCATGGGGCGGAGATGGGCAGTGAGTGCTGGTTTCCTCCCTAATATGCAGCCATTACTAAAAGCTGTCCAGATCAGAACTCAGGCACTGTGAATGCATGTCTTGGGGGAAAATGGTTAGATTGTGCAAATCTAAAACACTGTCCCATCGAAGATGTATCTGGAGGCCTAAACAGGATAGCTAAGCAGCACCCTAAAAGAAGAACTATCTCCCTGCCATGGCCTGGGAGGTGGGGCGGGAGGAACAGAAAGGAAGGCACCTGGGATACCAGAGCCAACAGCTCAGTGGGACGCACATTGCTGTGGGTTTTAGAACTTCAGCAGATGGTCAATACCAGCTGTGAGACGGTGGCCCTAGTGCAGCAAGAGCAGAAGGAGGGACTGTCTGTGGGGTTGGTGGCTGCAAACATAAACACTAAGGGCATTCAGTTCTCCTTCTATTAACAGTTTAAAGTAAGAACACAGGATCCGCTAACTGACCCCTAAGCCACATAGGTTAGACATTTGGTGAAGAAAAAAGCTGAGTTTATGCTATGTGAGTAAGTAGAGTTTTAAAGCCACTCTAATTTGGATATTTAATAGACATGTAACTGTATTTTGTTGACCCACACTGATGGGGCTTTGGCAATTGAGCTATACAACAGATGATGATTCATGAATAATAAACCAAGGAAGAAAATAAAGCTATGAGTTGCACAGAGGCAGTCTTTGCTCTCAGGTTTTTCTTATACTAGTGTTCACTGGATCCTCAGAACAAGCCTGCAAGGGAGGCATCATTAGTCACCTCTTACTACAGAGGAGAGTGAAGAGTGAAGCTGAGAGAGGACAGCCAACTTGTACAAGTTCTCAGAAGAGGCAAGTGTCAAAGCCAGTTCTGCAGAAACTCGAGCTATTATGCTGGTAAAGATATTTTCCTGTTCTCGAAGACTTCTGCCCAAGTAAAAGGTAGATGACCACAGAGATCTCAGGTAGTTTGGGACATTAGCAAATTCCATAGTCTTCTAGGAGCAGAATGCCATCACCCAGCATTAACCTGTTTGGTTGTTGGAAAATCTTACTTCTTTTCTTCCAGACTTTTCCAGCCATAGCAGGTTGCCAAAATTAGAAAGAGAATGTGCTCTTAGTTGCTTCATAATTGCAGTTTAAATGTTTACCCTTTGATTTCAAGAAATATATTAATTGTAAAAATTGTTTTGTGTGACAATTCTACCAAATTGTATATTGAGAGAACATATTTGTGTGGGGGGGTGTGTGTGTATATAAGTGAATATCAGTGATTGGGTGGTGAAGAACGGAAGCTAAAGCAATATTTTAAGGAAAAGTGCATCCTGTATATTTCGGATATTTTAGCATGTGCTTTACACAGCATTGTCTCATTTTATATTCATAACAATCTCAGGAAATAAGCATTTTAATCCACAAGGGAAAGATGAAAAAGAAGCTCAGAAAAGTTAATTTATTTCCTAAGTAGGTAGCACTGATAAGTAACAGAACCCATTATTAGCTCTAATTCTGAATGCTTTTATTAACCCAAAGAGACTATGCATCTAAATTTAAAACTAGCTCAGTGAACTGCCCATCCCTTAAGGTCAGGATGTATGGGTATTTCTTAAAATTTCCATGTCCAGTGCCCAAGAAAATGCCTGATTCACAGGATCAGCACATTTGTTGATCAAATAATTCTTGAGCGGAGGCTCTGTCTGGCCTATTGGCATTGTTTTGGAAATGTTCCTAATGCTTTAAATTCTATTTACAAAGGAAAAACCTGGGATGCAATGTGTATAACTAGTTTCTAGACTAAGCTTAAGTCTGCATGACCTAAAATGCAGGTAGTCTGACCCTAAAAGTTAAAACAAGAACGTCTTGCACTGATTATATGGTGTTTGCATGATTCTTGAAACTTTAAAGTACTCTACGCCTAGGAGGCTGCTGTCAATATTTAGTCTAAAAGGCTTATGTATGCAACAAATCTTTGGAATCTTTTCTCCAGAGGAGGGCATTTCCCAGTTTTTCTAAATAAATCCAGAATGATCCATCTGCAAATATAAGTGTAAACTATTTTCTGCTACAGCAAGTATGCAAATATTTATTTTATTTTTTAAAAATATGACCTTACCTTGACTATTTAATCTCATCTCTCCAGTGTAGACACACATGTGCACGCACACACACATACACATACTGCTGCTGTTCCAGGCCCCAGTAGAAATATAGAAAAAGCAGAAGATATATCCAGATTTATTTCAGAGCTTAGAACCTTGTTGGAAGAGTAAGGGAAGCAGGCAGGAATTATGAACAACACATAAAAGACAATCAGTCACCAATTGCAATTCGGGTGTAGGTCATGTCAGATTTAAGATGAACAAAGGGCAAGTAAATGTTAAAGAATCCCAGAAACATAATGAAGGCAAAGAAATATAAGATATTTTCAAGTTAAACCTCTTTGTAGTTCAAGAAATAGATAGTAACTAGGGCTAACTTACACAGAAATGGGAAATGTTTTATAAGGACAGAAGGATGTGGTGTCTGCTGGGTCTTCCAGGAAGCACATGCTGAGACAGATGTAGGAGCACAAGCAATTTACTAGGGAGTAAGGCCTGTAAAAGGAAAAGGAGAGGCAAGAGAAGAATTGGGCAAGAAAATCTTTCCAACTCTGATGCAGATCTGACCCCCGTGAAAGTAAAAGAGGGAAGCAAGATTGAGCAGGGAGAGCCCCTGCCATGATACAGATCTCTAAGTCTCCATCAACACAGTAGGGACTCTGTTGCAATGTCCCTTAAAGAAGTCCTGTGTTGGAAGTACTAGGCTCTAGTACTCCTGTGATGTTCCATCATTGGCTAAGGCATGCCTGGGAGAAGCATGCTGTGAGGCACAACATTCATTGCAGTTGCTCTTGGGGTTGCAACGGACAGTCATCATTCCCACTTCTGTTAATCGTTCTAAACTCCCTTCTGCTGGACTGGGTGGCTATATCACATCTGCTGGTCTGGATGGCTATATCAGTCAGTGTTCTCCAGAAAAACAGGACTAATGATTCTCTCTCTGTGTAATTTAAGGAATTGGCTTACTCAATCGTAGAGTCTGGCTAGGCAAGTCTGAAATCTGCAGGGCAGGCTGGTGGACCGGAAACTCAGGCTGGAGCTACTTCTGCAGTCCGCTGGCAGAATTTTCTGCTTCTTCCTCAAGGAAACCTCAGTTTCTGCTCTTAACACCTTCGACTGACTCATTAGGCCCACCTAAATTATTGAGGGTAATCTACTTCATTTAAAATGCATTGATTGTAGATGTTAACCACATCCACAAAATACCTTCACAGCAACACCTAGCATTTGATTAAACAGCCTGACACTGTAGCCTAGCCACATTGACACAAAAATAAAATTAATCATCATAGTGGCTTACCTGGGAATGGTGACCCAAACCTTAATTCCTGGGTGGCTTGAGCTCTGGAAACCATTCCCTTCTCTGACTAGGTTTGCTGGACTTACACAGTCACACTGGGGCAAGGAGCTATTAAGGAAGCCGAACTAGATCACTTGAGGTCTATTCATAGACCTCCTCACCTCCACTGGACAACAGAAGCCACAGTAAACACCACTAATCAGTGTCCATCACCCCAGCCTAGATGGTGACTCTTCTCTCATTATGAATCTGGACATGAGGGGTCCAAAGTTTCCAGACAGCAGCCATAGCATATATTTCAGTGGGGCCTTTGAAGTGACCCCTGGAAGGAATGCACCCTCTTTGGGGATATAACCTCTTCACCCTATCAAACACAGAGTTGCAGGGACAAGAAACACAAAGTCTTTCCATAGGTCATTGAGAACAATGGTAACTGAGGCCATTCTTGCTTCCATACTTTGATTCTCAGACTTAGGTAAGTCTGTTTCCCCTATGGAGGATACAGGGACAGGTAGGGTTCTCTGACCAGCGAGTACACTGCCTCCTGAAGAATGGCAACCCACACTCGGAGTAACGCCTCTGAGCTGGCCTGGCTGAGACTTCAGCAGACATTCTTATATGAAATTGGATTACAGACTCTGGATGACACCATGTGTGATATGATCATGGACTTTTCTGGTCATAGATTCACTCCCATAGCTCCTTTGCCATGAACTGGGTCTCCTGGTCAGATGCTCTGCTATTTAGGATGCCATGACTCAGTCTGAAACTCTGAAAGTCACAGAAGAGAGATTCTGTCTGAGGTTCTGTGAGAAGAAAAGGCAAAGCCTTTTCTGCAAGGAATAAGTGTCCATTACTGTGAGAATGAACTATTGCCCTTTCGGGATGAAAGGAGCCAGCATAGTCATGGCCAATCATGTAATCACGTAGCAAGTGGCCAATTGAAATAGTATGTATCAGGGGTTCAACAGTGGTCTCCATTGACAGCAGGTTACATACTCAGAAGTGGCCAAAGTACATCAGTCTTGGGAGTAGACAGTGGCTGGAACAGGATTTACTCCCAGGCAGTCTTGCCCCAAAGTCGGCCTTTAAACCACTGTGCTACCATGATTATAAATAGACACAATGAATATTTGATGGTTTGGCTGTGCCCCCACCCAAATCTCATCTTGAATTCTTATGTGTTGTGGGAGGCACCTGGTGGGAGATAATTGAATCATGGGGGAAGTCTTTCCCATGCTGTTCTCATGATAGTAAATAGGTCTCACAAGATCTGATCTGTTTTATAAAGAAGAGTTCCCCTGCACAAGTTCTCTCTCCTTGCCTGCTGCCATCCATGTAAGACGTGTCTTGCTCTTTCTTACCTTCTGCCATGATTGTGAGGCTTCCTCAGCCATGTGGAACTGTAAGTCCAATTAAACCTCTTTCTTTTGTAAATTGCCCAGCCTCTGGTATGTATTTATCAGCAGGGTAATATAGATTTCTACTTCTAAATTTTCAAATATACAAAAGTTAAGTTTAGCTTAGTTGGTTTTATGAACCCTGCATATCTGAGACCACTGTCAGTTAATTTAAAAAGTTAATTTTGCTAAACTTAAGGATGTACACCCATGACACAGCCACAGGAGGTCCTGATGACATGTGCCCAAGGTGGTCGAGGCACAGCTTGGTTTTATACATTTTAGGGAAACATGAGAAATCAATCAATATATGTAACATGTACATTGGTTCTGTCCGGAAAGGCAAGATAACTCGAATCAGGGAGGGGGCTTCCAGGTCACAGGTAGGGAAGAGAAAAACAGTTGCATTCTTTTGAGTTTCTGATTAGTCTTTCCGAAGGAGGCAAGGAGATATGCATTTATCTCAGTGAGCAGAGGAATGGGAGGCAAGTTTGCCCAAAGCAGTTCCCAGCTTGACTTTTCCCTTTAGCTTAGTGATTTGGGGGCCCCAAGATTTATTTTCCTTTCACAGTTTAAAGATTCCATTCCTATTCCTAGGATCCATTGGAGAAAGATCCCATGGTTAAAATGTTACATGACGCTCCAGCTCACCCTGCTTCAGCGTGGGATGGGACAATTATCAAAGAGAGCGAATCATAGTGGATTTCCCAAAGCACACTGGCTACACCATCATATAAGGTCAGGTGCTGTCTTAGGCATTTTTTGGTCTTTCCTTGCAAGAGCCATGAAGGTGTGCCACCCAGCACTCCCTTCATGAGGCAGCCTGCTTCAAGGAGTGAAGCTACAGCCTCCAGCTGCCACATCTTTGGGATCTTCTGCAGGGTGCACTCTTAGATCACACCCTCCTAGGGCTGCTTCTCGTCATCAACTGAGCACATTACAGATACTAGGGATGGCTATCCTGCCTAGGCAGAACCTCTGCTTTAATCTGGACTCCCAATCATTGATCAAGACTCTCTCAGAGCTGCTCTGCCACCTGAGGCTCTACCTCTCTCTCTCCCTGATTCTAGACCTACCCTGAGATTGGCCGACTTTCCCCATCTACCCACATGCATTCCGCCTCTTATCCTTCACAGGCACGCCTCCCCCTAATACATTCCTTGTAACTCTATCTTGGCCTCTGCTTTCCAGAGGACCTCAATGGACACACTATGTTTTTAGTGTGTCCATGCTGCTTTCATCCTGTACCTTCCAGGGGCACTGATCTCCAGATCACTCCTGAATAAATGTCCTGCACCCTGAACTTTGTCTCAGGATCTTCTTCCTAGGAACCCATTCTGTAGCAATGCATTTCTACAAACGGACAATCCATCTTGTGTAGGACTGGACCTCAAAGGACCATCCTAAGTAATGTTGGACATGGAGTGGTTAAATAATAATAAATCCTTGGTTTAACAGAGGGGGGATTTTAACAAGGGTAGGGTCCCTGTGATGCAACCACATCAGCCTTGCATGAAGGCCATATTGCCCCCTCTGCTGGGAGTGCTGTCAGTACACAACTTTCAGCTCTTAGCCCTTTCAAGGATTGCTTTAACTGCTGAGATTCCAAGATTATGTACCATCTTAGGGTGACACATATCCAGTGACTGATTGATGTGGGACTGTAGTAGGGATCTGGTCATCTTGGCCCAACTTTGGACAAGTCTGAAGAGCCACAGCAGCTCCACATCTTCCCGTAGGACCAGCTGCATTTGCATCACACGGACTGTGTGGAAGGTTCTACTTGTCTCTCTGCCTTATGCTGCTTTCCTCCTGTTCCTTCCAGGGGCACTGATATCAAGATCACTACTGAATAAATGTCCTGTACTCTGAACTTTGTATCAGGATCTATTTCTTAGGAACCCATTCTATAGCAATATATTTCTACAAAAGGGCAATCCATCTTGAGTGGGACTGGACCTTACTTAGAAAGGAACTTTTTATGTTTTAAATATTCATCCTTTTAATAGTAGAGAATGAGGCCTGTAGAAAGAAGGTCCGTAAGACCAGTGAGGACTAAGCTCTGATTTTTTTTATCTTGCCCAAATTCCTATCTAACAGGCCTGGGGATTCATGCCCTACAAACCATAAATTCTCATCAGATGGTTTTATTTAACCTGTTTATCATGACTTGACTTTCCAACCTGACTCTAGCATAACATTACAAGAAAAGGAAGAAAATAAAAATATTTTACCCCAAAACGTGTTTATTCGCCATATCTTAAAATGGCTCTGCAAAGCTATCCTTTTTGGGGGAAAATTTGCATCTGTAAAGAATGTCTATTAACACAGCTAGATCTTTTTCTTCTAGGCCCTCCCAATCCTAAAAAGATTAACTAAAAGTGTAGCATCTTTTAAAGATCTGAATAGGAAACATTTGTCATCTATTGTCTCTAAAGGCAGCCACTATAAGACTTCAAAGGAACCTTTGTCTCCACAGTCTTTCATTTTAACCTGAACATTTTCTTTCTATCAATCCCAGGTCTTTAGACAAACTCAACCAATTGTCAACCAGAAAATGTTTAAATTTACCTATAGCCTGGAAGCCCCCACTTTAATGTGCCCCATCTGTCTGGGCCAAACCAATGTATTTCTTTATTTGATTGATGTTTCATGTGTCCCTAAAATGTATAAAACCAAGCTGCACCCCGACCACCTTGGGCACATGTTCTCAGGACCTCCTGAGGGCTGTGTCACGGGCCAAGGTCACTCATATTTGTCTCAGAATAAATCTCTTTGAATATTTTACAGAGTTTGACTCTTTTTATTGACACCAAGATAAAGAGAAATGGGGAGAGCTGCAGAGCCAGGCAAACAGAGGAGGAGACACCACACATGGCTTATCAGGAAGTGAGAGACTGCTCTCTCCTGAGCCTATGGGAAGCAGCAAACTGTTGAGCTATATCACTGACAAACAGGCACAAACAGGAGCAGCAAGCAGGCACAGGCACAAAGACAGGGGAGATCCAGCAATAGTCACAAGAGCTGAGAAACAAACTTGCAAGAGCTGAAGGCACTATAGTGTGGGGCATGTGTGAGAAACTCAGCAGGATTTTTAAATGCTAGGGATTCCTAGTCTCAAAAAGTCTTTGCTGACTCCAACCTTAAGTACTATTTTATAATCCCAGAGTACTGCAACAGCACCCTATTGTAGCAGTCATGGCACAGTTTTATAATTGTCTATCTTTTGGTGAGGGGCATAAGCCATGGTGGAAAGTCCCTTCATGGACAAAGTGGAAAATTCTAAGCCTAGCAGCACAGACAAAGACATGGGGGGTCTATGCCAGTAAAGCTGCGGGAACTTCAGCTGGCTACATAAATGTGTCCCCTCCATATAAAAGTGGTCATATTGATATGCCAGGGTTACAGTTGAAGACCAGAATGTTTCTCTACCAGTGTTTCCTGGGCAAGTATCATCTTCCTACCATGAGGGAAAATTCTTTTGTCAGGCTCCATCTCAGCCAGCCTTCCCAGGCCCCTAAGATACAACTCTCTTAAGCATGGCAGCTCACTCACCTTCCCCATGTGAACTTTGCCTCCCAGGCAAGACACCAGCATAGAGATGGAGTTGCCATCCAGATGGGTTCCAACATCATCTGGAAACCGGAAAGTCAGCTGTCACTTGTACTCTTGGCACTGGATGAGGATATCCCTGGGGCCCTGAATTCTATCTTACCTAATCTAGCCATGGAAACAAGTGAAGGTGGAATAGTTACAACTGACAACCTAAGCAAGAATGAGCTGCAAGAATGACTGGGGGAAAAGCAGACATTTCCAAAGGAAGAGAGGTAGAAACTGAGGTCCAGAGGGACTCAAGACTGCAGTGATGTGTGTGTGGCAGGAGGGGTAGAAGGAAGAGGGTGAGTGTGTAGGACAGTAAGCTCCAGACTGGTGGTCAAAGCTTGGAGGTGATACCTGGGGATCAGCTCATCACACCAAGGGACCATGTATAATGTCCCATCCTCTCCTTATGTCCCAAGCCCTCTCTGGAGGGTTTAGGATCTCTCTCCTCAGTAGGATGGCAAAGTAGTTATATATCAGGGATATGGAGTCAGATTTCCCAAGTCTTATTCTACCCTGCTATACTAGCTGGTTGACCTTATGCAAAATAGCTAACTTCTCAGTGCCTCAATTTCTTCATCTGAAAAATGAGGATAATGATATAAAATAATTTCATAGGGCTGTTGTAAAAAGTAAATAAAACATGATGGATAAGGCACTTAGAACACCACCTGACACATTGGAGTCTATCAAAGATGTTAAACATTCATCTGTCATCTATCCATTTATCTATCTGTCCATCTATCTATTCATCTATCATCTATCTATCCCTCTGTCTATCCGTCATCTATCCATTGATCTACCTATTTATCTATCCATCTATTTATCTATCTATACATTCATCAATCTATCTATCCCTCCATCTATCTATCTGTCTAGCTCTGACTGAACCTCTTTCAAAAGTAAATATGTGTGTTTTCTCTTCCTTATCACACACATTAAAGGTGTGAGAGTCAGCCGGAGAGATCATTCCACCATCTTAACAACAACAGAGTTTTTCTGATTAATTTCCCCAAGGCACACTCAGATTGAGCCAAGTCACTTTACTATGTATGATAGTTGGAAAAGTCATTTAATTCCCTGGGTGTTAACATCTCTGTTTGTAAAACAAAAATTTTCAAACAAATTGGTCTTGAAAGTTCTCAATTTTAATATTATTTTATCGTCTCTTCCTTGACAATCAAATGCGTTAACCATCAATGAAATTAATCATCTGAGGGAAAGCCAAATCAAATAGAGCTTGATAAACAGAGATTACTTTCATGATACCAGGACTCTGCCATGAAAATCCTAATTCTCTGGATTGTTCTCAGTTCAGTAGCTGCCAGATGCCAATTTTCCATGTTTTCTTCACCACCATCTGTAGCCTAAACAGTGCTTACTGGTGCAAAGTCTGGTTACCCTGGAGCTCTGAAAAAGCCTTGGTCTTCCCAAAAGCCTCCCTAGTTAGGGTCACTAGGATCCTCTTCCCAAATCCAGGAAGAGTATGATGCGTGGTAGAAATATTTGCAACCACAAAAAGAGAGATAGAGGAGAAATTTTCCAGCATACTCATGCCTTGTGGCATGATAATCTTTTATTGGTTCACAGTTTCCTTCTCCTGGAGTAATACTTTTCTAACTGTCTGGTTGCTGGGAAGGGAATGGGGTAAAGTGTGGGATGGGTGGGATCAGAGCATCCTGGGCTCTATCTCATTCATCCCTGTTTCAAGCCCATAACTTCAGCTCTGTTTTTATTTGTTTTCTTTGCTTATTCTTTGGGCTCTCTTTGAGAAGAAAAGTCCTTTGAATAAAAGCTTTTGGATTTAAAATTTGAAAAACTCTGCCCTGGAGAATGTATCCACAGATACAGTCCTCATGACAATAGGCAGTGATTATTAGTACTATCCATGATTACCAATGAATGTCCACAAACCTCAGAGTGATGGGAAAACTTGCCCACTAATAAGTCAGAGAGCAGTGACTCAAAGCCAGGATGTCTGATAATAAATACATTTATTCTTTTCACTACATCGCAGTCACTTCTCTATAATTTTATAGTAACAGAAAATTCTGTTTACAGAATTGTGTATTGTCCAACTGTATTCAAGATTAATTTAGTAAACTTTTAGTAGACTCCATGTCTAACCATGTCTAATAATAATAACTACTATTTTTATACAATTGCTTTGTGTCAGTCACAGTGTTCTACACTTAAAATCAGATAAATTAACTCAGTTTTATTTAATCTGCCACCAAAATGTGTAAGTGCCATTAGTAGCCCTTTTTTACAGATGCAGAAATTGAGACTCAGAAAGGTTAAGACACATATCCAAGGTCAAATAGTAGTTAGAGGCTGATCTAGGAGATAATCTTAAGAAATCTCACTAATTAAAGACTGTATGATTCTAGATCGAGGTATAGATGAGTTAAAGTACTGGGGATTTTGAAATTAATAAGACATACTCTCTGTACTCATGTATCACACTCGTAGTCACATAACCTCGGTATTAGTTCATGCTCATGCTGCTATAAAGAACTGCCTGAGACTGGGTAATTTATAAAGAAAAGAGGAGTAATTGACTCATAGTTCCTCACGGATAGGGAGGCCTCTGGAAACTTACGCTTATGGCAGAAGGAGAACCAAACACATCCTTCTTCACATGGTAGCAGGAAGAAGAATGAGCAAAGGGAGGAAAAGTCCCTTATAAAACAATCTGATCTTGTTCTCACTCTGTATCATGAGAACAGCATGAGGGTAATCACCTCCATGATTAAATTACCTCCTACTGGGTCCCTCCCATGACACATAGGGATTATAGGAACTACAATTCAAGGTGAGTTTTGGGTGGGAACGCAGAGCCAAACCATATCATTCTGCCCCCAACCCCTTCCAAATCTCATGCCCTCACATTTCAAAACACAATCAAGCCCTTCCAACAGTCCCCAAAGTCTTAACTAATTCCAGCATTAACCCAAAAATCCAAGGCCAAAGTTTCATTTGAGACAAGGCAAGTCCCTTCCACCTATGAGCCAATAAAATCAAAGCAAGTTAGTTACTTCCTAGATACAATGGGGGCACAGGTATTGGGTAAACACACCCATTACAAATAAGAGAAATTGGTTACAACAAAGGGGCTACAGGCCCCATGCAAGTCCAAAATCCAATAGGGCAGTCATTAAACTTTAAAGATCCAAAATGATCTCCTTTGACTCCATGTTTCACATCAGGGCATGCTGACACAACAGTTGGGTTCCCATGACTGTGAGCATCTCCTTCCTGTGACTTTGAGGAGTATAGCCCCTTCCTGGCTGCTTTCATGGGCTGGCATCGAGTGCCTGCAGTTTTCCCAGGCACACAGTGCAAGCTGTCAGTGGATCTGCCATTCTGGGATGTGGAGGACAGTGGCCCTCTCCTCACAGCTCCACTAGGCACTGCCCCACTGGGGACTGTGTGGGGGCTCCGACCCCACATTTCCCTTCTGCACCTTCCTAGCAGACGTTCTCTATGAGGGCTCCACCTCTGCAGCAAACTTCTACCTGAACATCAAGGCATACATCAAGGCATTTCCATACATCCTAGGTGTTGGTGAAATCTAGGTGGAGGTTACCAAACATCAATTCTTGACTTCTGTGCACCCACAGACTCAACACCATGTGGAAGCTGAGAAGGCTTGAGGCTTGAGGCTTGAGGCTTGCATCCTCTGAAACAACAGCCTGAGCTGTACCTTGGCCCCTTGTAGCCATGGCTGGAACAGTTGGAAAGCAGGGTATCAAGTCCTGAGGCTGCATACAGCAGCAAGGCCCTGGGCCTAGCCTAAGGAACCATTTTTCCCCCCTAAGCCTTTGAGCCTGTGATGGGAGGGGCTGCTGTGAAGGTCTTTGACATGTCCTGGAGACATTTTCCCCAGTGTCTTGGTGATTAACTCTGACTCCTTGTTACTTATGCAAATTTCTGCAGCAGGTTTGAATTTATCCCCAGAAAATGGAGTTTTCTTTTATATCACATTGTCAGGCTGCAAATTTTCCAAATTTTTATGCTCTGTGTCTTCTTCAATGCTTTGTGGCTGAGAAATTTCTTCTGCCAGATACCCTAAATCATCTCTCTCAAGTTCAAAGTTCCACAGATCTCTAGGGCAGCTGGGGAAATGCCACTATTCTCTTTGCATAGCAAGAGTCACCTTTACTCCAGTTCCCAAGATGTTTTTCATCTCCATCTGAGACCACCTCAGCCTGGACTTCATTGTCCTTAACACTAACAGCATTTTGGTCAGATCCATTCAATAAGTCTCCAGGAAGTTCCAAACTTTTCCAAATTTTCCTGTCTCCTGAGTCCTCCAAGTCTCTAGGAAGTTCTAAACTCTCCCACATTTTCCTGTCTTCTTCTGAGACCTCCAAATGCTTCCAACCTCTGCTTGTTACCCAGTTCCAGTAGCTCCCACATTTTTGGGTATTTTTATAGCAGCACCCTATTCCATTGGTGCCAATTTACTGTATTAGTCCATTCTCATGCTGCTAATAAAGACATACCCAAGACTGAGCAACTTATAAAGGAAAGAGTTTTAATTGACTCAAAGTTTAGCATGGCTGCAGAGGCCTCAAAAGACTTACAATCATGGCAGAAGTGGAAGCAAACACATCTTTCTTCATATGGTGGCTGGAAGGAGAAGTGCCGAGCAAAACAAACGGGGAAAAGGCCCTTATAAAACCATCAGATCTTGTGAGAACTCACTCACTATCATGAGAACAGCATGAGGGTAACCACCCCCATGACTTAAACACCCCTCACCGGGTCCATCCCATGACATGTGGGGATTACGATAGGGAACTACAATTCAAGATGAGATTTGGATGGGGACACAGAGCCAAACCATATCAACCTCTAATATAATAAGGTCTAGCATAAAAGTAACTGCACTGCCACAATGAATTTTTGTATGTAAAACAGTGAGGTTAGAAATAAAATTTATTTAGGATTAGCTTTAAAAAGGGTCAGAGTTCTTAAGGAACTGCATAAAACTACAATATTTCTCAAATATTAAGAAGATAATTTATGCTAGCTTCAGAGAGCTTATTGAGAAAATCTCAAAGAACATACCCCATGACAAAAGTAATGTATAAATCATGGTGGTCATAAAGGGAGAGGAATATTATCCAGGAGAACTAACTCTTGAACTTGACAAGGGACTGCACACCAAGGCCTCTCTAAAAACCTAAGTAAAAAAATCTGAATATTAAAAGAAGAGATACATTATTCTGCTAGGACCATGGTTTATGAATACAAGTACATCATCTACTAGTGTTCTCAGTTACTGAGAGCATAAAATTCAGCTCTTAGCCCTATTACTCCACGGCAGAAATGATACAAAAGACCAGAATCTGTTTAGAAAAGTTTTGGAGGCTGAAGTATTTTCTGCATCCCAAATCACATGCTTGTTTTAAATGGTTCCCTGATAAAACGGTGTGTGGGTCTTGCTTTATACAAGCATCCTCCATGTAAAATTAAATTGTGATTTAAAAAAGAAAAGGCAAACTGGACAGATGTTGCAGACGGAAACACTTGGAGGTGAGTCACGGCCAAACTGTTAGTGGTGGAGTGTTTCTCATAATTGGAACTGTCAGAACAGATTTTCATTGCACACAAGGTAAAATGCTACCCTCCAAAGAGAGATTTTCATCATCATAAAATGTAATCTCCCTAATTTCAGCCCTGGAAACCTGTGTTGATTGCTGGTATAACACCAAGGTGGAAGTGAAGAGGTGGTATGTTAAATGCTTACTCTATTTGGACTGGCTGGTATCTTCTTTTTTACCTGATAAGCTTTTAAAATTGGTAAAGAATATTGAGACAGGACAAATAATTGGTCATTCACAGAATGTGGACAGAGAGTAATAGCAATAAGAAGGGAAAACATGTGGACTAGTACTAAGGATATATAAGGCTTTCTTGAACTTCTGTTTTTTTTGTTTGTTTTAACTTGTACAATTTAAGTGTAAAGATAATCATATCCTTGGGTTACTGTAAGGAAAAGGAAAACATCAAACATTTCCAGCAAAGTTGATTCGTAACCTATAAAGCACCATGTAATTATTGCCCATGTGACATTCTTTACACTATATTCTGTTTTGATTATAAGACAAAATATCCCACAAAATAAGCAATCCCAAGAGAAACAAAGCAGGAGGGAAATAACAGGTCAGGACCTCACACAGAAAGGTGGGAATGTGTGAAGGAAGGTGATAGAATTTGGTTTGGAAAGCCTGTCTCCCACCTGGCTTCAACCCCATGAAGATACAATGGGCTGACATATATAAAATATTTGGAGGCATGCCTGGTCATAATAAAGCCAGCAAAGGTTAATTATAGTTGGCAAGCCTTTTAACTTTCCTGAGCCTCTATTCCTTGTCTATAAAATATGGATCAGTACTGCTTCTTCACAGGCTGGTGAGGGAAAGTTAATTGAAGTAATACAGAAGAATGGAAATTGTGAAATATTCACACATAGACTATTATTATTGATTGTTGTTAGTGTCTATGTTTTTATATGATATATATTGTGTTGCATGTTCTTATATGTGTGTGTATATATAGATACATGTATATATACACCATATATATATGTATCAGCAGAGAATGTAATGAAAAAAATGCTGTTATTTTCACGGACATGAACTAGGTGCTAAATCAATCATTTAACTTTTTCCCTAATTTGGGCATAACATAATCAGCTTTGATACATATAAAGATTACTTTGGAAAAGTTTGAAGGTTTGTTTATAGGATTGGACAGAGCCTCTAGTGGCCTGTTCTAAAAGAGACAAACCACGAAGGCCCAGGCTCAGAGGCTGGTGGTGGTAAGAGGAAGAAAAAATGAAGCATTATGTTTAAGAGAATTGATAAGATTTATTACTTAACACAACAGAATTCAATAGCAGGCAGCCTGTGATTCAGAAGATCTGAAAATTGAAGACTCACTCTAATAATGCTGTATGCTTCTGTTGTACTTTTAACTTTTTCCATCACTTTCAGATCAATTACCTTGAGCTGCAAACAAAAGAACGAACTCCAGCCTCATTTAGTGCCAAATGTGTTATGGCAAGGTGTATCAAACCTTGACATGGTGGGAACAGCACATGGTGTGTCCTGATCTGACCTGGGTGGGAATCCCTGCTAGACCGCTCACGCCGTGCTTGATTTAGGAAACCTTGTGAACCCCTCTGAACCTTCCTTTCATTCTAATCATGATAGCACCTTCCTCACAGGACTACATGAAATACACCCAGACCTGTGCCCGAACATAGCAGGCACTTTATAAAAGTTAGAGCTCTTCCTTTCCCCCCTCTGGCTGGCGATCTCATGATTCTATGATAAATATACCAAAAGTCATATTATAGTCATGCTCATGAATTCTTAGATGTGAATAGGCTTTGTCACAAAACCCCGAAAAGCAACAAATAACATTTTCTTGATATTTAAATTAATAAGTGGGCTCAGAGAGATAAATGCTTTGCTCAAGATAACACTTAATTTGCAGCTGAAGCATAACTAGAAAACTTAGTTCCTAGATTCTAGTTCTTAGGCATTCTCTAAGCCCAGATATGACTTATTTTTTGGTTGCTTCAATGAAGATATATATCTCTGCCTTCAAGAAGCTTAGATTATAAAAACAAATTAAAAAAAAAAAAGCAAGAACTCTCCATTCCCCTGATTACATTCAGAGTACCAAGAAACAGCTGATAGTTTTAAATGATTCCCTTGCTACCTCTTTTCCCCTGCATGCATGAATGTAGCTGTACATTCAGTTAGTGATTAAACACGGTGATCGCATTCCTTATGCTAAACCCTGTACAAAGAGAAAATTAAAATTCAGCCCAGGAGAGAAGAGATACACACAATCCGCTAGAGAGCAGGTCAGAGTACAGACTTCAGGATCAGAAAAATAAAAGTTCAAATCCCACTTTTGCCACTTAGTGTTAGTATAGGTTACTTTCCTGAACAAGTCTAGCCCTTTGTTTATTTATCAGTAATATGTGAATCCCATATCTACTCCCCAGATATGGCATCAACATCAAATGCTGTAATGCTAAAAGAGGATTCAGCCTGTTATCTAAGTTCTCAGTCAATCTTCCTATTCCATCAGTGGTGACTATTGTTAATAGCCATTATTTATTATTAGGGGAGGTAAAAGCCAAGCATTATGTGGTTAACACTCTAAATCAGGAGTCAACAAACTTTTCTTGTAAATGGCTAGAGAGTAAATATTTTCACCTTTGTGAGAGGTAGGGCCAGTGTTCCAAACACTCAATTCTGCCGCTATAGTAAGAAAACAGCCATGGACACTATGTAAATGATAAGCATGGCTCTGTTCTAATAAAGCTATAAAAAAACGGAGGCCAACCCGTAGGCCATACTGCCAACTTTTGTTCTGAACAGAAAATCATGGAAATTCCACTACAAGAGATGATTTGTGTCTTTCTGAAACTATAGGGTTTAGCAGACAGATGGCAACAGCATTGGAAAATATTGCATAAACAGAGGCAAGAATGGCAGTGGCTTGGAGCAAATCTGGTGTTTACTTGAGCCTAAGTCCTCCATTCTGGCATCTCCCAAGCACCGAATCCAAGCTTGGGTACAAAGGACATGTTCAGTAAGAGGAAGTATGAAATATTGGAACAAAAAATATTTCAGAGTTCTTATATTTCAATTCTTCTACATCCTTTTTGAATGACAACTTTTGAGCAGAGAACTGACCTGATGAATAATGTACTCTACCAAAATGGAAGTGCAATGAGGGCTCTCCTAAGGCACAATAAACAAGTAACTAGGTAACTAATTTAATTAGGGGAGAGAGGAAGCAGGCGGAGTTAAGGATGATACCTTCCTCTCAAGCCTGGCCTATAGAATATAAATAAGGAACATTAGAAGCAGAGCTAATTTTAGCAGCCGAAAAGGACACTGAAAATTAAAATATGAGATTTGGGGGCAAATCATCAAACCTGTGTGATAAATGGATTAGATTCAGAGATCAACAATTTCAGATTGAAGCTGGTATTGGGTATACACTGTCCTTTTGGATCTGTGATTTAGTAGCCAAACGAAATCCAATATCCTAATTGGTGAGGCAGGACAGTGAAATCACCTGTACTATTTGGAAACTCTCACTTTACCTCTCTGCCTCCCTTTCATACTTTTCTCTTTTTCTTGGCTACTTGGTTTCATTTCCTTGTTTGAATCGTGTGGAGTACACATATTTGAATCTATCAGGTGGTATTTACTTGGACTTGGCTCCATTGCATTGTGTTTGAAACTCTGGCAGAACATAATCAACAATGGTATCTGAGTGGATTTTCCAAGATACTGACATTTCCTTCATGTCCATTACCTGCTGTAAATGACAACAACAACAACTTACAAAACCTCTCATATATTGCCTTCAGTGTCGAACGCCCAGTGTTCAGTATGGCAGTGTTCAGTATGGTTTTGTTTATCTGGCCATCATGTGCCTTCTAGTTTTAGACCCATTCCACACCTCCAGTCCAGGCATGTGAGCCAGAGAATTCCTATAATGTCCCAAATTGTTTTATGCTGCTGCTGTTTTGCTCACATTACTTCCTTCTGTTGGGAATGCCAAGATGCCAAGAGGACCCACAAAAACATAATCCCCTCTCTACCTGGATTGTGAGCAAGTAAATACATAAAACAAAAAATCTGAAAGCCACACATGGCATTTAATACAGATGGAGGCCAAGATGGAAGACACATCCTCAGTAGGTTAGTCCAGCAGGCTCGATTATGCTAAACTCTGGACCCAGAGAGACCTATCTACCAAACTCAGTCGGTGCTGGACTTGGGCAAGCCTCTCCTTCTTGCAGCTCTGAAGACATAGAGGGTTACTTCAGGTGAGCATCCCCAGTGATTACTTCCAAACATGTCAGCCATGTAAGTCATTTCACCAATGCATAGGCCAAAGGGGCAGATAAAAGTCCAAAGTTTTACTAACTGAGCTTTAACAGGATGAAGATGTCAACAATAAGGAAGAAGTGTTCCTCACTAACACCCACTGCTGAGAATGCTTTTTTATCCTCTTGGATAAGAAGCTTGTTACTCGTGTTTAATCCATGATTAACAAAGAGCTCTCCAAGTAGAGGCCCCATTGAGCTCATATAGGAAGATCTAAATAAAAACAGCCCAATGACATATCTTTGTTCAATGGTGTCAACTGCTACCTCCCAATAGACCCAGGCCCTTGAGGACCATATGCAAGATATTTTTTGTCTTCTTAGCATCAATTTGCTCTTCTGGTTGCAACAAGACTCTAGCTTTCCTTTAGGGTTCTTCATTCCCAATTTACATGCATCTTAGTGAGTCTGTCCATCAAGATATTTTGTCCTGTTGTCCTGTCTATGATGGATTGTTACCGAAAATGACCACAACTATGTCCCTTTACAATGTGGCCTTGTTATAAGTAATATCTATTTCTCCTACTCTCTACCTTAAATAGGGTTGGCCTTGGTATGTACTTTGGCCAATTGATGCAGTATGCTGGTCTGAGCCTAGGCCTTAAGAGGCCTCTCTCTCTTCTGTTAGTTTTATTGGACCTCCACCACCTTTATTTAAGCAAGCCAAGGGGACCCACAAGGGACTCTCATCCCTTTGAATGACAGATGCTATGGCCCTTAATATGCTCATTTCTCCAAGACAAGGTGTCAGATGTAAGAGAACCCAGCCAAGGTCCAGGAAGCCAGTCTCCAGCTGACCAAGAGCAGACATCAGATGCATGGATAATGCCTCTTCTCAACCAACAACAAAAGATCTTCCCAGTCACACTAAATGTGAGCTAAGAAATGCCTGCTGTTTTAAGCCACTGAGGTTTGGAGTTGTTCATTACACAATGGCTAACTTTTTTTTTTTTTTTTTTTTTTTGAGATGGAGTCTTGCTCTGTCACCCAGGCTGGAGTGCAGTGGTGCGATCTCTGCTCACTGCCAGCTCCACCTCCTGGGTTCACGCCATTCTCCTGCCTCAGCCTCCCGAGTAGCTGGGACTACAGGCCCCCACCATCAAGCCTGCTAATCGTCTGTATATTTAGTAGAGACAGGGTTTCACCGTGTTAGCCAGAATGGTCTCAATCTCCTGACCTAGTGATCCACCCACCTCGGCCTCCCAAAGTGCTGGGATTACAGGCGTGAGCCACCGTGCCTGGCCAACAATGGCTAACTTTTATAGAGATTCACATGGTACTTAGGAATGGCTTTGGGGATTGGTATTACACTTAGAAATGGCTTTGGGATTGGGGGTCAGGCAGAGATCGAAAAAATGGCAAACTCTTGGTGGAAATGAAAAAGCCTTGTGGTTCAGCTTTTGTTTCCATTCAGGAAACGAACCCAAATCTATTCAACATAACTTTTCTTACATTATGTTTTTTCTTAATTAATCTAAGTTTTTGTACCTTGCTTGAGACCAAAGAAACCAAACTGAAATAGGCAGAAAGAAGGAAGGAAGAGACAGAGAAAAGTGAGGATATCTGGCTTTTAAATAAACTCTCATCTAAAGAAAAAAAATCAAACCTCTACATTTAAAGAAAATGAATTTTCAAACTATGGAGTGCATGTGAATCAACTAAATGCTGGTGATCATCAAACTTATAAAACAATCTGTTCTGATGCTGTGATAATTCACTATGCACATATAAGTGGATATATATATATTAAACAGATATAAAAGTGTGTGGCATATATATATATGGAGAGAGAGAGAGAAAGAGAGATACATATCTGATCAGAGGTCACTAGAAAAGTCTCAAGCAAATGCATATTGGAAGTTTTTGATTTATGTAGGAGGTTATCTTCAAACAGTTCACTGTTACTGATTAAATCATCACAAACAGATGAGGTTCTACTGGTGAAAGGAATAATAAAGTGAAATCTATTTCTGCTTCCCAAAGCATTTATACTGTGTATATCTTAAACCAAGGCATTCTCCAGATAAACAGACTATAAACATGATCAAGAACAAACTCTGAACCTCTGAAAAATAGCAGGATAGTACCACTTGTGTTTTATGTATCTATTTCCTTGTACATGACAAAAGTAAAAGATTAGGTGAATTTTTTGTGTCTACCAAATAATTTTCTGATAGTGTATACAAGAAACCAGGTAATAAACAAACTGGTCTGGACTTCTCTTAATTTAATAATTCATTTAACAAATATTTATTCATCAAATTTACCCTGATAATATTGCTGTGCTTTAAATGGCTTCTCATTGCCTAAAGAGTTGTGTGGAAATTATTACAGTGATACATTGCCATTTATTGTAGCTGAGAAGACCCATGGACCTCCCTAAGATGTTCTAGATGTTGCTATAGCAATACTGGATACACATGGGCACCATTCACAGGCTATCTGTGCTCATGATCCAGCCTGCCACACACTAACTGCATTAACTGTGGCTCATCCAGGCCTGGGCTTGTTCTTCTTTAGAAGGAGGTAGTAATAGTACAGTCTCATTGTATATTGGGAAGATTAAACAAGTAAATATACACAAAGTATTCAGATCACTTTCTGGCATACAGTAATTGCTTAATGTTAGTTACAATAATAATCATACCTTCAATTGTCTAACATTTTATGCAATTTTATAAGCACTTACAGCATCTCATTTTTCAGATCATTACTGTGAGATTGTTATATGTATGTATTATATATATGTGTGTGTGTATGAGTGTGGGGATGTGTGTATACATATATATACATATATACACATACATATATACATATATACACACATATATACATACACACACATATATATGTATACATACATACACATATATGTATAGATATATACACATATATGTATACATACATACACATATATATGTATACATATATACACATATATGTATACATACATACACATATCTATGTATACATACATACACATATCTATGTATACATATATACACATATATGTATATATGTATACATATGTTCATATAGTAAGCATTACATATACATATATACACATATATATGTATATATATATGTGTGTGTGTGTATATATATATATATGTAATGCTTACTATATGAACTCAAAACCAAGACTCAAGTTGGTGAAAGAATTTGCCCAAGGTCACTTCCCTGGCAAGGGAAAAGGCCAGGCCAGGGTCAGCCCAGGCCTATTAGACTTCAAAGTCTACACCCATTCTCTACACTCTGCTTCATCCATTGGTTTCTAAGGGTGACCACCTATTTCCTCTTCACCTTTCTTCCCCCAATTCCTATGTACTCTGTCTAAAGCAACCACTGTTCTCAGCCTGTTGAGATGTGAGCATGGTTTCTTTCTAAGAAGTCAACCCTGGCTTGATTCCCAACCCTGCTGCATTGTGGGGAAAGTAGTTCAATGCAGTAATTAACCATTTGGGATTCATCAGACTGCTTGGATTTATGTCCATCTCCAATGCTTATAGCTATGTTAACTTGAATTATTGTATCTCAATTTCCTCATCAGCAAAATAATGCCTGCCTGACAGGTTGTTCTGAAGATTAAATGAAACAATCAAACACAGTGTTTGGTATATAGTAAGCCCTCAATAAGTGTTAGCATCAGAGGCTGATAAAATGTGACTCCTTCTGTCTCTCCATCAGCAGAATTCTCAAAGACCACAACAACAGATGCCAATCAGCCACATCCAAAACAAGAGCTAGACCTTATTTGCTACAGAATTGTACAATGGAGATTGTCCATCACCCACTTCAAATGAATAAATGGTTTGAGTTAAAAGGGCATGTGAAAAAGGTTTCCATTTAAGGAAGTGTCTGCATGGTGTCTATCCTCCCATGACGAGCTCACCAGACCTACAGGAAGAGAGAGATACTTACTCCCTACCTCAATCCAAGTGAAAGCGACTTTAGTGGAACCATTAGATTGCTGGGCTTGTGCATAATGGGATTGAGTCACACATGACCTTTGCCTGGGGAAGACAATGGTTGGGAGAACAGAGATCAGTGCTTTGTACCTCAGATACCCAAGCAGAGGAA
Organism: Homo sapiens; assembly: GCF_000001405.40. Taxonomy (NCBI): domain Eukaryota; kingdom Metazoa; phylum Chordata; class Mammalia; order Primates; family Hominidae; genus Homo; species Homo sapiens. The sequence continues at coordinate 10,929,829 of NC_000004.12, read as the reverse complement.
GGAGATGGAGTCCCGTCCAGGGGGCAAGCAGTGTTTCCTAGGAGGCCATATGTGACCCCCAAAGTTTGAAAACAGCCTGGACTGTATGTGACTCAGGTTATCAGAAGCCTAAGGAGCAGGAGGAGAGCTTGGAAGAGCCAGCTAGAGGTGTGGCATCACTCGGTTTAAGGGAACTGTGGATAGAGTTTGAAAGACTCAAAATAAGTATCTGAAATATGTCCTCAACAGGGACCCCTTGAGAGATAGGCAGAAGGTGTCTGTTCCATAAAAAGCATGAACTCACACCCAATCACACAGTCACCTGCCATGGGAGCCATTTTATGCTAGCACTTTCCTCCTCTACTCAACAGCGGAGCTCAGACAACTAGGCCAGGAAGCAAGGGGAGCAGAAGAGAAGGGTGGAGAAATGGAGATGCTCCCTGCCCTTGCACCACCCACACTTCCAAGCCTGAAGTCAGCTTGATTCAGGACAGGGAAGGAGTTTTAACTTTGAATAACGCTTGAGTTTTGATGACTGCACCAGTCTTGACATTTACATTATTTAGAAGAGTCTGCACTTTGACTTAACAGAACCCCAGCATGTTTGATACTGGCTGAGACTTGGTCAAGTGGTCAGGAGTCATAAATCTAGAAAAGAGAAACCCTTCCCATCCCAAACTCTCCACCTCACATGTTTAGGGAGTCAATGAATTTCAAACTCCTGGCATGTTTAGACGCTATTTGCAGAGAAGGTAGAGTGACCTGTCTCAACAGTAACTTTGCAAGAATAAACTGGGAATTCATAGATTAGTTCCTCCCACTTTCCTCTTGGGAGCAAGCTCTTTAAGGATGTCGTCCACCTCTTCAGGCAATGAGTCTTACCTGGGCAGCACCCCCCCATTCTACGGATGCTCGCCTTGGGCCAGCGTACCTGTGACAGTTGGGGAAGTCTGAATAAATTGGGAGTTCACTTCCCACATGCACTTTGCTCTCACATTCGGCTAATTTCTACAATTAGCTTTTCTGCAACATGAAGGCTAGATTTGATCTCCAAATGTTTCTTCTCTGTCTTGTCTCTCCAATTGTTCAAAATTCAGACAGGGAAGAGAGGTGCCATGCACTGGGTGTCCTGGATACACCAGCAGCCCGTACATAGAGTGGGCTTAATAAAGAGAAATAATAGACTAAAGACGCTCTCTGATTGTAACCAAGTCAATCCAGCATTGTTGAGTAAATGGTTGCATTACCACTGTGAAAATTGCTGCTGGTCTTAGTACTTACAGGGCCCAAAATGTCTCTTCTTCTTTTCACATGTCTTTGTGTTTGTTAAAACTGTTTTCTAGCTCTATCCTATTTCTTGATTCAATTCAATGGCTACCTATTCTACAAAGCCTTTCCTAACTCATCCCATGTTACACTCTCCCACAAATTATGTGATATTTCTTTACTCATTTTTACTCAGAAGATTTTTTTTGAGATGGCTCTTACAGTACTTGTCATACTTGACCTTGAAACATATAATCCTCCTATTGACCACAAGTTCTCTGGTGACCAACTCAGCCTGGTCCTTTCTCATATTTGTGTTCCCACAGCACTCCTCTGGTAATATAATAGGTGCTCAATATTTGGTGAAATTAACTGAAATGAAACTGACTCTATTAAAGTAGGGCCAGGCAGTGCTGTGCAGAGAGACGTGCAGGCTTGGGATCAGATAGATGCAGTTTTAATTCTGGAATTTTCTTTGGTTCTTTGTTGTTTTCTTCATGTGACACTATCACTCTCTGGATCTCAGTTTGCATCACAATTACAGAACAAATTAAGTGCCTTCTATCAAATATCTAGGGTTATGCCTGGCCTTAATACTCAATAAAAGTTATTTCCATTTCCATTTTGATTGGCAAAAAAATAACATAAAGGATATGGTCATTATCTTGCAGATTCTTTGACAAGGATATCACACAAAAGGGCTTTTGGTTCTATTGGTTTTTGAGTCTTAAATTGCCAAAGAAATCTTTTATAGAAGATGAGGACATGAGGATGTGCTTCAAGGAAAGTGCTTCCTTTTTTTCCTGTGGTGAGTGAACCCTCCATAAACATGCTCCACCAAAGACATAAACCAGGCAAGAAGAACCTTAGTGCTTGGGCTGCACTTGGAGAGCCTAGACCCAAGCTCAAACAAATTCTATGGAGTCCCAGCCCAGCTTGACTTTTTCTTATATAATATTAGAATAATGGTAATCAACATATCAACCTACTTTAGAGAAGTTTATGAGCATTTAAAGATAGAGCATATAAAGCAGGCTTCGGCCCCCTAAATGTGTCTATTGTTACTATGAACATCAATGTTACAGGAAAGATGTCTCTGATCAACTCTGTGAGTTAAGCCATGCCTCTTTTAATTAGGCTATGTCTTCATCTTTGTTATAGTTTAGTGATACTTTTACATTTTATTATGTTTTTATTTTCCATCTGTTTAATACAAATGGCTGTTTAAATGTAAAAATTAAGCAAAATGTCTTATCAACAGATAACTCAGGCTACTTTTGTTCTCCTAATTAAATTCAAAGACAGACTCAAGAGTCACTCTCAATATGGTCTGGGGCAAGTCGATTTGACTCTGTGTCTCCCTGTCTTCCTCAAACATGAATTGATGACAATATTTTATGAAACTAAAATAATTCGGGAAATTATACATTTCCACATAAAATATAAAGTTAAAAACTAATGTTAACTGCACTTAGATGGGAACAGATTATCCTAGGGGAGTCAATGAGGTCCTGTGGTTTTAAAGTCCCGGCTCTCCAGTCGCATACTGATTCTATCTGTGGTCTCATTGTAAACTGGGGAGAATAATAATACTTACAGGGCAATGATAAGAATGAAAAGAGATAATATATTTGAAAGTATCAGTTACATTCTTAGATGTCATAAAATGTTAAAATAATTACAATTGTAAAACCCTGCTTTTCTAATTCATAAAGAATCAGATGAGGCATATAAGATGGGATGGAAGAAACATGGATTAGCTCTGAATGAAAGACTCAGATTGTAATTCCAGCTCCAGCCCTAAGTAAGTCAGTTCCCCTTCCTGGTGAAATATACATCCATATGAAAAACAAGAATAACATATTACTACAAAAAGAAGAATACACTATTTCTAAAGTCCCTTCAAATTCTGAAGCTGTATGACTTCTATGTAACTGCTTATAAATAAAATAGAAACTGATACTTTTAGAGCAATTAATTCTACCATCAGTAATGAGATAAAGCAGTGCAGAGCAGTGGAAAGAATAAAAGTAACCAGGGCCAGAAAACTCCTGGTTTGAATCCTGGCTCTTCAGCATATTAATTTGACCTTCAGGGAAGTTATTAAATTCTTGTGTTCTTGGTTGTCTTATTTGTAAAATGGGATAATACATCCCTCATGGGACTATTGTGAGAAGAAAAAAATGCATGAGATAATGCACTCTGGTTCATTTGTTCTGTTCTTTTAAAAATATCCAGCGGGCGTATAGCAAATGAAATAAATACTGAACCCCTTAGTTCTGCCTGGTTGGAGACATTGTGAGTCAGATTAGCTCCCTGTGAGTCAGGGAGCTAATGAAGACTTCTTGGCGTCAAGGTCAAGCCCTTTGGGTTTAATATGGGTGCTGAACACAGAGCTAAAGGCTAAGTTAGAGAAGGCCCTTGTTTTGGCAATGTAGAATTTCAGACACATTTTGCAATCTGTATTGCAAGGAATCATGCAAGCAGAATGCTACAGAAACAACAGGATTCATTAGCACTGGAGGACATTCTCCTTTAGTCCCCACAGAAAGCCTGCTTTGTACTGATTGTTGTGGGAGAAAAGGAAACATGATGTCTTTCTGGAGGGAACTCAAACCTTTTCCCTCTCCAAAGCCTCACAGCATGAAGATCAAGATGTGATGCTATCTGAACAGCTCACTGCTGGCTCTTCCCACCACCTCCCAAAGCCTCCAGCTCAGAGCAGTGAGGGCTCATCTTCTACCTTCTCCCTCTTATTCGAGGCAGGCCTTTCCTGGAATCCATAAGTTGTGTGTCTCTCATTGTTCTCTGAGCCCTTTGGCCAAATATCTTTAGATTGGGTGTGGGGATTTGGGGCATAAGCCAGGCAAATCTATTAGGATGCAGCAGCAAGCTAGTAGATCCTTGATTTATGCTTCACTTCAGCTCATCCAATGTCTTCTTTAAGTTTTGTAATGTGAATATTAGCATAGTAGCACTTCTGTATAATTTATACATAAGTAAAGAATTATATATTACAGATGTGTTTTAATTACTAGTATATGCAGAAACTAATAACGATTAAATGAACAGAAATCTGCAATTAAAAGTTATATCCCTAGACTGTATCTTCTTCAAAAGCCAAGACAACGGCATTCATCATTGAATCCCAAGCTTCTGACACAATGTCTGACAATATAGGAAGGATAAAGGAATAAATAAAATAGATACGTATTTTTTTTTAACATATACTCTGTTTCAGGCACTTGGGATTCAGATAACTGTAACCTTATGGAGAAGACTACCCTGTAAATGAAAACGACCAACCAGAAGGCAACGTGGTAGGTGCTGCAGGAGAATTATAATTACAATAACATGAAAGCAAAGAAAAAATGATTCTAAGTTCAAGAGCAAGCCTGGACTAACTCACACAGAAGGGAGAATTTGAATTGAACTGTAAAGGATGAGAAGGAGTTTTCAAGTCTTTGGAGAAAAGAGGGGAGAGTGGTTCAGTAGGCTCTACAATTCTAACTCCCAGTAATTACTATAGGGTCAGGCACATTGGAAAATCTATATAAATAGAGTCACCACTTCTAAACATGTATTGGTTAGGATCATTGTGGTTATGACTAACAAAAACTGTATCTAAATTGGGTAAGAAATAAAAATAACATAAAATTTAATGGACTTCACACTTCAAGGATTGAGCATTTGAGGCACAGTTTGATTCAGAGGTTTACAATGCTATCAGGATTTCAGCTTCATTTCTCTTAGAAACTCTGAACTCTGACTTCTACTCTGGTTGTATCCTCAGGCTGGCTTCTTACCGAAACTGTGTGTGGCTGTCTCAGGCCTCACATCGGCACCCTACATCCTTCAGAGGCAGAAGGGTTTCCTAAGCAAAAGTCCCAAAACTAATTCAAGTTGCACTAGCTTAGCTCACATCTCCATTCCTCAATTAAATATCATGACCAAAGACACATGACTCTCCTAAACACAAGTGAGTAGCCAGCTTCTTTAAAGCCCGTGGATACCCAAGTAGAAATAAAGGTGTTTTAAATAGAGAACAAGAGAAATTCATTCTGCTGGGGCAACAAGCAGATGTCTGCCACCTGTTGTGTAATCCCATTCAACCTTTGGTAAAGGGTACAAGCAGTGATTTTGCACTTTGGTTTGTGAAGTCAAATTCATCTGAATTTGAAAGACAAACAAACAAAAGCAAAACAGAACAAAAACCATCTCCTGAAATTTGTCACACGGTTTTTCTTCATTTCATTTTATTTGTCTCAATCTCAGAGATAAAACATCGTTAATGGAAACACACCAGCTAACATATACCAACTCGGTAAGAACTGGGCTTCCTTTGTTTTCACTTCTTTTATTTATTTATTTAACATTTTAGAAACTTAAAACTTAGGTAACTAAAGCACACTCAAAAATAGCTGTTTTATTCCCTACCTTCCTTGTCTGATTATGATACTGTTATCTTCCCTCTGAAAAATAGATAATTTTCTTTATCTTATTTAAAACTAGCCTGAGTTTCTGAACAAAGTACAAGTACATAATAACCATTTTGTTCAACAGAGATTGGCTTAAAAGACACTGATAGTTAATGAAGAAATGAAAAACACCTCCAAAACGAATCCAGCTACCGCAATGTGGACCGCCCTAGAAACTACATCAATCCGTGTGGTTTATTCTCATCCTCAATCCAATTCTTACCCTTAAAGAAACTACTCATCACTAAAGAATCTTAGTTTCCATTTTGGAGACTAATCTTATATGTCAAACCACTAACTTTCTCCTGTATTCTATGCTATTCTTAGCCCAAGATTGCTTGACATTCAATAAATATTAAATGTAGCAATAATAATCATGATGATGACCATGTAAATAAATAAAAAGAAATAATCCTTTTGAAGCCTTTTCAGATTGTCTGCATTTATGATTTCAGAATTAGAGAAAAGTCATTTCATGGGGTCAAGTGGAATGTCTTCTGCCCTCTTCAGATGTTGTTAACTTATGCTCAATTTTCTCCAAAGTCAAATGTATAAAGTCTTAGTGGAGTAAGATTAATTCCCCAGTGAGCACAGTGCCCATTTGCACACGATATTTATGGTATTTTTAAAGATGTAAACAGCATATTTGTCATGCGTAGCTTCCAAATGGAACTGAATCTTCTCTCTGGTACAAACCTCTGTTAAAGAAACCTTAAACTCATAGGCATTATTGGCTTGAGTATTTCACTGGAATGTGAGTATTTTCACAATAACCACAGCTTATGCATTTAGATCCTACCTGCCTGGGCAAAAAGCCTGACGCATAGTGGGTGCACATTAAATGTTGGCTAAATAAGAAATGAGTTTTGTTTTTGTTTTTATTTTTAGCGTCTCAAATGTGAAAGCTGAACCTGTGCATATTCTCCCAGTTGGGGAAAGCAGGTCAATAAACACTGTTATAGTGAGTACTATTTAAAGCAGTGATTACAAATTATTTTTGGTTTCATGCTGAGCTTTGTGTTTAAGAGCAGTATAGGCATGCTATGATTGATTAGGTATGCCTGCCATGGACACAGGGCAGTGGAAAAGCAGCACTGTGCCAGAGAGCTGCCATCCAGATGTAAAGATACCGCCACCCACAACAGGGGGATGGGCTTGGCGGAGAAGACGTAGGAGAGCAAATGTCCCATTGGTGTATCTGACAACGCCAGAAAAGCTTAGCAGTGACTCCATTAAAAATTACGTATGCAAATTTCATTTGTTGAGAATTTGTTTACAATGACTTTTCTATGAATGGATGAAATCTTTCAGCAAATATTCAAGACGTACAAACACATGGCCCAGGGTTATTTGAGGATTTTGAGAATTTGAAAAAAAACATTCCAACCGGGCAAAAATTAAAGTTCCACTATTATGAATGCATTGACTTTTGTAAATTCAAGAACAGGCCTCTTTCATTTGAAGTAGAATAAACCAGGTTGCTGTCCACCCTTGGCATTTTACAGTTGACAGAACAAGCACTGAACTCCAGCTTGGCCCATAAAGACAAACTACAAATAGTAGCCCAAAATCGCCTCAACCCCGCTTCATGACTTACTCGAATATCTCATCTTCTGGGCCTAGTGTTTGACTTGGTCAGTCTGCAGGTATCTTTCCATTTGCCCATCCACGCCCTCTGCTCTTAAACTAGTAAGCTGGCCTCTTGGGTAATACAACTGTCTCCTATACTCCTCGGCCTCTGAGGTAAGCCAAAAGGGAGCCTGAGTAGGAAATGTAAGGGAAGGAGGAGACAGAGGTCAGCATTATTTCTTCCACTGAATCCCTCCCAGTGAGGTCACTTCAGGTTAGCCATGTCCCCCTAATAGGTCTCTGCCTCTTCCAAGGCAGACTGCTCTACACACAGACTCCCTCTAGCCTTCCAGATTTCAGTATGCTCTCCCTCTTCATATTCCTTTGTGTCTAAGACAGTAACAGCATCACCATTACAAGTTCCTATCTAGGCACTGTCCTCTACAGTTCCCTTGAAAGTAGTCTGCTTGTAAGTAAATCCTGCTTGAATGATCCAAATATCAACGTGCCATCTTTTGCTTTTGGACCCTAACAGCTAAGATGCTTTTCCTGGAAAGCCCTTGCCTTACCCATCCCACAGTGATTTTGAAAAACATTTTCTAAATGTCTTCAATGGGATGGCTTTACTTCCATTCAACATAGAACCCCACTGTGTGCACCAGCTACTTATTTTGTGAATTATCACGATTATCTTTATGTCCTCACCAAAGAGATCCACTCCCATGAGAGTGGCAATATATAACAAAAACGTCAAAAATAAGAAAGTTTTTAAACCATTTTCTATTTGTTAAATACTGGCATTTTATGTGTAAAATGAAAGAGTTTTAAAAATGTTAAATTCCAATTGGAAAAAAATTGTTCTAAGGCTAGTAAAAAAGAACTTATTTCTTTTTCAAAAATAATTATTATATATCCATATATACAACATACAAGGATAGGAGGATGAGTTATAAGGATGACTTAAGAGGAATTGCTGGGTCATACGGTAATTTCATTTTTAATTTATTTAGGAATTTCCATACTGTTTCACATAATGATTGCACCAATCTACATTTCTAGCAAGAGTGTACAAGCGTTCCCTTTTCTTGACACCTTTTATTAACACTGTTATCTCTTGTCTTTTTGGTAACATCCATCCTAACTGGTATATCTCCTGGTGGTTTTGATTTGAATTTCCCTGATGTCTAGTGATGTCGAGCACCTTTTCATGTACCTGTTAGCCATTTTTTTTTCTTCTTTGGAGAAATATCTATTCAGGTCCTTTGCCAATTTTTTAATCGGATCATATATTTTCTTGCTATTGAGCTGTAGGACAAACAAGTCTAAAGATCTAATGTACAATGTGAAAACAATAGTTAATAATAATGTATTGTATTCAGGATTTTTGCTACATGAGTATATTATAGCTGCTCTTGCCACAGGGGTAAAGAAAATGAATAACTCTGTGAGGCTATATGTATGTTAATTTGTTCCACTATAGTAATTATTTTACTATATACAAGCATCTCTAAGGTGTAAAGCATGAAACTATGAGATACTCTCAAAGTAAAATAACACTTTGAGATACAAAACAAAATTTATTTAAAAATTAAAATCAAGGATACTTAAGACATGATTTCTATATTTAAATGACTTGGTGTGTAATTAAATAAACAACCAAACATGACACACTCGCACTCACAACCTCACAACCCCTAAGTTCATGAGAGGCTTTTAGGTGCTGGCATGTTTATATACATATATTTTTAAAGGCTTTAATTTTTTAGAGCAATTTTAGATGCACAGTAAAATTGAGTGGAAAGTATGAAGAGTTCCTATATACTCCCATTCCTCCTCAATTATCAACATCTCTCTTCAGAGTAGTACATTTGTTACAACTGATGAACCTGCATGGACACATCATTATCCAAAGCTCACAGTTTACATTAGGGTTCGCTCTTGGCATTGTACATCTTGTAAGTTTGGATGTATAATGAAGTGTATCCAGACTTACAGTATTATACAGAGTTTTTCTGACTGTCTTGAAAATCCTTTGTGTTCTGCTTATTTATTCATTCCCTCCACTAATCCCCAGAAACTACTGATCATTTTACTTTCTCCAGTTTTGTTGTTTCTAGAATGTCATACAGTTAGAATTATAATGTATGAAGCTTTTTGAGATTGGCTTCTTTCACTTAGTAATATGCATTTAAGTTTCCTCCATATCTTCTCATGGCTTGACAGCTCATTTATTTTTAGTGCTGAATAATATTCCATCATCTGAATATACCACAGTTTATTCATTCACCTACTGAAGGACATCTTGGTTGCTGCCAAGCTTTGACAACTATAATTAAAACTGCCATAAACATCTATGTTCATGATTTTGTGTGAAAATAAGTTTTCAACTTCTTTGGGTAAATACCAAAGAACACAATTGCAGATTATATGGTAACAGTATGTTTAGTTTTGTAAAAAACTGTCAAACTGTCTTCCAAAGCAGCTCTACCATTTTCCATTCCCACCAGCAAGGAATCAGAGTTCCCATTGCTCCACATCCTTGCCAGCATTTGTTGGTGTCAGTGTTTTGGTTTTTGTCATTCTTATAATTATGTAGTGGTATCTCATTGTAGTTGTAATGTGAATTTCCCAGATAACATATGCCTTAGTCCATTTTGTGATGCTATAATAGAACACCTAAATCTGGGTAATTTACACTGAACAGAAATTTCCCACAAATCTGAAGGCTGAATATTCTGAGATTGGGGAGCTGGCATCATCCCATAGCAGAAGGCAGAATGGCAAGAGAAAGAAGAGAGTAAAATGGAGCCAAACTCCCCCTTTTATTTTATTTATTTATTTATTTATTTGTGTTTTGAGATGGAGTCTTTGCTCTGTTGCCCAGGCTGGAGTGTAGTGGCACAATCTTGGCTCACTGTGACCTCCGCCTCCTGGGTTCAAGCGATTCTCTTGCCTCAGCCTCCCTAGTAGCTGGGATTACAGGCACCTGCCACCACGCCTGGCTAATTTTTGTATTTTTAGTAGAGACTGAGTTTCATCACATTGGCCAAGCTGGTCTGAAACTCCCGACCTCAGGTTATCTGCCCACCTCGGCCTCCCAAAGTGCTGCGATTACAGGAATGAGCCACCAGGCCCACCCCCGCCCCCCACTTTTATAAAGAACCCACTCCTTTGACAACAGTATTGATGCGTTCACTCTGCCCTCATGGCCTAACCATGTCTCGTTAAGCTCCACCTTCCAACATTGCAACATTGGGGATTAAGTTTCTGACACATGCTTTATGGAGTATCTATTCAAACTGTAGCAACATATGATTTGGATCATCTTTTCATATGCTTGTTTGCCATTTGAATATTTTCTTTGGTGAGATTTCTGTTAAGGTCTTTAGCCCATCTCTTAATGGGGTTATTTTCTTATTTGTTGTGTTTTAGGAGTTGTTTGTATATTTTGAATAGCAATTATTTATTAGATATATCTTTTATAAATATTTTCTCCCAGTCTGTGGCTTATCTTTTTATTCTCTTGACAGTGTCTTTTGCAGAGCAGAAATTCTTAATTTTAATGAAGTTCAACTTATCAATTCTTTTGTTCATGGATCATCCCTTTGTTGTTGTATCTAAAAAGTCATCACTAAACCCTCGGTCATCTGGATTTTCTATTTATTTTCTAGTTTTTAAACCTCTCAACAACTTTGAAAGATACATATTACTATTGTAATTTTATATATTAATATAAAGAAATGGTCAATTAAAGGGGTTAAATGACCTGATCATTGCTGCATACCTTATAAGACATGGGCAAACAGACACACACATCTGAAGCAACCAGGAACTCACATGCCTGAGTCATGCATGAGCCTCTTTCCAAAGTTAACCTGCTACATTGAGGTAGTAGATTTTTGTCCATTGATACTTTATCTTTGTAGCCTAACATCTGCCTTCTTAATGTGATCAAGTTTTCATCACATTCTCTGATTCCAATAAGTGTGATAGTCTTACATTCTGTGTATGAGTGCTTCATTTTCCAGCTTAGTAGTTCTCATCCAGAGGTGATTTTGTCCTCGTTTGGCACTTGGGAGTACAGTTTTGGTTGTCCTCCTGGGAGGGAGGGTGCTACTGACCAAGTCTGGGATGCTGCTAAGCATCCTGCAGTGCAGAGGACAGTCCCCTATGGCAAAGAATTACACAGCCCAAAATGTCCGCAGTGTTGAGGCTCAGAGACTATGCTCTAGATCCACTGCCTTGCATTTAGCAGTCCATCCATCTACTGTTCCTTCACCCCATGACTCCACACTGTGTTTGTTCTTGCTGCCAGATTTCTAATTTTAAGGGTTTCAGCTTGGCCATTTATTTGGCCAAGTTATTTAAATATCCTGAGCCTCAGTTACTTGAAAACACATTCGACTTCTTGGAGCTTAATTTCCTCTTCTTTGAAGGCTTCTTATGAAAATTAAATGGGATAATGTGGAGGGAGCTTTACCAGTTTTACCTCCAAATTCTTTTTGCAAAAAAAGCATCCGCCACAGTTCTGTCAACCACAAGAGAGAAGACATCTCTTCCCACTCATGGTTAATGAGACTAAACATGTTTAAACAGCCGGTTCTCATTAAACAAATCAAAATGCTCGCCCAACCTCTTCTATAACTGCTCTGCAAAAGGGTCTAAATCTCGGCCTCCAGTGTTTGTGTTTTACATGTTAAAATAAGGTCCCAGCCTACAGAATGTGTTTTTTTCTCCCCGCTTCTTTTTTAATAGTTGCATTTCCAGCTGGTTTTATTTAAGGCTATGCTTTTGATCTCTTTTCAATTCTGGGCCTCTTGCCAACTTGGCTGTCAATATTTTAAAGGCTCCCTTAGAGACGGCCTTGCTTAGAAGATGGCCTCACGCCAACCAGGAGAACTGGTCTACCTCCACTGATAGTTTGGTGAGTGTGCCAGTATTTCAGACCTGTTCCTGTCGTGTGTCTACCAGGAAAAGTATCACTATGTAGTGATGCTTCTCAGGGCACTGTAATAACATATTATAGCGAGAGGTAATTATATAATTCATTTAGTCCAACAAACTAATATTACAAATGAGAACATTGAGGCTTAGAGAAGAGTCTCGCACAAGAGCTCTGTCTTCTGACTCTCCATCCAGTCCTTCATCCATAATGCTACACCATAAATAGGATTAAAATAACAAAATGAAGTAAAACCATGTATTCTTATCTTTTGCAACAGCTCTTTGCAATTGAGCAATTACTAAGTATTTTTATGTTGCTTTTAGCCATGCCCATCACTACTGCCATGCCTTTTTAGTAATACATCTATCACATCAATGTCCAAATGGGAAATTTTCCTAATACCCATTTCTCTCCATTCTTCTGCATGGGCATCTGTAATCATCCATTTTCTGCAAGATACCACTCCCATGGTTGTATTCTAAATTTGTCATCATCAATATGTTTCTGATCACTTAGGTAGGACATCATTAGACTCTCTGCCCTCCATCTCAATCTATCAGCCCATTCACCTTGTATTCCCTTATCTGGAAATTAATCCTTGCATGTTCTCCATTCTCTAATCCATTAATTCAACATTTTTCCACTATTGATCCCTGGCATCCTCCCATGTTCTCTCTTAATGACTTACTTCGTTTAAAAAATTGACTACATCAAAATAAATTTAAAATTCTGCATGAAAAAAAGCCACAGACAAAAGTCAAGAGGCAACCAATAAGCTGGGGAGAGTATCTGTAGATTATATTAGAGTTAATGACTAATGTTCTAAATACAAAATGATCTCCTAAAACTAAGTAAGAAACAAAAAATATGAAGAACCTAATAGAAAAATAAGTAAAGGCCATGCAAACGCAATTTTGAAAAAAGAAAAAATAAAATATCTAACAGTATGAAACCTTCAACAAATAAATACATTTAAGGCCAGGTGTGGTGGCCCACAGCTGTAATCCCAGCACTTTGGGAGGCCAAGGTGTGTGGATCACCTGAAGTTCAAGAAAAGCCTGGGCAACATGGTGAAACCCAGTCTCTACTAAAAACATGAAAATTAGCCGGGCATGGTGGTGCACGCCTGTAATCCCAGCTACTCAGGAGGCTGAGGCACAAGAATTGCTTGAACCTGGGAGGCAGAGGTTGCAGTGAGCTGAGATCATGCCACTGCACTCCAGCCTGGGTGACGGAGTGAGCCTCCATCTCAAAAAAAAGAAAAGAAAAGAAAAGAAAAGAAAAGAAAAGAAAAGAAAAGAAAAGAAAAGAAAAGAAAAGAAAAGAAAGACATTTCCATTAAAGCTTTGAAGAATATCATCCTCTAAACCTAATCTGTTGGCAAAGGTCTAATAGTTTGATAATACATGTGGAAATTATAAAACACATTTGTATATTGCTGATAGAAGTTTATATTGGTACAACTTCAGGGAAAATTAGACAGCAATTCCTATTAAATTAGAGCTCAAATTTCAACTCAGCAATTTCAGTTTTAGGAAGTTATTCCATAGAGAAAACTTGCACGTGTGTGAAATGACATATGTTCAACAATGTACAATACCACTTTGTTTTTTTAACAGCAACAGATTGGACAAGACCTAAATCTCTATTAATTAAACAACAACAACAACAAAATACTGATTAAATAAACCAAGAATTCTTCTTTCAATGTTGAATTAGCAGACATTTGAAAGAAGGAAACAGCTCTATACGCTGAATTGGAATTATCTGCAATATATTTTTAGGAGGAAAAGCTAGAAACAGAACCATGTTTTTAGCATGTTCTCATTTGTGGAGACTATTTTTAAACATACACATGTATGGTTTTATATACACAAAATATCTATGTATGACTGCAGGAGAAATTAGTAACCCTAATAACCCTAATTTTCTCTGGAGAAAAGAACTGGCAAGTTGAGATCTGGCATGGAGGCAAAAAAGGATAAAGAATTGCTTTTTTTTCTGTACCTGGCTTATTTCACTTAATATAATGGCCTCCAGTTCTGTCCACGTTGCTGCAGATGACACAATTTCACTCTTTTTTAATAGCCAAATGATATTTTATTGTGTATATATGCCACAATTAGATAGAGAGTAGAATGATAGATACCATAGGCTGGGAAGGATGTTTGGATTGTGGGTAGGGAGGACGAAGAAATGTTAGTTCACAGGTATAAACATAGAGTTAGATAGAAGGAATAAGACCTAACATTTGCTTTCAGCATAGAGCGACTGTAATTAACAATAATGTATTGTTTCCAAATAGCTAGAGAAGAGGACTTGAAATAGTCTCAAAACTTAGAAATGATAAATGCTTGAGGTGATGAATACGCTAAATACACTAACTTCATCATAATACGTCCTATGCATGTAGCAAAATATCACATGTACCCCATAAATATCTACAAATATTATGTGCCAATAAAAATAAACATATATAAGAATTGATTTTTTATGTATTCTCTTTTCCCCTTTGACTTTTTAAACATACGTAGTATCTTTTAAATTAATTAAAAGTAATGCAAGTCCATTGATTTTTTCTGTATTCTCTTTTCCCCTTTGACTTTTTAAATATCCATATTATCTTTCAAATTAATTAAAAGTAATGAGATGAAGAAATTAGTAAACAAATAAATAAGGTACCCCCTTATGACTTTCTTTCTCAGCATCCTATTTTAATTCTCTATATCACACTTATCACTTATAATTGTCCTCTTTATGTGTTTATTATATGTCTCTACCACTAGAGTGCAAGCTAAATAAGAATACAAACCATGTGTATAAGACTCTACTACAAGCCCTTTGTGTGAATCAGAAGTAGGAGTCTCCTTGAGTAGATGCAGCCTCCATAGACTATGGAGTGGAGCCTGGTGGAATTTCCACCAATACTTAACCTTTGCAGGTCACTCTTACGCAGTGAACAATGTGCAAAAGTTTATGCAGCTACCCTACCTTTCTGGTTTGTATATCATTTTTATTCAAGCTCCTACAACAGAGTCTTCTACACAGCAGAATCTCAGTGTATACTTGTAGAATGGATAAATATATAAGTCACAGTATTGAACTCACTGGGAATATAAATTACTGCAGTAAGCTGAGGCAAGCATACTCCTTACTCATTCATTTCCTGTCTCGCAGTGATCACTATCTTTCATTGTCTGATGTTCCATGTCTTGAAAAGCATTGTGTCTTTTTTTAAAAGGTTTGTTTGTTCTAGGAGAGAGGATAGGTCTATCCTTATTACTCCATTGTGATCAGGTGTGAAAACATGTCTATTGTGATTTCAAAATGCGGTTTAACTATAATATTTTTGGCCATAAACCTGAGAATTGATTTCTGTTTGGATTAAACCAAGAGCTAGTGATAGAAAAGCATGTGTAATTGTAAAAGGTAATTTGGTGGAATTGTTTTGAAAAATTATAATATACATATGCCTATCCCATTAACTAGAATATTTTAAACCAGTTACTAGATAGTATTTTACACTAAAATTGCCCTTAGACATTAGAGAACTCTCTAAGACTTAGCTTTCTTCTCTTTAACGTTCTATTACACTTTTCTTACCATCGGTCTTTCACCCTTCTCACTACTTTTATTTTTGTTTTTGTCTGGTTTTCTTTTATTTCCACTTCTGAGTGATTTGACAGCTGGAAATACCAGTCTTCCTTTCTTTACCACACTTACTTTATCTACTTGTATGTCTTCTCATAACAATAAAAGGGAAAATTATAAAGCCAAACATGTAAGTAATACAAGGTTTTCATTTAGTAACACTAAGTTTATAACCTTTTGTTTGCAAAACATAAAGTCGCTCAATCTCTCTCCTATTGAATAAAAAGCACTGGGGTGACAGCCCATGCAGGCAACTTGTTCACTGACGTCTAAACTGGGGACTATGACCCATATGGTTGAAGAGTGTGCTGAAGTGGAGAAAGCACTGGAATTAGAGTCAAAGGCCTTGAGTTTCACCCTGAGTCAATTTACCAGCTATAAATCCTTCTACAAGATGCTTAATGCTATTGAAACACATTTTCTTCATTATATTAGGAATGATAATTTTTTACTTTATAGGACTTTAGTGAGAATTTATACATTCTTCACAAAACATTTATTAAAAGTTCATAGGCATTGCACTACTGGTTGGAATAAATTATTAAATCATAGAACATATGTGAATCTAGGATGTAGAAGGCATTCAACAAAGTATAAAAGTAAGGTTTATTGAAAAGCCACAGGTAGGGGTGGTTAATTTTAGTTGAAGAGGCTTTTAAAATCTTTAGGAAAAATATGAATATGTAAGCAGGAACTTGAGTGTGGAAGTCTTGAGTTCAAGAAAGAAATTTGGACCAAAGACACAAGGAGTCATCAGCATATGGCTAGGATTTAAAATTGTATAATGAATGCCTTAGGGAATGAGACATAGAAAATAAAAAGACCAAGAACTGAACCCTCAATCTCTCTAAACTAAAAAGCTGGGGAAATAAATAGAAATCAACAAACAATACTGAAGAAAAAAAAAAAAAAAAAAAAAAAAAAAAACCAGCCAGCAAGTTGGGAAGAAAATTAGAATGGCTTAACAGCCAAGGGGAGACACAGGGTTTTTTTTTTGTTGTTTGTTTGTTTTTTGAGACGGAGTCTCGCTCTGTCACCCAGGCTGGAGTGCAGTGGCCAGATCTCAGCTCACTGCAAGCTCCGCCTCCTGGGTTCACACCATTCTCCTGCCTCAGCCTCCCCAGTAGCTGGGACTACAGGCGCCCCCCACCAAGCCCGGCTAATTTTTTTGTATTTTTAGTAGAGACGGGGTTTCACCATGTTAGCCAGGATGGTCTGGATCTCCTGACCTTGTGATCCACCCGCCTCGGCCTCCCAAAGTGCTGGGATTACAGGCTTGAGCCACTGCGCCCGGCAGGGGAGACACAGTTTAAAGGAGAAGAAAAACAATCAGATGTGACAAATACTGGTTCTGAGCCAAATAGTAGTTACTTTTTTATTAATAATACAACAAATGTTAATTGAGGTCCTACTATGTGTTTTGTGCTGTCCTGAGAGGTAGAGGTGCAACAACCAACACAACAGATAAATATCCCTGCTTTAATGGGGTTTCCCTCCTAGTCAACTATGACTTGACCACAGCATCCAGTAGGAAAAGGCCACAGGTCCTTGACAAAAGCATTTTCTGTGGTTGTGGAGGAAAGTCTAACTGGAATGGGTTCAGGCATGAATGAAAGGTAAAAAAATTAGAGACAATAAGTAAAGTCATCACTTTGAGAAGTTTTGTTACAAAGTCAAAAAGAAAAATGGTGAAGAGGAAAGGGAGATTGCGATGGTTAATTTTATGTGTCAATTTCATTGGGTCATAAGGTGCTCAGATATTTGGTCAAAAATTATCCTAGTTGTTTCTGCAAAGTTATTTTTACCATGAGACTAACATTTAAATCAGTAGGCTGAATATAGCAGATTATTTTTCCCTATGTGGGAGGGTCTCATCCAATCAGGTGAAGGCCTTGATATAATGAAAAGACTGATCCTCCCCCAAGTAATAGAGAATTGTTTCTGCCTGACAGCATTCAAAGTAGGACATAGACGTTTGTTTTCCCTGTCTTTGGATACAAACTGGAACACTGGCTCTTCCTGGGTCTCAAGCACACTGAACTAGAATTACACTATCAGCTCTCCTGGGTCATCAGCTTGCCAAACCATCCTGCAAATTTTGGGACTTGTCAGCCTCCATGATTACATGAGACAAGTCCTTGCAATTAATCTCCATCTATAGATCTCTCTCTCTCTCTCTCTCTCTCTCTCTCTCTCTCTCTCAAATCTATCTACGTCCTATCAATTCTGCTTCTCTTGAGAACCCTAATACCTTTCAGAGGTCAAGAGAGTTTTGTGTGTGTGTTCGTTTTGTTTCAATATGCAAAAACATCCCCACATGTTGTACCCTGATTAAGAAGGACTTGTAGAGGGAGAGGAGAGCTAATGATGCTGGAAGAGAGGGAAGAATAGTTACAGTGATGTTCTTGGAAAGGTGAGAAAAGTTCGGATCTGATAATACAACTAGGGATCCTGGCTGTGTCGGGTTAATTTATGTCGCCTAAGAAGATACATTAACGCCCTAATTCCCAGTAGCTGTGAGTGACCTTATCAGGAAATAGGGTCTATATAGACATAACCAACCTAGGTTGGGTTCCTACTGGATTAAGGTGGACCCTAATCCAATGTTTTCTGTCCTTATTAGGATACAAGGGAGGTCACCTTGTGAAAACAGAGGCAGAGATTGGAGTGATGCATCTACAAACCAAGGAGCACCATGGATTATCTGCAACTGTGAGAAGCTAGCAAGAGGCAAGCCAGGATCCTCTCCTAGAGCCTTCACAGGTAACATAGCTCGGCCACCAACTTGATTGCACACTTCTTGTCTCCAGAACTATGAGAGAATAAATTTCTATTGTTATAAGACACCCAGTTTGTGATACTTTGTTTTGGCAGAACTGAAAACTAATACACTGGCCTTAGTGGCATGTATAGCCATTTCAGGACAAGAAGCTGCAAAGTTATGGGATCATAAAATTCATGCTATGCTTCAGTAGGACAAGTTATTTTATGGGCTTGATGGCCAAAAAAAAAAAATGCACTGATGAATATATTGGTGGGGCTCAACAGGCTTTCAGGCACCAATCCCTTTGTTCTTCCTCCTCTCCGTGCTTCTGGCCTATAAAGCCAATGTGCATGGAAGTTAGCCAAATGGGAACGAAGTACCAATCCTATCAATTTTTGCAAGCCGTCTATGACTTCCAATTCAGAGGCCTCTGGTGAACACTACAATGAAAGGAACAAGTGCATTTTTCTTGTCCCTGATACCCCTGGAATTTGGAGGCCTGGCCCTGGCTGCTGAATCATGCATGCAGAGGCCATAGGGCCATCAGGATGGGTACCCTGCTCAGGAACACTGACCTACTTCTGGAAGGCAGGCTCTGGCTTTGTCCAGGTTTATTAACTCATTGGATAAAGTGTGAGGAAGACAATGAAAAGAGAGAGGCCAGAAATATCCCCTCCCACACCTATGCCCCTGAAGGAGAACAGCTGATGTTCTCCTCTCTTTTAAATCATAGAGAGGAAAGAGTTCTGTTCTAATAATGATGGGCCTTAAGTATCAGGCTATGAGATTATATTTCAATGCACTAGCAAAGATTACGTCTAGCTAGGGAAATTTGAATTTCCATAATGCCATAGAGTACTTAATAGTACCCCAGTGGGCAAAGATAGTTATAGTGCTTCTTAAGTCTGACTACAGTGAAGTCCATGCCAAAAAGCTATACATGAAAAAGTATTTGAATTCTAGCCAATGTAATAGTTAATACAGCAAAATTCCAACAAAACAAAGAATGCAGACATTCCCATGACTCTCAAATTTTTTTTATTATTCTAGAAAAATTACAAGTTTTGGATTCAGGTCATCTGCATTTAAATTCTGACCCTGCCACTTACTAATTAGATAATCTTGAGCAAAATATGTCGCCTTCCTGACCCTCAATTTTGTCATCTCATAAGGAAGATTGATGATTGTCCCAAAGAGGCTTCAGACTCATGTTAGGGTGATCATATGTTCAGTAGGCCTAGAACAATGCTAGTTTGTTTGATGCCTCTGCTTAATTATTATGCCTTTTTATTCTCAAAAATGACCTAATTTGTTCAATAAAATTATAAGATCATTGAATTCATATGCGCCAATATGAAGGTGTCTTAATCCATTCAGCTTGCTATTAACAAAAATATCGTAAACTAGGTGGTTTATGAACAATAAATATGTATTTCTCATAGTTCTAGATCCTGGAAAGTCCAAGATCATGCACTGGCTGATATAGTTTGGGTGTTTGTCCCCATCAAATCTCATGTTGAAATGCAATCCTCAGTGTTGGAAGTGGAGCCTGGTAGGAGGTCATTGGATCCTGTGGGCAGATCCCTCATGAATAAACCATTATTATATAAACCATAGCACCATCCCCTTTGTAATAAGTGAGGTCTCACTCAGTTAGTTCACATGACACCTAGTTGTTTAAAAGTCGGGGAACTCCCGTCTCTCTCTTGCTCCCACTCTTGCCATGGGATACACTGGCTCTCCCTGCACTTCTCACCATGACTGGAAGCTTACTGAGGCCCTCACCAGAAGCAGATGCCAGCACCACACTTCCTGTACAGCCTGCAGAACTGTGAGCCAATTAAACCTCTTTTCTTTATCAATTACCCAGTCTCGGTATTCCTTTATAGTAACACAAAAGTTGACGAATACACCTGGAGTTTCAGTCTGGTGTAAGCCCATCTCCTGGCTCATAGATGGCACCTTCTCATTGGGCCCCACGTGGTGGAAGGAGCAGAGTGGCTCTCTGGGGTCTCTTTTTTAAAGACACAAATCCCATTTATGAGTGCTTCACCCTCATCACCTAATCACCTCCCAGAGGCCCCATGTCCTAATATCATCATTTCAGGAGTTAGTATTTCAACTTATGAATTTTGGAGGGACACAGATTTTCAGACCATGGCACACAGCAACTTGAGAATTTTAAAATTACACATGAATGTAAGTTTCAATAATGAGAATCATGCTCTCTAAGCAGTCTCCATAAAGAAGAATTTTTGTTGTTTGTTTTGGCTAGTGTAAAGTAAACAGCATGGGAATACGTAACATGAGTCAATTAAAGGACTGAAATTTACCCTCTTAACAAATTTTTAAGTGCCAGTTTTTTGTATACAAATTATACCTCAATAAAGCTAGAAAAAAATAAATACAAAACCGAATTGTGGGTAAATGAGTGAGTATAAGAACTTGCATGCTGAAAGGATGGAGAAGCATTCTTGAAAGCAAATGAATCTATTCAGTTACTTAGATTACCATTGATGAATTTTTCTGCCGAGAAAGCTAGACAGCACAGTAGGAGCTAAGGTGGATAGAACACCAACAGTATGCCAGAAATCATCGTTTGAGCTGGTTCTCTCTCTCTCATTTAAATATAATTAAATTAAATTACCACAACCTTATAAAGTAGGCATTGGTATGCTCATTGCACAGTGGTGGAAATTGAGGCTCAATTGATTCTACTTCTGGCTCAACTTAACAGCAGAACGAGGTTTTAGAATCAGATGCACTTCTTCCTGAAGACTTGCTCTTTCTCATATGCATTCATCCTTGACATGGCCCATCTTTTCACAGTCAGGGACATTTTTGAGAAAACAGAATGGGGAATGGTGGTGACACTCAAATCTGTCTCTGCTCTATCAAAACCTTCTGAGATCTGTGCCACTACCAGTGGGTGAACAAACATAGAGCTTCTGATGATACCATCAGAGAAGACCAAGCCCTAAAAGGCTGCAGAGGAGCCAGCTGGGGAAAATGGATGATTTACCTGAAATCCAGTAAAGGTGCATTTCCCCAGCACACATGGAGGGAATAAAACAGCTTTTAAGGACTGTCAGTGGCTCCAACTGGGGCACATGGCACCAAGGTTCAGCAACGCTGAAGAAATAGGCATCCATATTTGCCCCATTTTAACACCAAGTCCAAAGATATTTGCTTCTGACAAGCAAAGATCTGAGGTTGTTTCCCTGTGAGTCCACCCAGATGGTGGCTGCCACATCTTCCCATGCCTAGCCCCCTCTGAACTAGGAGTTCTGCATTGCCACCAATGCTGCTGAAAGAGAATGAGTGATGAGGCATGCTGCATTTCAACTTTTAACATTCTCAGCCTGTTCCTACCAGGCACTTCTCAACGTGGTCTTCTGCAGGAAAATCGGAGGAGGGAAACCCGAGTGAGTGGCTGTTGCTCACCGCCACAGGGAAATTGCTCTTTCTTATGTCTTTTCCTGAAATCTATTCTGAAAGGCACTTTACATAGCTTTTGGTTACCAGCAAGAATATGATGCATCTTTTGGTTGAAACCCCTCAATGTCTTATTTAGTTCATAGGCCTGTATAAGTAATTTGGGAAAGTGAGCCATAATCTTAGCATCTCTTTCGATGGGCAAGTGAAATTTTCTAAATGCATGCTCATGCTAGTGTCATTGAATATGGCCTCTCGTTTTTCTTTCTTTTGTGTACTTGCTTGATTTTTAACTTAATTTTATTTTAATATAACCTATTTTATGTAACTGAGTATTAATACTGTCAGTATTAAAGTGTACAATTTGGTGCATTTTAACAAATGCATACACTCCTATAACCACAATCACAATGAAGATATTTAAAGTTTTCATTGCCACAGACAGTTCTGTAATTTTTTCTGCATTTCCAGTCAAATCCACCTGCCACCTGGCACCTTACTCCCAGCCCACCTCCAGAGGCTATTGCTTTCTTCATTTCTATTACTATAGATGAGTTTTACCTGTTCTTAAATTTCATATCAGAGGAAGCGTACAGTATGATCCTTGTGTCTGATATTTTTGTCATTCATCTGTGTTATATTCATTGACATATTTATGTTTATTCATTCCTTTGTTAATGGACATTTGGATTTTTTCACTATTTCAAATAAGAATGCAATCAATATTCTCGTAAAGTTCTTGCTTATAAACAGATGTTTCCATTTCTTTGTGTTAAATATCTAGGAGAGAAATGGATGATTATAAAATGTACACTTAACATTACAAGAAATTGGCATACAGTTTTCCAAAGTTGCTGTTTTACATTCCCACTCACAGTGTATCACAGTTGCAGTCCTTTTGCAGTCTCTCCAAAATTTGATATTCTAAATCGTTTAAATTTGAGCCATTCCAGTTGGTGTATAATGATATTTCACTGTGACTGCAATTTATATTTCTCTACTATCTAACCTTGATGAATATCTGTTCATGTTCTTATTAAACATTCATATATCCTCTTTTGTGAAGTAGCTACCCAAGTCTTTTGCTCACTACTTTTAAATTATTTTTTATTTTTTTATTATTGAGCTGTAAGTGTTCTTTGCATATTAAGGAAACAGGTTTATTGTCAGATATACAATTATAAATTATTTCTTCCAATCTGTGACTTATCTCTTCAAAGTTAACATTTGATGAGCTGAAGTTTTCTTTTCTATAACTTTTATTTTAAGTTTAGAAATACATGTGCAGGCTTGTTACATAGGTAAACTTGTGTCATGGGGGTTTGTTGTACAGATTATTTTGTCACTTAGGTATTAACCCCATTAGTAATAACCCATTAGTTATTTTTCCTGATCCTCTCTCTCCTCCCAACCTCCACCATTTTTGCCTACCCCTTTGGATCAAGATTGGAAATTGGGACAAGAATAAATATAAATACATGTACTTTTTCAGGGGTAGAAGGATGGGATACCTAGTCATGTAATTGCAGAGTACCTGAGTCAGGATCTGGGCACCCCACTGCTGAGATCTCTAGAGTGAACCTAGGTTTAAAGAGCTGTGTTCTGGCTCTGGAATAAAAGAGGCCCTTCTGATAGGCCCCAGTGTGTGGTATTCCCCTTTTTCTGTCCATGTGTTCTCATAATTTCACTCCCACTTATAAGCGAGAACATGTAGCATTTGGTTTTCTGTTCCTGCATTAGTTTGCTAAGGATAATAGCCTCAAGCTGCATCCATGTCCCTGCAAAGGACATGATCTCACTCTGTTTTTATGGCTGCATAGTATTCCATGGCGTATATGTACCACATTTTCTTTATCCAGTCTATCACTGATGGGTATGCAGGTTGATTCCATGTTTTTGCAAACTATGCATCTGACAAAGGTCTAATATCCAGCATCTATAAGAAACTTAAACAAATTAACAAGGAAAAACAACCCCTTTATAAAGTGAGCAAAGGACCTGAACAGATACTTTCAAAAGAAGACATACAAGCAGCCAATAACCATATGAAGTTTTCATTTTTTATAAAATCAAGTTTTTCATTTCATTTTTATTTCTTTAGTGGGTATTGTTTTTTGAATTCTAAGAAAACTTTGCTCATACCAAGGACACAAATATATTTTCTGTATCTTCTTCTAAAACTTTTACACTATTAGCTTTTACATTTAGCATTGCAATCTATCTTGAGTTATTTGTATGAGGTGAGGTATGGTTTAAAACTTCTTTTTTTTAATTTGTAAAATACAGATATACAAGTTTTTTGGCATTATTATTGAAAACACTGTTACATTACCCACTGAATTGCTATGACACTTGTATTAATCTGTTCTCACGCTGCTAATAAAGATATACCCAAGACTGGGTAATTCATAAAGGAAAGAGGTTTAATTGACTCACAGTTCTACATGGCTGGGGAGGCCTGACAATCATGGCAGAAGGTGAATGAGGAGCAAAGTCACATCTTACATGACAGCAGGCAAGAGAGCTTGGGCAGGGAACTCCCAATTATAAAACTATCAGATCTAGTGAGACTTATTCACTACCATGAGAACTGTATGGGAGAAATCACCCCCATTATTCCATTATCTTCACCTGGCCCCACCCTTGACATGTGGGGATGATTACAATTCAAGGTGAGATTTGGGTGGGGACACAGCCAAATCATATCAACACCTCAATGAAAGACCACTTGAAAGTATATATCTAAAGCCTTTATCTGGTTTACTTATGTGTTCTCTGTTATAATCTATTAATTTATTTGCCTGTGTTTATGTTAATAACACACAGTCTTAATTCTTGTAAGTAGTAGTTGTAGTGTATCTTGCAATAAGGTAATATAAGTTCTCCTACCTGGTTCTTCTTTTTCAAATAAATTTTAATGTCATCTTGTCAGATTTTACAAAAATCACATGGGATTTTTCATTGAAATTGAGTTGAATCCATTGAATTTTGTAAGTGCAAAATCAGATCATCTAAATACAGCTTTGTTTTTATTAATCCCAGTTTTTATGTGTTTCATCTTCACATTTTCTTGCCCTGTTGTCCAGGCTAGAACCTCCAATACAAATGTCCTTTGGCATTTCTTATAGTGAAAGTCTGCTGTTATTGAATTCTCTCATTATTAGTTGATTCAAAAATTGTCTTTTTTACCTTTTCTTAAGTAGATGCTTTTTCATGATATAGAATCGTAGTATGAAACTTTTTTCCTCCCTCTTAGCACTTTAAAGTTGCCATTCCCCTGTCTTCTGCCTCACATTGTTTCTGATGAAAAATTAACCATAATTACTATTGTTGTTTCCTGCTTTTGACATGCCCTTTTCTCCTCTAGTTAATTGTAGAAATTTCACTTTATCTTGGCTTTTGGCCATTTGGCAATGATATGCCTTGGTGTTGTTTTATTTGTATTGATTGCTTGGGACTCACTGAGACTCTATAATGTCTCGGAGAGGATTTGCACCATTTTTGCTTATCCTTTTGGATCAAGATTGGAAATTGGCCAAGAATAAATATAAACGTGTACTTTTTCAGGGCTAGAAGGATGGGACACCTAGTAATGTAATTGCAGAGTACTTGAGTCAGGATCTGGGCACCCCACTGCTGGGATCTCTAGAGTGAACCTAGGTTTAAAGAGCTGTGTTCTGGCTCTGGGATAAAAGAGGCCCTTCCTACCACCACTTCTGTTCCCAGGTTTCTACAAGTATTACCTTTCTTTGAGCTACGAGTACTCTTAAACCCTGTGATATAAAGAGTTTGCGAGACATAAGCTTAGTAAACACTTTATGATACCAGTTACTAGAGGTGCAGAGCATGAGGTTGGTTGGCTTTTCTCACTGTACTTTTTTTACTTTTATTTTTTGAGACAGGGTCTCATTCTGTCACCCAGACTGGAGGGCAATGGCATGATCATGGCTCACTGTAGCCTCAACCTCCTGGGCTCCAGTGATCTTCCCACCTCAGCCTCCAGAGTAGCTAGGACCGCATGTGCCATCACACATGGCTAATTTCTTATAGAGACAAGGTCTTACTATGTTGCCCAGACTGGTCTTGAACTCCTGGGCTCAAGGGATCCCCACCCCACCTCAGCTGCACAAAGTGCTGGGATTACAGGCATGAGCCACTGCACCCAGCCTCTCTCTAATTCTGATTTAGCATTGCAGTTTCTGTTCTGCCCTGAGATCACAGTAACTTCACGGTACTTTCTTCTGCTTAACAATGTGTCTCTATCCCATCTGCCATCCCCTCATATTCCTGATAGGAAAAGAAAACATACACACACACACACACACACACACACACACAGACACACAAACACACACACGCCTTTTAGGGATGGATTATTTTATCTCCTAAGTTAAATTTCCTGATATTTTTCCTTCTCCAAACACACTCACACAAAACATATATATATATATATATATATATATATATATATATATATATATATATATATGGGATATATGGGTTTTTTTCCATTTTGTTAATTGATTCTATAGATGACATTAATGACTGGTACTGGCTTGTACCAAGTCAAGTGTTGCCCATATTTCCTTGATCCTTACCATTCCAGTCAATTCTGTACTATTTTGACTGTCAGCACCTGCATCCTTTTCCCTGAGGCTTCCTCTCTGTCTTCCAAGACCCACACTGTCTGTACATACAATGATCTGAAAATGCCACATATTTGTGTGCCATCTTCTCCCTGAGAGCAAACCCCAGTGAGTAATTGGAAAGAACTGGTGTATGAACACACAGCCCCCTCAATTTTTCTAGGAAGACTCTGAAGCATACATTCTATTTTTATTTTCCTGAGTTTTTCAGAGGGATGAGCTCCAGTTGCCCCAGTGGTGACTTTTTAATACTATCCCTCTGATACCACGTTTTCATTCTTCCCTATCTTGCTTCCCTACCCTTCTATCAGTGTCACCTAGGATTAACCCTAGGTAAAAATTTACACTTGAATATTTGTCTTAGGATGTGCTTCTGTGGGGACTCAGGTATAATATTTACCTGTTAAGAGAGATCTTCAATGCTTCAATCCTGAAGAGGGTCTTGCAAATATTTTTTAGTTTTTTTTTTCTCCTAGCTATCAGAATATATGTGCACGTTTATGCCTAAGAACAAGGGTTTCCTATTTTCCAGGCCATCCGCTTGGTTCTAAGTAACAATCACACTTGATTCCCTGGGGGTGACTCACCAGCTGTCTTTGGACTTGTAGTTCAGTTTGAAATGGCTCCTGGTGCTCCTCCCCATCTGGTATGAGACCTTCTCACCTTCCAGAAACCCTCCTTGTGCCTTAGTCCTACTGTTGCTGTGCCTACCTGCAGAACACACTTACAGAGGTAAAGGGCTCCATTTCTGTGTTACTCACTGATGGGACCCCTCCACCATGCTGCTCATGCCATGGCCACCTGGTTAAGCTGCCTCGATGGTGGCAACAGAAGTGACCTGCTGCGATGGCTTTTCCTGTCTACTAGGCTAAATTTCCTGACTTTTTTTCTTCTCCAAACCCCTCATAGAAATCATTTCTGCATGGATAACTAAGCCAGATCATCACAGGCCAGACCACATACTGGTTAGCTTTAAAAAGCATTTGTTGAACACCACATGTTCTCACTTACAAGTGGGAGCTGAACAGTGAGAACACTTGGACATGCAAGAAGGGGAACAACACAAACTGGGGCCTGTCGGTAGGGCATGGAGAGGGAGCACATCAGGATAAATAAGTAATGCATGCGGGGCTTAATCCTAGGTGATGGGTTGACAGGTACAGCAAACCACCATGGTACACGTTCACCTATGTAACAAACCTGCACGTCCTGCACACATGTCCTGAAACTTAAATTAAATTAAAAAATTTTTAAAAAGATCAGATGAATCTGATCTTTGTTTTTGTACCTCCTGTCTTTCATATAAAATTTTATTGGCACAGAAAACAAAAACTGTTTGTTGAATCTTTTGTGTTAGTACCCAAGTCCTGGAGGAAGAAGTTTTTGTTTTGTTTTGTTTTGTTTCTTGTTTTTCTCTCCTTATGAAGAAAATACAAGTTCACCCACAGAACATGCCTTGTGAGCCCTGCTGCCTGTAAGAATCTTTTCTTTCTTTTCCCCTCTGGCCTTCTCTTATGTGAATAAGGTCAATTGATTTAAGTCTTGGGTCCTTCTCTAATTATTTCACTGTACAAAAATGAAAAGAAATTATGGATCCTTAGAATAATAGAAGCAAACAGAAGTCAACATCCTTGTTCTAGGTATGAGGAAACTGACAGAAGGCCACCATGCAATTTGTTCAGAGTCAAGCAGGAGGTTAGTGGCAGGATGAAATATAGAATATAGGTTTCCTCAACATCCATCCAATGCTCTTGATACACACTAAATAGAATATTAGATCTAAAAGTAGTTTATAAAATACAGTATAAATACAATAAAATATTATTAGAAAGGCTGAACACAATTCATGCATTTATTTAACAAATATCTCCATTTTCAAGAAACTTACATTTTAGTGGGTATGACATATAATAAACAAACCCAGAAGTAAATAGAGAACTTGATATTTCAGATGTGTTAAATGTCACAGTGAAAGAGCAAGAAGAGAAAGGGAATAGGGAACCTAAGAAGAGGTAATGATTATATTTTTAGAAGATTGTTCAGGGAAAGTCTCACTCATGTTGTTACAACTGAGCAAAGACAAATTTGTTTCATGCTTCTCTAACTGCATGAAAGGGTCTTTTCCCATCCTCTCCTGACCAATTATCATTCATTTTCAGTGACATTCTCTCAAAGAGAACTTTTGGGACCTACTAGTAATTGAACAATTCGTTTTTCAGTCATAAGCTTGGTGTGATTAATTACAATTATCACAGTTTGAAACTGTATACTTACATATTTGTTAGCCTCCCTGTCTCCCCTACTAATTTATTATCCTCATGAGGCTCTTTTCAGCAATGTATCAGTAGCACCCAGAATAATGATTGGCTCATAGCAGTCTTTGAGTAGTTGTTTAATGAATGAATGGATAGAAGGATGGATAGATGGGTGGATGGCTGTGTGGGTAGACAGATGGATGGGTAGATGAATGAAAGTACTGATGGGCAGACAAATGGATGAGTGGATGGATAGATGGATAAATGGATGGAAGGATAAACAGATGGAGCGGAAATTAGGAGAAATGTAGAACAGGTACGGTTGACAGTCTCCAAAGACGGTGTCATCAATTTCTTCCCTCCCTATAGATGTATGTTGCAACTGACACCAAAGTGGAGTCTAACTATTTTCACCTCCATTCCAGATGGGCCTTTGTGACTTTCTCAATAGAGCATGGCAGAAGTGACATTTCAGAACTTCTGAGACTATGACAAGAAATCCTGCAGCATCTTCCTGCATCTCTTGGAGTATTCAGCCTGGGAGAAGCCTACTGCTATGTTAGAAGTCTGCTATCTTGAAACCTCCATGCTGTAAAGAAGCTTAAACTAGGCATGTGGAGAGGTCACGCGGAAGGAGATAAACTTGACCAGCCCCCAGGTATCTCAGCCCAAATGTCAATCTCCAGTCCTAGCTGTCATCTGTTTTCAACTGCCTGAGACAATTCAAGCAAGAAGAGTTCACCTAAGCCTAATTGTCCACAGGACAACAGGGGGCCGCACTAAATTGTTGTTTTAAACCACTAAGTTTTGGAGCATTTTGTTACATAACAGTGGGTAACTGGAATGTCTGGAAAAAAAGCATACTGAGAAGCTTACATTGTCATTTGAAACAGTAATAGAAATAGAAATGGTGGGTGTGAATAGACCTATAGATGAAAAAAAATGAAGATTTACAGAAGCCAATTGACAAGCCAAGAAATGGCACAATGAGAACTATAATCCAAGCCTAGAATTTAAAAAGAGACAAGAGATAGACAAAAAGAGGATGAGAGGAAAACAAAAGACTTTATATCTTCAACGTGTTTAATGTTTTATCCAATCTTTCTTAGCTGAAGTCAAGAATATATAATCCAAGTGGTCTTCCCAAAAATAAATGTTTGTTTTTTTTTAAATGCCCTGCCCACCCCACAGGATTGCACATGTGCTACTACCAAAAAATAAAAGTAAAGAAAAGAAAGTTTTCTATGCTTGGAATAGCAAGAGCCTCTGTCCTCTGTCTCTTCATAGTATCTGGGAAACATGTCCTCAAACTCTTGGGTCCTTCTAGCTGGTTTGGACTTGATCCAATCATTTAGTAACTACCACAATGCCCAATACAGCAAATAGTTCAAAGCTACTTCCTGTTAATTAGCCAAGGCAGTTTTGAGGGTCCCAGCTGTGCAATTCATTTTCATGCGCAGTATCCCCAATTAGGCCAACTCTGTCTGAAATTTCTGGAGCCACAACTTGATAATCAGTGGAGAGATGCACCAAGCTAAGATAAGGTCAAAGTATATTTTCTTTAGTGGTTCCCCCAAGACAACACTTCAAAATCACTTACCAGAGTAAAAACTATATTTCATATACTTTACGAAAATAAATGTGTAGTCCTAGAAGGGGAAGTAACCATGATTAAATTCCTGACCATTTCTCTTTATGCTATAACCTAAAGGAACAAAAATAAGATTCTTTTTCTGACTTCTTTGAGCCCTCTTCTCATATTTTGAAATAAACTGCCCATTGGTGACAGGCTTCCCCTCCCAGATAAATTGGTCCAAAGATCCATGTTAGATTGCTGACCTAAAAATTCATTTAGCTGTAACTGCCTGCCGTGTCAATGCGCTTTCATTAAAAAAGTGGTCTTTTCTGCATAAACAATATAGAAGACCCATTGATCACAGTGCCTGGCATGCCACCAACACCATATTTTCTTTTTCTTTTTTCTTTTTTTTTTTTTTTTTTAGACAGAGTCTCTCTCTGTCACCCAAGCTGAGAGTGCATTGGTGCCATCTTGACTCACTGCAACCTCCGCCACCAGGATTCAAGTGATTCTCCTGCCTCAGCCTCCCGAGTAGCTGAGACTACAGGCACACGCCATCACACCCGGCTAATTTTTGTATTTTTAGTAGAGACAGGGTTTCACTATGTTGGCCAGGCTGGTCTCGAACTCCTGATCTGGTGATCTGCCTGCCTCAGCCTCCCTGAGTGCTGGGATTATAGGCGTGAGCCACTGTGCCTGGCCTAACACCATCTTTGTAAAGAAATTCCTCTCCCATAGGACCTGAAGAAGTGGACAACGCCAAGAGACATGCTTGATTGACTAAGGCAGCAAATCCTGGAGCCAGCCAATGCCCTGTCATCTTCCATTCACAGGGAAAACCAGCCTGACCAATCAAATCGTTTCTCTCTCTGGAATTCAGAGTCATTGACCAAAAGCGGCGCTAACAGAGGAAGCTGCTGCTCAAAGCCATAGCACAGTGAGAGGTGAGAGAGTCATGCTGGGTCTCAAGTGAGCCAAAGTGAAGCATAGCCTATAAAATAGACGAATTAAACAGTGCAAAAAGCCAGCTGGTAGAAAAAGGAAGTTGAAGTAGATGTGAAATGTGAAATGGAGTCATCCTGAGCAGGTGAATGAAACCATGAAGGCAGGAAAAGACAAAGAGAGCTTAGCTAGTTCCTGGACAGCCTTAGCTCCTGAACACCACTTGGCCTTCTAGATCCAGGACCGGCTCTGGTCTTTGTGTGTATCTTTACCACTTCTTTTTCCCTTCAAGTGGCTGGAGTGAGCTACAGTCCTTTAAGAGCATGGTGGCAATGTGCTTTAGAGTGAAAACTGCCTGGACCCAGCCTTAAAGTTTAGATCAGGCTTCTGCCGGCCTGGCGCAGTGGCTCACGCCTGTAATCCCAGCACTTTGGGAGGCCGACGCGGGCGGATCACGAGGTCAGGAGATAGAGACCATCCTGGCTAACACGGTGAAACCCCGTCTCCACTAAAAAATACAAAAAATTAGCCGGGCATGCGCCACTGCACTCCGGCCTGGGCGACAGAGCGAGACTCCGTCTCAAAGAAAAAAAAAATACAAAAAATTAGCCGGGCGTGGTGGTGGGCGCCTGTAGTCCCAGCTACTCCGGAGGCTGAGGCAGGAGAATGGCGTGAACCCGGGAGGCGGAGCTTGCAATGAGCCGAGATCGCGCCACTGCACTCCAGCCTGGGCGAGAGAGCGAGACTCTGTCTCAAAAAAGAAAAGAGGGTAGGGTACGGTAGGGTACGGTAGGGTACGGTAGGGTAGGGTAG
Organism: Homo sapiens; assembly: GCF_000001405.40. Taxonomy (NCBI): domain Eukaryota; kingdom Metazoa; phylum Chordata; class Mammalia; order Primates; family Hominidae; genus Homo; species Homo sapiens. The sequence continues at coordinate 10,897,507 of NC_000004.12, read as the reverse complement.
GGTAGGGTAGGGTAGGGTAGGGTAGGGTAGGGTAGGGTAGGGTAGGGTGCAGGGCTTCTGCTTCATCTGGAGATGGCCTCCTCAGTGCTGGGCATACAGAATCAGGTTTCACAGGGAAGACCTGGCGTAAATGCTCCCCCATGAGTGATGTAGGTGGAGACGTAGGAAGCTGGCCCACCACAGTGTTCTCATTTGGAACGTGTAAAAACCTTGTGAGCAAAATTAAGCTTGGACTATTGCCCAGGAAATGCTGAGCTATCCTTCTGGCCTCTCTGATGCCTGCTCCATGTTTCAGCCAGAAAACACAGGAAATCAACCGACTGGGAGTCTTCTGTGTGCTCTGTGGCACCTTTCCTCATGTCACCCCATGCACGTGCAGCCACCACCCCTGAGGTTCTTGTCTGGCTCTTGCTAATCAAAATTCTTTAGAACCTAATGCTTCTCCTCTTTATGCTCCTGCACAGGCCCAAGGATGGGGCCCTTTTCTTTGTCTTGTTTTGTTTTTTATCTACCAGTTCCTGGAAACAATTTGAATTATTTCTTATCTTTCTCTTTGGCCCCAATTAATAGCAGCCTTGCTTTTACTTCCATAGAAGCAATATATGTTTATTGCAGATAATCTGAAAAATACAGAAGAAATGACAGAAGAAACAGTTTCCAATGTAGAGACAACCAATATTAACATATTAATATACTTTTTCTGATTTATTTTCTATGAATATATTTATAGATATAAGATATATTTTTGAATTACATATAATCTGGCATTTTCTCTTAACATGATTTTATGAATATTTTAGATTATCATGAAATATCTTCAAAAATACTTTTAAAGTTGCTGCAGAATATCCTATTAGAGGGGAAGACCATCATTTACTCAACTTTTCCCTGTTGTACATTTACTGTAGTTCAAGGCACCATTGATCATAGTTCTCCCAGAGCGGTTTATATGATAACCCCAGTCTCATCATAGTACAGATGGCAAATGTACCAGGTGATGTGGAAAGTCAGGGGCTAAGATTGACCTCTGCAACCAGCCTGCCAGCATTTAATTCCAGCTGCACCATTTACTTATGCATAAGCTCAGATAAGTTGTTTAACATTCTATACTTCAGTTTTCTCACCTGAAATGGGGATAATAAAAGTCCTTTTCTCACAGGTTCATGGGGAGATTAAATGAGTTAATACCTCTAAACTGCTTACAAAAGTACCTGGCACATTGAATGGTTGTTATTATTATGGCACTGTTAGGGAGAACAGCTGTCCCCATTCATGATGTTGGTTTTTATCAACTGAGGATGGACCTCTTCAGTAGGACCCCTGGCCTCCTTCACATTCTCCCTCTTCCTGGATATTCTTCAGAAGAGGGTGGACCTACCTCGGTGGTAGCTTTGGAAAAAGACGTGGGTATATGCAGTGTTGTGGATTGAATAGTGGTTCCCAAGAAAGATATGTCTAAGTCCTAATTCTTAGAACCTATAAATGTGAACTTATTTAGCAAAAGAGTATTTGCCCAATGTAATTAAGAATCTCAAGATCATCCTGGATTCAAGGTGGGCCCTATAACCAATGACAGATGTCCTTTTAAGAGAAGAGGCAGGAGAATCTTTGATGAGACAAAGAGAAGGTGAGGAGAAGACCCACGTGAAGGCAGAGGCAGAGACTGAGGTGATGCGGCCACAAGCTAAGCAACTCCTGAACCCACCAGAAGCTGGGAAAGATAAGGAAAGATTCTACCCTAGAGGCTTTGGAAGGACCACTGCCCTACCCACTCTGATTTCTGGACCCCACAACTGTGAGAAAACAAACTTCTGTTGTTTTAAGCCACCAGGTTTGTGGTACTTTGTCATGACAGCCTTCGGGAAGTAGTTCATGCAGCCCAAGCCCTTTGTCTGGGTAGTCAGAACCACATGTTCTAAGCTGCTGCTCCAGGTCCTAATCCTCACGTGGACGGGTTTGGCATGGTCTTTGCTGGGGTGAATGAATATGTGTAACACTGAAGATGACGATCAGGAAGCCTACCTGGCAATGGATATCCATGACACTTTCTTCCGTTTCAGCTCTATCAGTATTAAAAGACATCTACTGATCTCCATATGACTCATTACTCCTTGTCTTCCTTTCAGTTATGTAGAATCCAGGAGAGAAACCCCAGTAGCTACATTAAACTTTTGTGGTTTTTTATCTTTAAACTCATTTCTCCTATCTGCTCTTAGGGTAAGAGTGGCATCCTTTTATGCAAGGGTCTGGGTGTATTTAACTGCCTTCACACGCGCTCCCATTTTCTCCACTTCTTATTCTTTCATCTTATCTTTGGATGATTTCAGAAGGTTCCTGTCCTGTCTCAGGCTCTTATGATCCCAGCACTGAAAGCTGGGTGCTTGCCTGTGACTTGCTGCTTGATTCTGTTCTCTCTGAACCTCTCAATGCCTACCCAATACTGTGTTCAATTTGCTCCTGCCTCTTTGGGCTTGACCCAGCATAACCTTCCTTATTCTCCATCTCCCTTTGCAGCACTCTCAGAGCCTCAAGATTGTGTATTAATAAACCCTGTGATGGAGACTAATGTGACAATTTTGATGTGGATTCTCATCCCATGTGATAAGAAAAACATAAAATATTGCGTGATGTTTTTATTGAAGTTTTATGCACTGTAATTTTTATGTTCTCTTTCTCCAATCCAATCCCATATTTTCCATATACAAAATTTAGTGTTTCCAATGCAATCCATGCGTGAAACTCCACACTATTAACAAAGCTATCATCCTTGCTACCACTTAACTCAGTCAAGAGATGCCTTGTAATGCTAATGACTTCATATTCCTAATTCTTTTTTGTTCAACTAGATTACAAAAACCTGGGAGTTTCTGTAACTCCAGGCAGTTTTCACTCTTAAGCACATTGCCACCATGCTCTTAAAGGACTATAGCTCATTCCAGCCACTTTAAGTGAAAACCTGGGAAAATATGGTTCTTAAATCTTACCAAGAGGGGCTTTTGCCCAGAGCTCTGTGCTTTAAAGTATCCAGTAAAGCACACACACACACACACACACACACACACACACACATAACCACACACACATTTGTTAAACAAAACGGGAATGGCTCTTTTACTTGTGATCTGATACTTCTTGCAGACACAGGACAACCTTGACCATAAACATCTTTTTCTATTATCCACACTATTCTAACCCCAGGAAATTCTTCTCATATCTCCTGCCTTATGTTCTTGAAGAAGAGATGCCTACATCTAAAATTCTTGAAGGTTTGTGGATTATGCCAACTACTGACTTTAAACATGTGTACTGCTTCAGTATCCAGGAAGGACTTGAGCAAGAAAATACTGAAGAGAAAAGACAAATTTCTTAGTTTACCCCATCTTCTCTTTTCAGATGGCTTGAATGAAATAAATCATTTCATAATAAGGAATGGCTTGGCACTCATGACAAGAGCTCATTTGTTTTAATTCATGGTATCAGGGGTATGCAAGGGCAGTGGGGTATAGCACATTTAAATAGTTTGCTTTTTTATGTGTAATATTTAAATATTTAGCCATATAGTTTGTAGCCCTGCATTTGTTCTCCTGCTCTGAGCCCTGCAAAGGAGAAGGGTAGACCTGCAGGAAGGAGCTAATTACGTCTGATGCTCCTCAGCCTGCTTTCAGGATTTAGCTCAAGACAATTCTTGATGCATTTGGGAAGTATTGATGCATGTTTTTCAGATGAATAAAAGCTAAATATCAGAGGCTGAATCTTTTTGCAGGAATGACAAAGTGATCAGTTTTGAGACTCACATCAAGGGGACCTAAACTTGCTTACCAGGGGAACCTCAGACAGAAAACAATTTAACTCAACTCTGAGTAGTATTAGTGGAGCACAGGAAGTGACAGGAAAAGGGTGCCTCTGCAGGCAGAGACAGGAAAGGGCAGCAAGAAGACTGTTTTTGAGAATGGAACAGTCTTAAAGATAGACCTGATTCCCAAAGGTGTCATTTTTCTCTCCTGCAACTAAGAATGCAAATAAAGTTCCTTCCACAAAAGACAGAAGCAGGGACTGTGAGAAGCAATCACAGGAGGAGGAAAGTATGGGGGAAATGAGGAACCGTCGGCAAATTACACATGTGGATTTTCACCAGCCACACAGAAATGCACAAAATACATGAGGGCTGAACTTTGACCACGGGCAGCTCTGGAGTCAGAGAAGTGAACCATCATCCCATCAGTTAAGACACTAGAAGGAAAGACCAGCCAGAATGGGCACAGAGCATCAGGATCCTGGAAAAAAGTAATTGGTGGTTGTATACATTTGTCAGATCATAATTACTGTAGGTATTTATAAATGGTTCAATTTATCATGAAGGTATGATTGTTTGCAATTAACCCTGCTCTCTTTATGAAATACTAAACTAACAACTTCCTCAGGTATTATCAAGAAAGAGGTCATGCCAACAAGAAATTTAATAAAAGTTCCTGTTTCCTGATAGGGTAATCCACAAAAATATACTTCTTACTGCATGAGAGAAGGAAAACAAATGAAACGAGAGTAAAGAAAATGCATAATGCAAATGCTATGCCCTAAGATAACTTAATATATTATGTTATACAATCACCATAACACCAAGAAAGAAAACTGGTATGATCTCTGAACTACAAATGAGTAATTTAAGACACATAGTGTGTAATTAATATGCCCAAGATCATATAGCTAGTAAGTGGCCCTACTGGGATTCAAATTCAGGACATCTCATTCTAAAACCCTGATTCGTAGTACTTAGCACTCAATTCCTGGCCCGAATCACATATACTATAAGTCAACACATATAGTTGACTTGAAACTGCCCACAGATGAAATGATTAGCTAGCGTATTAATTTCCTATTGCTGCTGTAGTAAATTATTACAAACTAAGTGGATTAAACCAACATACATTTAGGTATTATCTCATATTTCTGGATGTCAGAAGTCCAAAATGGGTCATTAGGGCCATACATCTTTTGGAAGCTCTAAAGGATTATCCATTTCCTTGCCTTTTCCAGCCTCTGGAAGTTACTCATTTCCTTGGCTCATGGAAAAAAAAGTAATTGGCTCCATCCATCTTTAAAGCCCATCACTCCAACCTCTGCTTCTGTTATCACATCTTTTTACTGACTTTGTTTCTCCTTCCTCCCTCTTATAAAGATTCTTATGATTACTTTGAGCCTACCTAGATAATCCAGGATAATTTCTCTGTTTCAAGATCCTTAAATACATCTTCAAAGTCCCTTTCCCTATGTAAAGTAACGTATTCACAGGCTGCTGGGAGTAAAACATGGATAGCTTCAGAGGGTCATTGTTCAGCTTACCAATAGCTCTTCGTTGATTGATAGTGGCAGGTACATTGCAGATGTTTTGCTTTTATTGAGTGCTGGCAGAGTTCAGATTCTCCCATAAACAATGAAGGGTCAGAGTCTTTTCCTGGCCCTCTGCCCATCTGTATTAGACAGAACCTGCACTCCTATAATTGCAAAACAAAAGGCTCAGGGACATAATGGGAAGCTTAATGTGGTTATCTCCTGCTTCTAGATGGCCAGGGGCTTAGCTTAGCAGAATCTATACAGCCAACAGTCCATATGGGCTTGTTGGAATGGGATGAGTCTGGAGAAGGCACTTGATCAAAGAAATGAGGATCTCTACTGTGAGAGAAGGATAGAAATGGTTTGCTTTGCATCAGAATTTACAAGCAAAATTTCATGGGCTGCAAAAGAAAAAAAGGGTTAAACTGACACCAAATACTTTTTTTTTCTCTTTCCCTCAGAAACACATCACTTATTAGCTCTATAAATAGCTTAACCATGCTGGACTCCCATTTCTTTTGAAAAATTGAAAGGATAATACCTTAGTAAAGATCACCAGGAAGATGGAACAAAATACCATTTGCAATGAGAGTTCACCCCAATTCCTGGCATGTAGCTCAAAATTATGGTTATTTTACTGTAGTTCAGTGTTGCATCCAGGTGGCTTCACAGACTGGTTGCATAAACTCTGGCTCTGTTTCTAAGAGCCTTATTTTCCCTCACTAAATGACAGAATGATAAATATTCACCTAATAGGTTTAGCAAAATAAGATATTTTATCAGAGGTCACAATTCAAATGATGTAACCCATTTGCTATCAGCTTGAAACGTGGGATTGATGTGACGCATAAAAAATACACTCTACTGTGTGCCGTGGCTCATGCCTGTAATCCCAACAGTTTGGGAGGCCGAGGTGGGTGGATCATGAGGTCAGGAGTTCAAGACCAGCTTGGCCAACATGGGGAAACCCCATCTCTAAGAAAAATACAAAAATTAGCCAGGCGTGGTGGTGTGCACCTGTAGTCCCAGCTACTCGGGAGGCTGAGGCAGGAGAATTGTTTGAACCTGGGAGCCAGAGGTTGCAGTGAGCAGAGATCATGTCACTGCATTCCAGCCTGAGTGACAGAGCTAGACTCTGTCAAAAAAAAAAAACAAAAAACAACAACAACAACAAAAAGACAAAACAAAAACAAAACCACTCTATAAATTTGAAACATTTTAGTATTAATGAAAGAATGTATACTAGTAAGTGATTGAGTGCTGACCAAGCCAATGATGCCTGTCTCTGTTCTGCACTTGTTCTCAGGAGCCCCTTGTTCTATAACATCTTTTCTTTTCTCCATCTATTTAAACCATAGTGTCTTTATAATATGCCTCCAAGCTTCTCCTGCCCCTATCTCATCTTCTGTGTCTTGCCCTCAATGCACTCAATTTTAGCTCAGTTCACTATAACTTGTGCTTTTCTGTAAATAAGTCATCAATTGTATTATGCAAACCGAAGGCGCTACACTGACTACCTTGTCATTGGAGCTCTCCAAAACCGAGGCACTCACTCCACCATGGGCTCCAGGTTTTCTTCCTGGAAGTAGATGCTGGCCTTCCTGCAGGGTTCTTAGATTGCGTTTGCCCAGAAGGAGACTCAGCAACAGGGATACAGGTGCAAGTAGCAAACATAAGTAGGGGAACAAAGAAGTGAAATGGAAACAAAATGGGCAATAAAGCGTTTGTTACTGTGTCTACTGGAGAATTCCAGAACAATGTAGAAGACGTGCCTCAGAGTTAGCCTGCCTGAGGGGCCGGAGAGCTACGTCATTTCTACACAAACTCCTGTAGTCGTTGTGTCTTTGCTTGAGGACTCCTGAAGGAGTGGGCAGGGGTGCTCCAGTATCTATCTCTAGTTGGTTGCATCATGGACATAGTGAAACAAAACTTTTGAGAAAAGAAATCTGGGATTGGTATTTGGAAATCCCCTAGGGACAGGGTATGTGGGAGCGGCATGGGCCACAAGAATCAAAAGCTTAAAACTAGAATAAAATCTAGACTCAAAACCCTACTTTTGCTAGACACCATCTAAAATCACATTACTCACCTTCCTTTCTCTAAACCACTTTCCCTTCTGAAAAATGAAGATTATGGTATCTACCCGCAGGGGGCAGTAGCTCATGCCTATAATCCCAGCACTTTGGGAGGCCAAGGTGGGCAGATCTCTTGAACCCAGAAGTTTGAGAACCGCCTGGGCAACATGGCAAAACCACGTCTTTACCAAAAAAAAGCAAAAATTAGCTGGACATGATGTCCTGCACCTGTGGTCCTGGCTACTTGGGAGGCTGAGGTAGGAGGATTGCTTGGGCTTGGGAGGCTGAGGCTGCATTGAGCCGTGATGGTGTCATTGCAGTCCAGCCTGGGTGACAGAGTGGGAACCTGTACCCCCAACAAAAAATCTACCTTTTGGAATTGCTCTAAAAATTAAATAAAATAAATGAATTAGTATAGTGCCTAGGTCATTTAAATGATAACAGTTATTATTATTATTAAACCAGTATTAGCATAACACAATAGCCTGCATAGGTATCTAATAAATATGTACTGAGTCTAAATTTATATATAATGAAATTCTATTTTAAAAACTCCAAAAGGCATTTAACTTGAATTTTTCCTATTTGTATTTTTCCATCATATTATCCAGAATGTCAGAAAATTACAGATGTTATGGAAAATAATTCTTCAAACATCAGGGACGTGTTTTAATATATGTTAACAGAATGACCTTGCTTTTCAGCACTCCACAGAAAATAAGCTAATTAGAAGGAAGGAAAGAACATGAAAAGAAAAATATTCTTAAAACAGGACATGAAAAGAGAGCTATTCTTCAAATATTTATAGGGTTTCGGCCCCAGAGTTTTCCATGTTTTCATCTCCACTCAATAGCCTCAGGAAGATGGGGGAGGGCACATTTTGTCATGTGGTGAGATCAGGAGAACCTTCAGAGAGCGACAAGGTTGAGTGGACGTTGCATCCTACCGGAAGGGACTGGTAGGTGCTCCCTGCCTCCTCTCTCCAGGTATCAGATCGTGAATGGGAAGAAATGGAAAGTAAAAAAGAGTCTGAATTTGAGAGATTTGGAAGGTACACCGATTTTTTTCAAATGCAGAGAAGACTTTTGGGTGTCCCAATAGTTCCAGTTCCTTAGGTTATGAGCCACAGAACTTGCATGTCCAGGTAAGTGCTGGAAGGAGTCAGGATGAGTTTTCAATTGGAGACTTCACCATGGGGACAGAGGGCTTCTCTCTGAAAAGATGGTATCATTAATGTGACTCAGCTCCAAGGTCTGTGTTCTCTCATGACATTTCAGGGGACGTGGCCTGAGAAACCATGATGGGGACATCTGTCTCTGCCCTGGGTCACTCAGCAGTGGGAAGGGACAGAGTCAGATGGCACAGGTGTGGCCACTGTGAGGGAGATGTAGTGCTGGTGGGTGATCTGTGATCTTTTGTCAGCTCTTACTCTTCTTGTAAGGTACCTGGGAGAGCTCGAGGAGGTCTGGGCTGAAGGTTTCTTTCATTTGAGAAGTGTCTTTGACTCTGGGAAATTAAAATGTGAAGGGTAGGGCCCAAGAGAGAGGCAGTACAGAGCTGGTGGCTTTGAGGAAATCAGAAAAAGGGAAGGAATATCAAATTTGTTTCCTAAGCTATCCAAACAAATACACCTAGGATTATGAAGTTGAAATTCAGAAAAAAAAAAGAAAGCAAAGGAAGAGAGAGCTAAAATAAATAAAGGAAATAAATTTGAAACACACAAAAAATTTTCACTTACGTTGTGTCGTTGAATCCTAACAGTACTCTGATGAGAAGGGATCAATAGCTTCATTTTATAAAATAAAGGAAAGTGATGCTGTAATCAGATTTTTTTTTATACCAACTCAGATCCTCTACCCAAGGCACTGGCCATGTGCCATGCTTTCTGGTTGAAGTACCATTCCCACAACCATTTCTTATTTTATTCATTTCTGCTTATTTTTTTTCCTTCTATTTTGGGCTAATTTGACAATCTTCTCTTAATATCTTAAAAAACATACCTATTGCCATGTATTTTTAATCTTTAAAAAGATAACATATACATACAAGACTAGAAATCTACTTCTAACCACAGTGTAGCCCCATCCCATGAGACAAATTTTGTTTTTATTTTTATTTTTAAATTTTTTCAAGATGGGGTCTTGCTCTGTCACCCAGGTTGGAGTGCGATGGCACAGTTATAACTCAGTGCAGCCTCAAACTCCTGGGCTCAAGAAATTCTCTTTCCTCAACCTCCTGACTGTCTGAGAGTGCAGGCACATGTCACCATGCCCGGCTGATTTCTTAGTTTTTCTGTAGACAGGGTTTCACTATGTGACCCAGGCTGACACTGAACTCGTGACCTGAAACAGCCTTCCCACGTTGGCAAACTCCCAAAGTGCTGTGATTATAGGCGGAAGCCACCGTGCTTGGCCATTTTCTTTTTTAAATTCTTTTAATTGAGTTACAATTTACATACAAAAAAGTACACAGATCTGTGTCGCAAAGTTCAATAAGTTGTGGCAAATGTATTCAGTAAACTCAAATCAGCATTACATTCCACCACCCCAGATATGTTCCTTATTCTTCCTCCAGTCACCCCCCAGAAAACACTATTCTGATATCTATCAATTCATATAAATACACACAAAAGACTACATTGTTTAGTCTTTTGGGGGTGGCTTTTTTGGTTCAATATAATATATATATTTTTAATATCCATCCATGCTATTATATGGATTGACTGTTTCATTTTTATGGTTGAGTAATATTTCAGTATTAGAATATACTATCTTTTAACATTTTTATTTCTTATAATTTATTCCCCTAATAATGGACATTTGACTTTTTTTCAGTTTGAAGTTATTGATAATAAAGCTGCTATGAATATTTGTATATGGGACTTTTAGTGGACATATGTTGTCATTATCTTGGGTAAATATCTAGAAGTGAAATTGCTGGATCACAGGGTATGTGCACATTTAACTTTATAAAATGTTGCTTTTTTTTCCCAAAAGTGGTTGTATTTAACATTCTCAACAGAAATACAAGAGTTCTAGTTCTTCATAATCTCACCAATATTCAGTATTGTCTTTCATTTTACAATTTTAGCCATTTTTGTGAATGTGAAATAGTATCTCATTTTAGTTTTAACTTGTATCCCTTTATGACAAATGATGTTGAGCACATTTTCATAGTCTTACTTGGACTTTTATATTTCTTTCGACCATATTTATTAAAGTTGGGCTGTTTATATATTATTGAGCTGTATGAATCCTTTGTATAATCTAGATACAAGGTTTTCTTTCCCCGATCGGTGTGTTACAAACATTTTCTCCATTTTGTGACTTGCCTTTTTACTTTCTTAATGGTGTCTTTTATTTTAATTAAGTCCAACTTATAATTTTTTAATTATGATGAGTATTTTTTGTGACATAGAAGTTTTTCCAACCTGCCAAATTTGTAAGCATATTTTCCTATGTTTTCGTATAGAAACTTTAGAATATAGTTTTACATGTTAGACAGACGTGTATATATCTTTTTTGAATTAAGTGTCATGATTACAATGAGATATGAGTTGAGGTCCATTTACTTTTATACACAGCTAGCTAGTTTTTCTATCACTATTTGTTCAAAATTTTATTTTTCCCATTAATTTGCCATCATGTCTTTGCTGGAAATTAGTTCAACATCTACTAGAAACATTTCATGAACATACACATTATGCCAGGAGTTTATGTAGGCAATCATTTTTTACCCAAGAAGTAAGGACTGAGCTTGAGATGTCTAGGAGATTGAATTTTGTCCTTACAAAAACAACACATTCCACATGAAAAGTCTAGTTAACTTCTAACTAGTTTTCACTGCAATTAAAACTCAAGAAGAAGGCCAGGGGCAGTGGCTCAGGCCTGTAATCCCAGAAGTTTGGGAGGCCAAGGTAGGCGGATCACCTGAGATCTAGAGTTCAAGACCAGCCTGGCCAACATGGGAAACCTTATCTCTACTAAAAATACAAAAATTAGCTGAGTGTGGTGGCACTTACCTGTAATCCCAGCTACTCAGGAGGCTGAGGCATGAGAATAACTTGAACCTGGGAGGTGGAGTTTACAGTGAACCGAGATTGTACCACTGCACTCCAGTCTGGGCAACAGAGTGAGACTCTGACTCAAAAAAAAACTCAGGAAGGAAAAAAGAAAATCCTAAATGCTTCTAGTAAACAAACAAAGGAACAGGGAAAAAAACAGTTTATATTCAAAGCATTTCAAAGCATTAAGAATCAGAAAAATATTAGGCTCATGATTGGAACATTGGTAGCCAGAGGACACTGTAAAAATGCCTTTGACATTCTGACAGGAAAATATTTGAAACCTAGAGTTCTATACCAACTCAAATATTCGATAAATGTGAAGGTAAGCTAAGGATATTTCATGCAATCAAGACATTAAAAAATGTTGTTTTTCTTGCCTTTTCTCATAAAAAATGACTGAAGGATGTACCCAGCAAAACAAGAAACTTTTTAGGGAAGTGTCCTTAATTTAAGAACCTGGAGTGCGCTGAGTTTAAAAGAAAACACATCCATGGACTATCAGTGTTTCTCAAGGGTCCTGTGGATCCCAATTCCCTTCTCTGTACTATGAGGATAATTAAACTGTATTTTGTAGTTTTGTGAGAATGAACTCAAAACATTTCCTTACTAAGATATAAGCAGCAAGAGCTTTGTTAAACTATTTCTCAGCGACTACCTGACTTAAAATCATGTGTTTATTTTAAAAATATAGATTCCTGGGTCCCACCATAGTCTATAAATTCTTATCACTGGACTTTAAGCTCAAGAACTTGCATATTTGATAAAGCCTCAATTATCATTCCCACCATACCTTGCCAAGCATGTGCTGAGATACCAGGTACATTTGGTTTCAATCCTTGTCTTGAATATAGTACGAGTAACCTGGGAAATTTCCTTAAACTTGCTTGGCATTCGTTTTCAAACTTTTTGAATAGGTGATGATGAGGATGATTTCTCCTGCATACAAAACCTTTAGCACTGGGCTTGCCATTTGGTGGGCATTCAATAAATGTGAGTTCCCTTCCCTTCCATGAATCAACTTTGTCTCTGATATACTATTGTCTTGGCACTGATTTACCAAATCAGACAGTTAAAATAAAACACTCCAGACATTGAATTGGATCCAACGTCAATTGTACAAACTATTACCAACAGCTGGTTATTGAGCAACTGGTATGTGCCTTGAATTCCGTTGGATGCTGTGAGGAAAATTAGCATTTTAGAAACAGAATTTTATGCCATAAGAGGACATCTTGACAGACAGCATCAATGCAAAGACATTTCAGAACAGGAGAAGGTAAAAGATAGGAGATGTCTTGCAGGATTTCTGCTTGAACATGCCCATTGCATAGAGTAACAGACTGAGAATCTGGGAAGTTGAGATTTCCCAAAAAAATATAGACAATAAGGAATAAATATATGCAGACTCAGATGGAACCATTCATAGAACAGTTTTCTTTTAAATGCAACAGTAATTTTTTTAAAATTATAATCTGAAACATTTATATGAACCAAATGTGACATGGAAGCTCAGTATATAAAATATATAAGACAAGCTTCTCTGCTTGAGGCAGGATTCAGATGTCCAGAGTTATATCCACTTGGATCCTTGATGGAACATGTCAAAAACTGGGCTCTTTAAATACCATCAATATAACTCATCAATAAGACAAAGGCGAGCTTATTGCTTACTGATATAAAGGAGTGTGCCATCTTTGCAGAATTTTGGCGGTGTCTAAGAGTGGGGTCTGTAAGGTCAGAATTAATTGAGATGTGGAAGTTTGGTTTAAGGAGGGTCTTTCAATGTGGTGACTTGATAAATATCGGGTAAGAATCACGATAAAGATGATTAGTGGAAATAGTAAGGACAGGATTTTGAGGTGAAGGACTCAAAGGATGCTAGGGTACAAACTCTCTGTTGCTGCTTTCCATTAAAGACTCAGTGGGTCTTTAGGAATTTCGTGTAATGAACCATCCATCCATCTACTTGGCCAGGACAGCCTCAAAAAAGTAAAGCATGTAATGAAGTAATGAATGTAATGAAGACAGTGTAATGAAGACAGTGGAACAGCACAGCCAAGTTAACGCAGGCAATAAAGTGTAGTTTCTGTTCCCAGTGTTTAGGCTGAGCATAGGGTTAGACAGCTTTGATTCTCAAATCCTTGGAGATTTTGAAGCAAAGCCAGAAAACCACTGTCACCCTGACTGTGTGCCTCCTCCAGTCAGTCTTTCATGTAGCTGACATTCAGTACAAAGGATGCTAACTCTTCTCTCTATGGAAATTATGACAACTTTATTGTTGCCAAATCTTGCATTTCACTTCCACACCTTCTTTTTTGTCTGCTTCAACTCCACTCATAGCTGATGACTGATGAAGCTTCACCAGCCTTCATCTTTAGACTCAACTCTAAATAGAATCATTCATGCATTCATGATCTGGCTTCATTCTGCTTCTTGCCATCCCAGTTACCCCAAATATATGGCCCACTCCCAGTCCAGGGACTCTGTGCTGCTAGGAATCCATGTGGCTTGAACTTTTGGGAGGCCCAACTTTATTCCCTTGAGAACGAGTGTGTCATTGAGACTACCTGCTTATAGTTTTGAGTGACATTTATGTTCACACAAGGCTTTGCAAATGGCAAATTTGGAGAAATGTATTGAATTCTTGAAAGGCACAATTAGACAGTTTGTCTTAGTTGGTTTAGGCTGTCATTATAAAATACCACAGGCTGGGATGCTTAAACAATAGAAATTTATGTCTCAATATTAGAGACTGAGAAGTCTATAATCCAGGTGACTGGCAAGGTAGATTTTGTTCTAACTCCTCTTCTCATAGCTTGTAGGCAGCCACCATCTCATTTTGTGTTCAAATGACCTCTTCTTTGTACATACAAAGAGAAAGAGAGAAGGGAGAGAGAGATGCAAGCTCTCTAGTGTCTCTTATAAGGGCACTAACTCTATCATATGGGTTCCATCTTCATGACCTTATCTAATTCTAATTACCTCCCAAAGGCCCCATCTCCAAATATCTCCACACTGGGGGCTACAGATTCAACATATGAATTTATAAACTTTAAGAGGACATAATTATTCATTCTGCAACACAGTTCCAAAATATTAGTCCCTTTGCTAAGGAACATTTTCTCACCCACACCCTATTTATTATTTTTCTACTTGCTAGTAGACATAGGGGCATGACAAGGATGCCCTGTCAAATGAGTAAGTGTATCTTGGGAATAAATTGAGATTAAATTTGTCATAAAACATTCAAAGACACTATGCAAAGTAAATTGCTTTATCTGAGTGTGACAAGCCTGAATTAGAAAACTGGCTCTGTCACTTACTAACTTTACAACCTTGAATAAATTATTTAATCTTGCTCATCCTCAGCGTCTTAGCTTCATTTTAAAAAATGGGGTTAGAACTACTTATCTGATAAAGCTGTTATAAGATTACAGGTTAAAATATAATGTAACAGATATATGGTATGTAGTTCATGTAGAGTGGTTTTACTTTCTTTGGTGGGACATCTAATTTCTGGGCCTTCATATAAATACTTCTGAAAGCAATTATTGCTGTAGTTGCTATATAAATTCTATCAATGTATGTCTCAAATGCAGAAGAAGAAGAAAAAGGAAGAGGGCTGAGGAGAAAGGAAGACAGATGAGAGAAGGAAGAGGAAGGAGAGCTCATATTTATGGAGGTTTTAGCATGTCCCAGTCACTGCAATGAGACTGTAACACAACTTGACTGACTGATCAGGTATCATTACAATCTCTGCTTTATAGGTAAGAAAGGTGAAGTCCAGAGACTAGGAAGTCATTTATCCAATGTGCCATAAAATATTCTGAATTTATACATATATCTGTTAATTCAAACTACTCTCCCGGGATAGTGATTGTTGTTCCCATTCTCATGTTAGGGAAATGCAGGCAGAGATTGGAACACATAGCTCAAGCTCACAAAGCTGGCCTGATGGAGCCTTAGTGCAAGTCTAAGCCTGTTCTACTTCTACAATTCACACTTTTTTTTTTTTTGTAAATCCAAGCCTTAATACTAGGAAAATATTCTTGTGCACTTGTAGAATTTATTTTCACTTCACATTTTGTTATACTTCTTTTTTTGCATGAGGCAAAAGCAAACACTAATTGAATAATAGAAAAATTAAGTTTTGAGAAAACCCTTGCTGACCTCAAAAGCAGTGGCAATATTTTATTTTATTATATGTTCCCAAGGAACAGATGTAGGTAACATTAAGGGGACTTTTCCTAGAGGCAGTTATTCATATTTTTATTCACTCAGCCAACATGTATTCTGAGTTTTTTATGTGCCAAGAATCATGATTTTGGATCACACCTTTTGGACAGCAATGATATTTTCTAAGGGTTGTTATGTTTTGTTTTTGTTAGAAGGCGAGAGAGCCAGGTGGATCGCGATCCAGTTACAGGGGTTTTGCATGGTAATAATAGGTACCTCTCATGGCACATGTCCTCTGGACCGGCACTGAACTGTCTTCTGTATGGTTTATCTCATTTAATTATCACAGTGGTAACCATCAAAGGCATCATGTGAGCACTGTTGCTGTTATAATAGTGTCCCTTCTTACAGGTAAACTATTGCTGAGAGTGGATAAGTAACTTGCCCAATGTCACACAGCTTGTAAGTGGTAAAGATGCTGTTCAAAATCAAAGCTCTTAACCATTAAGCTGCCCTCTGATGACATCCCCTCTGATGGCTCATCTCTGATGGCACATGAGATGGCAGAGTGAACCAAAGATCAGCCATGGTCAGGAGTTGGGAGATAAGATACTTTTGGCATCTAGTTCAAGCCAGTGGAGTAAGCTAGGAAGCCATGCCAGGATACAAAAGCCAAATCATGAACATTAGACCAAATAGAGGCAGTGCAGGGACAAAACCAGGTAAGATGCGTGAGACCACCATCTATGAATATGAAGACTGCCATACATAATGACAAAACCAGAGAGCTGGGGTTATCACGCCATTGCAGCTATGCCTTATCTGTCATACTGTTGCCATGAACACCTGCAATACATAAAGGACCCTTTGGAACACAGACAAAAAGAAGTTCTTTCCTCATGCCTGGAACCTTGTAAAACAATTTGTAGATCACCTAGTCATAAATTCCCACTGCATATGAGAGCATTGAGGTCAACAAAGAGGAAGAAAATGTACCCTCCTAATAGCAACAAAGAGACACCTGTAAGAATATAGCTTAAACTTAGGGTAAAAATTCATTCATTCAGCCATTTGTTCTCAATAAATGTTTGTGAGCATCTACTTTGTGTCAAGTTTAAAAGTTTCGGATTCTGGGAGTAGACTAAAGCATGAAGATAATAAGATATTTGGCCTCATGGAGTGATAGTCCTGTGGAAAGAAGGGGACACAGAACAAGCTAAAAATAAATAAAATCATTTCTGATGATGTCAAGTACTATAGAAGACATTTTAAAGTGAGCCACATGATAAAAAGTGACTGGGGGTGATAAACTTATACGAAGAGACAATAAATGCAAATGCTTGGGACATGAAGTGAACTGGGCATGGAGAGTAAAGGAAAGGTAGTGACTGTGGGTAGGGAGTAGGGGAGATGATGTGAGTTTTTGCAAAAGAGGTAGAATAGAACTTGTTGCATTCTGAGTGCCATGAAATATAGGTCAGATTTTATTCTGAGTGCAAACGGAAATCACAGGTGGATGTTAAACAGTGGGCAGAGATGATATAATCTGGTTGAGGCTTTTAAAATACCTCTGTAGCTGCAAACTGTAGGGGGAAAAATTGAATTTGGGAAGCTGTTTTATTACTCCAGGCAATAGACAGTATTACTATGGATTAGAGTAAGTCAGTGGTTAATTAAAAAAACATGAATAGATACAGGATGGATTTTGGAGGAAGACCTGCCGATGGACTGCCTGAAGGGTTGCAAAGAAATGTAGTCAAGAATAACTTCCAGGTGTTTGTCTTGAGCCCCCAGGTAGATGGTGGTGCCACTTACTTAGAGAGAAGATTAGCAGATGAACAGTTGGGGAAGCAAAAGGAAAAATGAAACTTCTGGAGTTCAAAGGTGTTTCCAGGACTGAAGATACAAATTGTTGAGTCATCGGCTTGTTGATATCATTTAAAGCTATGGACCCAGATGAAATCACCTATGGAAGAGTTCAGATAGATTCCAGAGTAGTCAGGAACATGCCCTGGACAACTGCCAGTTGAGAACTGAGACAGGAGGGGCCCTGGGCCTCGCATTGGTACTGTACCAATGATATAACACTTCACTGGAGTTCAGAGGAAAAGTTGTCTTTAAAAATACCACCATCCTCCCATTCAGGGAAATGCTCGGAGCTAAATTGGAGAAGAGAATAGCTAGTGAGAGTGACAGGTGAAGGGACATCGCCAGGGAGATGATAGAGTCTTGAGGAAATTCAGCAGCTCAGGGGAGGTGACTCATTGTTGCTCACAGTCCAGATGCTCTTTATTTTGTTTTATGTTATTTTATGTTCAGATAACATTGGAAGACATAAGGAGAGACAGGAAAATCTTTCACTCTCTCTTGCTGTCACTCTCCCTCTGTCTCTGTCTTACACACACACACACACACATACACACACACACACACATCTGAAACCAAAGCCAGTACCAGAGTGCATTACATCTTAGAGCTATCAAAGACCTCACAGAACCTTTACGGTGCCTATTAAAAAGTCACAAAATCAAAGTGGGAAATCGTCATGACCAAGGGGGACAATATCAGAGAGAGAGAGTTCAGCACTAGGAACTACACTTTTCTGGTTTTGCTCATTGTCAGAAAAGTGTGAGCTGAGACCTGAAAAAGACAAACAGTATACAAGAAAACTTGAAGAAAAGACCAGACCGGTATGGATGGAGGATCTGTAGATTCTGAGAACAAAGGACTGAGTAAAACCCCATTTGGTCTCAAAAAACCCACATGGTCATGGGAGACAATTTCAACATGAAGACATGAATGCCAGGAGGGAAGTGGCTGTGGGTACAGTGAAATGCTACAGGCTGTGCAATTAATTAGGCCTGAAGGTTAAATGTAAAAGTTACCTTATAAATTAAAATGATGAAAGTTTATACTTACACGATACAATACTCTAAAACTTGTACCTATATTTTCCTTCTTCCTTCATTAATTCTCCTTTTTTGTAATCCATGTATCTTCATAATTTCTGAAACGTGCATTCTAAAGAATGCCAGGCTTATCAGTGTGATCTCTGAAGTGAGGAGGTGACAAAAAAGAATGACTATTTTTCCACACTTGTTGTAAGAGGACATTTTTGGCCAGGCGTGGTGGTTCACGCCTGTAATCCCAGCACTTAGGGAGTCCAAGGCGAGTGGATCACTTGAGATCAGGAGTTCGAGACCAGCCTGGCCAACATGGTAAAACCCCATCTCTACTAAAAATACAAAAAAAAAAAAAAAAAAAATTAGCCAGGCATTGTGGTGCATGTCTGGAATCCTAGCTATTCGGGAGGCTGAACCCAGGAGGTGGGGGTTGCAGTGAGCCAAGATCGAACCACTGCACTCCATCCTGGGAAACAGAGAGAGACTCAATCTTAAAAAAAAAAAAAAAAGGACATTTTTGAAAATTATATATATATTCATATAAATTTTAATGGGAAGATCAATTTACACCTTCAGCTCCAACTTCAGCTTGTGAACTTCTTCCCACCAAAGGAGTCTGTTGCAATGAAAAGAGTCAAGTGATGTAATGGAGGTTTTCAAAACTGCTTTGACCTGAAGAAGCTAGTCAGCATGCTAGTTCACAGCACCATGAAGAAGAGATGAGAATGTGCTTACACATTTCTCCAAGGAAGAAGACAGTTTCTTGCTCTAGATTTGTGTGCCTGGGTAAAAATTCTATCATATTGTTTATTCTTTCCTCAGAGTGTGAGATCCAGAATCAGACTCACTAGTTACATGGCTTTAGGGAAGTTACTCTTTGTACATTAGTTATCTACTCTTTCCATCAGAAAAGATGATGATGATGATGATGATGATGATAAGGAGGAGGAAAAGGAGGAAGGAAAGAAGGGGAAATTGGGGAAAGAGATGAAGAAAAAGGAGGAGGAAAAGAGAAAGAAGAAAAGAACAATAGTAACAACTTCTTGATGGGGTTATATTGAAGATTAGATTAGTTAGTATATACGAAATGCTAAATACGGTGATTCCCAAGAGATGCTATTATTGTTTTTCATTCAAGCAACCAACATTTGTTGAGAACCTACTGTGTGCAAGCTGCTCCATCACTGTAGGAAATGCAGTGATGAGTGAGTGTACCACCATCTAGTGCAAAAACTGACCAATGCTCAGATACTAAGCTTTATACCCGTGGACTATAGCTTCCTCTACTCCTTCACATTCCTGCCACCCAGCAACTTCCTGGTCTTTCTTTCACAATAATTGATGCCTTTGCACCTGAATCACAGTGTGCCCTTCTCCTCATGTTGTATAATCTTCCTAGAAGCAAGCAACGTCTGCTCAAACCACTCGTTCAAAATCTTGACCCCAGGATTTCTTATTTCATCATGTTCTGACAACTACCTTCCCTATAAATCAGGAAACTCAACACTCTACTCTTCTCCCTCAACTGCCTATTCTCCCACCACTCCACATCTTTGCTCTATGTCTATCCCATAGGCAGAAGCTCACCCATATATGGGATTACTTGGGATCATGTGGACAGTCCTTATGTTCTAGTAGAGCAATTTTCCCACATTCAAGTGTGTATGAATCACCTAGGGATCTTAGTGAAACACAGATTCTGATTCAGTAGGTCTGGAGTGGAGCATGAAATTCTGCAATTCTAATGTGTGTTAAGTTCCCAAGTGATGCTGATGCTGCTGGCCCAAGGACACACTTTGAATAGTTAAGCTCTAGTAGTCCTGATATATTAACCAGTCAGGGCCATGTTTCAGAGTTGAGCCCTGGGTCCTGGAAATTCAGAAATATGACTTATGTTAGAATACTGAGTAAAAAAGTACCCTTTGTGTGGATGACTCACATTGACTAAATTTATATACACAATGCCTACAGGCAGAGAGGCAAGAAAATGGCCCATAACAAGAAGCAACACTCACTGGACTGAGGGGCTTAAAATCCACATGGCCAGCCACTGTCTCCCTTGCATTGACTTACAGGCAAAATCAAATAATAATAAGAATATAGATTGGAGAGCATGGAAACAGAACATGCTGGAAAAATTGAATATGCGTGTATCTCACAACTGCTTATGTGTCCTACCAAAAATCAAATTTGTTAGTGAGCCTCCACCCCTCTGAATCTTTGTTCTTGTTATTGTATGGCTGACAAATCCCTAACCCAAGAGATATATGCTTTCTTTACATAGGTTAGAACAGTAGAAATTCTTCATCTGCAACATCCACTTAAAGACAGGCATGCAACTGATCAATATTTATGGCATTTAGATGTGTATACTGCAAAATAATAGCAACAAGCACTAATGTTGAATAAATGCTTGCTAGAAGCTAAGCTCAGAGGTTAACACTTTGTACTCACAATATCACTCCGAGGTAGGTCTTACTATTATCCTATTCTATGGATGAGGAAAGAGAGGCCGGGAAAGACTTAGTAGCTACCAGAGTCAGGATTTGGAAATAGGCATCTGGCCTTTGATACCTAGCTATTAGCCAAGAGTTGAAAAAGAGGGCATGTGAACAGAACATATAATAGTGGAAGAAATTGATTTATTTAAAGGTATATCTTTACGTATGTTTTAATCACTTCCTTTAGAAAGGTTTTTCTCATGTCTGAGAAGCTGCACCTTCTCTAAAATCATAGTCAGAACGGAGGAGACTCATTGGTCAGCATTTCTGGGCCTGAAAACCACTTTGCTTCCTTCATATGCCATTTGGAAAGCTTTAGATTTGTGTTGCAAAGGCCTTTGTTGGTGGAAAATGTTGAGATGACTGAACAATGATTTGTAGAAATATAGATACATATAGGTAGATAACTATAGGTATCTCAATATGGGAAAAGTTGGTCAAAAATATTTACTATAATTTTACCGTTCATAGATCTAGGTGCAACAGAATATTTAAAATAAATTTAAAACAAAAAGATGTAGGTACAGTGTGCAGAAGACTCTTGGTTAGGTCACTTTGAATTAGTTTTCTACAATATCTGTATCCTACAATACCGGAATGCATTTGCTTATCGAAGTGAACATTTCCAGAGGGTGAAGCTGAAGTTCAGACCCACAGGACTCAGGGCCTCAAAGTGTATCCTTTGCATCAACAGAAGCCCACAAAAATTCTCACACTCTGAAGTTTAGGCATGAAAGACATACATAAGATTGTTTGTCAATATTTTAAAATCGCATTTAAGACTTGGTTTGTTAATCACAGGTTTTGTTTCCTGGCTCTGAGCAAATGATAGAAAGTGAAACAGCATACCTCTCAATTGGGTGCAGTAGGAGATGCTGGAAGGTTTAGATGTAAAATTACATAACTTTCTGCATCTGGGTGGGGCTCTGGTAAGATCTCTGCCCTCTATGTCCTCCCAAGGAATCTTAATTTTACGAGGAGGGAGATAAAGAGAAAAAAAAATCTGCAAAGGAACTAAAGAAGTGAGAAAGATTTTTTTAAAATCTCTTTTCTTGCCTAAAAGGTGACAGACTAAACCAGAACAAGACATTTGCATAATAAAACACCAGCAGAAATGAACTAGGCTAACTAAGCAAAAGGTGTTGTGGAGCTTGCAGTCAGCAGAGGTACTCACACATTTTAATAAGTTCCAGGTTTGAGCCTATGTCTGGGTATATTGGAATCAGCATGAATGTGGAATTCAGAAAAAAACCTATTCTGCAACATAACCTTTGGCAATGGTCTTGATCCCTAACCCCCTAGCCCCACACCCATATAGTGGACTTAGTACTAGGATGAATGGCCAAAATGAGGCATTCTCCCTCTGTTCCTCCCATCTGTCTTTGGTAAAATGGGGACATTAATGCCCATTTCTGAGTTCCAAAAATTAACTGTAATAATAAATGCAGAGAGTCTGCTACACAGTAGGTTCTGGAGGTGAGCGTCCCTGCCCCTCACCAGCATTAAAAATTAAAAAGTCATTTTCATATTGGAACATTTGGAGTGGACTCCTCAAGGATTATGAATTCTATTAATATTTGTCTCTCAAATAAAAGAACAATTGGGGATAAAATTGCACCCAGCCAAATCCATTTTAAATGGATGAGAGTGGAGCAGAAAATAATGAAGAAGAATGTAGACAGATACAAAACGGGACTTAGACCATTTTGCTGCTAATAGGTGCCACAGACAGTTCATTACTGATAAATGTAGAATAATGATGTTCTTAATGAGTCTTTTCACGCACAAATTCATCATAAAACAAGAGGATGAGGTAAAACAAAAAGTCTTTGAATAGCACTCATGCAGCAGGGAAAGCAAGGATAATTTATGTCCCCCAAAAAGCTACCGATTTAATAAAGCCTTCTGAGATTGACTTCATTGTGTCCCAACTTAATAGCATTTCTTCTCATGTCTGAGAGGTAAATTTCAACCTGCCACACAATTTGGCGCACCTAAAAGAGATCAAAAGAGGTAGCTCTGCTGCTTGTGTTTAAAAGTTCCTATGGCCCCATATCAGTGATTGGACCTTGAGTCATTATCTATGCCCGAAGTTTGTCATTATAATATGAGAATAATAATTCCTATTCTGGGTGCCTCACACTTGATTGGTGTCATGGGCTGAACTGTGTCCCTCCCAAAATCCTTATATTGAAGTTCCAATCCCCTCAGTGCATCAGAATACCACTGCATTTGCAGATAGGCTCTTTAAAGAGATAATTAGATTAATTAAAAAGGTCATTAGGGTTGGTGCCAATTGAATATGACTGGCGTCTTTATAAGAAGAGGAGATTAAGGCACTGACACACACAGAGAGAAGGCCATGTGAGGACACAAAGGGAAGGCAGCCATATATCTACAAGCTGGGAAGAGAGGCCTCAGAAGGAACCAGTTTTGCTGACACCATGATTTTGGACTTCCCAGTCTCCAGAACTGTGAGACAATAAATGGTTGTTTAAGCCCTAGAAAACAAATATAGTTCAGTGCTTGGTGCTCAAAAATTGGATGAAGATTTTTGTTCACCCACTCCTTAAGTGTCACTTCATTAAGCCTGTGGCAGCTACAGGTGAGGATGTCAGACACAGATGCTGTGTTGAAGTGCTTTTTGAGTTAACAGTGCAAAACATGGTAAACATTTTAGAGGTTATAGCCATTACTTTCTCCTGCCTTCTATGTACATTTAATAGATGGTCTCTCTCTGTGTGCAATGTTCTAAATAAAGGATTCTATAAAACAATAGAACCAAATCAAGTTGACCTAATTTTAAATCAATACTACTAAATACCTGTGGTACACAGAATTCTAAGAAGGCCTTAAAAACTCCCACCCCCTAGTGTATGTGCCCAGTATAATCTCTTCCTCCTGAGAGAAGCTAGGTCTGTGGAATATGATATATATAAAGTAATGCTAACATGGGAGTGATTATTACAACACCTTCACCTGATAATGTAACCTAATCAAATCAAATAATTTAACATAAGACTTTGTCCCACCAAAGGGAGAGATTCTCCTGCTGGCTCTGAAAAGAAACCACATGTTGCAAGACAGTCATGTGACTAGGATACAAGGTTGGCCGCCAGGATTGAGAGCAACTCCTGGCCAACAGCCCGCAAGAAAACAGGGGCATCCGTCTTGAAACCACAAGGAACTGAATTCTTCCAACCACCTCAATAAGAAAGGAAGAAGACCTACAGCTTCAGATAAAACTGCAGCCCTGGCCAGCACTTTGATTTCAGCACTTGATCCAAAGACTCAGCTAACCTGACCCAAGAGAACCAGGAGATAATGAGTGTACATTGTCTTAAGCTGCTACTTTAGGTGTAATTTGCTGTGGCAGAAATAGGAAACAAATACAAGGCCAAAATGCTGAAGTTCCCCAACAACACACATGAGCAGACAGACTCTCACACACGTATACATGCACACACTATTTTTAGAAAGTTATATCTTAATTAGTAACCAGTCTTTTCTCATCACAAGTGTTTCCTTCTTTAGTAGAGAATCAAAAAACTAGATTAAAGAAATAAAATTCTCCCTGCTTCTCTCTAACCATGAAAGAAAGCAAAATTCTTAGGTTCAGACCAAATAAATGGACAGGCTAGATTATGGGATGTCCTCAGCAGCAGGTATTTCCTAATAAGAGATCAAATGCCAGACAGGCAGTTTTTAGGTGTATTAGTCCAAATTCACACTGCCGTAAAGAAATACTCACGACTGGATAATTTATAAAGGAAAGAGATTTAGTTGACTCGCAGTTCCACGTGGCTGGGGAAGCCTCAGGAAACTTACAATCATGATGGAAGGTGAAGGAGAAGCAAGTACCTTCTTCACAAGGTAGCAGGAAAGAGAAAGAGAACAGGGAAAACTGCCAAACACTTTTAAAGCATCAGCTCTCATGAGAACTAACTCACTATCATGAGAACAGCATAGGGCAAACCACCCCCATGATCCAATCACCCCCCACCAAGTCCTCCCTAGACAAAAAGGGGTTATTGGGATTACAATTCAAGATGAGATTTGGGTGGAGACACAGAGCCAAACCATATCAGTAGGAAACTTGGTTTTGTAAGTGGAAAAAAATAAAGGTAAACAGATATTTTTGCTCTGTAATTTGCCATCTGAGCATGGCTAGATTTTAAATCTCCCTACATCCAAGTTTTGTCATCCATAAAGTAGGGACAATAATACCCATTTCATAAAACATTTTCCTTTTTTAAAAAATTGAGAAATAATCACATACCTTAAAATTCAATATTTTAAAGTATGTAAATCAGTGTTGTTGTTTTTTTGTGTAGTGACAAAGTTGTGCAACCATCATCACTATCTAATTCCAGAATATGTCCTTACCCCAAAACAATCCCCGTACCCATTAGCAATCACTTTCCATCTCCCTGTCTCCCAGTCTCTGGCAACCACTAATCTACTTTTTGTCTCTATGTATTTGCCCATTTCTGAAATTTTGTATAAATTGAACCACACAGTACGTGGCCTTCTGTGTCTGGCTTCTTTCACTTTGCATGATATATTCAAGGTTCATCCATGTTTTAACTTTATGAGATTTTTGTGATTAAAGAAGGCCTCAATCCAGAGCCACAGAGATTATGTCAACCCATCATTTCATGCGATATAGAAGTCCTTGCTCACAACATCCTTGGCTGAGTGTTCAGACTCTTCTTGAAAACCCCCAGGCACTGGGTACTCACTATTGACAAAAGTCGACTTTCACCATGGCTGCAAAATTCTGACTGCTTAAAAATTCATCCTTGGATTGAAACAAGATGAACGTCCCATTAACTTGCACCAATTAGTCCTTGTTACACATTGAGTACTGCTCCCCAACAAATGGTACATTGAACGTCCGACCCCCGGTACCTCAAAATGGAACCTCATTTGGAACTAGCCTTAATAGATATACTCAAGTTAAGACAAGGTCTTTAGGGTGGACCATAATCCAATATGACTTATTTTTGAAAAGGGAAATTTGGAGACAGATATACACAGAGAGAATGTTGTGTGAACATGAAGGCAGAGATTGAGATAATGCTTCCACAAGCCAAAGAATGCAAAAGATTATCAGCAAATCTCTAGAAAATAAGGAAGGGGCTTAAAACAGATTATTCCTCCACAATCTTCAGAGGGCCCAACCCCCCAACACACACCAGCTAAAACGGTGACCTCATATTTCTAGTCTCAAGAACTGTGAGACCACAAATTTCTGTTTTTGAGAGCCATCCTGTCTGTGGTACTTTTTACAGAGACCCCAGAAAACTAATATAGTCCTAGTTTTCTGTTCTGATGCCATGCAGATTGCCTCTTTCTTCCCCTATTTGACATGAGCTCACCTGTTCCATCTCAAGGGCTCTTCTCCAGCATCACGGTCATCTTGCTTCAGTGAAGCTCCCTGCAATCTGCTCCCTGGATCCTCTGCTCTCCTCCCAGCACAGAATGTCTAATAAATAAATGCATATTTTCAGAATGTGGATTGAGGCTTGAACAGTAAATGTTAACATACCAAATATTTTCCTTTGCCAATTTGTTTGAATCATTGGACTCTACACTCTACATAGGAGAGTCTCACATTACTCAGTACCTGCTGGAATTTTAGCAAAATTAATAGAGAAGGTTGGTGTAGGTGAAGTGGGGCTTGACCTGAGTGGAGCTTCCTCCAGAATATATCCCAAATGTTTTGCACCATTCTTACATCTCTTATCCTAGTCAGGCCATCATCACTTCCTATCTAGACTTCTGAGGAGGCCTCCCAACTGCTATTTCTGACTCCATTCCTGTCCACCGTATGGTTCATCCTCCACTCAATAGTGATATTTTTTGAAGCACAAATTAGATTATGTATTAATATATTTGAATGCATTATCCCTACAATTAGATGAAAATCCTTACCTTGGTCTACACAGTCCTATAGGATTCAGCCCCTGCTACCCTCTCCAAATTCACCACCTATTTTTCTCCCCCATTCCTCAGAAAGCCTTCTCTATTTCTGAACATACAAGGTCATTCCCACATCTGGATTCTTATCAGGAATCTTCCCACTTCATGAAACATTTCTCTCCATCCAGATCTTTATTTTTTTGTATATCTGGATTTTTCATCATTGAGACTTCAACTCAACTGTCCCCTCCTCAGAGAGGCCTCACTTGGTCACCCTAACTAAAGTTGTGTTCCCTACCGCATGGTTCTCTTTATTCCAGGATTCCTTAGAATAAGGAATTCTGGATTAGGTAAAGGATTAGATAAATAAAGATTAAAGGATTCTAGTAGCTATCTCAGGATTCTAAAGAGAGAGTGTGTGTGTGTTTATGTATGTGTGTGTACATTCACACATCTGCCCCAAATTTTTCATTTTCCAAAATTAACTGATATCTTTATATGTTTATTATCCATCTTATTCACTACTCTATTTCCAGCATTCAGAATAGTGACTTGCAAACAATAGTTGCTCAATACACACTTGTTGAAGACAGGGATGCCCACTATCACCACTCTTATTCGGAACATAGTACTGAAAGTCCTAGCCAGAGAAATCAGGCAAGAGAAAGAAATAAAAGGCACCCAAATAGGAAAAGAAGAACTCAAGCTTACTCTCTTCACTGATGATATGACTCTATATCTAGAAAACCCTAAATATTCCACCAAAAGACTGCTAGAGCTGATAAATGACTTCAGCAAAGTTTTAGGATACAAAATCAATGTACAAAAACCAGTAGAATTTCCATAGAGCCATAGAGGTTGAGAGGCAAATCAAGAATGCAATCTCATTTACAATTGCCACAAAAGAGAAGAATATTTAGGAATACAGCTAACCAAGGAGGTGAAATATCTCTGCAAGGAGAATTACAAAACACTGCTGAAAGAAATTAGGGATGACACAAATAAAAGTAAAAGCATCCTATGCTCATGAATTGGAAGAATCAACATCATTAAAACGGCCTTACTGCCCAAAGCAATGTACAGATTCAGTGTTATTCGTATCAAATTACCAATGTCATTTTTCACAGAATTAGAAAAAAATGTCTAAAATTCATATGGAAACAAAAAAGAGCCCAAATACCCAAAACAATTGTAAGCAAAAAGAACAAAACCAGAGGCATCACATTACCTGATTTATGCTAGAAGTCTGCAGTAATTAAAACAGCATGGTACTGGTACAGAAACAGACACACAGACCAATGAAACAGAATACAGAACCCAAAAGTAAACCCTTACACCTACAACCATCTTATCTTCAACAAAGTCAACAAAAATAAGCAATGGAGAAAGGAGTCTCTGTTCAGTAAGTAGTGCTGGGACAACCAGCTGTCCATATATAGAGGAATACATCTGGACTTCTACCTATCACCGTATGCAAAAATTAACCCAAGATGATAAAAGACTTAACTGTAAGACCTCAAATTCTAAGAATCCTAGAAGAAAGCCTAGGAAATACCCTTCTTGAGATTGGCCTTGGCAAAAATTTATGGCTAAGTCCTCAAAAGTAATTGCAAGAAAAACAAAAGTTGACAAATGTGACCTAATGAAATGAAATAGCTTCTGCACAGGAAGAGAACTATCAACAGAGCAAACAGACAACCTATAGAATGGGAGAAAATATTTGCAAACTATGCAAAATATCTGACAAAAATATAACATCTGGGACCCATAAGGAACTTAAACGACTCAATAGGCAAAAGACAACCCCACTTAAAAGTGGGCAAAGTGTAATCCCGCCGGGGCAGGCAGATCACTTGAGCTCATGAGTTGGAGACCAGCCTGGGCAGCATGATGAAACCCCATCTCCACAAAAAATACCAAGAAAAATTAGCAGGGTGTGATGGTACGCACCTGTAGTTTCAGCTACTCAGGAGGCTGAGGTGGGAGGATGAGTTGACTAGGGGAGGCTGAGGTTGCAGTGAGCCTAGATTGTGCCACTGCGCTCCAGCCTGCGCTATATAGCCAGGCCTTGTTCTCAAAAAAGAAAAAATAATAATAAAATAAAATAAAAAGAAAAGAAAAAAGTAACCAAAAGACATGTACAGATACTTCTCAAAAGAAGACATACAAGAGGCCAACAAACATATTTTAAAAATTCTCCACATCACTAATCATCAGAGAAATGCAAATCAAAACAATAAGAAGATGCCATTATACAACAGTCAGAATGGCTTTTGTTAAAAAGTCAAAAAAATAACAGGTGTTGGCAAGGCTGTAGAGAGAAGAGAATGCTTATACTATTGTTGTTGGGAATGTAAATTAGTTAGGCCGCTGTGGAGAGCAGTTTGGAGATTTCTCAGAAAACTAAGAGTTAAACTATCATTCAACATTCAACCCAGCAATTTCACTGCTGGGAATATACCCAAAGGTATATAAACCATTCTACCAAAAAGACACATTCATTCATATGCTGATTGGAGTCCTCTTCATAATAACAAAGACATAGAATCAACCTAAGAGCTCATCAATGATGGACTGAATTAGGAAAATATGGTACATATACACTATGGAATACTACACAGCCATAAAAAAGAATAAACTCATGTCCTTTGCAGCAACATGGATGCAGTTGGAAACTGTCATCCTAAATGAACTAATGCCAAAACAGAAAACCAAATACTGCATGTTCTCACTTATAAGTGGAAGATAAATATTGGGTACACGTGGTCATAAAAATGGAAACAATAGGAACTGGGGACTCCTAGAGTGGAGCGGGAGAGAGAAGAGCAAGGGTTGGAAAAAACCTACCTATTTGGTACTATGCTCACTACCTTGCTGATGGATTCATTTATACTCCAACTCCAAACGTCAACATCATGCAATGTACCTTTTGTAACAAACCTTCACATGTACCCCCTGATTCTAAAATAGAAGTTCAAAAAAGAAAAAAATACCCTTGTTGAAAGAGAAAAATGAATACATGAATAAATAATA
The DNA here is from genome assembly GCF_000001405.40 of Homo sapiens. NCBI lineage: Eukaryota > Metazoa > Chordata > Mammalia > Primates > Hominidae > Homo > Homo sapiens. The sequence goes on along the minus strand of NC_000004.12, from coordinate 10,867,497 downwards.
GTGGAAAAAGTAATTGGAAGATGAAGCCAACTTTGGGGCGGGAGCATCTCTAAGTTATACACAAAACTGCTGTGCTGTACTAAGGAAGTGTGGCAAATGTTCTTGGAGGGAAGTTGCAGTTGGAAACTGCTTGGTGAGGTGTACTTCTCTGCCCATGTTCCATAATATTCCTCTTTTCCACTCTTTCAAGTTTTTGTGTAATGTCCAGAGGGGTTAAGAGTAAAGAATCTGGTATAGAAAAGCAAGTCACAGGCTCCGAAGTCACAAGCACAAGGGACATGGCAGATCACTCTCTTTACTCTGAACACTTTTACAGGGACCAGATGGATTCTTACATATGTCACATCAGGTAGGTTAAAAACCCCAGAATTATTGTTTTCCAGAACTTCTCTGTCTGTAGACTTTCGAGGAGTTGCTGAAGATTTGGCTATTTTGCTCTCTAACCACTGACAACATGTCTGTGCCTCTCTGGAAGAAATCAGCTAGAAGAGGCCTGTTTGTTAAAACAGCCACAGACAACCCCCAGACAGAGAGCTGGAGGCCTGGCCGAGGGGCAGCCCAACCTGGAACAAATCAGCTCCCAATGAGATCTGCCCAAGTGGGAAATGGCTGACAGCATGCCACCTTATGCTCCACACCATCTGGCTCCCTGCACGCCCTTCCTTGCTGGAGTTTTAATTTCCGAACCAGACGCACTGCCACAATTATGCTTTACTTCATTTTATGCATCCTGCTGTGGGAACACAGAAGCTCCTGGTAATTAAACGTCTACTTTGTGAACGGAGAGGAAATTTCCACACTTAACCATTGCTCTATTTGTTGGAGATACAGCAGGGGAAATCCCAGGCCTTTAGCACCTGGGATGGATCCCCAGTGCCCTGGGCACTGACCCATAAAATCCAAAAGCAAATCTATGGGGGATGGGGAGACATTGGGGTACGAGGGGATGTGGAGTTTGATGAAGTCCCTGTTTGGTCTGTTATCAGCTGTGTGTCTTTGAGCTACTGCTTCTGCTCTGTGAGCCACAGAAAACCATAAAAGGAGAAAATCAACTAAGGCAGAGGTAAATTTTAGGAAGATAAGACATGCCAGTGTTGCACTGGAGCATGTTGCGACTCCATGCCTTGTTTCCTTAAGGGCTTGTAGACAACTGGACCTGCCGGTCTTATGAGGCACAGATGTGAATTCTATTTGGCATACATACCCTTCAAAAATAAGTCCAATATTTGAAAACCAAGGAATGCCACAGATGGTTTTCTGTTGACTTCCAAATTCTCCTGAAAAAGTGTAATATTTGATTATGTGGGGAGCACTTTCCTACACAGCAGCAATGAGCTGGGGCTGAGACACACCTTTAGCAAGGAATCCTTGAGACTAGCACTTACTCCAAATGTCAAGTGCCTGTCAGGTGCCTTGGAAACTTGTTTAAATGCAGATTCACATTCAGTGTGTCTGGGGTTGAGCCCTAGATTCTGTATTTCTAACAATTGCCCAGGATGTGGATGCAGGTGAGAAAGGTGCCCATTTTGAGCTGAGGGGGTTGATGAGGCCTGACCACACTGCAGCTCTCCCTTCTCTTCTCCTGCCTATTGTCTTCCAACCCCAGGGATGAACAACAGGTGTCATTCATCACTACACTCACTCTGCTGTCTTTCTTTATTACAGGTCTATTGTTCTATACCTGCTAACTTTGCTCATTTGTTATTTGCCAACTTAAGAATACATTTGAATATCTGATCCAGCTTTAAAGGGTATTTCGTAGCCCCAGTCTGGTTGGATTAGTTAGAGTCCTACGAGGAAAACAGGCATCATCACTATTTTTAGTAGAGAGGATTTAGGTTACACAGGTAATGGAGAAACTCATGGTGAATTAACCCAGAGATAAGCAGTAGCAAGAGGCCATGGAGCCCTAGAGTAAAGAGGGACAAATAGAAGAGGCAGTATCTCCATAGTCCAGGGTCCATACAGGGTCCCCTGGCCAACCCTGGGACCCTGGTAAGCCTGTTTGGCAGAAACTGGAGTCACAGAGAGGATCAGTTGCTAGCAGAGATGCTGCTTGAGACAGCCATGCAGAAATGGTGAGAGGTGTCCTGACTTCTCTCTTTCAATTAGTAATCTACACCAATGCCTCCCATTAGATAAACCCATCTGGAAGACAGCTGGCATGGGAGACAGAAGAATCCAGCCTGCAGCGGCCAGAATCCCTTCCCATATGAAGCAGAGAAGCAGTGGGGTAAAATTGGATCTGAGGGCAGAGAAACCAGCTCTGGTACATTGCCCTTGGGTACATCCTCACTGCTGTTAAATGAAAGGAACACCTTAGACTAGATTCTTAAAGAGTCACAATGTTTTTCCACAATTTCTTTTTCTTTTCTTTCTTTCTTTTTTTCTTTTTTTTGAGACGGAGTCTCACTCTGTCGCCCAGGCTGGAGTGCAGTGGCGCCATCTCGGCTCACTGCAATCTCCGCCTCCCGGGTTCACGACATTCTCCTGCCTCAGCCTCCCAAGTAACTGGGACTACAGGCACCCGCCGCCACGCCTGGCTAATTTTTTGTATTTTTTTAGTACAGACGGTGTTTCACCGTGTTAGCCAGGATGGTCTTGATCTCCTGACCTTGTGATCCGCCCGCCTCGGCCTCCCAAAGTGCTGGGATTACAGGCGTGAGCCACCGCACCTGCCTCCACAATTTCTTAAAACTGAAAGGTAAAAAATCATACCACCATTCAGCACCTGCAATGTATATGTACAGTTTGTAACATTCTCGAAAAATTGGAAAGAGCCCTTGCTTAGGCATAAAGAAAAATATGCCGTGGTCCAAGAATTGCCATATAATTATCAAATGACCTTGGTAAATTTATCTGATTGATTTGGCTTCCAAATCCTTATTTGTTAAATGGTAATAATGATTGTTTCTCCACCTACTTTATAGGATTTTTGTATGTAGAAAAGTAATAGGCCAGGCGCGGAGGCTCATGCCTGTAATCCCAGCACTTTGGAAGGCCGAGGCAGGAGGATCACGAGGTCACGAGATCGAGACCATCCTAGCTAATGGGGTGAAGCCCCGTCTCTACTAAAAATACAAAAAAATTAGCCGGGCGTGGTGGCCGGCGCCTGTAGTCCCAGCTACTTGGGAGGCTGAGGCAGGAGAATGGTGTGAATCCGGGAGGCGGAGCTTGCAGTGAGCTGAGATAGCGCCACTGCACTCCAGCCTGGGCAACAGAGCAAGCCTCGGTCTAAAAATAAATAAATAAATAATAATAATAATAATATTTTTCTTATTCATTTGTTCATTGAAAGAGCAATTCATGAATGCCAGCAAGCATCATGGTTTCCATTGGTCAGGGGATGTCTCCACTAGGAAACTTTGCTAAAATCCCATTCTGTATTAGGCATTGTATTAAAGGTCCTATATGTGCTTCCAAAGCCCCTGTGCTTCCCTATTACATTGGGCAGGGTCTAATAAGGAGACAGAAGCCAGGACAAAATCTGAAAGCAGACAGAAACTATACCAATAGTTAAACAAGGAAAATTTCATATAAAATATTATCTACTTGAAGCAAGAGACACCTGTATCACCACACTTATTGATTATTTGTTTTCCCATCAGATTGACGGTTCCTTTACAGCAGGAACTATATCCGTAATTCATCATTTTAACCTTAAACCCCAAGTCTCTCCATACCTAAACATAGTATTTGACATTCAGTGACTGATAAATTATTGTTGAATAAATGAACAGAAGTTTACAATCTAAGGGGAACTAAAGTTTCAAAGCATTGTAATAGCGAGGTAGACATGATCTAGTGCAGTTCTGGATGGAGACCAATGAAAGAGAGATGGGAACTGACATTACCAAGAGAGAAGTATCTGCACATACAAGAGGAACAAGAGAGAAAGACATATTCTGGAAAGTACTGGTTATCCAGCTTTGCTAAGCGTGAGTTTTGAGGAAGAAAGTCACGGAATATGGAGTTGGAGACAGAAGACAGAAGATACGCCAGGAAAATGAGTTTCATTCGTATCTAGTTGGAGGGAAGCCATTAAAGAGGTAGGACAGGAGATATGACAGGATCTGCGATGCGGGGTGGCAGATCATCCTGGCCCTCTGCCAGGGATGCTTTAACTGGAAAGGGCTGTAATTTTGAGAAGTGAAATACGTTGCATTTTATGTATATGAACATAAATAATACAATCAAAGAAAACCAATTTATAAACAAAAAGGGAAAAAAGGTCTTGTAAGTGCTTGCTCTCAGGAATCCCACATGGTTAATTCAAATATGATAAACAGTCATGGAAATATTTCTGTATTTCATAAAAGCTGGGTAGCCAAAATAAATACTGCTGTTGAATCAAACACTGCAAACAATACTTTTGAACTCCTCTCAAAGGAGCTACCACCAAGTGATAATACCTGGGATTGAAAATGAGCAAAAGAAGATGTATTTCAAGTGCTTTTTGTCAGTATAATTTTTATTAATAGCTTCAAAATAAAAGCTCAAAATCACGATATGCAAATTCCGGTGAAGTCACGTAAAATGAAACTTTCCTTCACTCTTTTATTCTTTCCCCATAAATTCACACATGACACATAAAGTTCAACAAAATTGGTTCTATTTTGGATACAATTTTCTTGAAGTCTTTGCATTTAGTAAGTTGGCAATTTACCTAACCCCAGTGGGCCTTAGTTTTCTCATCTAGAAAGGGGACATAATTGCTATTTCCTAGTAGATTATTTAATAATTGTTTCAAAATATATTTTTAAGAAGCAAAATATGGTTTTGTGAAAAAAAGTTTCTAAAAAGCAAGAACTATATTTTTACCTCGTGTATATTTTTAATTAATTCTCAGTGAATCATAATTTAATGAAATTATAGGGTAGTATCCCCAGTTACAGAGGAAAAATGAATCAAGAAACATAAATGATTTATATATAAAGATCTTTCCACATGCCAGTGGCATACTTAAGTTAAAAAAAAAAAAAAAGATAAATGGGGCCTGCCTATGCAGAGAGAAACATTCACTACAGGAAAAAAATAAGATTAAATTTCTTGCCTACAACACGCTGAGAAGAACAAACCCCTTCTATCATTGAGAACTACTCATTTATTTAGCTCTGCCTAATTAAAATCAAGTTTCTAAGGCAAGAATGCCTCATAGGCCGGGCGCGGTGGCTCACGCCTGTAATCCCAGCACTTTGGGAGGCCGAGGCGGGTGGATCATGAGGTCAGGAGATCGAGACCATCCTGGCTAACAAGGTGAAACCCCGTCTCTACTAAAAATACAAAAAATTAGCCGGGCGCGGTGGTGGGCGCCTGTAGTCCCAGCTACTCGGGAGGCTGAGTCAGGAGAATGGCATGAACCCGGGAAGCGGAGCTTGCAGTGACCCGAGATTGCGCCACTGCAGTCCGCAGTCCGGCCTGGGCGACAGAGCGAGACTCCGTCTCAAAAAAAAAAAAAAAAAAAAGAATGCCTCATAAATTTTATCATGTAATAAACATATAGTTTTATTTATTGTTTAATTAAATTAGTTATAACTTGATATTTGCATTTCTATCAATCAGACTTTAAATTATATTGGTGCTTCAATTGATATCCAAAGTTCCTCTAAGTAACAGTTGCCTTATCAATTAAAAAATAGGGGGCAACAGCTAACTCATGGCAGATGTGAGGATTTGACCATGATTGTACTTATGTGAGCCTTGCATATGGCATACAAGAAATAGACAGTGACTGTTAATATTTTTTATTTTAATTATAATTATTTCAATTGCTGCTATTAATAAAAGCTCTTAAACATCATCTAGGGAACAAAAGTAATTTATCAATAATTTTAAATTACTACATATTACATTAAAAGATGCATAATAAATGATTTATGGGTTAAATGGAGATAAGAGGATATTAAGACATAATAGCCTATGTCTTGACATTCCCTTGGTTAATAAAAGTGGTTAAATTTATGTCCATTACCACTCTCCTAAAAAAAAAAAAAGTCACATTGACCACCAAACTTGGAGTAATTCAAAACATAGAGGAGATGTCAAATAGATCTCCTTCTTTTATATACTGGCATGTTTGTTGTTAGTGGTTTGGTTTGGTGTTTGTCCTTTCTGCGTTTTAGTAAGAAAAGATTTCAACTAAAGATTAAGGTTGCCAATACATTGTCTGGTTTTAGTGAAGCAAACAGGAAGTCCATTGGACTTGGGGGAAATAATATTCATTCAAGTATGGACCCCAGGGTGACTCATTAGTTTTGTGAATGTAATGTAGATAGGTATCCATTCTTTTAAGGAAATATGACAAACATGTCTTTTTTTCTGAGGTAATGTCTTACCAGCAGCTTGTACGTTTCTGGAGAGAAGGACGGGTCTAGAAGCCTCTTGAAAGTAAGAGGAAAGAGACAAAGTCAGCTCTACAGTAAGAGCTCAATAATATGTATTGGATAAACTAATAAAGAAATGAATCCTAATCTTTTTCATTTTCTTAAGCTTCAACATTACTAGTGATAGATATTGCTGTGGTGTTTGAAGACATAGTTACTGCTATAAACTTTTGGCAAGAATGCAAATTGGTATGTTTCCGGAAAGCTAGTTTGAAACATGGAGCAAAAGCTTTTTAATTGCCTTTACCCATTATGGTCAAGGTAGAATAGTTTTTGCAGATAAAATTTTCAGTGCAGAATGAAGAAATGCTGAAAAAATATTTTTTAAAGAAAATCTACCAAAGATAATAGAGAGCTATTAAAGTGGCAAGTACTTGGAGGCCCAGAGTTGACAGAGGTGACTACAATATTTGGCACTACTTTACCTCAATGGATGTTTTCATGTCTCAAGAGCAGCTGACAGGCTCACAAGAAGAGAATAGCTTCCAGAATTCTGATGGGACTATAAGAGAGTCCTGGAATACATCTTGAGTTTTTTTTTTTTTTTTTTTAATGACTTTTAGCTAGAATTCCAAATGGCTGAATCTAGCACAATGAAGCAGACTTCACAAAGACTAAATTCCAACCTCCAAGAGGAGGCTAAAGAGATATAATAATTAAATTTAGCATGGGATTCTTGGACAGGAAAATACATTAAGTAAAAGCTAAAGAAATCTGAATATAACATTTAGTTTATAATGATGTATCAGTATTTGTTTATTAATTGTAACAAATTACCATACAATGTATGATGTTAATAATATGGGAAACTAGATGTGAGGTACATATAGAAACTCTATATGGTATCTCATCATTTTTCTGTTAATATAACATTGTTTTAAAAATTAAGTCAATCAAAAAACAAAGATGTGACATATATAAATGGATAAAATCGTCTAATTAAAAACAGAAATTGACATACTGCATAACAAAGAACAAACAAAACCCTTTGTAACTTAAAATAGACAGACTCTAAATATAAAGATATTAAGAAATTAGAAATAAAAGAATATAAAGAAATATGCCATAGAATCACTAAGCAAAATAAATCTGACAAATACTAGAATATCAGAATATTATAGTTAATTATATTCATTATAAATATCAAGAAGTTTAATATTTTATTTAAAATACCAAAATCATGATGTTTAACTAGAAAGTTGATAGAAAGAGGGATACTTTATTATTTTAAAAGCATCAACTTATTAGAATTATATAGAACTGTTTTTCCTTTAATGAAATAGACTAAAAACATCTATCACAAATATTGACAAATATAAAAAGAGGAAAATACAAATGTTCCATCATCAAGGGAATCTTGGCACACTCTTCTCAGTCACTGATAGAATAAGGCATTGATAAAATCAGATAAAAAATAAGAAAGGATGTTGAAGATTAAAAATAAAATTTAAAAATTCTGCCTACTTAACACTTATAGAAGACTATAACCAACATCTACAGAATATTTTTTTTGGACATGGAACTAAATCAAAGTATGTTCCGATCATGGAGAATTAAGCTTGAAATTAACAACATAAGGATAACTATATTTTAACTTTGAAAGTAAGCAAAAACTTCTAAATTAACAATAGGTCAATAAAAATTAGAAGGCATTTTAAAGTAAATAAAACATAAATAAATGTAAATATAATCTCAGCACTTTGAGAGGCCAAGGCAGGAGGATCACTTGAGGCCAGGAGTTTGAGACCACTCCTGGGCAATATAGCTAAACCTTGTCTCAACAAAAAGTAAACAAATTACCAGGCATGATGATGCACATCTGTATTCCCAGCTACTCAGGAGGCTGAGGTAGAAGGATTATGTGAGCCCTGGAGTTCCACGTTACAGTGAGCTATGATTGTGCCACTGCAGTCCAGCCTAAATGAGAAAATGAGAACCTGTCTCCAAAGAATAAAACAATAAAAAAAAGATGTAACTAAAAATTATCTCACTGGATGAGGTTACACTGTAGTTAAGATTTCTAGGCCTAAGTATATATGTTTTTTTTTAAAGATTAAAAATTCATGGCCTAGATGTGTTTTTAAAGATATTAAAAGAATGTCAAATGAGCTCAAAGCAGGAAAAAATAAGCAGAATAGAATAAAAGGTGTCTTAGTCCATTTAGTGTTGTTATAACAGAATGCCCAAGGCTGGATAATTTATAAAGAAAATAGGTTTATTTGGCTAACAATTCTGGTGGCTGAAAACTTCAAAACTGTGCAACTGTATATGGTGAGGACCTCAGGCTGCTTCCTCTCATAGCAGAAAGTGGAAGGGGGGCCAGTGTGTGAAAAAAAAATTCACATGATGAGAGTGGAAGCAAGAGAGGGCAAATAAGGAACCCAGACTCTTGGTAAAATAGATAGACCACTAGCCAGACTAATCCATTTCCACTACAGCAAGATTTCATTCACCCCCAGTGCATTAATCTACGTATGAGGGATCTACCACCATGAGCCAAAGACTTCCTTCCAGACTTCATTTCCAATACTGCTACATTGAGATGAAATTCAATATGAGTTTTGGCTGGGACGAATCACATCAAAACAATAGCATTATGCAAATAAATATAAAATGTAGAGAATCAACAAAGCCAGAGGTCAATTTGTTGAAATAAATAATAAAACCAGTAATTTCCTAGCAAAGCTGATCAAGATTAAAAAGAGATGAATCATAAATTACCAATACTAGAGGGGTAATCACTACAGCTCTAACATATGTTAAATGAGGAAGTTATTATGAACAACTCTATGCCATTATTGGAAAATTTAGATAATAATGAAAACTTAATTAACAAATGCAACTTACTAAAACTAACCCAAAAAGAAATAGAAAACAAGTTCATGTGATTGTTTTTAGTTGCATAACAAAGTTGATAAAATTAATGTCTAACCGGTATTTAAGCAAAGCAAGACCTTAAGCAAACTAGAAATAGAAGTGAACTTTCCTAAGTGGATAAATGATATTAAAAATAAAAACAAACAAACACCTATAGAAACACATACATTGACTCTTAATGGCAAAACATTATAAACTTTCCTCCTGAGATCAAGACTCAGGCAATAGAAGACTACTTCTAATTGGCATTCTTCTGGAAGTGGTAGCCAGTGCAATAAGGCAAGAAAATTAATAGAATTGGAAAGTCAGAAATAAAACTATCATCACTCACACTATATTTGCCTATAGTTATTAAAAACATAAAAATTAAAAAGCTCTGATGTATTAAATCAAACAAGTGAATTTAACAAGTTCACTGGATACAAAGTTAATATATGAAAGTCAATCACATTTCTACTTTAACAGCAATTAGAAAATGAAATGTAAGTACCAATTATAATTATACATATGTATAGAACTATACATAGATTACATATACATAATTTATACAATCATGTGTATATGTATGTGCATAATTCACAAGATACCTATAGAGAAAGTACAGATCTAAATAAATTGAGAACTATAACATGTGAAGATTCTCTTCAAATTGATCTAGAATTTTGATATAATTACTAGCCGAGTTGTGTATGTGTATGTGTGTAAATTGGTGAGCAATTACTGACATGCTAGTAAAAATTAAAGTCATGAAAAAAGACAGTCTTAGAAAGGATTTTATAGCAAACAAACTTACAACTTTTAAAATATGTTTTCTTTCATCATTTATTTCTCTAAAAATTTCAGAAAATGAGAGCATCCGATAGCCATAGCCAGATGCTCATCTCACTCTCTGTTTCTAACTCATCAATTTTATAGGTTTATTTTGTAATTGATTATAACAGAAGATAGCTCAGCTCCCATTTTTTCAGGTATAGTTTTGGGACCCACAGGGGGCCAAGGATGTTGAACTCATTAATAAATAACCTTCAAAAGGCTTGCAAGACACATTTGAAAATCTGTTCAAGTACATATTTTGAAAAGAGGCCATGGGGAAAAATAGTAAAGAAGTTAAAATATACTGTCTGAAGATATTTTTAATGTTACAATTTGAAAACAAAGAAATTATAGTAAAAACATAAATTATATGTATATCTGAAATTATATGTGTATCTGAAAGGTGATGCAGATACACATTTGGAAAAAAAAGAGTCACAGTATTTATTCATAAGTATTTCACAGAGATGACTTTAATAGAGTAGACATAATTGGTAAACACATTAAAGGCCTAGAAATCTTAGAATTAGTGATTTTTCATTTCACATCAATAGTCCTCGAGCTATTTTTCTGCTCCCACGTAGCTATTCAGGACTCACTTGTGGTCTTTATTCACTCAGTTGTGGGCAACATAGGGTAACTTCCATTTTCTCCTCTAGGATAAAGCTTCCCCATTGGGGTAAAATTTGGGATTTTTTTCTAGCATTTAAGTGATATCTTCTGCTCACAGAAGAGTCATACTCACATTGCTTTGGTGGCTATTTTGACATGTCTGTGGCTTGTTTGAGGATTCTTGCATCATAGTGCAGCATTAACATTCAATGAATTATGTGTATCCCACAGAGGTCAATGAGAAAACTCACAAGGCAAAGTCTCTCTGAGTGTGAAGCAGTTCTTTCTCTAAATCCCTTTGCACAGATACACCCAGTGACCCAGCTGGATTATTGTAGAGTCCAGTGTTGGCCTGGAAACTCATAGTTAGACTGAAAAGGAATTTGGAATAGAAGTGGGCCTTTGAGAATGACAACAGTGTGTAGAGACAGATGCTAGAAAGAATAGCTGAGAAAGCATTGAAATCATCACAGGCTGAATTCATAGTCCTTGAAACCTGTACTCCACATCTTGATTAGCACAACTGCAAAGACCTCAAGCTTCTTCAACCCTTTTAAAAAATAATGACATTCTCTACAAATAGATACTTTGATTTGGAAGCTATTTTATGGTTATTATATCAAATTTCATAATTTTAAGAGAACAGTGTTTTCCTAAATTCAAGTTCAGCAGATTATCTAATCATTCTTTCTACTAATAAAAAGCTGCAGCTTTCACCCAAGATTTTATATACTCATAAATATAAACATTGTTCTTCTTTTGATTCTAGATATTTAAACTTGGTAGGAGATAACACAATGTTTACAAAATACTTGGAATTCTTTCATGTGAGTTTTTCATATTTTATGTGCCTTTATCTGATTAGGGATACCAATTTATAGGACTGTTCTACTGACTTTCCCAATGAATCAGAAAAAAAAAAAGTTGCTAAGTAATAAATTTACATTTACTAGTTTCTGTATTTTTTATTGACACAATAAATAAGTCAATAATACCAACCTGTTTTGAATAGCAAGACCAAAAATATTACTTTCATATTCTACTGACCTTCACTTAGATATCTTTATGCCAATGTTTTCTCCTTTGGTATGTCATTATGGATTTATGCCTTTTCAGATTTACTGTATATCATTGATCTTTGTCAATAATCTTTTGAGGCCCAATTGCCTCATCTTGGCCAATAGAAGCTCCCTTCAAATTATGCTTAGATCATTGCAAATTAGATTATTTCAATGTGACTGCATTATTTGTGACATATTTTTGCTTTCTGGCACAACATAATTATATAGGCTCACTTTTCCCCTTTCAACCCAGACAAAGAATCAGCTACTTATTTTCAAGGCACCATGGTTTCTCATAATGGGAAAATAGAATTGAATAGACAAGAATCTGAGTGATGCTGTGAATAATTGTGGTGGGGTGGTGTGGGGCACATGTCCTTGGCTATTTCTTTGGGCAAAGCTAATAAAGATGTATTCTGAATTTCTTTGAAAACTTACATGATTTTGCTTTTTATGTTTCTGATTCAACTCTAATAGTACAGTGCCCACACCTAAATTTTATTTTATTTTCTCTTATACTAAGCATATTGAGTCCTAACAAACATATCTTTTAAAATTTACTAAAAATATAAGAAAAAATTCAAAATAATAATTTAATGTTAGTGCAAAAATATAATTAGTGACTGAGTTCGATTTTGGGCAGTTCTTTTTGTTTCTATCACATTATGCTGTAGATTTGCAGTCAGATTATTTTGTTTTAGAATGATGGTTCTCAAGACTCATTGTGCATCAGAATTGCCCGGAAGGTTTGTTTAAAACAAATAGCTGGGCTTTGTTCACTGAATTTCTGATTCAGTAAATTTGGGGAGTGGCTGATAATTTGCATTTCCAATAAATTCCCTGGTTGGAGGGGGCCAAGATGGCCGAGTAGAAGCATCTACAGTCCATGGCATTCGTGGAGAGGATGAAAAGGAGCGAGTGAATACAGCACCTTCAACTGAAATATCCAGGTAGTTGCACTGGGACTTATCAGAGAAACAACTCAACCCATGGAGAACGAAGAAAAGCAGGGTGGGGTGACAGCCCACCCAAGAGTGATGCAGAGCCAAGGGAACCCTCACCCCCAGCCAAGGGAAGCAGTGAGTGACTGTGTGACCCTGGGAAACCACACTTCTGGATCTTTGCAACCCGTGGATCAGGAGATCCCCTTGGGAGCCCACTCCACTAGGGCCTTGAGCTCAACACACAGGGCTTTGTGGAGTCTTGGCAGAATAGCTGCTCAGACATGCAGAGAGACCTAAGAACTTGACATACTCCATCCCCAGGATCCCTAACAAATATATCTGCAACTCAGACATGGCAGGAGGTCCATGCATACCCCTAGAAAGGAGGTGGAATCCAGGGAGCCAAATAGCCTCATTCTGCAGGCCCCACTTCCACAGCACCTCACAAGATAAGACCCACTGGCTTGGAATTCCAGCCAGCTACCCGCAACAAGGTGAAGACTGCCTGAGATTGAGCGGAGCTCTTGATGGGAGGGGCAGGTGCCATCTCTGCTGTTTGGTGGATTCCCTCATTCCAGCCTGTGGGTTCTGAAGAGTCCAAACAGTCGAGACAAGGAAGGGTCCCCCCAAGCAATGCAACACAGAGGCTTTGCCAGATATGGCAAGACTGGTTCATTAAGCAGGGCCTGGATCCAGTCCTCCTCACTGGGTGGGACCTTCCAGCCACAACTGCTGGCACTTTATTACTGACAGAGCTCTGATCTGTCCCTGAGACAGAGTGCCTGGGGGAGGGGAAGGCTGCCACCTAGGTTGGTTGGACAATTCAGCTGTTACAGCCTGCGGGCTACAGAGAGTCCAAGCTGACAGGGGCAGAGGCAGTTCCCCACCACAATACAGCTGTTTTGTAGAGACATGACCAGGCAGCTTCTTTAAATGGGACCCTAATTCACTTCTCCTCACAGTGAGGGTCCTCCCAGCCAGGGTTTCTGGCCACTGCTCCATGTTCTATGGAGCTGCCAGAGCTTCAATTTCTCCCTGGGACAGAGGACCTTAGGGGCAAGACAGGCCACCAACTTGGCCATTCAGGCTCCTCAGCTGGTCCAGTCTACAGGCCTTAGAGAGCCCAGACCAATCAGGGACTGAAGGGATCCCCAACACAGCACAGCTGCTCAAACGAAAAACAGCCAGACTGCTTCTTTAAGTGGGTCCCTGACCCCATACCTCCTGACTGGGTGAGACCTCCCACTGGGTCTCCAACCACCCCCTACAGGCACATTTGGGCCAGCAATTGGTCAGCACCCCTTTGGGACAGAGCTTCCAAAGGAAAGGGCAGGCTGCCATCTTCGTTGTTTTGCAGGCTTCACTGGTGATACCTCCAGGTATGGAAAGAATCGAGGCAACTAGGCTCTGGAGAGAACCCCCAGCAAACCACAGCAGCCCTATGGAAGAATGGCCAGACTGTTAAAAGAAAAACAAAAACAGAAAACCACCACAACAAGAACAACAAAGAAAAACCACAAAAACCCCATCCAAATGTAAGCAACCTCAAAGATCTAAGGTAGATAAGCCCACAAAGATGAGAAAGAATTAATGAAAAAACACTGAAAACTCAAAAAGCTTTAGTGCCTCTTTTCCTCCAAATGACCGCAACACCTCTCCAGCAAGGACTCAAAAGTGGGCTGAGGCTGAGACAGCTAAAATGACAGAAGTAGGCTTCAGAAAGTGGGCAACAACAATTTCACCGGGCTAAAGGAGCACATTGTAACCCAATTCAAAGAAGCTAAGAATCATGATAAAACAATAAAGGAGCTGACAGCCAAAATAGCCAGTAAATAGAGGGACATAACTGACCTTTTTGAGCTGAAGAACACACCACAAGAATTTCACAATGCAATTGCAAGGATTATTAGCAGAAATGATCAAGCAGAGGAAAGAATCTCAGAGTGGGAAGACTGGCTTTCTGAATTAAGAAACACAGACAATAATAAAGAAAAAAGGAATGAACAAAACCTCTGAGAAATATGGGATTATGTAAAGAGGCCAAACCTATGACTGATTGGTGGACCTGAAAGAGACAGGGAGAATGGAACCAAGATGGAAAACATACTTCAGGATATCATCCAGGAGAACATCCCAAACCTAGAAAGACAGGTCAACATTCAAATTCAGGAAATGCAGAGAACCCCAGTAAGATACTCCACAAGAAAGTCATCTCCAGGACACAAAATCTTCAGATTCTCTAAGTTTGAAAGGAAAGAAAAAAAATGTTAAGGGCAGCCAGAGAGAAAGTCCACATCACCTACAAAGGGAAGCCTACCAGATTAATAGTGGACCTCTCAGTGGAAACTCTGCAAGCCAGAAGAATTTGGGGGCCTCTATTCAACATTCCTAAAGAAAAGAATTTCCAACCCAGAATTTCATGTCCAGACAAACTAGGCTTCATAAGTAAAGGAGAAATAAGATTCTGTTCACACAAGCAAATGGTGAGGGAATTTGCCACCACCAGACCTGCGTTGCAAGAGCTCCTGAAGGCTGCACTAAATATGGAAAGGAAAAGCTGTTACCATCCACTACAAAAACACACTGAAGTACACAGACCAGTGACACTATGAAGCAAACACATAAACAAGTCTGCAAAATAACCAGCTAGCATCATAATGACAGGATCAAATCCACATAAAACAATACTATCCTTAAATGTAAATGGGCTAAATGCCCCAGTTGAAAGACACAGAATGGCAGGATGAATAAAGAATCAAGACACATATGCTGTCTTCAAGAGACCCATGTCACATGCAAAGGCACAAAAAGGCTTAAAATAAAGGGATAGAGGAAAATTTGCCAAGCAAATGAAAAACAGAAAAAAGGAGAGGTTGCAATAGTAGTTTCTGACAAACCAGACTTTAAACCAACAAAGATCAAAGAAAGACAAAGAGGGCATTACATAATGCTAAAGGGTTCAATTCAACAAGAAGAACTAACTATTCTAAATATATGTGCTCCCAATATAGGAGCATCCAGATTCATAAAGTGAATTCTTAGAGACCTTAAAGAGACTTAGACTCCCACACAATAATAGTGGGAGACTTTAACACCTCACTGACAATATTAGACAGATCATTGAGACATAAAATTAATAAAGACATTCAGGACCTGAACTCAGCTATGGATGCTGTGGACCTGATGTCCACAGATCTCTCCACCCCAAAACAACAGAATATACATTCTTCTCATCACTGCACAGCACTTACTCTAAAATTGATAACATAAGCCAAAGGAAAATATTCCTCAGCAAACAAAAGAAATCATAACAGTCTCTCAGACTACAGTGCAATAAAATTAGAACTCAAGATTAAGAAATTCACTTAAAACCACACAACTAAATGGAAGTTGAACCACCTGCTCCTGAAAGACTTTTGGATAAATAACAAAATTAAGGCAGAAATCAAGAAGTTCTTTGAACCTAATGGCAGCAAAGATACAATGTACCAGAATCTCTGGGACACAGCTAAAGCAGCGTAAAGAGAGAAATTTATAGTACTAAATGCCCACATCAAAAAGTTGGAAAGATCTCAAGTTAACAACCTAAATCACAACTAAAAGAACTAGAGAACCAAGAACAAACAAACCCCAAAGCTAGCAGAAGGCAAAAATAACCAAGATCAGAGCTGAACTGACGGATACAGATGGGAAAAACTCTTCAAAAAGTCAATGAGTCTAGGAGCTGTCTTTTTTGGAAAAATTAATAAAATAGATAGACTACTAGCTAGATTAATAAAGAAGAAAAGAGAGAAGATTCAAATAAACACAATTAGAAATTATAAGGGAGATGTCACCATTGACCCAACAGAAATACAAACAATCATCAGAGAATACTATAAACACCTCTATGCACATATACTAGAAAATCTAGAAGAAATGAATAAATTTCTGGACACTTACACACTCCCAAGTCTGAACAGGAAGAAATTGAATCCCTGAATAGATCAATAACAAGTTCTAAAATTGAGGCACTAATAAATAGCCTACCAACCAAAAAAGCCCAGGACCAGACAGATTTACAGCTGAATTCTACTGGAAGTACAAAGAAAATCTGGTACTAGTTCTACTGAAACCATTCAAAAAAATTGAAAAAGAGAGACTTCTTCCTAACACATTTTATGAGGACAGAATCATCCTGATACAAAAACCTGGAAGAGACGCAACAAAAGAAGAAAACTTCAAGCCAATATCCCTGATGAACATCAATTCAAAAATCCTCAACAAAATACCGGCAAACAATCCAGAAGCACATCCAAAAGCTTATACACCATGATCAAGTAGACTTCATCCCTGGGATGCAAGTTTGGTTCAATATACACAAATCAATAAATGCGATTCATCACATAAACAGAACTAAAGAAAAAAACCAGATGATTATCTCAATAGATACAGAAAATGCCTTAGATAAAATTAAACATCGCTTCATGTTAAAAACTCTCAGTAAACTAGGTTTTGAAAGAACATACCACAAAATAATAAGAGCCATATATGACAAACCCATAGCCAATATGATACTGAATGGGCAAAAGCTGGAAGCATTCCCCTTGAAAACCAGCACAAGATGAAGATGTCCTCCCTTACCACTCCTATTCAACATAGTAATGGAAGTTCTGGCCAGGGCAATCAGGCAAGAGAAAGAAAGAAAGAGTATTCAAATAGGAAGGGAGAAAGTCAAACTGTCTTTGTTTGCAGATGACATGATTCTTTATCTAGAAAACCTCATTGACTCAGCTCAAAAGCTTCTTAAGCTGATAAGCAAATTTGGCAGTATTAGGATACAAAATCAATGTGCAAAAATCACTAGCATTCCTACACAACAACAACAGGCAAGCTGACAGCCAAATCATGAATGAACTCCCAGTTACAATTGCCACAAAAAAATAATAAAGTACATAGGAATACAGCTAACAAGGGAAGTGAAGGACCGCTTCAGGGAGAACAAAAACCACTGCTCAAAGAAATCAGAGATGACACAAACAAATGGAAAAACAGTCCATGGCAACGGATAGGAAGAATCAACATCATAAAAAGGTCCATACTGCCCAAAGCAATTTATAAATTCAATTGTATTCCCATTAAACTACCATTGACATTCTTCACAATTAAAAAAAAAAAACTTTTAAAATTCATATGGAACCAAAAAAAAGCTCATATAGCCAAAACAACCCTAAGCAAAAAGAACAAAGCTGGAGGCCTCACACTACTCAACCTCAAACTATACTACAAGTCTACAGTAACCAGAACAGCATAAGACTACTACAACAGCAGACACATAGACCAATGAAATAGAATAGAGAACTCAGAAACAAGACTGCACACCTGCAACCATCTGGTCTTCCACAAACCTGACTAAAACAAGCAATGGCAAAAGAATTCCCTGCTTAATGAATGGTTCTGGGATAACTGGCTAGCCATATGCAAAAGATTAAAACTTCCTTACACCATATACAAAAATCAACTCAAGATAGATTAAAGACTTAAGTGTAAAATCCAAAGCTATAAAAACCCTAGAAGACAACCTAGGCAATACCATTCAGGACATAGGCACAGGGAAAGATTTCATGACAAAGATGTCAAAAGCAACAGCAACAAAAGCAAAAAATGACAAATGGGTTCTAATTAAACTAAAGAGCTTCTGCGCAGCAAAAGAAACTATAATCAGAGTGAAGAGACAACCTACAGAATGGGAGACAATTTTTGTAATCTACCCATCTGACAAACATCTGATATCCAGAATTTACAAGGAACTTAAACAAATTTACAAGAAAAAACAACCCCATTAAAAAGTGGGCAAAGGTCAAGAAGAGAACTTCTCAAAAGAAGACATACATGTGGCCAGCAAACATGTGAAAAAAAGCTAAACATCACTGAACATTAGAGAAATGCAAATCGAAAAGATGTGATATCATCTCACACCAGTCAGAATGTCTATTACTACAAAGTGAAAAAAACAACAGATGCTGTCAGGGTTGAGGAGAAAAAGGAATGCTTTTATAGTCTTGGTGGGAGTGTAAATTAGTTCAACCATTATGGAAGACAGTATGGCAATTCCTCAAAGACCTAGAGGCAGAAATACCATTTGTCCCAGCAATCCCATTACTGGGTATCTACCCAAAGGAATATAAATCATCCTATTATAAAGATCCATGCATGTGTATGTTAATTGCAGCACTATGTACAATAGCAAAGACATGGAACCAATCTAAATGCCCATCCACGGTAGACTGGATAAAGAAAATGTGGTACATGTACACCATGGAATACGATGTAGCCATAGAAAGGAACAAGATCATGTCTTTGCAGGGAGATGGATGGAGCTGGAAGCCATTATCCTCAGTAAACTAATTCAAGAACAGAAAACCAAATACCGCATATTCTCACTTATAAGTGGGAGCTGAATGATGAGGACACATGAACACATAGTGGGGAACAACACACAATGGGGCCTGTTGGAGGGTGTGGGGGGGAAGGAGGGAGAGCATCAGGAAGAATAGCTAATGGATGCTGGGCTTAATACCTGGGTGATGGGATGATCTGTGCAGCAAACCACCATGGCACACATTTAACTATGTAACAAACCTGAACATCCTGCACATGTACCCCTGAACTTTAAAGTTGGAAATATAAATAAATAAATAAATAAATTCCCTGATGCTGCTGCCACTAGTCCAGGGACCACACTTTGAGAATCACTTTTCTAGAATCAATTATAATTGTTCACTCTCCATGGCTGCAAGTACTTATCTGATCTATAGTGTTGCTTCAGGACTTTATGCTGATTTTCAATCTGACGCTGTTGGCATTTCAACAGTTGTCACTGGTAAATTCAAAGATAGCAGAGGTTACTTAGATAGTCAGAATACTATGAAAGAGGGATCTTCTCTACCTTAGGATGGTTAAAAAAAAAAAAAAGAAAAGAAACACCTCCACCAGACCAGCTCTGTCTTCAAAACTCTGCACAATAGTTTCGTTTCATCATTATCTGATACTACCTACAATGACTTAGTACTCAATGTTAAGTACAAGATACCTATATTTGCTTCCTGGTTGAATAAACCAATTCTGTCTCCTATGATTTAATTTCTGATAATGTAGGAACACACTTATTTCACATCTACCATTCTCTTGCCACTTTAATATATCAGGTTATATATGTATTGGTACAATGAGAATATCCTAAGTAGTACCTTAAGAGAGTACCAGCCAAAATATTAAAAATTCCACTGAGGAATCAAAAAAATCCCTAGTACCTTAGATTCCATATGATTAGTAAAGAGAAATGAAAGAAATACAAGCTCTTGAGGTTTGGCTTGAAAAAATATATTATTTCTATATTCGTTTTACTTGGAGAAAATCTAGTTTAAGACCTCAGTTTCTCAGAGGCATTAACTTAATGCTAGACACGCTCAAACTTCACAAAGCCAATCAAACATTCAAATGTGTTATTAACAATATGACTAGCATATATAAAAATAAAATACAATTACATTTTTAAATGTCAGCAATCGAAAAAAGCGTCAACTATTACAAACTTAAGCTATGATTAGAAAGTACAAGTGCAAGCTTTTCTACAGATGCATATAACTTCCAGCTAACCAGGATCCAATGCCTAGAAGCATTTCATAAGACATGAATGTTGAAAATTATAATACATTTTAACTGCTATAGTTCATTTTAAGTCCCATATGTTAGATCATTTACATAAATATTTTACTATTTAGTTTAGTTTTAGTGCAGAAACCCAAACCTTAAGTAAAATGAAATATTCGTGTACTAAAATTTCTGATTTATTTTATTTTATTGTTGTTTATAGAGACAGCCTGTGTTGCTCTCTTGCCCAGGGTGAGGTGAAGTTCCACCGTCATAGCTCACTGCAGCCTCAAGCTCCTGGACTCAAGTGATCCTCCTGTTTCAGGAGGATCCGTGTTCCATTTTATTAAATAGACTTTTATCCTATTTTTTGTATTAAAAAATACACAATCCCTAGGTTTGGAATAAATGTTTTGAAAATCCTGAGATTAATAAAAGAAGTATTTTGTAAAGAAAAAGATGATACTCTTTTCCTTTTTCAACTTTTAGGTTCACGGGGTACATGTGCAGGTTTGTTACCTGAATAAATCCTGTGTCACTGGGGTTTGGTGTACAAATCATTTCATTACCCAGGTAGTAAGTATAGTACCCAATAGATATATTTTTTTAACCCCCATCCTCCTCCCACCCTCCACTTTCAAGTAGAGCACAGTGTCTATCATTCTAGTCTTTAACTTCATGAGTACTCAACGTTGGGCTACCACTTATAAGTGAGAACATGTGGTATTTGGGTTTTCTGTTCCTGCATTAATTCACACAGGAAAATGGCTTCCAGTTGCATCCATGTTACTGAAAATTCAGGACATGATTTCATCCTTTTGGAATCTCAATAAGATTTGTCTTGTAGTTAATATTACTGTACCAGTGTCAATTTCCTGGTTTGGGTAATTGTGTTAGTCAACTTGGGCTGCTATAACAAATACCTTACAATGGGTAATATAAACAATAGAAATTTATTGCTCACAGTTCTGGAGGCTGGGAAGTCCAAGATCAAGGTGCCAGCAGATTCAGTGTCTGGTGAGGGCCTGTTTCTCATAAATGATGTCTCCTGTGCCTGTGCGTGGTGGAAGAGGCCAGGCAACTCCCTTAAACCTCTTTTCTAAGGCCACTAATGTCATTCATGAAGGTGGATCCTTCATGAGTTAATCACTTCCCTAAAGGCCCTGCCTCTTAATACTGTAACAGTATTAGTGTGTGTGCATAAGTGTGTGTATATATATGTGTGTGTGTATATATATGTGTGTGTGTATATATGTGTGTGTATATATATGTGTGTGTGTATGTATACACACACACATATATATATACACACATGTTTTGGAAGGGAGAGGGCACCAACATTCAGACAGTATCAACAATGTATCATGTATTTTAGAATATTGGCATTTGGGAGAAGCTTGGTGAAAAGTACACAGGAACTCTGTCCCATTTTTGTAACTACTAGTGAGACAAACTATTTCAAAATTAAAAGTTATAATTAAAAATTAAGGTCTGAACAATAGAGAAATCAATCTCAGTAAAACAACTCATCCTGGAGAGAAGCGTTTGGTCCATTTATTGTAGACAGAAGAGAAACCACTGGTTGCTTTTAGGATGGTTTTTAGGATGAGCACTCTTAAGAGCTCAGAGACTTCAGTGATGATACTTCAAAGGCTTATTCTTATATTGATGCAGACAATTTCATAGAGAGTCTGCCATACTCAGTGAAGGAAAATACAGGGGTATAGGTACTTGATTCAAGGGTGGTTTTAAATATACTAGAAAAATGCAGAGGTGACTGAGCTTTATTTGGACACTCATTTATTTGGATGCTCTGGATGCTTTAGCAGCCCTACAATTTTCCAAACCTGTAGATAAAGATCTTCCCTTTCTCAAAAGTATGAGTATTTTGATCTTCCCATGGGGAACCTTATACAAACATGTGTTGAAGGTTTCTCTAGTTTCTTTATAAGGTTTGGAAAACTTTCACTGACATGCTATAAAGGACATAGTAAAGAACTTTATTATTCTTCTTTTAAAAAAAAAATAGAGACAAAGTCTCACTCTATCACTCAGGTTTGAATGCAGTGGTGTAATTATAGCTAACTGTAACTTAGAACTCCTGGGCTCAAGCAATCCTCCTGCCTCAGCCTCTCGAGTGGCAAGGACTAAAGGCTCATGTCATCATGCCTGACTGATTTCTTAATTTTTTGTAGAGGTGGGTTCTTGCTAAGTTGCCCAGGCTGGTCTCAAACTACTGGCCTCCAATGTATCTTCCACCTTGGCCTCACAAATTTCTGGGATTATAGGTGTGAGCCATTGTGCCCAGCCAGATTTCATCACTCCTTTGTGAACCTAATTTTCCTTCATATACTTTGTTCCCATTTGACAAGATAATGAATTTTCCAGGTGTTCTCTTCCATGATTAAGGAGCCATAAGAAGAACACTGTCACTTGGTGCCATCTATGAGGTCCTACCTTATCTCCTAAAGCATTTTATTGGCAGGGTGCCATTACAGTTTAACAAACACATGAGCAGGGGTAAGACACCTTGATAACTCCAAGATTCAGAACAGTCTAGTGTTTGAAATGGAGCATATGCAAAGAAAATTATCCGTTTTAAATAAGGAGTGTGGGGAGCACAGAAAAGATAGAAAACCAGATAGTCAGACTCAGTCTGTGCTTCCTATGTAAAAAAGCAAAAGCCTTATTGAACTGTAAATCTCTCAGAGATAAAGCTTTGCTGAAGAATCCCTAGGAGGCAGAGGGGAGGAAGAAGAACAATAAAAAATGGAGACCTCAAAGGGTCTTACCATATGTGCATTCGATTTGCACTTTGTAACCCTTTTCCATTTGTCTTGAGAGCCAAGATTACAACCTTATATGTGTGTGTGCGTGTGTATGAACATAAGACTGCAACACAGAAATGTTAAAACATGTGTTTTTGTTTTTTGGGTTTTTTTTTTGGGTTTTTTGTTTGTTTGTTTTTTGTTTTGTTTTGTTTTTAGGCAGAGTCTTGCTCTTGTTGCCCAGCCTGGAGTGCAATGGCACGATCTCAGCTCACTGCAACCTCTGCCTCCCAGGTTCAAGTGATTCTCCTGCCTCAGCCTCCCGAGTAGCTGGGATTACAAGCATGTGCCACCACACCCGGCTAATTTTGTATTTTTTAATAGAGACGGGGTTTTTCCATGTTGGTCAGGCTGGTCTCAAACTCCCATCCTCAGGTGATCTGCCCGCCTCGACCTCCCGACGTGCTGGGGTTATAGGCATGAGCCACTACACCCGGCCATTATTGTTTACTAAAATATCTGCATGTGGAAAGAAATGAGGAGAATATGCCAACCAGAAGCAAGAATGACTGCTTCAGTTCTTAATGATCCGGGTTTTCTCAGGTTGTGCCTTATTCATGAGTACCACTCAAGATTCCATGTCTCCCATACTACCTCCCCAAAACAAGCACAGTCCACTTCAGAATTAGTTTGAAGATCCATTTCAGAGGGGGACTCTGAGCTCGCAAGACATCCACCTCAAAAGCCTGATAATAGATGCATGAAAAATGGTTCAAACATAAATTTTAAAATCAGGGAAAGAGCTATAATAGAGTTGGAATATATGGCCCTGCCGAATCTCATGTTGAACTGTAATGCCTAGTGCTGGAGGTGGGGCATGGTCGAGGTGTTTGGGTCATGGGGGCAGATCCCTCATGCCTTGGTGCGATCCTTGCAATAGTGAGTGAGTTCTTCCCTCATGCCTTGGTGCTATGCTTGCAATAGTGAGTGAGTTCTTCCCTCATGCCTTGGTGCTATCCTTGCAATAGCGAGTGAGTTCTTGGGAGATCTGATTTTTTTTTTTTTACGTGTGTGACAAACCCCAACCCCTACTCTTTCTTGCTCCTGATCTTACCGTGTGATGTTCCTTCTCCCACTTCACCTTCCACTATGAGTAAAGTCTCCTTGAGGCCTCCAAAGAAGCTGAGCTGATGACAGTGTCATGCTTCCTGTACAGTCTGCAGAACTGTGAGCCAATTAAGCCTCTTGTTTTTTTTTTTTTTAACAAATTACCCAGTTGCAGGTATTTCTCTGTAGCAAAGCAAAAGTGGCCTAATACAAGCAATAAGTGATGTAAGATATATATTTGAGAATAGATTTCAATCTATGTCTTGAAAACTAGGAGAGTCACAGTAAACAAGATAAGTGGGCTCTCTGAAATGGGATGTTGATAAATATCTGAAAAGATCACAGAAGTTCCACAGGAGAGGTAAGGGGGATGGCAGTGAGTGGGCAAAACACAAAGGGTAGTTTCTGTTACTTGAGTTTTTAAATTTTAGAATATACAACATAAAGGATTATGTTTGTTGGGTTTGTTGGTTGTTTGCTTGTTCTTTATGTAGGGCTTATTTCCCTTATCAAAGAACAAAGTTGTAGGAATTACTCTGATAGATATCAAATTTTATTATAAAGATATAGTATATATGAGAGTACTAGTGGCACAAAGATTCAAAAATTAGAACAGAAGCAGATCTATACAGATAGGAAGATTTGATTTATGAGTAAGAAAGAACTATAGAATAGTACAGAAAGAACTTTTGTCCAATAAATTATACTGGGTCAAGTGAATATCCACAAGGAAAGAAAATGAAACTTTATCCTTACTCCATACTATATATAAAAAATACATTTCAGGTAAACAATCTTTTAGAAAATAACATTGAATAATATTCTTATGACCTTGGAGTAGACAAAGGGGCCTGAAAAGCATTAACCAAAAAGGATAGATTGGTCAGCTAGACTACACTAAAGTTAGGAATTTCTGGTCAACAATAAGAGAATAGAAATGTAAGTCATAAAGTAGAAAATATTTGCAATATATATAAACAACAAAAGACTCATATTCAGAATATGTGTATACAAATATATACTTATTTATATCATAAATAAATGTACAGTAGGCTATATATATATACATATTTAAATTCTAATAATCAGTACAAAAAAGGGCAGAAAACCCAATTTTAAAAGCTATAGTTACAAGTAGGCACTTCACAAAAGATAATATCCAAATAACCAGGAAACATATGACAAGTTGCTCAACATCTTTTTTAAGGAAATACACATTAAACCACAATGAGAGACCACTCTGTGTCCACCAAAATGGCTAAAATGTTAAGACCGGCAATACCACCTATGATGAGGACAGAAAGTAAAATTTTCATAACCTTCTGGTAGGCATATCTATTGATACAACCACTTCCGAGAACAGCTTCTATACTAAAACTAAGTATTATGACCTATCCAGCTTATGACTCAGCCGTTACTTTCCTCAGAAATGAGAGCTTATGGACAGTCATGTTCATAGTGGCAAAATTCAATAACATCTCTAAGGCAAAAACAACTCAGATGTCCGAGAACAGTAAACTGAACAAATGAATGTTGGTATGTTTAAGGAATGGAATCATAAATGACACTGAAAATCTGCCTGCTGTTGCTATGTGCAACAACTTGGCTGGGTCTCACAAACATCATGATACGTAAAGAAAGGCAGAAACAAAACAGTATTGTCTGTATAATTCTATTATATATACAGTTCAAAAACAGGCCAAACTTATCTATGGTGTTAAAACTCAGGGTGACTTCTTCTGGGCAGGAGGGAGTTTCCTGGACATAGGTTTAATGGACAGTATAGGGGCTTGAGATCCTTTGTACTTTGTCTGTGCCCTGCCTCCAGCCCCATTCACTCCCACCTTTGCCTCTCAGGGACTTTCAATGGCCAGTACTTGCTGCACCTTCATGGACAAAGTTTTGTCCAAGGGCACAGAGAGCCAAAAGGATCTGAGAGTTTGTATTTTCTCTCGCCATGGGGTCATTACCACTGATTATCACTGGGAATAAGGAATCCAGGCCCCGTGACGTGGAGCAGGGCAACCCTGAGACATACCCTACTCCTGAGGTCTCTCGCAAGGTCAGACTGAAGCTACCCTGCAGGAATTTTTTACTCTGACCACACCCTTCCTCACCTTCCCTATCCTGCTTCTCCCACTATGTCAACGGCCTTCCCTGGTGATTTACTCAATAATTCACTTGCGCACAAATTCTCATCTTGTTATTTGCTTTTGGAAAAATTAATCTGGATGAGCTGGAAATACTCAGCTTATGTTAAAAAGACTTGTTGAAAAAAGAAAGTATTGGCTATGCTGATATGGATAATTCATCAATGCATATAAGCATACTTTAAAAAAATGTTTATATATTATTCCTTTTTTATTATTCACATTTTTATTTTTTTATTTTTGAGGCAGGGCCTCCCTCTGTCACCCAGGCTGGAGTGCAGTGGTATGATATCAGCCCACTGCAACCTCCACCTACCAGGATCAAGCGATCCTCCCACCTTAGCCTCCTGAGTGCTAGCTATGACTACAGGCACACACCATGACACCTGCCTAATTTTTGTACTTTTTGTAGAGACAGGGTTTCGCCATGTTGCCCAGGCTGGTCTCAAAATCCTGGGATCAGGTAATCCACCTGCCTCAGCCTCTCAAAATGCTAGGATTACAGGTCTGAACCACCGTGCCAGGCCTACATTATTCTTAAATAAGGAAAGGTTTATTTTCTTATGAGTATTTCAAACCTTGTGACCAACATATTCCAGAATTATGCCCTAGAAAATTTTCATATATGGCTAGTCAGGTTATGCAGTGATTTATGTTTAGAAGAATTCATTACAAGGTTATTGAAATAGCAAATAAATTTTAAATACTGTAAATCCAAAATTAAGTGGTAAATTTAATAAAGTATATTATATCCAAATGACTAAATACTACTTATTTACTATAAAACACTTAAAATGGTTTAATGACATAAAAATGCTCAAGTATTATTAAATACCAAAAATCAAATTATGAGGCAGTACATATAGTTTCCATTTGGAAAACTAAAGTATCTTTATATGTTTTTACATATTTTTAACATATATCAAGACAGTAGCACCAGCTATCCCTAGGAGGTAAGTCCATAGCTAATTTTTCACTCTTTTCTTAAGTCATCTCCATATTTTCTCAGTTTTCTATAATAAATGTGTTTACATTTTAACCAGAAATGTAAAAAAAAAACAAATTATTTCCTCTAATAATAGCATACAACAGTGTCCACATCTCTGGAAATAAAGTAGCCTTTAAAAATGGGTTAATATCACATTTTTCAGGATGACTACTCTTTAAAAAAACACAGCAAGTTACAAGTGTTCGTGATGATGCAGAGAAGTTGGAACACTTGTGCATTGTTGGTGGAAATGTAAAATGGTACAGCTACTATGGAAAACAGCATGATAGTTCCTTAAAAGGTTTTTTAAAATTTACACTCCTAACAATAGTATATAAGTGTCCCCTTTTCTCCACAACCTAGCTAGCATCTGTTATTTTCTGACTGTTTAATAACAGCCATTCTGACTGGTGTGAGATGGTATCTCATTGCAGTTTTGATTTGTATTTCTCTAGTGATCAGTGATGTCGAGCTTTTTTTTATACGATTGTTGGCTGCATGTATGACTTCTTTTGAAAAGTGTCTGTTCATGTCCTTTGCCCACTTTTTTATGGGGTTGTTTGTTTTTTTCTCACAAATTTATTTATGTTCCTTATAAATGCTGGATATCAGACCTTTATCAGATGCATAGTTGGCAAAAATTTTCTCCCGTTCTGTAGGTTGTCTGTTTACTCTGTTGTTTCTTGTGCTGTGCAGAAGCTTTTTAGTTTAATTAGATTCAATTTGTCAATTTTTGCTTTTATTGCAATTGCTTTTGGCATCTTCTTCATGAAATCTTTGTCCGTGCCTATGTCCTGAATGGTATTGCCTAGGCTGTCTTCCAGGGTTTTTATAGTTTGGAGTTTAACATTTAAGTCTTTAGTCCCTCTTGGATTGATTTTTGTATATGGTATAAGGAAGGGGTTCAGTTTCAATCTCCTGTGTAGGGCTAGCCAGTTATCCCAGCACCATTAAAAATAAAAATAATTACCATATCGTGAAGCAATTTATACTCCTGGTTATGTATCTGAACACATTAAAATAGGATCTTAAAGAGATATTTGTATACTGAGGTTCAAAGCAGCATTATTTATAGTCACTTACAAGTGGAATTAACCCATGTGTCTAGTATCTTTATCAATGATAAAGAGATAAACAAAATGTAACATATATATAAACAATAGACTATTATTTAGCCTTATAAAGGAAGGAAATTCTGACATGTTTCAACATGGATGAACCTTGAAGACATTATCCCAGGTGAAATAAACCAGTCACAAAAAGGACAGATACTGTATTATTCTACTCATACGAGGTATCTAGAGTAGTCAAATTCATAGAAACAGAGAGTACAATGGTGGTTTCCAGGGATGGGCAGGGGGTAGGGGGAAATGGGGGACTGCTGTTTAAGGGATATAGAGTCACAGTTTTGCAAGCTGAAATAGTTCTGGAGACTGGTTGCACAACAAACATGAACAAACTTAGCGCTACTGAACTGTACATTTAAAAGTAGTTAAGATAGTAAATTTTATATTATGCGTGCTTTACCACAGTTTTTTTAAAAAAGAATAGATACTGCTATTTTCATTTAATGAATGTGTGAGTTGGAGCAATTCTAAGACTTGCAGTTTCGATCCTAGCACTGTCCTGCAAATGCTCACTCTGCTAATTAGCTCTGCATTGTCACTGATGGCCTTCTTTAATCTTGAAACTTTATGCACTAGACTAGCTTTGTCCAATATAAGTTTCTGCAATGGTGGAATTTTTTTTTTTTTTTACTTTTACCTTCTTTCTTTCTTTCTTTCTTTCTTTTTTTTTTTTTTTTTTTTTTGAGGCAGTGTCTCACTCTGTTTCCCAGGCTGAAGTGCAGTGGTGCCATCACAGCTCACTGAAGCCTCATCTTCCTATGTTCAAGGGATCCTTCTACTTCAGCCTCCCAAGTAACTGGGATCACAGGAGCATGTCACCATGTCCAGCTAATCTTTTGTTCATTTTATTTTTTGTAGAGATAGATTCTCACCGTGTTGCCCAGGCTGGTCTCAAACTTCTAGGCTCAAGTGATCCTCTGGCCTCAGCCTTTGAAAGTGCTAAAATTACAGGTGTGAGCCACCATGCTCAGCTGGAATTTTCTATATTTGTGTTATCCAGCTAGGTAGCTGCTAGCCACATGTGGCTACTGAGCACTTGAAATGTGACTAGTGTTACTAAGCACCTCTATTATTTTCTTTTATTTAATTATACATAATTTTAAGTATCTACATGTGGCTGGTGGCTACATATTAATGGCTGTCCAGATTTTGATATTCATCCTCTTCTACCACTGGACAGACTTTTATTGCGATAATTTTCAGAAAACAAAAGCAAAACTTACCCCCCAAAAATGTTCCCATTTTGCTCTTCTTGACAGATTACAGTTATCCTAGGTGTTAGAATCATATATCCCCTAAACACTGTGCTTTCTCTGCCATTCCCACATAAAGAGCCTTTTCTATGATATCCCTTTTTATTTGCTCTGCTGGCAAACATTTATCATTGTGAAATAGCTGATAAGCACTTTGCTGAGTCTCCAATTGTTATCAGATTACAAGGGCCTATAGGGGATCATCGGTGAAGCTCAAGTCAAGACAGTTAAAGTAATTTGGGGGGAACTACAGCTGCTCAGGTCTAATCAGCTGCTTCTGGGATGCCGTTATTTTACCTGGGGAAGTCAGGCATTCAGAGAGATGGCTGGCCTAATTATAGAATAAGCTACATAGAGAAGGCACCAAAACAAACTGTTGAGGGAGGCAAGGAAAAGCATTGGAATCAGATGGCTCTGGGCTTACTTCCATCTATGCTGCATACTATCTATCATCTCGAACAAGTCCAAAACTGCTCTGCCACCACCATATTTTGGATCTACAGGATGAGAATAATAGCACATTCAGATGATTAAGCCTGGCATAGAAAGATCAATCAGTAAATGGCATCTTTTAAAAATGGCTAACTCCGTGTCCCATGCTCTTTGTTCAATTACTTCATCTTCATCTCTGCATTTATTTGGCTGTGACAGAAATAAGATAGTTATAGCCCCACCTGCTTTTTAAGGAAGGTATCCCTGTGGGCTTGGCCCTTAATTTTGCTTGTCAAAATACTATGTTGCAGAGATAAGTCACTAAGTAATCTATTTAGGTATAATGAAGTTACATTGTTTATTTGCTGGGTTTGTTGTTTTTGTTTTTGTTTCTGTTTTTTCTTTTGGCCTGGAGGTGGGCTGGGAATGGAAGGGAATCCAAGAGATGGGAGATGGACAAGAAAAGCTGAATGTGCTGGGAGCAGTAGCAAGAAGGGAAAACACAACTCTGGTACAGCCAAAAAATGACTTTGAAGACTCAGAATATCTCTAGGAATTCTTAAATTATTGGCTGTCAAGCATGTGGTGTAAATTCTTCCTTTCACACTCTCACAAATTGTTTCATAGAATTTGCTTTGCTTATTAGAGCTTTTTGCATGAATGAATGCCTTTTTAAGAAACTCAATGAGATGCCCAATTCTGCATCCGTATGAGCGTGAGACTAAAACAAAGAGAGAATTGGCATACATCTGGGTCACCCATTCATCTACCCATTATTCTAGAGTTTTGATCCACCAGACTTGATCGAGATTACTTTGCTGAGCATCTCATCATGTAAGATATCACCAGGCCAAAGGAAGGAGTTACAATCTTTGGTCTTACAGATCTTATGGTATAAGAAGAAGGACAAGTATGATATTAAGGGACCTGAAAAGGATGTTGAAGAATTTCTAGCACATATGCCTCATGTCACTGAAAAAGAAAAATAAGGCTTTCAGGCTCAGTAGGGCCAGGTGATTGCTGCTTAGTGTCATAGCCAGGGCCTAGAGCTTTGATTTTGGATACACAGAATAATGGTCTTTTTGTTACACTGATAAAGCCAAATGCCACATCCAGATAAAGGAGAGGCTGATCTTTCCATAATTATCTCAACCAAGTCCAATAACAAGGTGTTATCTGAGATGGGCTGTGTCAGACAATATTAATTGTTTCCTGGTGTCTCTTTTTACCTTTGTTTTCAGTGTTAGAGCAACAAACAAACCAATCCTAGTTCTTAGCTAAGTCTCCATTCTCTAGCTCCTAGTGTGCTCAATTGTCGTCCCATGTGTATGTTTGACTGGTGAGGAGAAGCTATACATGAATTGCCTTGTGCAGTTCCAGGCAGTTCCCCTAAAGGATGGCAATGGGTCCTTAACCCCCATGTTCCACCTCTATGACAGCCCACTGCTATGACTAGGTAGATCAGCTCAAATCACTTTATGTACAGCATGCTTTGATTACCTCTAGCCCTCCTAGGTACCTATTTATTTGTTTGCTCTAATTTTCTGTGCCATGTATTCTCTCTTCAACTTTGGAATCTTATTTATCCTTAAAGTCCCAGCATAAGCCCTACCTCCTTCAAAAATCTTTGGCTAATGCTATGGTCTAAATATGTTTGTCCCCAGCCTTCCCAATTCATATGTTAAACCTAATCACCTAGGCAATGTTATTAGAAGATGGTGCCTTTGAAGGTGATTAGGTCATGAGGTTCTCCCCCATAAATGGAATTAATATCCCTGTAAAAGAGGATCCAGAGAGCTGTCTTGCCCTTTTGCCATGTGAGGACACATAGAAGTTGCCATTGATGAGGAACAGGCCCTCACTGGACATAGAGTTTGCTAGTGCTTTGATCTTGGACTTCCGGCCTCTAGAACAGGCCCTCACTAGACACAGAGCCTGCTAGTGTTTTGATCTGGGACTTCTGGCCTCTAGAACTGAGCAATGCATTTCTGTCATTTACAAATCACTCAGTCTAAGATATTTTGTTATAGCAGCCCAAATAGAGTAAGATAGATGACAACACCAACCTTCATTAACAATTTCTGCAGTCACCACTGGTA
This sequence comes from Homo sapiens, assembly GCF_000001405.40. Taxonomy (NCBI): domain Eukaryota; kingdom Metazoa; phylum Chordata; class Mammalia; order Primates; family Hominidae; genus Homo; species Homo sapiens. Next base: position 10,835,251 of record NC_000004.12, on the reverse strand, counting down.
TCAGCTATGTCAAGGCAAAGGCTGGAAGCCCATTCATGTAAACACTCCAGATTCCTCCTCTACCTCTAAGGCTCCTCCACTGAACACCAATCCTTTGCAGAGCATTGTGTGTGTGTGTGTGTGTGTGTGTGTGTGTGTGCGCGCGTGTGTGTGTGCACGCTGATGAGATAAAAGAGAGTGGAAAGAAAAAATGCCCATTAATGTGGCTAACAGAACATGGCTAAAGAAATATAGTGAAGGCAACCAAAACTACCAAACTATACAAAAACATTTGCCCAGTGTTTTAGGGTACCAAAGTATGTAAGTATGTGTGCAGCAAACGGTTATCTACTCCGTGAAGACCAAGGAAGGAGAAATTGACATGGCACCTACTTGGCACAAAAAGCCTAAACTAAGTTGCTGGAGGAAACAAAGCATTCCATATAGAGACATAAAATGAATATGTGTCTAAGCTTTAATTCATTAATTAATGAGGGAAGTGGAAAAGATGTTACAACTTTTTAGAGGAAAAGACAAAGAATCCAAAATGTACACATAGTAAAAGAATGTTAGCACTGGCCTGCAAAACCTTATCTGTCCATTGGACAATAATCAATTGCATTCCACTGGGCAGTTTGCTTTTATCTAGGCAAACCTATTTGCATTGCTATCAGTTTTCTACAACTTAACTTCTATCTTCCCAGAGTTGTAAAATAGCCAAATCAAGACAAAAGCTCAGGACATGATAAAATCAGATAATCCGCAGAGGCTTCATCATTCCATTGATACAGGATATCCACATATTTCCTTAGTTCATTCCAAAGTCTTAAGTTTTTCATTTTACTACTTATTCCTTCAACTTAACTTTCTGACTCTCATTTCTAGCCAAAGTTTGGTCCTCACAGCTCCTCAGTTAACTCTTTCTTGTTCCCCAGGTCTTCTGGACATGTGATCACCAACCCCTCCTTTGACACTACCCCACCTCTTCAGCCCACCCTCCCATACCTACTCACCTCTTTTCCTTCCTAGTCTCATTTTGAAGATCTCTTTCTCAGATAAGCACTCCTGGACCCCAAAATTAGATAGGATCTCCTTTTTTGTGCACATTTCTAATGCTAGATGCTTGCTCATTTTATGTTTGTAAGCTCAATGGATAAGATCTCTGTTTAATGCCTGGTGTAGTGAGAGAAAAAAAAAATCAATGGACTTAAGTCAATCTCAACATTCTCATGTATAATGAGAGAAATGATCCCTGCCTAACTACTGTCAAAATTGGAGTATCAAATCAGACCTACAGACAATGACAAATGGGCCTTACAAATAATAGAGGCATTTGTTATTAAAAAAAAAAGAAAAAAAATCCTTGGTAATTTCTACCTCTGACAGCCTTCTATGCTTATAAGATAAGGTCCAAAATATTCAATGAAAAGATCATGATAGAAAGAATATTTAAAAGGTAATTTAAAACATAGTTGATCCATAGCAAAAAGCAGACAATTTAGGCAGCATTTAAAAAATGCTAAAATAATACATACAAACATGAGGTTGGCGTATATTCATGAGCAAGACTGTCAGTTAATTCGGTAAATATTTATTTCCTTCTGACACATTCACTGTGTTCTTTGGGGTATTTATGGAGGGGCTTGGTAATGAGCTGTTTATTATTATCTAAAACAAACCGATGCACATGTGAAATGCAGCCACTTAATTAAAGAAGAATAAATAATTTCCCATTGTCAAAGCCTCCCACCCACCCAAACTCCAATCTCATGTCAGGCCTTGCCAAAGACACTTGAAAGCTATCAATTTACTGTCTGTACCGTATGGTGCTCACATGGAAAGCAGATCTACTGACTCGTTAAAGTGCACTAATTATTCCACAATTTTGAAAGTGAGAACATATGGGAGCTGTTTTCCTCGTGAGTGTTTCTGCTTCAAAAACAAAGTACATGAAACTGAACAAGTATTTTCCATAATCTATGTCGTTTGCAACTGTTATTCAAAGTTCACCAAATTCGCTAAAATTAAAAATGCTTAATTCCCCTTTGGTCAAAGGCTGTCTGATATTCAGTTCCTCCTTTCACATCTTTTTTTATTTTTATTGTTCTTCTTCCCACTAAGCTGTGACTACATCTACCAAGATGAGCACAGCTGAATTAAAAGTGATATATTCTGACCATTTAATTAGATGTTGGGTCAACAAATGGTGAGCAGCTGGTGTGATGCTTTTTTGTTTTCCCTAATCGAGCAGATGCCTTGGTGCTGTAAGGATACTGCTCTAAGGACAGAGAGCCCATCTGTAGGGGACACAGCAGTGTGGATCCCAGGCCAGGAATAGAGGATCTTGAAAAATGAAGAGAGCCTTTCTCAAACTGGAAGACTTGTATCTTTATTCCTGTGGCAGAAACCAGTCTCTGGCTTTCAGATGAAAACAGCTAAGGATCTGGCGCCCAACGGCACCTATTTTGAATGAGCTTATATCATTTATGGAAGCTCACAAATCCTGAACTAACACTGGGTTACTTGAAAACTAAGCCACATCATATCGGCATGTACAGTTGAGATTATTCAAGAATACTAATGTTTACCTAGATATTAACCATTACATTATTAATATCATTTTTTATTATTTTGCCTTTCTGCGTACATGGCCTTTGTCCTTGCTAGCCCGCATTTGCCTAGGGGAAAAAGTCAGAACTTTTCCCAGACAGAATGCAAGGAGGAGGAAGTTGATATAAAGCTTTTGACAGGCAGAAACAGGAAAGGCATTAGGACAAAGGCCCTGAAAGCCCGCCTATGGCCTCTAGCGTAACTTTTCCAAATCGTTATGTCTCCTCCTTTGGCCTAAGAACAACTAAGTCCAGGGGATCTATTGTCATAGCATTCTCCAGCAGCTTAAAAGAGAGATTCTTTCACTTACTGCAGGAAGAACAGGAACCCAGCCATTCCATGACAAACAGACAGGATGTGAGGACTACTAAGGGTTGAATTGAGTCCACCTGTGATACATTGAAGTCCTAACCGCCAGTACCTGTGATCATGACCCTATTACAAATAGGGCTGCTACAGATGGAATGAAGGTATCATGACGTCATTAGGGTAGGCCTTAATTTAATACTGCCTGTGTCCCTAGAAGAAGAGAGCCACTGGAAAACACAGGCACACAGGAGAATGCCATGTGCTGACATACAGACACAGGGAGAACACCATGTGATTATGGAAACAGACATTGGTGTGATTTATCTACAAGAAAAGGAAGGCCAAGAATGGCTCACATACACTAGGAGGTGGAAGAGACAGAGAAGTCTCTTTCTCAGGTTTCAGAGGGAGCAGGTTTCAAGGGCCCTGCTGATGCCTGATTTTGAACTTTTGACCTCCAGAAATATGAGAATAAATTTGTGTTGTTTTAGGTGACCCAATGTTTGGTTATTTGTTTTGGCAGTGTATTAGTCTGTTCTTATGCTGCTGTAAAGAACTGCCTGAGACTGGGTAATTTATAAAGGAAAGAGGTTTAATTGACTCACAGTTCCACAGGGCTGGGGAAGCCTCAGGAAACTTACAATCATGGTGGAAGGGGAAGCAAACATATCCTTCTTCACGTGGCAGCAGGAAGGAGAAGTGCCAAGCAAAGGGGGGAAAAGCCCCTTATAAAACCATCAGATCTCGTGAGAATTTACCATCACAATAACAATATGGGGGCAACTGTCCCCATGATTCAATTATCTCCCACCAGCGGCCTCCCATGACATATGGGGATTATAGCAACTACAATTCAAGATGAGACTTGGGTGGGGACCCAGCCAAACCATATCAGGCAACTGTAAGTAACTAATAGAAGAACAATGGGAAGACCAAAAACAAGAGACAGGAAGAAGGCAAGAACTGAAAATCTATGTCCTTATTTCCACTTTCCGGGCTTCTGCCTGGAAAATGGGGGAACATCAAGTAGATGCAAGTGACACCAAAGACTTGGGGGGAGGTGGGGGATCTTTGGCCGGGCTTCTCAGAGGACTTAGAAGGTAGCTACCTCACAGGTGTCCTGTGTCAACCTGAGGAGTGGTCTGGAAAGATAAACCTGGTGCTAAATGTGTCTGATAAAGGGACACAAACAGGTTTAGCTTTCTCCAGGGTTCCCTTGGTTCCCTTCTGTTATTCCCAAGGATCAGGAAGTGCTGGACCAATTCTGTTTTATATTAGAATTCCACATTTATCTGGGAGTTCTATTTACTGCTCTTCTTTATCTCTTTTTCCCTGTCATATATATTTGTTTCGAATCAGGTGGGAATTCAACTCCTGATTTTCCAATAAAGCAACCATTGTACAAGTTGGTTAAATGACAATTACTTTTCCTGGCATCCTAGTCTCTGTTAATGACATGAGTATTCATTGAATCACCCAGGCTTGATACCACAGATTCAGCTTTAGCACCCACCTCTCTCTCTCAATTGTAATGTCCTCTAGATCATTCCTTAATTTGGTCAACACTCCACTAGACCTTTTAAGATCAGCCTTCTACTTGCTTCATTCATTTAAGGAAAAAATAAAATTAAAGCTTACTATCCAGGGGTCAATTTTCTAGGTATTCAAGATTTAGTCATGTGTAAAATGAAAGTGGTGCCTGCCTTCACAGAGGACGCACAGTCTATTAACAAGGGTAGGTACAAACTAAATAATTAGCTAAATATCTCATTGAAACTGTCACAAATTCTGTGAAAAGAAAGTACAGGGTGCCCTACGGGATTATAACAGGAGAATTGGTCTAATCTGGGAAGTGGGTAAGGAAAGACTTCCCTGTGAGTTGACATGTGATATAAGATCCTATGAGTGAGTAGGAGTTACCTGGGTGGACGTAGGTGGTGGAGTGGAAGCTGGTGTTAAAAACCTTACATAAAGCCTGAAGGAGAGCATAATCATTAAAGGAACATTAAACAGGACAGCAGGATGGAAATGAAGACAGGGCCAAATTATGCAGGAGCAGTAACCATTTTAAGGATTTGTATGGGCTATTTAAAAAAGCAACAGAAAACCATTGTAGAGTTTCAACTAGATGGTGACAGTCATATCACCTGGCTTCACTGTGAAGATATGGAAGTGACAGCATGGGTGCTGGGAGGCAAAATGATCTCCATGTCAGTGGTCCTCAGCCTGGCTGCAGGTAAGCACAACCTGAGGGGCTGCCAAACCTGGAGCCTGGGACTACCCCATAGTCTCATGCAAGTCATTTGGGGACACCATGGGCATCTTAAATTTTAAAACTTCCTCCAGGTGAGTCTACTATGCAATTAATATTGAGAACCACTGTGGTATCTAGACAGTTAGATATTTTAGGGCAGGGTTGTTGGTTGTCTATTCATGCTGCTGTAACAAAATACCATAGACTGGGTGGCTCATAAACAACATACAGTTATTTCTCATAGTTCTGGAGGCTGGGAAGTCTAAGATCAAGATGCCAGCAGATTCAATGTCTGATGAAGGCCCACTTTCTGGTTCATAAATGGTGTCTTTTGTCTGTGTCCTCACATAGTGGAAAGGGTGAGGGGCTCTCTGAGACATCTTTTATAAAGGCACTAATCTCATTCATGAGGGCTCTACCTTCATGACTTAATCACCTCCCAAAGACCCCACTTCCTAATACTGTCACTGTGAAGGGCAGGATTTCAACATATAAATTTGGGGGAGACACAAACATTCAGACCATAGTGCCATCCCTCATTCCTGCCATAATATTTAGAATAGCATGTGGTGTAATACATTAGTCTGGAAACTTTATAACTTTATAAAAATAGTGGAGCATATAATACTGTTCATTCATCTGCTTATTTCCTTTATAACATCAGAAAGTTTTCATTTACACTGTTGTCTCTAAATAAAATATTCTACCTTACCTCAGAAATAATGCCTACCTTACTGTATATGTAGTTTTTCTTTCTCTTTTAAAATGTAGCACCAGAAGATGGCCGAATAGGAACAGCTCTGGTCTACAGCTCCCAGCCTGAGCGACGCAGAAGACGGGTGATTTCTGCATTTCCATCTGAGGTACCGGGTTCATCTCACTAGCGAGTGCCAGACAGTGGGCGCAGGTCAGTGGGTGGGCGCACTGTGCGTGAGCCGAAGCAGGGCGAGGCATTGCCTCACTTGGGAAGCGCAAGGGGTCAGCAAGTTCCCTTTCTGAGTCAAAGAAAAGGGTGACAGATGGCACCTGGAAAATCGGGTCACTCCCACCCGAATACGGCGCTTTTCCGATGGGCTTAAAAAATGGCACACCACAAGATTATATCCCGCACCTGGCTCGGAGGGTCCTACACCCACGGAGTCTCGCTGATTGCTAGCACAGCAGTCTGAGATCAAAGTGCAAGGCGGCAGCGAGGCTGGGGGAGGGGCGCCCGCCATTGCCCAGGCTTGATTAGGTAAACAAAGCAGCCAGGAAGCTCGAACTGGGTGGAGCCCACCACAGCTCAAGGAGGCCTGCCTGCCTCTGTAGGCTCCACCTCTGGGGGCAGGGCACAGACAAACAAAAAGACAGCAGTAACCTCTGCAGACTTAAATGTCCCTGTCTGACAGCTTTGAAGAGAGCAGTGGTTCTCCCAGCAGGCAGCTGGAGATCTGAGAATGGGCAGACTGCCTCCTCAAGTGGGTCCCTGATCCCTAACCCCCGACCCCCGGGCAGCCTAACTGGGAGGCACCCCCCAGCAGGGGCACACTGACACCTCACACGGCAGGGTATTCCAACAGACCTGCAGCTGAGGGTCCTCTCTGTTAGAAGGAAAACTAACAAACAGAAAGGACATCCACACCAAAAACCCATCTGGACATCACCATCATCAAAGACCAAAAGTAGATAAAACCACAAAGATGGGGAAAAAACAGAACAGAAAAACTGGAAACTCTAAAAAGCAGAGTGCCTCTCCTCCTCCAAAGGAACGCAGTTCCTCACCAGCAACGGAACAAAGCTGGATGGAGAATGACTTTGACGAGCTGAGAGAAGAAGGCTTCAGACGATCAAATTACTCTGAGCTACGGGAGGACATTCAAACCAAAGGCAAAGAAGTTGAAAACTTTGAAAAAAATTTAGAAGAATGTATAACTAGAATAACCAATTCAGAGAAGTGCTTAAAGGAGCTGATGGAGCTGAAAACCAAGGCTTGAGAACTACGTGAAGAATGCAGAAGACTCAGGAGCCGATGAGATCAACTGGAAGAAAGGGTATCAGCGATGGAAGATGAAATGAATGAAATGAAGCAAGAAGGGAAGTTTAGAGAAAAAAGAATAAAAAGAAATGAGCAAAGCCTCCAAGAAATATGGGACTATGTGAAAAGACCAAATCTACGTCTGATTGGTGTACCTGAAAGTGATGGGGAGAATGGAACCAAGTTGGAAAACACTCTGCAGGATATTATCCAGGAGAACTTCCCCAATCTAGCAAGGCAGGCCAACGTTCAGATTCAGAAAATACAGAGAACGCCACAAAGATACTCCTCAAGAAGAGCAACTCTAAGACACATAATTGTCAGATTCACCAAAGTTGAAATGAAGGAAAAAATGTTAAGGGCAGCTAGAGAGAAAGGTCGGGTTACCCTCAAAGGGAAGCCCATCAGACTAACAGCGGATCTCTCGGCAGAAACCCTAAAAGCCAGAAGAGAGTGGGGGCCAATATTCAACATTCTTAAAGAAAAGAATTTTTAACCCAGGATTTCATATCCAGCCAAACTAAGCTTCATAAGTGAAGGAGAAATAAAATCCTTTACAGACAAGCAAATGCTGAGAGATTTTGTCACCACCAGGCCTGCCTTACAAGAGCTCCTGAAGGAAGCACTAAACATGGAAAGGAACAATCTGTACCAGCCGCTGCAAAATCATGCCAAAATGTAAAGACCATCAAGACTAGGAAGAAACTGCATCAACTAACGAGCAAAATAACCAGCTAACATCATAATGACAGGATCAAATTCACACATAACAATATTAACTTTAAATGTAAATGGACTAAATGCTCCAATTAAAAGACACAGACTGGCAAATTGGATAGAGAGTCAAGACCCATCAGTGTGCTGTATTTAGGAAACCCATCTCACGTGCAGAGACACACATAGGCTCAAAATAAAAGGATGGAGGAAGATCTACCAAGCCAATGGAAAACAAAAAAAGGCAGGGGTTGCAATCCTAGTCTCTGATAAAACAGACTTTAAACCAACAAAGATCAAAAGAGACAAAGAAGGCCATTACATAATGGTAAAGGGATCAATTCAACAAGAAGAGCTAACTATCCTAAATATATATGCACCCAATACAGGAGCACCAAGATTCATAAAGCAAGTCCTGAGTGACCTACAAAGAGACTTAGACTCCCACACATTAATAATGGGAGACTTTAACACCCCACTGTCAACATTAGACAGATCAACGAGACAGAAAGTCAACAAGGATACCCAGGAATTGAACTCAGCTCTGCACCAAGAAGACCTAATAGACATCTACAGAACTCTCCACTCCAAATCAACAGAATATACATTTTTTTCAGCACCACACCACACCTATTCCAAAATTGACCACATACTGGGAAGTAAAGCTCTCCTCAGCAAATGGAAAAGAACAGAAATTATAACAAACTATCTCTCAGACCACAGTGCAATCAAACTAGAACTCAGGATTAAGAATCTCACTCAAAACCGCTCAACTACATGGAAACTGAACAACCTGCACCTGAATGACTACTGGGTACATAACGAAATGAAGGCAGAAATAAAGATGTTCTTTGAAACCAACGAGAACAAAGACACAACATACCAGAATCTCTGGGACGCATTCAAAGCAGTGTGTAGAGGGAAATTTATAGCACTAAATGCCCACAAGAGAAAGCAGGAAAGATCCAAAATTGACACCCTAACATCACAATTAAAAGAACTAGAAAAGCAAGAGCAAACACATTCAAAAGCGAGCAAAAGGCAAGAAATAACTAAAATTAGAGCAGAACTGAAGGAAATAGAGACACAAAAAACCCTTCAAAAAATTAATGAATCCAGGAGCTGGTTTTTTGAAAGGATCAACAAAATTGATAGACCGCTAGCAAGACTAATAAAGAAAAAAAGAGAGAAGAATCAAATAGATGCAATAAAAAATGATAAAAGGGATATCACCACCGATCCCACAGAAATACAAACTACCATCAGAGAATACTACAAACACCTCTACGCAAATAAACTAGAAAATCTAGAAGAAATGGATAAATTCCTGGACACATACACTCTCCCAAGACTAAACCAGGAAGAAGTTGAATTTTTGAATAGACCAATAACAGGAGCTGAAATTGTGGCAATAATCAATAGCTTACCAACCAAAAAGAGTCCAGGACCAGATGGATTCACAGCTGAATTCTACCAGAGGTACAAGGTGGAACTGGTACCATTCCTTCTGAAACTATTCCAATCAATAGAAAAAGAGGGAATCCTCCCTAACTCATTGTATGAGGCCAGCATCATTCTGATACCAAAGCCAGGCAGAGACACAACAAAAAAAAGAGAATTTTAGACCAATATCCTTGATGAACATTGATGCAAAAATCCTCAATAAAATACTGGCAAAACGAATCCAGCAGCACATCAAAAAGCTTATCCACCATGATCAAGTGGGCTTCATCCCTGGGATGCAAGGCTGGTTCAATATATGCAAATCAATAAATGTAATCCAGCATATAAACAGAGCCAAAGACAAAAACTACATGATTATCTCAATAGATGCAGAAAAAGCCTTTGACAAAATTCAACAATCCTTCATGCTAAAAACTCTCAATAAATTAGGTATTGATGGGATGTATTTCAAAATAATAAGAGCTATCTATGACAAACCCACAGCCAATATCATACTGAATGGGCAAAACCTGGAAGCATTCCCTTTGAAAACTGGCACAAGACAGGGATGCCCTCTTTCTCCACTCCTATTCAACATAGTGTTGGAAGTTCTGGCCAGGGCAATTAGGCAGGAGAAGGAAATAAAGGGTATTCGATTAGGAAAAGAGGAAGTCAGATTGTCCCTGTTTGCAGATGACATGATTGTATATCTAGAAAACCCCATTGTCTCAGCCCAAAATCTCCTTAAGCTGATAAGCAACTTCAGCAAAGTCTCAGGATACAAAATCAATGTACAAAAATCACAAGCATTCTTATACACCAACAACAGACAAACAGAGAGCCAAACCATGAGTGAACTCCCATTCACAATTGCTTCAAAGAGAATAAAATACCTAGGAATCCAACTTACAAGGGATGTGAAGGACGTCTTCAAGGAGAACTACAAACCACTGCTCAAGGAAATAAAAGAGGATACAAACAAATGGAAGAACATTCCATGCTCATGGGTAGGAAGAATCAATATCGTGAAAATGGCCATACTGCCCAAGGTCATTTACAGATTCAATGCCATCCCCATCAAGCTACCAATGACTTTCTTCACAGAATTAGAAAAAACTACTTTAAAGTTCATATGGAACCAAAAAAGAGCCCGCATCGCCAAGTCAATCCTAAACCAAAAAAACAAAGCTGGAGGCATCACACTACCTGACTTCAAACTTCAAACTATACTACAAGGCTACAGTAGCCAAAACAGCATGGTACTGGTACCAAAACAGAGATATAGATCAATGGAACAGAACAGAGCCCTCAGAAATAATGCCACATATCTACAACTATCTGATCTTTGACAAACCTGAGAAAAACAAGCAATGGGGAAAGGATTCCCTATTTAATAAATGGTGCTGGGAAAACTGGCTAGCCATATGTAGAAAGCTGAAACTGGATCCCTTCCTTACACCTTATACAAAAATCAATTCAAGATGGATTAAAGACTTAAACGTTAGACTGGATTAAGAAAATGTGGCACATATACACCATGGAATACTATGTAGCCATAAAAAATGATGAGTTCATGTCCTTTGTAGGGACATGGATGAAATTGGAAATCATCATTGTCAGTAAGCTATCGCAAGAACAAAAAACCAAACACTGCATATTCTCACTCATAGGTGGGAATTGAACAATGAGATCACATGGACACAGGAAGGGGAATATCACACTCTGGGGACTGTTGTGGGGTGGGGGCAGGGGGGAGGGATAGCATTGGGAGATATACCTAATGCTAGATGACGAGTTAGTGGGTGCAGCGCACCGGCATGGCACATGTATACATATGTAACTAACCTGCACAATGTGCACATGTACCCTAGAACTTAAAGTATAATTTAAAAAAAAAAAAGTTAATCATAACCCTTATGACATACCATATGCAAAAACTAACTCACCATGGATAATAGACCAAAATTAGAACTATAAAATCTTTTCAAAATGTAGAATATTTTTAAAACCTTGAACTATAAAGCTATTTTCTAGATAAGACACAGAACAAATTGGACGTTTTCAAAAATGAAAAACTTTTCCTCATCAAAAGATACCATTAAGAAAATTCAGATAATGACTTAGACTGAGAGAAAATATTTACAATAGATATATCTGGCAAGGGACTTGTATCCAAAATATGTAATGAAGTGGTACTTAATAAAAAGACAAACAACCCAGAGTTTAAAATGTAATAGAATACATAATATGCTTATATATAATATAATAAGCACAGTACTTTAACAAGCACTTCACACGCACACACAAGCACACACACACACACATATATATACCATTTGTATATGTGGTATATATATATACATTTGTATATGTATATACAAATGGCATACATATGCCAATAAGCACATGAAAATGTGTTCAAAATCATTAGTCATAAAAGGAGTATAAATTAAAACAAAGGTTGTCAAGGATGTATAGCAACTGGGATGCTCATATATTGTTGGTGGAAAGGGTAAGTGGTAAAACTTCTTTGGAAAACAATTTGGCAGGTTCTCAGAAAGTTAAATCTATATTTCCCATATGTCCCTGTAATTTTACTTCTAGGTATTTATTTAAGGAAAATGAAAATATTTTTTCTACACAAACACTTGTATATGAATATTCACAAAAATTTTGTAAGACCCCCAAACTGGGGGAAAAGAAACTCAAATGTCTATCAACAAATAAATATAAGAAAGAATTCCACAATATCCACGCAGTTGGAATACTACTTGGCCACAAAAAGCAACAAACAACTGCTATATGGAAAAACAAAGATCAATCTCAAAAACATTATTATTACTATTATTATTATTATTATTTATTTATTTATTTATTTATTTATTTATTTTTTGAGACGGAGTCTCTCACTCCATCACCCAGGCTGGAGGGCAATGGTGCCATCTCGGCTCACCACAACCTCCGCCTCCCGGGTTCAAGCGATTCTCTTGCCTCAGCCTCCCAAGTAGCTGGGATTACAGACATGCATCACCATGCCCGTCTAATTTTTATATTTTTAGTAGAGACGGGGTTTTGCCATGTTAGCCAGACTGGTCTTGAACTACTGACCTCAAATGATTTGTCTGCCTTGGCCTCCCAGTGTGCTGGGATTACAGGCATGAGCCACTGTGCCCAATCTCAAAAACATTATTCTAAAAGAGATCAGACACAAGACGTTGTATTCTATATAATTTCATTCGATGAAATTCCATGATAGGCAAAACCAAAATCCAGTCTTTAGTGATAGAAAACACACCAGTGGTTGCTTGGGACCAGGAGTTCTTGAGGGCATTGAATGGAAAGAGGTGGAGAATTGTGGGGGGTGATAGAAATGCTCTATACCTTGATTGTAGTGGTTGTTTGATGAGTAAACATATTTGTCAAAACTCAATTAACTGGGTGCATTCTAATTATGTAAATCACACTCCAATCAAATAGATTTAAATTGTTTAAATGCCCAAAGCATGAGCATGGAGAAGAGTGGTAAAGTTAAATGCATATCAAGGCAAGAAATTAAGAGTGAGATACTCTAGTGTGTCAGAAGGCAAGAGTACTATCAAGGCAGTTACAGGTCTTGTCAAACAGCACTAGAACAGGCAATGAAGCAGCTGCCACTGGCCAAATATAGGGCCATTTGAACATCAAAAAGAATAATAAATGCAATCAGTTGAAACACATTTAATATTGAAAAACCAATAGATTTCATAATAAGAGAGAGGAAAAGAAGGGGTAGGGAGACTGAGACAGAAAGACAGAAATAGAGAGAAAGAGACAGATCCTTATAGAGACCGTTGGAAGTAACTGGACATTTGGGCTACCAACTTATTTCCCCGAAAATCAACAGTTGAAGGAAAATAATGTCTATCTTGCATTTCCTGTACACACTGTAGAGCACAGAAACCGAATATGCCTAGAAGATAAAAATAATTTCTTATTTACACAATAATTCAGCTCATGAATTAGGAAGAAATCAGAAAGTTCTTCTTTTAATTGCCAGCTGAAATCCTTAGCTCAGGTAATGACTATCTATGCATAAAAAATTTGTGAAAAGTTACCTTATTATTGAAAAGACAATATAATGGTAAAATTGAGCATTCTACCCAAACCCACCGATCATTTTAGTGCCGACTACAGTGGGACAACAACACATTGTGTATTTCCTGGCATGATGCAAAATAAGCCATAGTATGAAGTGTTACTGTGCAAAATATTAAAATTGAGTCTAACCAAGCTTAAAATGGCAACTTCCATGCACGGAAAATACAGGGGTATATAAGAATACATTAAATGAAACCACCACGAAGCAAACAGATGCAGCCATAATATGGGATTATCTACAGAAAATTGAAGCCAGTATCTGCAACAATATTATGACCAAAAGAAAAAATAAAACTGATGGCCTGTATTACCTTAACAATGTGTTAATGTGTTATTGGTTCAGAATTAGGCAAAAAGAGAAATAGAACAGAATAGAGAATCTAGAACTCATTACAAAGCAAGAGCTGTATGTCTAAATCAGCAGAAGAAGTTGTAAATTATCCAATAAATGTTTTGTGACAGTGATATAAATATCAGAGAATAATGATAATAAAGTTGCCTCTACATCATAAAAATATAATTACAGATGCAAGTACATAAGTATAGAAAATGCTATTATAGGCCGAGGCAGGCTGATCACCTGGGGTCAGGAGTTCGAGACCAGCATGACCAACATGTTGAAACCCCGTCTCTACTAAAAATACAAAAATTAGCCGGGCATGGTGACGTGCACCTGTAATCCCAGCTATTCAGAAGGCCGAAGCAGGAGAACCACTTGAACCCTGGAGGCAGAGGTTGCAGTGAGCTGAGATTGCACCATTGCACACCAGCCTGAGCAACAAGAGCGAAACTCCATCTCAAAAAAAGAAAAGAAAAGAAAAAGAAAAGAAAAAGAAAATGCTATTATAATGTCATAAAAATTTTTAAAAAATTTTAAATCTTGGAATAGAAGATCTTCCTCTTTAAAACACTAAAAGCAGGATCCATAAATAGAAATTTTGATAATTTGAGACAAAAATGTTAAAACTAAGGTATGATTTTTTAAAGTGACAGGCAAATACTTAACTGAAAAAAAAGTCTTCAAGCTACATAATAGAGAAAGCATTAGTTTACAAACTATATAAAGAACTTCTACAAATCAATAAGAAAGAGAGACACAAGAAAACGCTAAAGGAAAGTGGGTAAATGATATGACCAAACATTTTATACAAAAGGAAAAAATGAGAAATTAGCACACAAAGATACTAATTCATCTCTGTAATAATATTAAAATAAAAATAATAAAGATATAACAGTAATAGCAATATAAGTAATAATAAATATATAAAATAAATATAAGATATATAACATAAACATATGTAATTATATGTAAAGATACATAATGTAATATAGATATATAATTTTTTACATCACAAAATAGGAAAAAGTAATTTAAGTTGAACCCTGCCCACTATTGGCAAGTTTGTGGAGAAATGAGTACACTCTCAAATGTGTATTGGGGGTGAACATTTTTCCCCATTTATGATGTTTCTTTTTATGTAGGGAAAGCTCCATTTGCATAACACACCTCTCTCTGCCTCTCAATTATTTGTTTCTATGAGACAAATGATTAAGATGGTTGGGAATTTTGGAAAATAAAACTGAGCAACTCTGTGTAACTTCGCTTCTTTCTTCTCCATATCTCTTGATAGTAGAGAGTTCAAATTCAGCAGACTTTCTGCTTTGGAGTACATGGTATTTTCTGGGCCTGTAGTTGAGAGATCAAGCAGGGAAGGCTTCCCCAATGTGGAGATTTTGGAAGAGAAGTACAGTATATCTAACCCTGAGATTCAGTATAGAAAATTTACTTGCATGCTACTGTCGTCTGAATATTTGTGTCCTTTCAATACTCATGTGTTAAAATCCTAGCCCCTAAAATGATGGTATGAAGGTGATTAGGTCTTGAGGGTGGAGCCCTCTTGTTCAGGGTTAATGCCGTTATAAAAGAGGCCGCTGAGAGCGGCCTTGCTTTTCCCACCATGTGAGGACACAACTAGAAGTTACTGTCTATGAGAAACAAGCCCTCACCAGACACTGAATCTGCTAGCACCTTGATCACAGGCTTTATAGCCTCCAAAACTATGAGTAATACACTTCTGTTGTGTATTTATTTATTTATTTCCTTTTTTTTTATTTTTTTGAGACGGATTCTCCTTCTGTCACCCAGGCTGGAATGCAGTGGCGCCATTTTTGCTCACTGCAACCTCCACCTCCTGGATTCAAGCAATTCTCCTGCTTCAGTCTCCTGAGTAGCTGAGATTACAGGTGCCCACTACCATGCCTGGCTAGTTTTTGTGTTTTTAATAGAGACAGGGTTTCACCATGTTGGCCAGGCTGGTCTTGAACTCCTGACCTCAAGTGATCCGACCACCTCAGCCTCCCAAAGTGCTGGAATTACAAGTGTGAGCCACCACACCCATCCCACCTCTGTTGTTTATAAGCTACCCAGTTTATGGGATTTTTGGTATAACTGTCTGAATAGACTAACACATCTGCAAAAATAAGCTACTTTATCTAAGATCAATTTATCAGTAACAAAGTAGAATTTTTGCTTTAATCCACCATATTAGTCTTTGTATTTATTGCTGCATATTGAACATCCCTGTTCTTTGTGACTTGAAACTACTTTTGTGTATTAGAATTCCATGTATTGACTGCCAGTGGGGTAGTTAATATTTGGGCTTCTCACAACAATTGCAGTCAAACAGCAGCTGAAGTTAAAGTCATTTGAAGGCTCAAGTGGGCTCGCCATCTAAGATGGCCCATGCAGATTTCTGTTATTAGATGATGGCTTTCAGCTCATTGGTTATCTAGGAATGCTGACCAGAACACCCTCTCATGTGGCTTGGGCTTCTTATTGCATTGCAGCTCTGCTCCAAATGAGTACCCCCCAGAGTGAAGATTATAAGATATCCAAGTAGAAACTACAGGGCTTTTTATAGCCTACATTTGAGTTCCACAGACATCACTTCTGTCACATTCTTTTGGTCAAGGCTACTCACCAGGGCCAGCCCTGATTCTAGGGGAGGAGAATTAGACTCTACCTTTCAATGTGAAGAGAGGCAGGTGAGTATGGGTAAGAAAAGGCAAATGGTAATCATCTTTGATTTCTACCTCACACAACGTTCTTCTCATTTCTCAATCATTTCAGAATTTAGACAAGGAAGAAGAGAAGCTTTTTATTGGGCTCCCACAAACACACAACAAAACTGTTCATGGGAATATTTTAGAGGGCAACATGGAAGTATCAACCGATATAAGAAGTAATGTAACTACCAATATTAATTCTGGGATCTCTCTGAAAGATTTGTTCATTCATGCACACAAAGATATTTGTACAAAGTAGTCTGTGTCTGTATTATTTGTGTTAACAAGCAACAGAAACAGTGTAAATGATCACCAGGGAGGTGGTGATAAAATCTGCGGTAGATCTTTAAAATAAAACACTATGCAAAAGTTCAAAAGGTAGATACAAATGCAAATGACACAGAAAGCTTTCCAAGACTTACTCTGTGACTTGCCTTTTACATATAATAATGATATTAATAATGCAAAAATGTTAATCAGGTACGTATGATTTCATTAGAAAATAATTTATAAGACTATGCAATACAAGTTTAAGAATGGTTTGTTCTTGGGAGAATATTGGGAGAGTGATGCTAAGGAAGTCTTAAGCTTACTCTAAACCGAATGTTTTATAACAATAACGCATTCTTATATTACTTGTGTAATTTTAAAGTAGATTTTAAAACATATAATAGAGATAAAAAATCTATTGGTAAAACCATTATTTTAATGATTTATTAATCTTTCTTGAACTTGTTCAACAGTAATGTATTTCTCAGACAGGTATAGCAGGTAACACCTACAAAAACCTCACTGTATTTCAAGGGTTAATAAATAACACCCCTTTTTTCCTAATTGTGTTGAGAAGTAATTAAACGATGGATAGAGGAATCAGACCAATGGACATCTTCATGTAAACTTTATTGCTGGTTAAAGCTAAGTTAGAGGTCTTGGCTTAAATGCAAAATCATATGAGCTACAGCTCATTCTACAACCCCAGAAATACGCTAGTCTTGTCAGTTACTGGAAAGGTTTTAAAACTACAGGACCACTACAAGGGAACCCGCCCTTGTAAAATTTACTGCATAAGGAAGCAGGGAATATATAGGCCAGCAAATTTGCTTCAGATATGTGGTAGGCAGAGTTCTAAGATCACCCCTCAAATTCTTGGCCTCTGGTGAACAACATATCCATTTTCTCAGTTATTCAATCAAATACTAATCTAGGTGTTTCTCTGAAGGAATTTTGCAAATATAATTTAGGTCCAAAACCAGTTGACCTTATTATGAGGGAGATTATCCAGGTAGGCCTGGCCTAATCACATGAGCCCTTTAAAACTGGGCTAAAGGTCAGAGATGAAGAAGTCAGCGATTGGAAGCATGCTCTGGCTGCCTTAAAGCTGGAGGGGACCTAGTCTCAAGGAATGTGGGCTGCCTTTAAGTGCTGAGACTGCCACTGGTGGACATCCATTGAGCAACTGGAAAACCTTAGTACACAGTGACAAGGAACTGAATCCTGCCAATGCAAACAATGAGCTTGGATGCAGATGTTTTCCAGAGCCCCCAGACCGGACATCAGCCTAGCCAACACTTTGATGTCAGTCTTGGGATGCCGTGAACAGAGAACCCAATCACACCATGCCAGACTTCTGACCTACAGAGCTGTGAGCTAATAAATGGGTATTGTTTTCCTCCACTAGGTTTGTAATATTTTGTTACACAGCAATAAAAAGCTGATGTACAAAGGAAGAAGACTAGAAAGAGTTAAGCCCTGAATGCACCAAACAGAAAAGTGGAAGAAAGATGGAGAGAGTGGAGAGAGGCCTGCAGGTTACTTTAGTGGATGTTCTGCCACCTGGAAACACGGGAATGGGGAGTGAGCGTTCCCTGTTCGCGTAGGCTCGGCAACGTTCACCATTAGCTCCAGATGGGAACTTCCTGATGACCTAGCCCAGTGTTCTCAACAGAGGCCCCATTCACATTTTCAGCAGGACAAGCCTTTGTTATACTGGGCTGTCTTATGCATTACAAGAGGTTTACTTTTCCTGGGCCTCACCCATTAAATGTCAGATGTATTCCTCCAAACATCGGGGCAACCAGAAATACTCTCTAGCATTCCTATATGCCCTCAGACTGGCTGAGAATCATTCGGACCACACTGGCTGAGAACCAATGAAGCTCAACCCCGTATATTACAGATAAAGAAAGTGAGAGCAAGAGAGAGAAAGGGTCTTTGAGAAGGTCTCATAGCCTTTCCGTGTCAGTACTACAGGTAGGATTCCTAGTAGACTGTTTTTGCAAACATAAATTATACATGGAATATTTTAGTATAAGGTCTTTACCATTCTGGCCACCTGACATGATTCTGGACACCCATGTCTCCCTCCTATACATCACCAAGTGATTGCTCAAATGTCACCCTTTCAGAAAAGCGTTTGTGATCCTCCTATCTAAAATTGCAGTGCCCCCGCACACATACATTATCAGTATTCAGTACTTACCATCTTCCTTCCCTAATTTATTTTTTACATAATACTTATGACCTTTTAACAGACTTGTAAGATGTACTGATTTTTTTTTTAATTTTGGTCTGTCTAGACTACAACTATAAAATAAACTCCAAGAGTGAAGGATTTCAGTCCACTTTGTTCCTTCTGTGTCCCCGGTACCTGTATCATTGCCTGACACCTGGGCGGCACTCAGTATTAATGGAATAAATAAATGAGTGGAGCCATTATGCCAAGTATTTCATACAAGTAATTATTTTCTTTCCTTCTGTTTGGAAAGAAAAATAAATGTTAGAATTAATAAAATCACTTTGTATTTACTAACAACTATTTCACAGGAACAACTATGAAAAATATGGTGAAGAAGTTTATGAAAACAAAGTATATTCAGTAAAAGGTTTTTGTATTAGATTTGATAAAATAGGGTATCCAGCAAAGAAAATTGTTTTATTTTCTCAGTCAAAAATAATATTTTACTTTTTAAATAAAATTGGGTCATGCATAGTGTATTTATTTTTTATAAATTAAGTGTTGGTCAGCTCTGACACTAATAATATGAATTCAAAATCTTTTAAATTTTGCAGGAGATTGTTAATCTAAATTTTTCTTCTACTGCACCCTCCCTAGACTAACAAGGTCAACAGTTGGGTTTTTGTTGTTGTTGTTGTTGTTTTGTTTTTTTGTTTTTAGGGAATGCCGAATTTTTTAAAATTTAACTCATGGTGTAATAGATGTATTCTATTTTTAAAAATACTGAGTACCTTGCTAGATGTCAATATAATTTTACTTTTGGAAATACATAGATAACTTTGACTTGATCCTTGACCTTGAACAGCCTATTTATTAATGGTAGGTAGCTGGAATAGGTATGCATACAAAATATTGTTAACAATTTAGGGTGTATACAATTTGTCATAACAATAGAATGAATTCTTACTTTATTTATTTTTATTTTATTTATTTATTTATTTTTTGAGACAGAGTCTCGCTCTGTCTCCCAGGCTGGAGTGCAATGGTGCAATCTCAGCTTACTGTAACCTCTGCCTCCTGGGTTCAAGTGATTCTCTCACCTCAGTCTCCCGAGTAGCCAGGATCACAGGCACACACCACCACGCCCAGCTGATTTTTGTGTTTTTAGTAGAGATGTGTTTTCACCATGTTGGCCAGGCTGGTCTCGAACTCCTGACCTCAAGTGTTCCACCCACCTCCCCTTCCCAAAGTGCTGGGGTTACAGTCATGAGCCAGCATGCCTGGCCCAAATGCTTACTTTAAAATCTTAATTATAAGCATTTAAAGATATGTCATGTGTTTTTTAAATGATTTTATTATTTTTAAAATCTTTAACTAGATTTTTTTTTATGGTAAAAGCCCTTACATAAAAACAGAAACAATACAAAGTTTTTGCAACATATTTTCTCTTGATGGGTTTCAAGATTACTTCAAATGGTAAATAACACTGTGGTCAACTTGCCCTGGAATTCACTGGTGTCAATGTCTACATTCATATCTATCTCTTTTCTTATGAATGCAATTACTATTTTCCCTGAAAAATAAAAAGTATACTAATGTATAAGTTTGCTGCCCTCCTGAATATTTTAATCTGAGAGTTCAGTGTTACATTTAATGCAATTGCACTCAAATGTCCTCCAGAATTTATAGCAAGTGATTTGAACATACCAGGAACATTTTGTTCTTATGTGAAGATTTGCTTTTAAAAGCATATCAAATAGATTTTCTACTACATAGAGTGGCTGGCAAATAACCAAGCATTTACTTGAATTGTTATGATGACATTTCAGTCTGAAAGGTCACATTACAATCAACCCTAGGAGTACTTACTGTGTTTATGTGAAAGAAAGACAATGAATTTTTTCCAAGTAGTTTAACCCAAAAACGTGGGGGACTGATGCTTGCTGGAGGGAAGGGGCTTATATTCCATAGACTAGCATCATCTCATGGTGAAGAATGGTAAAGACTGACTGAAACTTTATTAGTTTGATTAAGACTTACTAGGTATGCTTCAAGGGCCCAATTATTGAAATAAGCATGGTGATATTATCTGTGCCTGAATGAATATGATTGATGAATTTATAGAATTAAAGAAAAACAGGTGATGATATGGTTTGTCTGTGTCCCCACCCAAATCTCATCTTGAATTATAGCTCCCATAATCCCCATGTGTCATGGGAGGGACCCAGTGGGAGGTAATTGAATCATGAGGGCAGGTTTTCCCATGCTGTTCTCATGATAGTGAGTAACTTATTCCAGCCTCACAAGATCTGATGGTCTTATAAAGGGCAGCTCCCCTGCACACACTTGCCTGCCACCATGTAAGACGTGCCTTTGCTCCTCCTTCACCTTCTGCCATGACTATGAGGCCTACCCAGCCATGTGGAACTGTGAGTTTATTAAACCTCTTTTTCTTTATAAATTACCCAGTCTTTGATATTTCTTCATAGCAGTATGAAAATGGACTAAAACAGGTAGGCACAGAAAGTTTGAAATATCTTAAAGGGGAACTGGACCAGAAAATAATAAAGCAAAGCCAAGTCTGGGTTAGATATTGATCTCATGGTTGAGTGCTTACTGGATTGGATTATTCAGCTCTGGAAGTGTGTTCTTTTCAGGCCCAAGGCTGGTTCATTCCATATCTCTCACTGTGGGAACCCCACAAGAGGTTCTCTAGAGGAGAATATTAGTGAAATAAATATCTGGGCCAGAAGCCAGTGGGATAGTGAAAGGAAAGGAGATACAGAAACCCAACAAACAAGGCTAGGCCCATGTGTGTTAGAGAAGGAAAGTGACCTGCCAGAGAATAATAAGGGGTTAGGAAACCCAGCTGAGCCTTCCCAAAATAATATTGGAACAGAAAAAGGAAATTTAGCAAATAGAAATGCTATTTTGAGCATGGAACATTTAAAAGCCAAGGAAAGACTGTTTCTTGAGGAACACAGGGCAGAGGTACCAGAGCTTTCAGGGTTGCTAGAAGCACGTGCTTCAGAAACATCAATAGCTTCAGTTTGGGAATCTGCTGGGGCAAGTTTCAAGTCTCAGGCTGAAAAAAGTTAGGTCTAAGGTAGCAGCATCCTTCCTAGGAAGTGGATGTCACAGGTCTCACCAAAAACGTGGAGATTCATGGCAATGAACTGACTGTCAGGACAGGAATGCCTAACAGAGATTAGCAACCGTGTCACTTGAGAAATGCACACTGGGTGCAACTCTAGGCTTCCAGAAACAAGAAACTTGAAGGAAAATGAAAAATAAGTTTTCAATTAGTATGAAGGAAATGAGAGGCATTTTACATAAACCAGGTGAGAAAGGTTGGGACCACGTAAATTTCTAACCTTTGAAGAGTAATTGCTAACATTTATCCATTTATCCAGGGCTTAGTCTGGACTGGGCACTGTTCTGTTTCACATGCGCTATATTAGCTGTTGTGTTAACTCCTATAATACTCTGATAAGGTGAGAACCACTTTTAATTCTTCTTTTATGGATGAAGAAATGCAGACACTGGGAGAAAGTAACTTGCCCAAAGTCACACAACTAATAAGAGGAGCCAGGATTCAAACCAACGAAGTCTGTTTCCAAAGACAGCACCTAAATTACCATCCTATGAAACAAGCCAGAATGAGTCTCCAAGAGAGGGAGTAATTTGCCTGCCTTGCCGAGAGAAATGCATGGTTTCACATTAAACTCTATCAAGAGAAATCTCTGCTGGAATAAATTGTGTGTCCCAAAAAACTGGCAAAGACTAACATTTGGAAGACTGGAACTAACAGGGTCTCTCCTTGGTGTGGCAGACACTGGCTAGCCAATCCCATATCCAATTCCACCTCCCTTATCTTCTTTCCACCCTCAGGTGGTCATGTGGCATGGTTCCAGTCAGTGAGATTCAAGCAGAAATATTCTTTTACATTTCTGGTTTTTGTTTTGTCTTTGTTTTACTTTAAGATGTTTAACTGACAAATCGTATGCTTTCAAAGTGTACAATGAGATGATTTAATATACATACACGTTGTGCACTGGGGGACATGGAGAAATGTTAGTCACGTGGTACAAGCAGACAAATTCTGGCTGCAACTTCCAGGAAAGCTTTTACTTTCCTGACAGCTTGTGAACCCTTTCATGC
Organism: Homo sapiens; assembly: GCF_000001405.40. NCBI lineage: Eukaryota > Metazoa > Chordata > Mammalia > Primates > Hominidae > Homo > Homo sapiens. The sequence goes on along the minus strand of NC_000004.12, from coordinate 10,812,109 downwards.
ATTGCTGTCTTTTTTTTCTTCCTTCCTGGAATACAGAAGTGTCTGGAGGGACAGCAGCCTTCCAGGGATCATGAAAATAGTCACCAACTGAGGATGGTGAGCCCTTGACGGCACCATCCAGCATATTCCCTGGGCCGGGACTGGCCACCTCTGAACCTCTTGTTTGGAAACCAAATAAACCACTGTCATTTTCACTTTTTAAAAAATGAACATATTCCAGTAACTTTTTGATCATTTTAGCTGATCTTCTTCATCTTTACCTCTTGAATCTGTCTAAATTTTTAACAACCACTATCTCCAATGGGATGATGCCTCAATCCTGAGTTGCCTTTCAATAGCCTCTTGAATCTGGGCCCCTCCAGCTACCACTGGGCAAGTAATTCCACACAACTCACCGAGGGTCTGACCTCTTTTCCCCTGAGGAGCAGCTTCAGCTCTGAATCCCTGCCTGATCTAGTAACAGCTAAAGCATACCCCCCTTTCCTGATGCCCAGTTTAGGCATGGACACGTCATCTCCCCACTTCCATGTCTCTCTAGCTTTAGTTGTATCAAGAAAGCATAAGATCTAAAACCAAACAAAAGAAAAGTTATGTGAAGAGTAATAAAATACTATATTTTAACCTGCTTACATGAATAGGGGGTTGATACATTTCTTTTTCTGTTTAGTTTTTTTCAACAACAAAAAAAAACTATCTGAGAAGAGAGAAGTCATTAAATTAAGGAATACTTTTCAGATCATACAAATGTTCTAAAGCAGTGATTCTCAAAGCAGGGTCCTCTGGATCAGCAACATCTGCATCACTGGGGAATTGTGAGACATGCAGATTCTCAGGCCCTATCCTTGCTCTCCTGAATCAGATACTCTGGGGGTGGGGCCCGGTAATCTGTGTTCTGCCAACCCATCTGGTGATTCTGCTGCATGCTCAAGTCTGAGAACCATTGCTCTGGGCAATAAGTTATTCAACTAATCCTTCGCTCCCACTAACCACACTCACGTACTGAAATGCAGACTCTTTTAGAGCAAGGCCTGAGTCTTATCTATCTCTGTGCCCCCAATATGTAGTAACATGCCTCAAACAAGAACAGTCCAGAAAATATGCAGACCAATGAATGAATCAGAGAACGATAGTGGTGATTCTTCATTTTTAAAGCAAGCCCAAAGAAAGGCAGCTAATTCATTTAAAAATAATTAATAATAAAGGCAAACTAATTCATAAATTTGAATTAGAAATACTACACATGAAATAGCAGGCATTATTCTTCTTGAGCTTTGTCATAATAGCTACATCTATTGCTGTTTTTCTTTTCTATTGTGAGTTTTATTTTATATGCAGAAAAATATATTAAAATATATATACAATATAAAATTTTTAAATGAAGGAAACATGTATGAAACTACCACTAAGAAATAGAATTTTGGCCGGGTGTGGTGACTCATGACTGCAATCCCAGCACTTTGGGAGGCGGGGGCAGATGGATCATTTGATTCCAGGAGTTGGAGAGTAGCCTAGGCAACGTGGCAAAACCTCCTCTCCACAAAAGATTAAAACATTAGCAAGGAGTGGTGGCGTTGATCCGTAGTCCCAGCTACCTGGGAGACTGAGATGGGAGGATCGATTGAGCCCACAAGGTCAAGACTGCAGTGAGTGGTTATGGCACCACTGCGCTCAGCCTGGGCAGCAGAGTGAGACTTTGTCTCAAAAAAGAAAAGAAATATAATTTGGTAAGTAATGTAGAAGCCCCTTTGTCTCTATCTTTGTGCCTTCTTTGAGATAACCACTACATACAATGTTGTAACCATCATTTTACCAACCATGTATAAATCTCTCAACAAATGTCATTTAGTTTTCTCTGTTTTTGAATCTTAGTGAATAGATTACCTGTGGTTTGTTTCTTGTTCTCCAGATGAGAACCACTCATACTGATGCACATAACTGTGGTTCATTTTGACTGCTCTATGGTTACATTGTGTGAATACGCCATTTTTTTGGTCTATTCTACTATTCATGGGCATTTTGGTTATTTCCAGTTTTTGCTATTATGAACATTGCCTCGTCACAATGACCACCATCTCAGGCTCCCTTTGAGTCAGATATACACCTTTCCCTCTCCACTGGCTCCACTAAATTGTTCTGAAGCAAGTCACAGGGTATTATTTCATCTGTAAGCTATAGAGATTCTTTTGATGAATACAATTCGTAATTTTAATGCAGTCACATTGACCAATCTTAGTTGGGTCATGGGTTTTAGACTATTTTTAAGAAGAAAAAAAAACCCTTTTCTACACTGAGTTTATAAATATTTTTCTATCTTGTTTTTAAAATCTGTGTTTTTAAACCTTTCACATATAGTTCTTAATCCACCAGGAATTGGTTTCTCTGTAGGAGGATTTAATTTCATTTTTTGTTCAATATGGATACCAAATTGTTCTATGACATTCGTGGAAAAATCCATCAGTTCACATCATCACATGTGGCTACAATACCACATCTGCTGTATCTAAAGCTTCAATATCTATGCAGGCCAGTGTCCAGGCTTTCTGCTGTGCTCCATTTGCTAATGTTTCTGTCCTTGCACCAGTAACTCTGTTATAGTCCTTTATCTTTATAATCTGGAGACCAACTACTCACCTTGTTCTTCCAGAAGGCCATGGCTATTCTTAGACTTCTCAATTCTCTTATGAACTCTAAAATCAGCTCAACACATTACTAAGTGATTGTGATTTGGTTGGTACAATATAGTACATCAATTTTGAGGTAATTGGTATCTACACAATATTAATTCTGTGAATCCATGAGTGTAATATATATCTTGCATATCTCCTTTTTGGGGTCTTTTTCAGTATATTTTAATTGAGTTCTGTGATTATCTCTTTGAAGGACTCATATGATTTTGTTATATTTGTTCTTAGATAATTATATTTTTATACTATTGTAAATTTTAAATTTGACTTCTGTATGTTGCCAGTATATAGAAATAGAATTGATTTCAATATTGACTTTTGTATCTAGCAACTGTGCTGAATTATCATCCTAACTTTATCTATAGTTTTTTGACATTTGCTGTAATCTATTGATACATAAGAAATGATTCCCAAACCCGGTGGCTTAAAGCACTAGTAATCATTTGTTATCTCTCATGGCTTCTGTGGGTCAGGAATTCAGACAGGGCAAAGTGGAAATGGCTGTATTTGCTTTACAATGTTTTCAGCTGGAAAGCTGAGGGCTGGAATCATCTGAAGCCTTGTTCACTTGCCAGCAGTTGATGCTGACTATTAGCTAAGACCTTAGCTAAGGCTGTCAGCTGGAACACCCCCAAAAGGCCTCCTCATGTGCTCTGGGATTCCTTCCAACATGGTGGCCAGGTTCCAAAAGTGAGTGTTCTGAAAGAGAGAGAGTGAAAAGAGAGTGAACCATAACATTACTTCTCCTGAATTCCATTGATCTGGGCAGTCATTCATTCCCTCCCAGCTTAAAGGAGAGGGAGCAAGATGATCTCTCTCAGTGGGAGGAGTCTCAGGTACATGGAAAGCAGCATATGAGATGGTATTGGTGGGGCCATGTTGAAATAGTTTGCAACAATATTGTTAAAAATAACAGAAAAATTATCTGTAAATAATGACAGTTTTGTTTCTTCTTTTATCATCCTTATTTCTTTTCCTTCTTTTTTTCCTTGCCATACTACACTAGCAAGCCACTTTAATATTATGTCAAATAGAAGGGATCAGAAGGAGAAACTTCTCCTCATCACAGAAAAGAATGCTTTTAAACATTCCATTACTAAGAATGACTTTTGTTGCAGGTTTTTACAGAAGTAAATATGATTATGTGAAACTCATGTCCCCAGCAAGGAAGGATTACTGCTCAGCTGTAGAGATGTATTCAGCAGACGGCCTCTAGCTGATAACCCTTCAGGATCTGTGAAGATGCAGAGAGCTGCCCCAGCTGCAGTCACGTCCTGTCCAGGGCAGCCCATCTCTGGAGACTGAGCAAGGTAGGAGTAGAAAGGCCTGGCCATTTTGGCCCAACACAGGATCATCTGACGGGAAGTACTAGCTTCAGAGCTCCCCACCATGTTTTCTGATGTTCATTTTGCCTGCATTGAAATTCACTTCTTCCTTTAACCAATCCTGCTTCCTATGATACATGTTGATTCCTAATAAATATCTTACAGCCATGTCAGCACCTGACTCCAAAAAATCCATCTTACAACTGTCAAGACAGATATGGTAGGATAAAGTGGTCAATGAGAGGGGTTTTGGAACTGGATGACCCACTGCCTGGCTGGAGGGGGACCCCATTCCTGGTAAAAGGTGGAAGAGAGCGAGGTTTCACAGAAGATGGTAGTCTAATCGTTACAACATTTGTTGAAGGCAAGCTGGGAGGCTACTTCAGTGGAAAAGAATACATCAAATACAGAGGCATATCTGGCATTTAAGATATCTGGAGAAAATAGTAGCTGTAATGTTAAGAGGATTGAATAATGGGTTAACCTGCTAGGGTACCATAATACAATACCACAGACTGGGTGGATTAAACAACAGAAAACCATTTGATCACAGTTCTGGGGACTGGAAGTTCAAGATCAAGGTGTCAGCAGTGTTGATTTCGTTTAAGGCCTCCCCCCTTGCCTTGGAGATGGCCGCCTTCTCACTGTGTCCTCACATGGCCTTTCCTCTGAGAGCACATGGAGAGAGAGCTATGGTATTTGTCCCTTTGCTTATCATCACAGCAGACCTATTGGATTAAGGCCTAATTCATGACTTCACTTAACCTTAATTATGTCCTTAAAGATTCTATCTCCTATGGTCACATGAGAGGCTAGGGCTTCAACATATGAGTTTTGTTGGTGGGGCACAATTCAGTCCATAACAGATGGCTCTTGCTAAGGACCATTGATGCATTACAAAATGATAATGAACAGCTGAAGTGAGTAATAGGCAATTAGTCGGAAGTCAGATGTGAAAGTCAGGGGGCCTCTTTACTTGTGTATACGGAAGCAGGGCAAAGGAAGCCAGAGGAGCAAGTGGGAATGTTTGAGTAGCACCACCCCAGGCTGCCATCAGTCAATACCTTGCACCAGGCAGAACACTCCAGCCATGCACACTACAGCAGCAGCCCCTTCATGGTCCTGTTGGCTCCTGTTTCTGAGGGGAAACTGGAAAGAGGACATTAGAAGAACAAGCTAAAGCCCCTATGTTGTCATTGGGCTCAGGCTGCATCTGGTACTTATGGTCTGCCCCTTTGACATCTATTCAGCAGGCCAAGGTGGCTTACCAGCAGGACTGAAAGATATGACCCAATCCTTCACTTCTGGGTGGTTGGAACAGCGCTCATCCATTCATAATTGCAAATTGATCAGCCAATTTCCTTGTGATTCCTCCAGCTCCTAATGTGAACTGTAGCCTTGATGCCTTTTGCCCAGCTGGTCAATTAGCCATGCCAGTTGGTGACTCCGCCTCTCCTATGTCACTTTAAATCATGCTATAATGCACAACAGTGTGTGTACATCTTTTAGATTTTGTGGGGTTTTTCTAATCAGTTTGCCCTTGGGATATTTACTTAGAAGTATGTCAGGACAAAGAATGAATATGCATGGATTTTTAAAAATATAATGCCAACTTTCCCTCTATAGGTATTGTACCATTTTGAATTTATGCCAGCAGTATGAGGATGCTTGTTCTCCAAAACCCCACCAACAGAGAATGTCATCTAATTAAACATATTTTGTTTTTGTTTTAATTTTGAGGCTGATGTGATTTGAGAAAACCTGAGCTACACAAGGGATATATCTACTGCTTCCTACCATACCAATAAACTATGAGCCCCCTGTTGATATGGTTGGGCTGTGTCCCCACCCAAATCGCATCTTGAATTGAAACCCCCACAATTCCCATGTGTCATGAGAGGAACCCAGTGGGAGGTGATTGAATTGTGGCTTTCCTGAGCTGTTCTTGTGATAGTGGATGACTCTCACAAGATCTGACGGTTTTAAACAGGGGAGTTTTCCTGCATAAGCTCTCCTCTTCTCTTGTCTGCCGCCATATGAGTCATGACTTTCATCTTCCACCCTGATTGTGAGGCTTCCCCAGCCATGTAGAAATGTGAGTCCAATAAACCTCTTTCTTTTGTTAGTTGCCCAGTCTTGAGTATGTCTTTGTCAGCATTGTGAAAATGGACTAATACACCTGTGTATACTGATTTTTCCTCTGGAGAGTTGGAGAAAGAAACTCCACCACATAATTTGACTTTCAAGAAGAATTCATCGATAAAGCTAGTGTTTCATTCTGTCTTTGACCTTTGCCAAAGGTTTCTGTTTTCTGCCCCCTAAGACCTTGGAGAAACTGAGGTAGCGCAAGAAAGCTATTCAATGGGGTGATGGAAATAAACAAAGTAGGGTTTTCTTTATTTGCATGAGAAAGACTCATGTGGGCAAACTCTCTTTCTCTAAGTACGTAGGGGAAGTTTCAGGGAACAGATGATAGGCATCAAATTTCACAGAAGGCTAACCATTATTTTCCAGAGTATCCCACTGGCAATTATTATATTTGTATTAGTCAGGGTTCCCTGGAGAAAAAAAAAAAGGAATCAATGGGTGAAAGAGAGAGAGAGAGAGGGAGACTTCTTATGAGAGAATGGCTCATGGGATTATGGAGGCTAAGAAGTCCCATCGTCTTTTGTGTGCAAGCTGGAGACCCAGGAACCCTGGTGGTGTAATTCAATCGAAGTCCAATGGCCTGAGAACCAGGGGAGCCAATGTTGCAAATCCTGGTCTTGGTCCAAATCCAAAGTCCTGAGAACCAGGAGCTCTGTTGTCCAAACGCAGGAGAAGATGTATGTCCCAGCTCAAGCATAAAAAGCCTTCCTCCACCTTTCTGTTCTGTCTGAGCCCTCAACAGATTGGATGATGCCCACCCACATTAGTGAGGGCAAATCGTTTTTACTGGGTCCACTGATTCAAATGCTAATCTCTTATGGAAAGACCTTCACAGAAACACCAAGAAATGATGTATTACCAGCCATCTGAGCATTCCTTAGCCCAGTGAAGCTGGCTTACAAAAGTAACCATCACATTATTGAAACAAAAGATGCCAGAGCTGATGGAGACTTTGGTTATTACCAACCTCTCCCACTATTTAAAAAATAAAAAAAAATAAAAAATAAAACATGACCTCTGTCAAAGATAAACAAAGCTAGGCACTGGTTAAAGTGGTGCAGATGGATTTTAATCCATAATAACCATTGCATTAGGGAAAGGGTTCATCATGAACTGGACTCAACTTTGATTTGTAACAGAGGTGACTGGATGTTTCAAAGGGAGAATAAGGGTGCAGGGAAGTGGGTGAGCAGAGCTCAGTCGAGCCAGAGAACTGAAAAATTACAAAAAGTGTGTAGTGGGGGTTGGTCCGTGTAACACCCATTTGGGTTTGCTAACTGGTGCTTATGGAATTTAGGCTTCTAGATTCTCACAGAGACTGGGTGACAGGGGGCCTCTCTTCACATGTTGGCTGGAACAAGCAGTAAATTCTTCTGGCAACCTTGAGCTTTCTCAGGCAGGCACTTTCAAGTGGGCTAAAGTCATCCCTTGGATTTGGTTGAGCTATTAAAAACTACGTTAGTGTCTGTTCAAATCTTTATAGGTTAAAGTTGAGGTCTAGTTGAGAAGATGGCTCACAGGAGACTGGCTACTGTTTGGTCAAGCAGAGAATCTCTGTCACCTTTCAAGATCAAAAACACCTGGTGCACAGGCAATCAAAAAAATAGAAATAAAAATTTAAAAAAGAGACTGGACCAGACCTTCACTTACTGACTGCCATTGGCCAGTAACATTTTATTGTCAGGAAGTTTCCACTTTCAAAGAGTATTTACTCACCCACACAAAGAGCCACTCAGTATAGACAGCCAACAACTTTAGCCATTCTGGTTAAAATAAAACAATAATATGAATCCTCCTTTCAGTTCCTCCAATGAAAGTGACATATGGAGAAGCACACGATCCATAATTCAAAGAGAAGTGCTGCCTACTTCCTCATTAGCTAAATTGCATTCATTGCAGAAAGCTGCTTTTGGTAGCCATATCGATCAGCAGGAAGTAAGATGGAAAAAAATTAACAAACTTGAAAAACTTCAGTCTCTGGGGTGTAACTCACCATCTGGGAATGACTTATTAGGAAAGAATCAAGAAAACACTGTCCGCATATGACCTTCCCATTTTACATATGCAGTCAGTCCTCATTAATCTGAGACCCACCAAAGTGGAGTCTGCAATAATTCAGAAGTGACAATTGCAATCCCCGCTGAAGAGAAGGTTCCATGCAAAACATTTAATGTAGGACTGTAAAGTCTCTAATAAAAGTCAGGAGTGTTTTCCTTCACTTCTTTGTTTTTATGTGCAATCACATATATAATACAATGTGAACAATGGGCAAAAATGATATATTTAATTCCTTGTTTTACATTCCCACATTTCAGTTGCTTTGATAAATTAATCTCACTTTCCTCATTTTAAATTAATACCACTTTATATAATAAGAACAAGATTCTTTTTATTGGGGGATAGTTTATCTTCAAAAGCTTTTTTCAGCCTAAGTAACAGAGAGAGATTTTAAAAATAAATGGCAAGGTAAAAATGCAATAAAATGAAGGTCTTAGTCACAGAACTCTGCCCTGAGAAATTCACACACACACACACACACACACACAAATACTTCATAAAACAAAATCCACATTATCTTTCCTTTTGTGTATTCTAATAATTGAACAATTAGTTCTCTGCCAGTAAATTAAAATAAAATTACATTCTTCTAAATATCCATTATCCAAGTAATTTTTAATAATTTCCTGTTTACTGGCACTTTCAGAATTGTTTTTATTTTACTTAGTTTTTTGTTTAATTGGTTCACTCCCTCAGATGAAGCTTAAATGTGTTGAATAAAGATGCAAGCTCTTTCTAAAGAATATGAATTGACCCAAATAATTGAGTGAGAACTTGAAGTTAACGGGAGAGGGGATCTATTATGTGGCAGAAACAATAGTAGTAGTAAATAGCATATAATTATTCATCTCTTCCATTCACACTTCCGTGTTTGTTATAAATTTCCAATTTGTTGTGAAGTGATTTCAAATTAAAGCTAATTATCAATGCTTTTATTGAAGCAAATCTATAATAAATGTCTCTTGTCAAAGCACTCTGCCAAGGAAAACCCAGAGAGAAATAAGACCTAGACTCTGCCATCTGAGGGACCTGCATTCTCGTTAGAGCAAAAAAATGAGTATAGAAATCATAGGTGGTGTTGTATTAGTTTTCTAGGGCTGCTGGAACAAATTACCACAAAATTGGTGACTTAAAACAACAGAAATTTATTTTCACACAGTTCTTGGGGCCAGACGTCCAAAATCCAGCTGTTAGCAGGGTCATGGTCCCCACAGAGCTTCCAGGGGTGGATCCTTCCTTGCCTCTCCCAGTTTCTGGTGGCTGTGGCCATTCCTGGTGATCATTGGCTTTTAGATGCATTAGTCCAGTCTCTGCCTCCATCTTCAAAAGGTGTTCTCTGTGTCTCAAAATGGCCTGTCATCCTCTTGTAAGGACACCAGTCATTAGATTTAAGACCCACCCTCATCTAGTGTGGTGTTATCTTAATTTGATAATGCCTAGAAATACTGTTTCCAAATAATGTCATATTCAGAGGTTCTGAGCGGACATAGAACTATTCAGTCTGCTATACATGGTAAAACAAATGGTGTAGGAGGAAGAGGGGTAGAGCCAGAGTTGGATTGGGACCCATAAGTTAAGAGCAAGATGGAATAAAAGGCATGATTCTAGTCATCATGGAAAATAGAACTATGTGGGCTTTTATCATCTGATCCCAGCCAGTCTGCCCATCCTTAGCACAGAAAAACATTTATTCTGGTCGCACCAAACTACTCACTTCTCCTAGAATATGTGGTAATCTCTTAAACTTGTAAAAAAATTAGAATATATTTGTCTTCTTAGTCTCCACTGAGATCCCAAAATGTCCCAGGTTTGGGACAATGGGGATAAATTGCACCTGTATTTTACAGAAAAGGACTAAGTCCATTTCTGCTAGACTTGCTAAGAGATAGGCAAAGCAAGTCCTGAGACCTTTAGCCCAAAACTCTCCACCAACCTCTATGTCTACCAGCAAAACTGGAGATTCATTGATATAGTTAGGTTTTATGTCCCCACCCAAATCTCATCTTGAATTGTACTCTCCATAATCCCAGGGAGACATCAGGTGGAAGTCATTGAATTATGGGGGCAGTTTCCCTCATGCTGTTCTCATGATAGTGAGTGAATTCTCAAGAGATCTGATGGTTTTATAAGGGGTTCTTCCACCTTCGCTCAGTACTTCTCCTTCCTGCCACTTTGTGAAGAAGATGCCCTTTGCCTTCCACCATGATTGTGAGTTTCCTGAGGCCTTCCCAGTCATGCTGAATTGTCAGTCAATTTAACCTTTTTCCTTTATAAATTACCTAGTCTCAGTCAATTCTTTATAGCAGCATGAAAATGGACTAATACATTCATTAAGCAGATTGACTGGTAAGTTTTTCAAGAAAGTAGTCAGTCTAGAAGGATGGGGAAAGGCATTTTTCTCCTCTCCCTGTGAGGATGGGAGGAAGAATGTGAAGGAAGTCTATGTCCCAGTTCTTACATGTGGCTCGACAGGGCACACTGAGAGAGATTTCTGATAAATTGACTTGTGCCTTGAAGACTTGAAGGGAATGGTACTGGCTACTTGCCTGTAGGGGACAGGCTGGCTGGAACTGGCCCAGCAGCAGCAGAGAAAAGAGAGCTGCACTGGGAACTGCCTCACCAGCATGGCAAGGGGAAGGCTTTCTGTGTGCCTCAGGGTGCTGAGAGCAGCACCCAGACTAGGGTGGTCAAAAAAAGATCTATTTTCAAGAGGCCTATCTGCAGGAGAAAGCAGATACCAGCAGAAAGTGGCTAGAGGCATCCCACCAGAAGTAGGAATTGAGGCAAAGTCATAAGACATCAGTAGGATTAAGCATAGTCCTTCTCAGGAAATACTGAAGAATGAGGAATCCCAGACATTGTGAGGTAACAAACCCCTAAAACACACAGAAGGGAAGGGTCAGTACTAAGGGTATTTAACAGGTGTGTGTGGAGGGTAGGAACTACAACTGTGCTGGCTACCTAAAACTGTACCATGTTTTTCCTTGTTTACCCTCACACATGGTAGAGAAGCCGGAAAAAGATGACCCAACACAGAGAGAGTGAAAGAAAAATCAATAAGGATAAGAGAAGAGGTGATGATGTGCGGATATCTCTCTCTCTTTCTCTCTCTCTCTGTCTCTCTCTCTCTCTCTCTCACACACACACACACACACACACACACACACACACACACACCTCCTTAGCTTAGTTCTCAGTACAATAACCGAGAACAAAGACTTCTTTCTCACTTATGTCTATCCCAGGAGCTCTGCTAATTACACCACAAAAACCCAGGCTGATCAGGCACTACAATTTTGAATACTGGAATAGAAAATGAGAATGTAGCAAAGCATAAACTTATTATTATAGCTCCCACCTAGAAGTTACACACTTTATTGGCTAAAGTAAGTCACATGGCTATAATTAACTTTAAGTAGCTGTCAAAGTCATCTTATCTTCTCTGTCTAGGAAGGAGAACTGGAATGTTTGTGAGCAGCTCAATGGACTACTGAAATGAGTAAGCCCAACAGAAAGAACAGGCTGCACTCTCCCTTTCTCTCTTCTGGCTTCAGAGCCAGTTCAGGCCTAAGGTAAGGAAGAAGAAAAACTTAAAATTGTATGACACATTGGAGTTTCGATTAAAATTGGACTGAACTTTTTAATATCTGAAAATATTTTTTAAATAGCTTCTGCTATTCTAGATTATTCTTCAGCATTTTACTCCTGTTTCCTCCTTACTATAGGCAGAGACTAAGTCTTTGCCCTTTGATGTTGGTCTTGGACGTGTGACTTGCTTTGGCCACTGGGAATTTGGCAGGCATGATGTGAGCCGGAACTTTTCATAGCCTTGTGTAGTCTGGCTTTTCTCTTGTATGTTGGAGATTGGGCATTGATATAGTAGCTCTGTGTCCCCACCCAAATCTCACCTTGAATTGTAATACACATAATCCCCACGTGTCAAGGGTGGGACCAGGTGGAGGTAATTGAATAATGGGAGAGGTTTCCCCCATGCTGTTCTTGTGATAATGAGTGAGTCTCACAAGATCTGATGGTTTTATAAGCATCTGGCATTTCCCCGGCTTGCACTTCTCCTTCCTGCTGCCTTGTGAAGTCGGTACCTTGCTTCCCCTTCGCCTTCTACCATGATTGTAAATTTCCTGAGACCTCCTCAGCCATGCTGAACTGTGGTCAATTAAACCACTTTCCTTTTTAAATTACCCAGTCTCGGGTATGTCTTTATTAGCAGTGTGAGAATGGACTAATATAGGCATATCTCATGATAGCGGTATTATCACTGTCCCTCAGCATTGAGCAGACTGAGAGCCCATGGCCAAATCCAGCTAATCCATGGCCAGGGAGCTACCCATCCAAGCCTAGTCTAGTCTGGATGAACCACAGTTTCCCTGCAGGCAGTGAGAGTGAGAATAATTGCTTAATGAAGGAAACCACTGAGTTTACAATAATTGAGTTTGTTACGGAAATAGCTGAAGAATACATGCCTAAAATGATTTAAAACCTCCTTGCAAATACAACTTCCATTTTGGAAACGGAGATATTGTTAAGTAGGTAGCTAGTCAGTCATGAGCAGGGCAGAAAAGTTCCCACACCCCCAACCAGGAATGTCAGGTGACTATTAGGTGATGTTCAGGTCGTTGTTACACTGTTTCTCTAAAATAATAATTGGTCACAGTCAGAGCCAGGGAAAGGCAGACCCCCAGTAGACAGAAACATCTGAAACTGGTGATCAGCATCTTCCTGATAAGATCTCAGAACTTGGACGAGTGGGCTCATGCATGTGCACTAAGAGGTAAAATGGTGGAGTTTAACTGCTATATGACCTTCTAGGAACATTAGAACTGGTAAGGGAAGAATGCCTCAAATGAGCATATGTACAATTCCAGTAAACACAATACACATGCAGCCCCTCTCAAGGGCTGGCAGGCCACTGAGCATGTAGGTAGCCCACTCCAAGGGAAGAGTCAGGAGAGAAGGGATGCAATCCCCCCAAAAGCATGCCAATCTATAAGAACCCTAAGTCAAAGGTCGAACCACACATCTGATCTCTCAAGTCATCCACTTGGCCCTCTTCTAAGTACTTTACTTCCTTTCATTCCTGCTGGAATGCTTTTTTTCCCCATAAGTCATTGGGGTACAGGTGGTATTTGGTTACATGAGGAAGTTCTTTAGTGGTGATTTGTGAGATTTTGGTGCACCCATCATCTGAGCAGTATACGCTGTACCATATTTGTAGTCTTTTATCCCTCACCTCCTTCCCATACTTCCCCACAAGTCCCAAAGTCCATTGTGTCATTCTTATGCCTTTGCGTCCTCAAAACTTAGCTCCCATATATCACTGAGAATATACGATGTTTGATTTTCCATTCCTGGGTTACTTCACTTAGAATAAAGTCTCCAATCTCATTCAGGTCGCTGAAAATGCCATTAATTCATTTTTTTGGCCTAGTAGTATTCCATCATATAAATATACCACAGTTTCTTTATCCATTCATCGATTAATGGGCATTTGGGTTGGTTCCACAATTTTGCAACTGAGAATTGTGCTGCTATAAACATGCGTGTGCAAGTATCTTTTTTGTATAATGACTTCTTTTCCTCTGGGCAGATACCCAGCAGCGGGATTGCTGGATCAAATGGTAATTCTACTTTTAGTTCTTTAAGGAATCTCTACACTGTTTTCCATAGTGGTTGTACTAGTTTACATTCCCACCAGAAGAATAGAAGTGTTCCCTGTTCACCACATCCATGCCAACATCCTTTGCTTTTTTTATTTTTTGATTATATTCAGGCTTTCAGAAGTAAGGTGGTATCACATTGTGGCTTTGATTTTCATTTCCCTGATCATTAGTGATGCTGAGAATTTTCTCATGTTTGTTGGCTATTTGTATATCTTCTTTTGAGAATTGTCTATTCGTGTCTTTAGCCCACTTTTTGATGGGATTTTTTTTTTAAGTTACTGATTTGCTTGACTTCATTGTAGATTCTGGATATTAATCCTTTGTCAGATATATGGATTGTGAAGATTTTCTCCCACTCTGTGGGTTGTCTATTTACTCTGGTGACTGTTCCTTTTGCCCTGCAAAAGCTCTTTAGTTTAATTAGGTCCCAGCTATTTATCTTTGTTTTTATTGCATTTGCTTTTGTGTTCTTGGTCATGAAATCCTCGCCTAAGCCAATGTCTAGAAGGGTTTTTCCAGTGTTACTTTCTAGAATTTTTATAGTTTCAGGTCTTAGATTTAAACCCTTAATCCATCTTGAGTTGATTTTTGTATAAGGTGAGAGATGAGGATCCAATTTCATTCTCCTGCATGTGACTAGCCAATTATCCCAGCATAATTTGTTGAAAAGGGTGTCTTTCCCCACTTTAGGTTTTTGCCTGCTTTGTCAAAGATCAGTTGGCTCTAAGTATTTGGGTTTATGTCTGGATTCTCTATTCTGTTCCATTGGTCTATATGCCTATTTTTATACAAGTACCACGCTGTTTTGGTGACTGTGGCCTTACAGTATAGTTTGAAATCAGATTGTGTATGCCTCCAGATTTATTCCTTTTGCTTAGTCTTGCTTTGGCCATGCAGGCTCTTCTTTGGTTCTAAATGAATTTTAGATTTTTTTTTCTAATTCTGTGAAGAATGATGGTGTATTTTGATGGGGATTGCATTGAATTTGTAGATTGCTTTTGGCAGTGTGGTTATTTTCACAATATTGTTTCTACCTAATCATGAGCATGGGATGTGTTTCCATTTGTTTGTGTTATCTATGATTTATTTTAGTAGTGTTTTGTAGTTTTCCCTGTAGAGGTCTTTCACCTCCTTGGTTAGGTATATTACTAAGTATTTTATTGTTTGCAGCTATTGTAAAAGCAATTGAGTTCTTGATTTTATTCTCCGCTTGGTTGCTGTTAGTGTATAGAGGAGCTACTGATTTGTGTACATTAATCTTTGCTGAATTCTTTTATCAGTTCTAGGAGCTTTCTGGATGAGTCTTTAGGGCTTTCAAGGTAAATGATCACATCATCAGCAAACAGGGACAGTTTGACTTCCTCTTTACTTATTTGGATGCCCTTTATTTCTTTCTCCTTTCTGATTGCTCTTACTAGGACCTCCAGTACTATGTTGAAGAGGAGTGATGAGAGTGGGCATCCTTGTCTTGTTCCAGTTTTCAGAAGGAATGCTTTCAACTTTTCCTCATTCAATAGTATGTTGGCTGTGGGTTCATCATAGATGTCTTTTATTACATTGAGGTATGTCCCTTGCATGCCGAGTTTGCAGAGAGTTTTAATCATAAAGTGATGCTGGATATTGTTAAATGCTTTTTCTGCATCTATTGAGAAGGTCATGTGATTTTTATTTTTAAATCTGTTTATGTAGTGTATGATTTTTATTGACTTGTGTATGTTAAACCATCCCTGCATTCCTTGTATGAAACCCACTTGATCATAGTGGATTATCTTTTTGATATGTTGTTGGATTTGGTTAGCTAGTGTTTTGTTAAGGATTTTAGCATCTATATTCATCAAGGATATTGGTCTGTAGTTTTCCTTTTGGGTTATGTCCTTTCCTGGTTTTGGTATTAGGGTGATTCTTGCTTCATAGAATTAATCAGGAAGGCACCAAAGAAAGGCGAAGCCCAATGCAAAGAAATCCAAAAAAAAAGATACAAGAAGTGAAGGGAGAAATATTCAATGAAATAGATATGATAGATAGCATGAATAAAAAACAATCAAAATGTCAAGAAACATTGGATACACTTATAGAAATGCTCTGGAAAGTCTCAGTGATAGAATCGAAAAAGTAGAAGAAAGAAATTCGGAGCTTGAAGACAAGGTCTTTGAATTAAACCAATCCAACAAAGAGAAAGAAAAAAGAATAAGAAAATATGAACAAAGCCTCCAAGAAATCTGGGATTATGCTAAGCAACCAAACCTAAGAATAATCAGCATTCCTGAGGAAGAAGAGAAATCTGAAAGTTTGGAAAACATGTTTCAGGGAATAATTGAGGAAATCTTCCCCAGCCTTGCTGGAGACCTAGGCATCCAAATACAAGAATCACAAAGAACATCTGGGAAATTCATCACAAAAAGATCATCACCTAGGCACATTGTCATCAGGTTATCTAAAGTTAAGACAAAAGAAAGAATCTTAAGAGCTGTGAGACAAAAGCACCAGGTAACCTGTAAAAGAAAACCTATCAGATTAACAGCAGATTTCTCAGCAGAAACCCTACAAGCTAGAAGGGATTGGGGCCCTATCTTCAGCCTCCTCAAGCAAAACAATCATCAGCCAAGAATTTTGTATACAGGAAAACTAAGCATCAAATATGAAGGAAAGATACAGTCTTTTTCAGGCAAACAAATGCTGAGAGAATTCGCCACTACCAAGCCACCACTACAAGAACTGCCAAAAGGAGCTTTAAGTCTTGAAACAAATCCTGGAAACACATCAGAGCAGAACCTCTTTAAAGCATAAATCTCACATGATCTATAAAACAAAAATAGATTTTAAAATACAAAAAACAAAACAAGAAAAAGTACACAGGCAACAAACAGCACGATGACTGGAATGGTACCTCACATCTCAATACTAACAATGAATGTAAATGGCCTAAATGCTCCACTTATCTGCTGCCTTCAAGAGACTCACTTAATACATAAGAACTCACATAAACTTAAAGTAAAGGGTTGGAAAAAGGCATTTCATGCAAATGGGTATCAAAAGCTAGCAGAAGTAGCTTTTCTTATATCAGACAAAATGAACTTTAAAGCAACAGCAGGTAAAAAAGACAAAGAGGGACATTATATAATGGTAAAAGCCCTTGTCCAACAGGAAAATACTACAATCCTAAACATATATGCACCTAACACTGGAGCTCCCAAATTTATTAAACAATTGCTAATATACCTAAGAAATGAGAGAGACAGCAACACAATAACAGTGGGGGACTTCAATACTCCACTGACAGCACTAGACAGCTCATCAAGACAGAAGGTCAACAAAGAAACAATAGATTTAAACTATACCTCGGAACAAATGGACTTAACAGATATATACAGAACATTTAATCCAACAAACACAGAATACACATTCTATTCAACAGGGCATGGAACTTTCTCTAAGACAGACCATATGATAGGTCATAAAACAAGCCTCAATAAATTTAAGAAAATTGAAATTATATCAAGCACTCTCTCAGACCACAGTGGAATAAAACTGGAAACCAACTCCAAAAAGAATCTTCAAAACCCTGCAAATACATGGAAATTAAATAACCTGCTCCTGAAGGAGAATTGGGTAAAAGAAGAAATCAAGATGGAAATTTAAAAATTCTTCAAACTGAATGATGAAAATGACACGACCTTTCAAAACCTCTGGGATACAGAAAATGCAGTGCTAAGAGGAAATTTCATAGCCCTTAATGCCTACGTCAAAAAGACTGAAAGAGCACAAACAGACAATCTAAGGTTACACCTCAAGGAACTAGAGAAACAAGAACAAAGCAAACTTAACCCAGCAGAAGAAAGGAAATAACCCAGATCAGAGGAGAACTAAGTGAAATTGAAACAAACAAACAAACAAACAAACAAAAACCACAAAAGAGAAATGAAACAAAAAGACAGTTCTTTGAAAAGATAAATAAAATTGACAGACAATTAACAAGATTAACCAAGAAAAGAAGAGAGAAAATCCAAATAACCTCATTAAGAAACAAAACAGGAGATATTACAACTGACACCACTGAAATACAAAAGATCATTCAAGGCTATTATGAACACCTTTACACACATAAACTAGAAAACCTAGAAGAGATGGATAAATTTCTGGAAAAATACAACCCTCCTAGCTTAAATCAGGAATAATTAGACACCCCAATAACAAGCAGTGAGATTGAAATTATAATTTAAAAAATTACCAACAAAAAAAAGTCCAGGACCAGACAGATTCACAGCAGAATTATACCAGACATTCAAAGAAGAATTGGTACCAATCCTTTTGACACTACTCTAATGCTTTTTAATAAACTTTCACTCCTGCTTTAAAACTTTCCTTGGTCTCTCCTTCTGCCTTATGCTCCTCGTTCAAATTCTTTCTTTTGAGGAGGGAAGAATTGAGGTTGCCTCAGACCATACGAATTCACCTCTGCTAACATACTTTGGTGCTGTGACTCAGACATGTTTCCCAATGGGAAGACCCTGGAATATGTTCCCCAGTGGTAAGTGGGTGACTTGAGAGATCAAGTACTTGGCTTGGCCTTTGCCTTTGGGTTTTATACATTGGTGTGCTTCTGAGAGGCTGCATCCCTTCTCCCCCGATTCTCTTGGCCTGGGCTCTCCGCATGCTCACCGGCCTGCCAGCACTTGGGAGGGGACGCACGTTCAGTGTGTTTACTGGAATTGTATGCAGGCTCACTTGAGGCCTTCTTCCCTCTCCAGTTTGCATGTTCCTGGAAGGTCATATAGGAGTTAAACTCCACCATTTCGCCTCTTAGGGCACATGTGTGAGCCTACTCTCCCAACTCCTGAGATCTTATCAGAAAGCTGCTGATCACCAGTTTTAGATGCTTCTGTCTATGGGGGACTGCCTGTCCCTGGCTCTGGCTGCTACCAATTATTACTTTAGAGAAACAGTGTAACAACCACCTGACCATCACCTGATGATCCCCTGACATCGGGTAGGTGGCCCTGCGGGAAACGGCTCTCCTGCCCTGCTCATGTCTGACTAGCTACCTACTGTAACAAGATGACAAAATAGGCTTGATAGTGGATAAACAAATATTTTCAAATAGTTTTTAGGCTACGCACTATGAGTGAAGCTCACTCAACAAATCAGTTCCTGCTCTTCCCCTCTACTAATTCTGTATTTCTTTTATCCTGCAAGTTTTCTCTATGTAAAACATCCCTATTATTCCTTAAAGACCCAATTAACATGTTGCCTCCTCAGTGAATAATTTCCTGATTTGGGCAGTCAAAGAGCACTTTGCTCAACTTTCCATTTTAGGACTTGATGTTTTAAATCAAGACAGATTGGATTTTCTGTCTCCTGATGTACTAGAAGAACTGTATATATTTCTTTCAAAATCTGTCTTCCCTCTTAGACTGTATGCTTATTATTCGTTCATTCCATCATTTACTTAATATATTTACAGATTTCCTATTGATGGTAAAGCATGATCAAGACAGAAAAGTGTAAATCATTGCCCTCAAAGTCTTTAAATGTATTTACATGTTTGTTAGGCTATGTAGTGGAGGCAACTGCATGGAAGAAATTCATTGGTGGAGATAGATTAAGCTCAATATTGAGTTTAATGTGCTTTGGAGGACAGCCAAAGGGAAAGAACCAAGAGACATTGAATTTACATGGGTTTAGAACAAAGATCATGGCTACCAAATAAAAACTCATCTATATGTGATAGCTATGAATTTGGATGACATGATACACGCTGTATACTTAAGTTAAAAGATGTCACAGAAATCTCGAAGAATAACTAAAACACCAAAATGGAAGCTGCTTGAGATCAGAAATATTTTCCATTCATGGTTGGATCCTCATTACCTGGAACAGTGCTCAACACATCCTAAGAAGATGTTCATTTAAGTTTTAGGAAAGGTTCAAATAAATGAATGACTTTAAGGACCAGAGAAACATAAACATAAAATGAGACCACTAAGAGGTTCCTGAATCATGATTTGAACCAGGGTCTCTCAGTTCAAAGTCTTTGCTCTCTCTATCATATCCGACTGCCTTATAAAAGGCAAAATGGTGACATAAGAAAAGAGTAAAGGCAAAAATGAAGTAACATATGCATATAGCTGAGCTAGACAATGTAAAGTCAAGCCCAATGTGTTTTTCTTCCACAATTTCATGTGATTGTTTTAAGGACAATGGGGAGTCTTCATTTCTGATGTATAAGTTCCCCAAAGAAAAAAGCTTTGTATAATCACTTGATCAAAAATTAGACTTGTGATGAGAAGGCTGAATGCCTATTTGCATTTCTCTTCATTGCTCAAACACACACACATGCACCACTGATATACAAGAGATAGGAAGAGGTGATGAGAGGGGGAGAGAGGAAGGAAAAGAGAGAGAAAAAAAGAAGAAAATGATAGAAGAAAATAACAGACCCCATTTTCCTAAAACTTTGTCTTTTAAACCTAATTACACCAATAATGATGCACACTTATTTTAATGGAGATTTTGATTGTGTAATTATTAACACTTACAATGTGGCAGAGTATTATTCAGAAACTAATTACAAACTATGCTAGTTGAAAAGCCAGAGGGGATAAAAAATGCCTGATCATTGACCTGTTCCCCTGAAGACCCTAGTCCGAGGCCCCTCTAGATGGATCAATGATTGCCTGAGATCCTCTTTGCAGGAGGTGGCATAAGGTAGGAGTTCACCCCCTCAGAATGCAGAGAGGTAAAAAAGAAAGAGCTAGGGATTGGAGCAAAATAAAACAAAACTAAATTCCCGTGTAAATACCAACCTACAACTTCTCAGCTGTGCAAATAGGAGACTCACTTAACCTCATCAAATTTTCATTCCCCCATTTACCTTCCCCAGAGGATTGTTGGGTGCATTGGTCATTGGTCATAAAGCACTCCTAGCACAAAAAGGACACTCAGTGCATGCCAACAGATGGTGGAGTTGGGAGAAAGCACAGGCAAAGAGGAGGTGTTTGTCATGTGGACATCATCATGAGGACTAAGAATAAGAATGTTCTTGTTCTGGGTTAAATTGTATTCCCAAAAAGATATGTTGAAATCTTAATCCCCAGGATCCAGTGAATCCTTTGTTTGGAAACGGGATCTTTGCAGATGTAATGAAGTGGCAATGAGGTCATTAGGGCGGGACTTGATCCAGTATGACTGGTGTCCTTATAAGAAACAGCTATAAAGACACAGACATACAGGGAAAACACATGTGAAGATGCAAGCAGAAATTGGAGTGATGTCTATAAGCCAAGAGATGCCAAGGTTTGCTGGCAGCACCAGAAGCTAAAAGAAAGGCATGGAACAGAATCTCTGCTAAAGCCTTCAGGGAGAGGGAGCACAGCCCTGCCAAGACCTTGATTTCAGACTTCTGTTCTCCAGAACAGTGAGAAAATAAATTTCTGTATTTAAAGCCCCACATTGTGGAACTTTGTGCCCACATTGTGCCCCAGGAAACTAGAGTAGGAAAGCATTAGCATGGCTGGTGCACAGTTAGGGCTTGTCTCCTCTCTTTCCCCACCATCCTTCCCATCACATTTCCTATTGTTAGAGGCTGATTCCTCCTGTAAGCCTTAGATTTTAGTCCCTGGGTGTTATTTATTAATGGCATGACCATGGGCACAATGGCAGTGCCTATACCATGGCTCACCAACTGGTGTCCCCATGACTTCTCTTCTTCTATCAGTCTCTTTAAAATCTAGATAACTGTTTCAAAATCTAAATGTGATTATTAATTCACCCTCCATCAAGCCCTTCCCAGGCTTTCCCGTGTTTTTAAGATAAATACAAAAACCTTCTCACGGTCTGTATGGCCAGGCCATGCCCACCTGCCCCCATCTGGTTTCCTACCACTCTCCTGCTAAGTCTTGGTCTTACAGCTACACAGTAGGAAGCATAGTGCAATTGAGGATTTGAAAGGCCAGGTCTAGGCCCTTTCCACATGAGACCTACTGTCAGAAATGGTCCTCACAACTCCCTTCTCCCAGTTAGTGTCTAGCACAACTTCTGTCCTCTTGCCTGGCTTCAGATCCATTGGCCATCTTAACTTTGATGCCCTCTACTTTCTAATAATCTTCCTAACTGTGGTTTTTGTGGATTAGCATAATTGACAATGGATATATATGGGTCCAAAGCCCAGATTTCTCAATACGCACCACATGGTTTTGTCTGAGTTACTTGTACTTCTTTAATCCTGTAAATAAGAAAGTATACACTATTCACCTTTTAAATAGACTATTAGAGATCATGTGAAAAATTAGAAAAATTTAGTTTAAGAACACTTAAATAACTTTCTCAAGGTTAAAAAGTAAGAAAGTTTAAAAACTGAGATTTTTCAACTAAGTCCTGTATTTTTCTCCCTCTTGATCACAGTTCATAGTTGTTTTTTTTTTTTAATTCAAGATATTTCCTATTGTTCTCCCAGGATTATGGCACACTCAGGCAAATGCACATTTGTTCCCAGTCTGAATTTAAGCTTTTCTTCTTTGCTGATGTTAGTTTAAATCCTCTGCTCCCACCTACTAAAAGAAAAAGAGGGAAAATAATGAAGAGAAGTGGAACAAATGAAAAGAGATGTCATATCACAAGAAATCTTGATTACTCCACTTGAAATGCTGTGTTATTGCAGAATGTGTGCTGGAGCTTTGGAGAGAAGTATTCAAAAATTAGCCAAGGTTAAATAATCAGTATGAATGTACCTGAGCCAAATAGATTATAACATTCTAAGAGAAATTTTTCACAGGATGGAGAAAAATGCTGTAAAATTAAAATTTGAGAATAAGTTTGACATTCATGTGTTAGTTTACATCAGCATGGATATGAAGAAAATAGCACATCCTTCTGGGGAAAGGCAAGTGGAAAGGAAAGTCCAATGTTGACTGATTCCTTCTACTTGTTTGGAAGCAATATGAACACTGTTTTGGGTGCCCTTCATGTGTAAACTTATACTTTCCTTAGGTCAAGCCCAAGTTTCTTTTTTCTTTTTTTTTTTTTTTTTTGAGAGGGAGTCTCACTCTGTTGCCCAAGCTGGAGTGCAGTGGCACGATCTCAACTCACTGCAAGCTCCACCTCCTGGGTTCATGCCATTCTCCAGCCTCAGCCTCCTGAGTAGCTGGGACTACAGGCATCCACCACCACGCCTGGCTAATTTTTTTGTAATTTTAGTAGAGACGAGGTTTCACCATGTTAGCCAGGATGGTCTCGATCTCCTGACCTCATGATCCTCCCGCCTCAGCCTCCCAAAGTGCTGGGATTAGAGGCGTGAGCCACCACGCCCGGCCAAGCCCAAGTTTCTTATATCCTCTCTATCTCATCCTTCCAGAGCTAGTCTTTTCATTTTTCCATTGTAGTCTTTTTGTTCTGCACCAAAAATCAGTCTTGACTTAAAGCAGAAAACATGTAACCAGGAAGGCATATTTGAAAAAACATAGATTGAGAGACAAGTGGACTTACATTTGCATTCTGGCTTGGTCTTGCCGGGAAACACTGAGCCCTTCACTGTGATTTTCAATCTTAGTGTTCTTGCCTCTACAATGATGATGATAAGCCTCTATCACACACCAGTTGGAAGGGTTTAGTGCAATTTAATGCAATGAAACAATATTTGATTGACACAGTGTGCTCCTCAACTGTGTGCTCCTTAACTGGAGGTCTTGGTTGCAAGCAATGAAAGATGACTCTGTATGCTTAAACAGAGAAAAGGTGTTTAAAAAGGATATTGGCAGCTCAGTTAGTTTGGAGGAAGGCTGGAAATTAAACTCATGTGTAGATTTCCAGCAATGCCCCAAACAAAGCCTGATGAGAAATCACTGTTGCCCATAAAGGATTTGAGGAAACTGCCCTCCTGCCTTCAGCCTTGTCACTTCTGCCCACAAAGACCACTTGGCCACCTCCAGCTTTTTAAGAAACCCAGGAGGTGTCCTTATTAGAAGTGAGGCTTAGAAACCCTTATATTCTGCCCTGGGCAGGAACCATCCTGACGTTCCTCAGTTCTGCTCATCTGAGTCTCACAGCAAAACACACCTGTCTCTAGTCACTTAATTTATTCCACGATTGGGAATAAAACATCAGACCAAAGCATCATTCAGTGCATTCTCACCCACATTTTTATTTGTTTACTGTCTGCCTGAGCCTCACCCCCCCACCCACTGCCCCAACACAAGACTTACACTTATGTTTTCTGTGTGTGTCTCTTTTTTTCCTTTTTGTGGAGAATGGGGTCTCACTATATTGCCCAGGCAAGTCTCAAACTCCTGGGCTCAAGCTATCCCCTACCTCTGCCTCCCTAAAAGCTGGCATTACAGGCGTGAGCCACCATGCCCAGCCCAACACTAGACTTAAGCTTCATGAGGGTAGGGCCAATTTGTTTATTATAGCATCATCTATGCCTGGAATAGGGACCAGCAAGTGTTTCCCATAAGTATTTCATGAATAAATGAATGTCCTGAGAGCCCTTTCCTTTAGAGAGATGAGTAGAGCAGGACCTTGGAAGTCTTAACTTCCACAGAAAACCAAGGTATTGAGGGGGATGGAATGGAGAAAAGAAAGAAAGGAAAGGAAAGAAGAGAAAAAGGAAAGGAAAGGAAAGGAAAGGAAAGGAAAGGAAAGGAAAGGAAAGGAAAGGAAAGGAAAGGAAAGGAAAGGAAAAGAAAGGAAAGGAAAAAAGAGAGAAAGAGAAAGAAAGAAAAAAGAGAGAAAAAGAAAGAAAGAAAAACAGAAAGAAAGAGAATGGGAAAAAGAAAAAAGAAAAAGAAAGAAAGAAAAAGAGAGAAAAAAGAAAAAGAAAGAAGGAAAGAAAGAAGAAAGAAAGAAAGAAAGAAAGAAAGAAAGAAAGAAAGAAAGAAAGAAAGAGAAAGAAAGAAAGAAAGAAAGAAAAGAAAGAAAGAAAACAGAAAGAAAGCAAAGCATCTGTGCTCTAGAAGTAATGACAGGACTTGGCTGACAATGTAGCGCTATCATACGTTGTCAATTACAAATCCTGCCTTGTCAATTACAGAGGTGCCCTTGGCTTTCCTGCCAAGGCTCTCCCTGAAGCTGCCTGTCTTCATTTTCCTCTCATCAACCCACATGGCCCAAAGTCTCCTTATAGAGGAGACTCCTATACAGATAAAAGAAACAAGTGCTACGTATGTTTATTGCAGCACTGTTCACAATAGCAAAGACTTGGAACCAACCCAAATGCCCATCAATGAAAGACTGGGTAAAGGAAATGTGCCACATACACACTATAGAATACCATGCAGCCATAAAAAAGGATGAATTCATGTCATTTGCAGGGACATGCATGAAGCTGGAAACCATCATTTTCAGCAAACTAACACAGGAACAGAAAGCCAAACACTGCATGTTCTCACTTATAAGTGGGAGTCGAACAATGAGAACACATGGACACAGGGAGGGGAACATCACACACCGGGGCCTGTCAGGTGGTCAGGGGCTAGGGAAGGGATAGCATTAGGAGAAATACCTAATGTAGATGAGGGGTTGGTGGGTACAGCAAACCACCATGGCATGTGTATACCTATGTAACAAACCTGCACATTCTGCACATGTATCCCAGAACTTAATCTATAATAATAAAAAAAAGAAAAAAAAAAACAGAACAAAGCAAAAAAAAAAAAAAAAAAACAAGTGCTGAGGAAACCCACAGCACCCATCTACCATAATTCCTCTAGTTATTTCCTCATCAATAGCAGTCTAGGTCCAGGGATCTCTAGACGTTTGAGTAAAATCAACAGACGGCATCAAATAACAATCAGAATTCACTTTGAGCTCTTACCATAAGCATGACAACATCTAAGCTCATTATACCTACCACCTTATTTAACCCTTTAACCCTCACAAAACTCTATGAGGAAAGTACAATGTCTACCTCATTTTATAGATAAGGAAAGAGAAACACAGAGAGGTTAAGTAACATGTCAAAGTCCCACAGGTAGTGAGAGCCAGAGCCAGGATCCAAACTTAAGCCACATCATTACAGGGATTCAGAACATGAGGAAAAAAAGATAGATTAGAAAATAGGGCCACACTTTGTTTCATTTTCCTATTCTCCTTCCAAATGATACCAGCAAAAGATTTATTAAGCTATTGCATCCCCAGAAGGGCAGGCTGCCACAAAAAGCAGAAAGAGAGACAGAGAAAGAATCAGCTAAGAAGATTAATTCTTGGAGATTAAAATTATCATTGCCAACTTAAAAAATTCATAGAATGGTTGAAGATTACGATTCAGCAATATAAACCGAAACAGTTATCGAACATAATTATAAAACACAACTTGGAATTTTTGACTGAAATTTTTATATCCTCCAAACCTTTGATCCAATGATTGCTCTTTCAGGAGGTGTCTTACAGAGGCGTTTCATCTTGTGCACCAAGCAGGTTTTGGGGTGTCATAAAGCCTCACTGGCAATACCTTAAAACCTGGAAACTTTTAAAATGCCCATTAGTCAGCATATAATGCTATTACTTTTAATAGCAAAAAAAAAACACAGTTACTTTTGTACCAACCTAATAAATTATATTTATCTTTATTATGGAATACTGTTCATATATTTTGTTTTGTTTTGTTTTAAGGTAAGCACAAATATATGTACTGATATGGAAACATATTTATTATATATTCAGTTTTTAACAATCAAGCTTCTATATTTCTATTTTATAAAGCCTGGTAATGAACATACAGTCGTCCCTATGTATCTGTTGAAGATTGGTTGCAAGATCCTCTCCCTACCTCCTGTGGATACCAAAATCTATGCCTGAACACTCAAGTCTCTGATATAAAATAGCATAGTATTTGCATATAAACTATGTACATCTCCCATGTACTTTAAATTATCTCTCTGCTGGGTGTGGTGGCTCATGCCTGTAATCCCAGCACTTTAGGAGGCTGAGGCGGGTAGATCACGAGGTCAGGAGTTCAAGACCAGCCTGGCCAACATAGTGAAACCCCATCTCTACTAAAAATATTAAAAAAAAAAAATAGCCAGGCATGGTGGCAGGTGCCTGTAGTGCCAGCTACTTGGGAGGCTGAGGCAGGAGAATCGCTTGAACCTGGGAGGCAGAGGTTGCAGTGAGCTGAGACTGCACCACTGCACTCCAGCTTGGGCAAAAGAGTGAGACTTCGTCTCAAAAAAAAAAAATTATCTCTCGATTATTTATAATACCTAATACAATGTAGAAGCTGTGTCAATAGTTGCTATACTGTATCATTTCTTAAATTTGTGTTATTTTTAATTGTTGTATTGTTATTTTTTCCAAATATTTTGAACTTTGGTTGGTTGACTCAGCAGTTAGTTGACTCAGCATTTGGTTGGATCTCCACATGCAAAACCCCAGATACAGAGGGCCAACTAGGTGAATGTACCTGTGCGGTGAACTGGATCTGGAAAGATGTTCATGAGCTGTGAATAATAGGACTTAAACATGGCAATAACAGCAAACATAGGCAAACAGAAAAGTCAGGCGAGGGATAGGGGCTTTTCCCACACTGTGCTCCCATGGTTGGATTTGTCTTCAAAGAGCATGTACAACATTTGTAATTAAAAAAAAAAAAAAAGACTTTTCAGCAGGGCACGGTGTCTCATGCCTGTAATCCTAGCACCTTGGGAGGCCGAGGTGGGAGGATCACCTGAGGTTAGGAGTTCAAGACCAGCCTGGCCAACATGGTGAAACCTCATCTCTACTATAATACAAAAATTAGCCGGGCGTGGTGGCAGGTGCCTGTAATCCCAGCTACTCGGGAGGCTGAGATAGGAAATCGCTTGAACCCGGGAGACGGTGGTTGCAGTGAGCCACGATCATGCCATTGCACTCCAGTTTGGGTGGCTGAGCAAGATTTTTCTAAAATCTAAAAGGCACGCACAGCTCAGAGGGAAGAAAGTGAGTCCCATACAGTCTCTGCTACTAACTGGCAATGTGGCTACGTGCATTCTACTCCCCTTTTAGAGCTTCGGTTTCCTCATCTGTAAAATAAACAGAGAGTCTGAGAGCCCAAAGTGGTGAGCGGAGACCCAAATACACACAGAGAGACACCAAAATGTGTCCTTGCTTGTTCATAGGTTACATTTACGAAGAATGCCAGCATCTCTCCTAAATGGAAGTCTTGCAAAATCTCTTTTGTCTCTCCATGAGCAGTGGATTAGATTTTTTGCTTGATTTCTCTTAAAATCACTGTGCCTGCCTGCTTCTGAGGAGATCATCCTGTCTTCTCTGTCATGGACTGCACTGTTCTTCTCTGTATCCAGGAAAAATGTAACATTTAAACAGACTGGATTTTTTTTTCTTTTCAAATATAGGCACAACTGACAGGAACAGGCCTGGGAGCCTAAACGAGGGTGTTAACTGCAGAGATATTTATCCACCTCCAGTTTCAGTTGCTTTTCTGCATATTCCCAATTCTCTGTAACAAATAAGCTTTGCTTCTAAACAAAGAAGAAAAACAAAAGAACCCATATACTTCCAAACAAACACTCCCACTCCCATGGAAACATCCATCTTTTGCATTTCAACTCGTCTTCAGCCTATACATGCAATGTCTCCCAGATCTTCAAACTTTATTAAGAAAAGGTTGGCCTTGAACAGTTAGCTCCTGTAAATAAATGACTTTCCCATGAGTAAGAGCAGCACAGTCATTTCCAGGAAACCAAGCTGAAATGCTCTAAGGCTGAGTGCAGCTCAACCACTCAGGGAACATTTATAAAAGGGGACCCTGAGCCAATGGAAAGAGGCTAGACCAGGAGCAAGGGCTCATGCATTTAAAACTGAAATTGGACTTAATCGATGGCCAAATCCCGACCAGGCCCCTGACTTCACTGTGACCACATAAAAATTCTTTAACCCCTCAGAGCTTGTTTCTGATTCCTGGGGCTATATTAATGTAAGTAACAAAATCTGAGTGGCTTGGAAAAACAGACATTTATTCTCTCACCGTTTAGGAGGCCAGAAGCCAGATATTGAGGTGTCAGAGGGACTGGCTCCTTTTGGAGGCTCTGAGAATCTGATCCAAGGTATTCACCTGGCTTCTGGTGGTTGCCAGCAGTCCTTGGCGCTCCCCTTGTGTGTCTCTGTGTGTCTTCTCCTCTTCTTATAAGGACACCAGTCATTAGTTTGAGGCTCACCTGACTGCAACTGAAAAGGCCCTATTTTCAGATAAGCTCACATTCACAGGTACCAGGGGCCAGGACCTAAACAAATCCTTTTGGGGAATATAGTTATACTTACAAGAGAGCTCCAGTCATTATCTCTAGCCTGCATCCGGGTATTTGTTATGAGAATAAATGAAACAAAATCATTGACTGCATGGGCCATGACATGTGGGTGTTCATATATGAGAACAATAATAACGACTGTTTTAGCATTCAGGCTCCAAATATACATGGTGAAAATGTGGAGGTCCTTTTATCACACAAAGATGTTTCAAGCTTCCACAATGAGATAAGCTCCGAGTGAGGGACCAGAGGCACACAGACAATAGAAGATGCAGCCAAAGGACGGGAAGGAGCCGGCCTGAGCATTCGCTATTGGTGGACTCATCTTCATCAGGTTGATGGGAAGGATCCAGGGTTCAATTTGAGGAAAGGATTGAGATTCACATTTGAAATCAACAGAAGGAAACAGCACAGATTGCCCAGGGAGATGCAGCATTTTGCAGCCAGAAGTGTCCTTGAGACCCAAGACTCCTGGGAATTTGCAGAATCCCTGGGGAAGGCTTCCAAATCCAGCCAGCCTTCTCTGGACCTTGAGGGTCACAGGACCACAACAAACAGCCAGGTGACAGAGTGAAATAGCTGTTGCACAGGAGGAGCACAGAGAGGGATACATTCCCCTTTTGCCAAGAGAGAAACTGCAGTCTCTCAATGGATGCCCTTGGTGAGAAACATAGACTCCCACCTGCCCAGTATCTAAACAAGGCTCTCTGGAATGCAGCAGCCCTTCTCGAGTGGTGTAAGTTACTCCTTCTTCCACGGGCCACCATGACCCTGAGTGCCCTTCCCAGGCAGGGCTCTGGTCCACATCATTCTCCTTTGCAAGGGCAAGTTCACAGAACTTCTTAAGGGCTCTAAACACAGACTCACAAACCAAAGACTACGGTTTTCAGAACCAAACTGTCCATGAGAAGATGAGAGCCAAACAAGGAAACAGCCCACAGGGGCTCTGAGTAATAACAGATTCTCCAAAGCAATGCCTGTGTGCACATGCACTCTCACGCCCAGGGATCGCCCCAGCCCACCTCACGCCA
This sequence comes from Homo sapiens, assembly GCF_000001405.40. NCBI lineage: Eukaryota > Metazoa > Chordata > Mammalia > Primates > Hominidae > Homo > Homo sapiens. The sequence continues at coordinate 10,781,949 of NC_000004.12, read as the reverse complement.
ACTCACAGAAACTGAAATACCAAGCAAGAAAATAAGAGAGAGAGGAAAAGAATAAGAGGAGCTGCACAGAATCACGATTTAACACACCACTCTTCTTAAAAGAGACTGGAGAGAGATGCAGGAACAGAAAGCTGCTTCTAAAGAAGGGAAGAAAACAGAGCAGAGTGGGAGAACCTGGAGCAAAGCAAAGGACCCCCAGATAGAGCCCAGTTATTCTTAGCATCGTCGACTCCCATTTTAGGATAGGCAATAATTGTGCAAGAAATTTTAGGTTAAATGTTACCATAACATGTGCACATGCGCACACACACACAAACTCAACTTGAGTCAGAAAACAAACATGATTTGAATCAAATCTCTGCCACTTGCTGGCTTTGAGACTTTGGGTGGAATCCTTAAGCTCTTGCTGTCTCCATGTTCTGTGGTGTAAAATGGAATTCACATAACCATGTTCCAGAATTACCATGGCCATTTTGTGAGATAGTTTAGGTAAAGTTCAAGAAACATAGTAGTTAAAAATAAATATACCGGGGAGGAGCCAAGATGGCCGAATAGGAACAGCTCCAGTCTACAGCTCCCAGCGTGAGCGACGCAGAAGATGGGTGATTTCTGCATTTCCATCTGAGGTACCCGGTTCATCTCACTAGGGAGTGCCAGACAGTGGGCACGGGTCAGTGGGTGTGCCCACCGTGCGCGAGCTGAAGCAGGGCGAGGCATTGCCTCACCTGGGAAGCACAAGGGGTCAGGGAGTTCCCTTCTGAGTCAAAGAAAGGGGTGATGGACGGCACCTGGAAAATCGGGTCACTCCCACCCTAATACTGCGCTTTTCCGACGGTCTTAAAAAACGGCACACCACGAGATTATATCCCGCACCTGGCTCGGAGGGTCCTACGCCCACAGAGTCTGGCTGATTGCTAGCACAGCAGTCTGAGATCAAAGTGCAAGGCGGCAGCGAGGCTGGGGGAGGGGCGCCTGCCATTGCCCAGGCTTGATTAGGTAAACAAAGCAGCTGGGAAGCTCCAACTGGGTGGAGCCCACCACAGCTCAAGGAGGCCTGCCTGCCTCTGTAGGCTCCACCTCTGGGGGCAGGGCACAGACAAACAAAAAGACAGCAGTAACCTTTGCAGACTTAAATGTCCCTGTCTGACAGCTTTGAAGAGAGCAGTGGTTCTCCCAGCACGCAGCTGGAGATCTGAGAACCGGCAGAATGCCTCCTCAAGTGGGTCCCTTACCCCTGACCCCCGAGCAGCCTAACCGGGAGGCACCCCCCAGCAGGGGCACACTGACACCTCACACGGCAGGATACTCCAACAGACCTGCAGCTGAGGGTCCTCTCTGTTAGAAGGAAAACTAACAAACAGAAAGGACATCCACACCAAAAACCCATCTGGACATCACCATCATCAAAGACCAAAAGTAGATAAAACCACAAAGATGGGGAAAAAACAGAACAGAAAAACTGGAAACTCTAAAAAGCAGAGTGCCTCTCCTCCTCCAAAGGAACGCAGTTCCTCACCAGCAACGAAACAAAGCTGGATGGAGAATGACTTTGACGAGCTGAGAGAAGAAGGCTTCAGACGATCAAATTACTCTGAGATACGGGAGGACATTCAAACCAAAGGCAAAGAAGTTGAAAATTTTGAAAAAAATTTAGAAGAATGTATAACTAGAATAACCAATACAGAGAAGTGCTTAAAGGAGCTGATGGAGCTGAAAACCAAGGCTCGAGAACTACGTGAAGAATGCAGAATCCTCAGGAGCCGATGAGATCAACTGGAAGAAAGGGTATCAGCGATGGAAGATGAAATGAATGAAATGAAGCGAGAAGGGAAGTCTAGAGAAAAAAGAATAAAAAGAAATGAGCAAAGCCTCCAAGAAATACGGGACTATGTGAAAAGACCAAATCTACGTCTGATTGGTGTACCTGAAAGTGATGGGGAGAATGGAACCAAGTTGGAAAACACTCTGCAGGATATTATCCAGGAGAACTTCCCCAATCTAGCAAGGCAGGCCAACATTCAGATTCAGGAAATACAGAGAACACCACAAAGATACTCCTCGAGAAGAGCAACCCCAAGACACATAATTGTCAGATTCACCAAAGTTGAAATGAAGGAAAAAATGTTAAGGGCAGCTAGAGAGAAAGGTCGGGTTACCCTCAAAGGGAAGCCCATCAGACTAAGAGTGGATCTCTCGGCAGAAACCCTACAAGCCAGAAGAGAGTGGGGGCCAATATTCAACATTCTTAAAGAAAAGAATTTTCAACCCAGAATTTCATATCCAGCCAAACTAAGCTTCATAAGTGAAGGAGAAATAAAATACTTTACAGACAAGCAAACACTGAGAGATTTTGTCACCACCAGGCCTGCCTTACAAGAGCTCCTGAAGGAAGCACTAAACATGGAAAGGAACAACCGGTACCAGCTGCTGCAAAATCATGCCAAAATGTAAAGACCGTCGAGACTAGGAAGAAACTGCATCAGCTAACGAGCAAAATAACCAGCTAACATCATAATGACAGGATCAAATTCACACATAACAATATTAACTTTAAATGTAAATGGACTAAATGCTCCAATTAAAAGACACAGACTGGCAAATTGGATAAAGAGTCAAGACTCATCAGTGTGCTGTATTCGGGAAACCCATCTCACATGCAGAGACACACATAGGCTCAAAATAAAAGGATGGAGGAAGATCTACCAAGCCAATGGAAAACAAAAAAAGGCAGGGGTTGCAATCCTAGTCTCTGATAAAACAGACTTTAAACCAACAAAGATCAAAAGAGACAAAGAAGGCCATTACATAATGGTAAAGGGATCAATTCAACAAGAAGAGCTAACTATCTTAAATATATATGCACCCAATACAGGAGCACCAAGATTCATAAAGCAAGTCCTGAGTGACCTACAAAGAGACTTAGACTCCCACACATTAATAATGGGAGATTTAACACCCCACTGTCAACATTAGACAGATCAACGAGACAGAAAGTCAACAAGGATACCCAGGAATTGAACTCAGCTCTGCACCAAGCGGACCTAATAGACATCTACAGAACTCTCCACCCCAAATCAACAGAATATACATTTTTTTCAGCACCACACCACACCTATTCCAAAATTGACCACATACTGGGAAGTAAAGCTCTCCTCAGCAAATGGAAAAGAACAGAAATTATAACAAACTATCTCTCAGACCACAGTGCAATCAAACTAGAACTCAGGATTAAGAATCTCACTCAAAACTGCTCAACTACATGGAAACTGAACAACCTGCTCCTGAATGACTACTGGGTACATAATGAAATGAAGGCAGAAATAAAGATGTTCTTTGAAACCAATGAGAACAAAGACAACATACCAGAATCTCTGGGATGCATTCAAAGCAGTGTGTAGAGGGAAATTTATAGCACTAAATGCCCACAAGAGAAAGCAGGAAAGATCCAAAATTGACACCCTAACATCACAATTAAAAGAACTAGAAAAGCAAGAGCAAACACATTCAAAAGCTAGCAGAAGGCAAGAAATAACTAAAATCAGAGCAGAACTGAAGGAAATAGAGACACAAAAAACCCTTCAAAAAATTAATGAATCCAGGAGCTGGTTTTTTGAAAGGATCAACAAAATTGATAGACCGCTAGCAAGACTAATAAAGAAAAAAAGAGAGAAGAATCAAATAGACGCAATAAAAAATGATAAAGGGGATATCACCACCGATCCCACAGAAATACAAACTACCATCAGGGAATACTACAAACACCTCTACGCAAATAAACTAGAAAATCTAGAAGAAATGGATACATTCCTGGACACATACACTCTCCCAAGACTAAACCAGGAAGAAGTTGAATCTCTGAATAGACCAATAACAGGAGCTGAAATTGTGGCAATAATCAATAGCTTACCAACCAAAAAGAGTCCAGGACCAGATGGATTCACAGCCGAATTCTACCAGAGGTACAAGGAGGAACTGGTACCATTCCTTCTGAAACTATTCCAATCAATAGAAAAAGAGGGAATTCTCCCTAACTCATTTTATGAGGCCAGCATCATTCTGATACCAAAGCCAGGCAGAGACACAACCAAAAAAGAGAATTTTAGACCAATATCCTTGATGAACATTGATGCAAATATCCTCAATAAAATACTGGCAAAACGAATCCAGCAGCACATCAAAAAGCTTATCCACCATGATCAAGTGGGCTTCATCCCTGGGATGCAAGACTGGTTCAATATACGCAAATCAATAAATGTAATCCAGCATATAAACAGAGCCAAAGACAAAAACCACATGATTATCTCAATAGATGCAGAAAAAGCCTTTGACAAATTCAACAACCCTTCATGCTAAAAATTCTCCATAAATTAGGTATTGATGGGACGTATTTCAAAATAATAAGAGCTATCTGTGAAAAACCCACAGCCAATATCATACTGAATGGGCAAAAACTGGAAGCATTCCCTTTGAAAACTGGCACAAGACAGGGATGCCCTCTCTCACCACTCCTATTCAACATAGTGTTGGAAGTTCTGGCCAGGGCAATTAGGCAGGAGAAGGAAATAAAGGGTATTCAATTAGGAAAAGAGGAAGTCAAATTGTCCCTGTTTGCAGACGACATGATTGTATATCTAGAAAACCCCATTGTCTCAGCCCAAAATCTCCTTAAGCTGATAAGCAACTTCAGCAAAGTCTCAGGATACAAAATCAATGTGCAAAAATCACAAGCATTCTTATACACCAACAACAGACAAACAGAGAGCCAAATCATGAGTGAACTCCCATTCACAATTGCTTCAAAGAGAATAAAATACCTAGGAATACAACTTACAAGGGATGTGAAGGACCTCTTCAAGGAGAACTACAAACCACTGCTCAAGGAAATAAAAGAGGATACAAACAAATGGAAGAACATTCCATGCTCATGGGTAGAAAGAATCAATATCGTGAAAATGGCCATACTGCCCAAGGTAATTTACAGATTCAATGCCATCCCCATCAAGCTACCAATGCCTTTCTTCACAGAATTGGAAAAAACTACTTTAAAGTTCATATGGAACCAAAAAAGAGCCCGCATCGCCAAGTCAATCCTAAGCCAAAAGAACAAAGCTGGAGGCATCACACTACCTGACTTCAAACTATACTACAAGGCTACAGTAACCAAAACAGCATGGTACTGGTACCAAAACAGAGATATAGATCAATGGAACAGAACAGAGCCCTCAGAAATAATGCCACATATCTACAACTATCTGATCTTTGACAAACCTGACAAAAACGAGCAATGGGGAAAGGATTCCCTATTTAATAAATGGTGCTGGGAAAACTGGCTAGCCATATGGAAAAAGCTGAAACTGGATCCCTTCCTTACACCTTATACAAAAATCAATTCAAGATGGATTAAAGACTTAAACGTTAGACCTAAAACCATAAAAACCCTAGAAGAAAACCTAGTCATTACCATTCAGGACATAGGCATGGGCAAGGACTTCATGTCTAAAACACCAAAAGCAATGGCAACAAAAGACAAAATTGACAAATGGGATCTAATTAAACTAAAGAGCTTCTGCACAGCAAAAGAAACTACCATCAGAGTGAATAGGCAACCTACAAAATGGGAGAACATTTTCGCAACCTACTCATCTGACAAAGGGCTAATATCCAGAATCTACAATGAACTCAAACAAATTTACAAGAAAAAAACAAACAACCCCATCAAAAAGTGGGCGAAGGACATGAACAGACACTTCTCAAAAGAAGACATTTATGCAGTCAAAAAACACATGAAAAAATGCTCATCATCACTGGCCATCAGAGAAATGCAAATCAAAACCACTATGAGATACCATCTCACACCAGTTAGAATGGCAATCATTAAAAAGTCAGGAAACAACAGGTGCTGGAGAGGATGTGGAGAAATAGGAACAGTTTTACACTGTTGGTGGGACTGTAAACTAGTTCAAGCATTGTGGAAGTCAGTGTGGCGATTCCTCAGGGATCTAGAACTAGAAATACCATTTGACCCAGCCATCCCATTACTGGGTATATACCCAAAGGACTATAAATCATGCTGCTATAAAGACACATGCCACACGTATGTTTATTGTGGCATTATTCACAATAGCAAAGACTTGGAACCAACCCAAATGTCCAACAGTGATAGACTGGATTAAGAAAATGTGGCACATATACACCATGGAATACTATGCAGCCATAAAAAATGATGAGTTCATGTCCTTTGTAGGGACATGGATGAAATTGGAAATCATCATTCTCAGTAAACTATCGCAAGAACAAAAAACCCAACACCACATATTCTCACTCATAGGTGGGAATTGAACAATGAGATCACATGGACACAGGAAGGGGAACATCACACTCTGGGGACTGTTGTGGGGTGGGGGGAGTGGGGAGGGATAGCATCGGGAGATATACCTAATGCTAGATGACGAGTTAGTGGGTGCAGTGCACCAGCATGGCACATGTATACATATGTAACTAACCTGCACAATGTGCACATGTACCCTAAAACTTAAAGTATAATAATAAAAAAAAAGAAACTATAAAAAAATAAAAAATAAAAAAAATAAAAATAAAAATAAAAAAAATAAAAATAAATAAATAAATAAATATACCAATAATAAAAATCAACATAAAAGTAATAAAATCCACTCATCAGGATTATTTTAGTTAAAATTTTTATTATTATTGTTATTATTTTTTTGAGACAGAGTCTTGCTCTGTCACCCAGGTTGGAATGCAGTGCCCGGGATCTCAGCTTACTGCAACCTCTGCCTCCTGAGTTCAAGCGATTCTCCTGCCTCAGCCTCCCGAGTAGCTGGGACTACAGGCACGTGTCACCACGCCTGGCTAATTTTTGTATTTTTAGTAGAAACAAGGTTTCGCCCTGTTGGCCAGGCTGGTCTCAAACTCCTGACATCAGGTGATCCACCCTTCTTGGCCTCCTGAAGTGCTGAGATTACAGGCATGAGCCACTGCGCTGGCCTAAATTTCTAAAAAGGAAGTTGGACAGATGAACGCTGGGGCTGTATGTCAGGAGTTGGTGTGGAAGTAAAGAAGTAGCAGGTGGAATATTGAAGAAATCAGATAGCCTGGGTCCTGATGCCCAGCCCTGCTGTGTACTGTGAATGCTGGGCGAGTTACTTAACCTCTCTGTACCTCAGTTCCTCCATCTGTACATAGAGAAAGGGTTGCAGTGCAAGTGTATGTTAAGCATGTTAACACTGAGCACTTAGAACAACGCAGGGAACATAGTAACCATTACAAGACTGTTAGCTACTCTCTTTATCACACTCTCAATTATTTATTTATAATTCAACTTAATTTATAATAACTCATTAAGTGATTTCTTATTTGGACTCCAGTGGGCTTTACAGAGATAAGCATGATATTTAGATAATCTTCAGAGTCTCTGTCTATAAATGAGTTGGTTGAGTGTATTATACTTGTTTCATTTATGGAATGTAGCATTTCCCATGCACTAATGCAGAAAAATATCAGCATACCCCTTTATGGCCTTAGAAGACTGTTTTCTGACTTTGGAAAAATGTAAGGCAAAACTCGTGAAGTATTAAGGTACCCAGTCACTTAGATATACCCTGTCTTCTGTGTCATAAGTTTTATTAAATATGTTCTATATGCCAGATACCAAGCTGGGTGCTGAGTGTGGGGACACAGATATTTCGCAGTCAGTGACTCATATCTGGAAACCTACCCATTTATTGAACAGTCTATGTAACATCACAATATCAGATGAAGTTTGCCCAAACCTAGGTAAGTTTCAATTGTTAAGAAGTTCAGCCCTGAGCTGAACACAATTTTAATTAAGAAAACTAAAAAGTACTTCATTCAAAGTGAGTTCCAGTTCAGCATCCAATTTCTCCCTTTTTAAGAATTTTAATGAAGTTTCCCAAGTGTCAGTGTCTCTTCTCTCTGAAGGTGACTTTCACGTCAATTTATCCCTAGTCACCTTGCAACATCAGTGGATGCTTTTCCTCCCTATGTCCCTAAGTTACATTTTGAACTTGGAGAGGAGAAATCTGACTATTCATTGGCACATTTCTTGTACGTCATCACACATACAGTTTCTGGTTCTATGATGAAATAACCCAGTCTTATAAATCTGTCAAGAGAATGAGTTAGATTTTTTTAAGAGTAGATGATACTTTGTTCAAATAAATCTGATTCATGGAGAGTTTTAATGCTCCTTTTGAAAATATTTTTAAAAGCATTTTTTGGTAACAGCCCCACCCTCATGAGAGGCTGAAGAACATACTTGAAACACAAGACATAATCAAATAAGGGCACAGGAGCAATATAGAAGTGAGTTTAAATCCCAGCCCTTTAATTGAATCAAATCCAATATCAGGGAGGAGATTACGTTTCTCTAGTGTTTCAAGGGCTGGCCTATGACCTGAGTCAGTGTGTCATTGCTGGGACAGGACAACGGCATGGGGACTCTGAACCACCCTCTGTCTATATTCTTGGGCAAGCCATTGACCTCTTTGAGCTACTCATTCTTTGCATTTCTGAACCCCAAAAAACAATGTCTATTAAGAACGTGAAATGAGCCCTTTAAATGTCAGCACCCATCCTTCCCAAAACAGAGCAGATCAAAACAAAACACTTTTCATTCTGCACCTGGTCTTCAGGCTATAAACGACTATTTCCCCCAGCTCTGGCCCCTTCGTTGGTAACACTGAGTACACAAGCAAATGTGCTTTGGCAAGACAGGATGTTTTTTCAGCTGAAATGGTAGTGGTTCAATTAGCTTAGCAGTTTGCAGAGAAGATTCATTCAAAACACTGAAAAGCAAACATTGGAAAAATGGAAAGTTATTTCCCAGCTTGCTCTGGAGGTATTTTAAACTCTGAAGATCAACAGAAAAAGAGCTATAAGAAAGTGTCTTGGTCCAACAGAGGTAGAAGTAGCCTCAGACTGAATGAATTCATGTAGAAGTGAGGGCATCTCCCATATTGATTTTGTGTTGTGTGTTCTTATTTACCAAGATTCAAGGTTGTGGGTATTGAGTGTTCCCTCATTATTGCCTGTTGTTCCACTTATTACTCACCTAATTCTTCCTTTCTTTATAATCAATTGTTTATTCTAGCTTTTCCCTCTTTACTAGACCATGATCCAACTGAAGGCATAAATCTTTCTCAGATCCCAAGATAATGAAGAGCACATTAGTAGGTACTTAGAAGAAAGCAGGAATTCAAAGCTTATGGACGAGTCAAGGGCTGACCAACAAACTCAGCCATTGTGGTGTGGCTGGGCTGGAGTCACAAAACTCTGGGTTTTAGTCCTCATTTTAAGACACTGAAAAGTCACTGGTTATCCCTGAACCTCTGTTTTTAACCTAGGAAAAGAGAATTATGTCTCCTAGCTCAGAAGTTACTTTCAGAATTGAAGTGAAGTACAGCATGTTTAAGAGTTGGACACTTGATTATTGCTGGTTTTCCTTCTTCTCTGATAATCAGGCAGTAGGCATGGGCATCAAAGGAAGTCAAGGAGAAAAAGATAAAAATTCAAAGAGATGTCTACTAAACATGCACTATGTCCGGGTCCTTTTGTGCACATTGTCTTCACTTCTTAGTGGTGGTCTGTTGGTCTTTCTAATATTTGACACCACTGATCTCTCTTTTCTTGAAATATCTTTTCTCTGTTGGTCTTGCTGGCTTCAGTTTTTCTGTTCTAAAACCTGCTCTTCCAGGTTACAGCTGGAGTGAGGCAAGCTAGGTGCCTGGGGCCGACTCTTGGGTTCATGCAGGGCTGACCTTGTGCCTGTATGAACCCAAGAGTGAGTGCCTCATTAAACATTCTGTCCTGTGTGCTTCCCTGCCTCACCTTGGTGCCTGTCCTTTGCCCTGTCTCTTCATTCTTATATTTGATATCTAGGGCTGCCTTAAAAATTACCACAAACTGGATGAATTCCAACAACAACAAAAAATGTATTCTGTCACAGCTCCAGAGGTCAGAAGTCTAAGATTAAGGTGTTGCAGGGCCTCACTTAAGGGTCTCCAAAGGCTCTAAAGAAGACTCTGTTTCTTGCTTCTTCCAGCTTCTGGTACTATTGGTGTTTGTTGGGGTATTTTTGTTTTGGTTTGGTTTGGTTTCTTTTTTTTTTTTTTCTGAAGACAAAGTTTTGCTCTTGTCGCCCAGGGTGGAGTGCAATGGTGGAATCTTGGCTCACTGCAACCTCTGCCTCCCGGGTTCAAGCAATTCTCCTGCCTCAGTCTCCTGAGTAGCTGGGATTACAGGCACCCACCACCATGCCTAGCTAATTTTGTATTTTTAGTAGCGATGGGGTTCCACCACATTGGCCAGGCTGGTCTCGAACTCCTGACCTCCGATGATCCGTCTGCCTTGGCCTCCCAAAGTGCTGGGATTACAGGCATGAGCCACCAGACCTGGCGTTCCTTAACTATGGTTACATCACTTCAATCACTGCCTCTGTCTTCACATCATCTTCTCCTGTTTGTCTGTCCATCTCTCCTCTTTTATCTCTTATAAAAAGCATTTGCCATTGGCTTTAGTGCTCACCTGAATAATCCAGATGACCTTACCTTGAGAATGTTGAGATTTTTAATTTTATCTGAAAAGCTCCTTTTTCCCAATAAGGTCACGTTCACAGGTTCTAGAGATTAGGATATGTTCATACATTTTTGAAGGCCACCTTACAGTTCTTTTCCTCCCTTCTAGTCTTCCTCTTGGACCCCTTTTCTGGATCTTTTGCTCTATCCACAAAGAAATGTCACCATCATCCATGTTTTGGGTAAGAGCTAAAACAGGGAATCCAGTTGAGATGCAGAACGTTTACATTTTGACAGATTGAAATATTCACAGAACTTTATGATTCTCATTTATAACATTCATCAAAATTGTAATTAATTAATTTTGAGACTATAAGCTCAATGAGGACAGGAACTGCAACCTCTTCAAAGCACTAGCCCTAATACTGTGTTTCATTGACACGCAGGAAATATTCCTTGAATATGTGGAGGGAGAAGGACTGGAAGGGTCATAAACACCACTTAGCTTCTTTCTTAAGGGATGATCTGGGATTTACACTCACCTGCTTGGTGTAGGTGGACAACAGCATCTTAGAATGAGAATTGAACTAGAAATCAAAAGAATCATATTTAGATCTTGTTCCCAAGTCCTAGTAGTTGAATCTGAAAATTGGGGAATTAATTCCTGTCCTAGAATTCCAAAACTCCATTATTATTACTGTGCATGCACCCTACGGCATTGGTTCTTGCTGGAAATATGCTTTGAGGTCAAGGGGAAGAACTTAGGAAAGGTACAAATATGCCTGTTTAATGAACCTGGGCCAGATTGTTTTGCACATATCCAGAAGCTTGAATTTCCCCTCCCGCCACCTTTCACAGGGATGTTTACCAGTAGGCACTGGATAAAGGGAGTTGGGTAGCCAGGGACCCCATGCTTGGAGCCCTGAAACCAGGAGTCAAAGCCACTTTTTTCCGCAACCAGTCTTCTTCCTCCTGCCTTGCTTTCCAGTAGTGTGTGTGATACTAGCACATGGTGAGATGCAATTAAAATGTGTGTCATGGAGCGTGAGTATCTTTACATTCTAATTACAGGTTAATAGAATGGACCCAGAGAGATTGCCTAATTAATCTTGGAAAGAGGTGTGTGTATTTAATGATCCTTCAATAAAGGAGCTATGCTTCCTCCAAGAGAACTGGATTGAAAAGGAAGTTAAATTCAGGTAGGAGATTTATTTATAAGTGAATACATACCATCAACATTAAGCTCACAGAAAAGTAGAGTCTACCAAGTAAGTGTAGGCTCAACTGAATTCATGATATTGTAAAAGTATTAGGGTATTAAAGTCACCTACATGATAAAACAAATATATAATGACTTTTACAACAGGGATTGGATTGACTTTACCAGATTGTTATAAATATCTTTTACAAATAGTCTTTAGTTTTTTTAGACAGGGTCTCAGTCTGTTGCCCAGGCAGGAGTGCAGTGACGCAATCATGGCTCACTGCAGCTTCAAACTGTTGGGCTCAAGAGATCCTCCCACGTCACCTCTGGAGAAGCTGGGACTACAGGGGATCCCTACCATGCCCGGATATATATATACATACCTTAGTACAGCCTTGGTTTAGCAAAGTGTTGGGATTACAGGTGTGAGCCACTGTGCCCAGCCAATGGTCATAATTTTTTTTAACCTCCAAGTATCTGTACCATTTGCCATATACTGCTTTGACCATCCTCACTAAAAAAGCAGAATCTATTTCGCCACCCCAGGAATATAGATGAGCCAAATGATTTGCTTTGCCAATGAGATATGAAAAAAATATAATGCAAATGGAGGCCTGAAAATGTACTTGCACAGAGATGCTGTGCTTTTGCACTTCTGCTGTCAGGATGAGAACATGCTGGGGCTAACCTCCAAGGATGAGAAACAGGTGGAATAGACTCACAGTAGCCAAAGCTTGCCTAAGTCAGTCAAGCATCAGCTGACCCCTGGACTCGAGTGAGTCCAGCTCAGATAATCAGTACTGCTTTGACCCCAGATGTGTGAGCAATAATTAACACTTACTATGGTTTTGCAGTTTTTTGCTTTGCAGTACTACTGTGGTCATAGATAACTAATACATGAAATCATAGGTTTGTTGTGAGCACTAAATGGACTGTATGTGAGCATGTTTAACTCAGCAGTTAGCATTCTCAGAGATCTCAATGAATGGCAGGTATCGTTGCAATTATTAACATAGCTCCAGGTTGTTTTCCATGAAGGCATGTTAGGGAATTTGGCTCATAATGCTCCTTTCTTCTTTGTTCTGCTCCTTCCTTTTGGCCCATGGCATGAAATAAACTCTCAATTTCTAGTCATTTATGGTCAAGGGGGCGGGAGACTACATTTAGACTCCCCATTTGAACTTCTACTGGAGGTTTCAAATCAATAAATTCCATAGATTATTTACAGTTCCTCATAGAAGGGCTCATCATTAATTCAACAAATGTTCGTTGAGCCAATATTAGGTTTTAACATACTGTAGGCATAGAAGCAAACAGAATAGATAGAGTTCCTGCCCTCTTGGAGCAAACATTGTTTTGATATACTGATGATTCTACTTAGTCATTCATGTATTTCTTAATGTGTTCATTAACCCAGTAAATATCGTTGATCATCAGTTAGTACTGGGACAGCAGTAAGTATCCTTTCCAGCTTTTTTTTTTTTTTTTTTTTAAGAGAGACAGTGTCTCTGTCTTGCTCTGTCACCCAGGCTGGAGTGCAGTGGCACCATCTCGGCTCACTGCAAGCTCCACCTCCCGGGTTCATGCCATTCTCCTGCCTCAGCCTCCCGAGTAGCTGGAACTACAGGCGCCCGCCACCATGCCTGGCTACTTTTTTTGTATTTTTAGTAGAGATGGAATTTCACCGTGTTAGCCAGGATGGTCGTGATCTCCTGACCTCGTGATCTGCCCGCCTCGGCCTCCCAAAGTGCTGGGATTACAGGTGTGAACCACCACACGCAGCCCCTTTCCAGCTTCTAAAGAGAAACTTAAAGAAATTCAGATTTTTTTAGTGTAAAACTTCTAGATTCTGAAATGTTGGCAGCAAATTAAAAAAAAAAAAAAGTTTTGTGTGGGTCAAACAAAAAAATCAAGGGCCACCATTTGAGATGCCACTTTGTAGCTTGCATTGAAATTATCTGTTTGAATTTTATCTCTTCTTTTAGATTATGAATTCATTTGAGATGAGATCAGTGGATTTACCTTGGTATCTCCCAGGTATTCTGTGCTATGCTTTCAAGTAGGAAGTATCTGTAAATCCTTATGAAATGATTGGTGAGACTCAGTCTCTGTATTCAAGGAATTACAAAGTTATCACAGTGATAAGGTAGATAAGACGTGTTCACAAATAACAATTATATGTTAATAACAATGGTATAGACAACAACTGCTTTCAATTATTAAACACCTAAAATGTCCTGGACACTGTACTAAACCTGAAAATATGCTGACTAATTTAATCATCCCTGCAATTCTACAAAATGCTTTAACCCTACTGTCACCTGAGTATCTCTAAATGCTCTTGTCTTCTGGCTATTTGCCCTGAACATTTAAATTTAAAATGGCTTAAACCTCATTGTCCATAAAGGAGAGAACCAACTCTCTGCCACTTGGAAGTAAATCTCCATAGATCATGAAGACTTCATTTCTATTCCCTTCTTGTTCTAGCATCCTTCCTTCCTCTGCTAGATTCTGGACCTCCCTGTGTTTCATCTTCCATAGTTGATTTATTCTCAAACAACTCAAACATCGTGACAACCCCTTTGCCCTTGGTTCTCCAAAACAACTACAAAAGCAATGTTTTTCAGAGATTCCTGAAGATTTGGGATTGGCAGGTAAGCATATCACTGAACATATACCATAAAATGATATTTCTAAAAAATATATTCAGACATACTATTCTTAAAGTTTCTTGTTTGCATAATACTGGGGAAATGTCACTGGTTACTTCTTCTTCCTGCTAACTTTGTACGAAGTTGCTCAAGAACTCCCTGCCTCAAAACTACCTCTAGTATCTTGAGCTCTGTCACCTCTACTGTATCATTTCCACTAAGACTTCCAGTGGCTCCAGTCGCCCCAGGGAATTCCTAACTTGTGTTCATAGATTGGAATAATTAATATTATTAAAAAGTTTATATTACTCAAAAAATTACAAATTTAATGCAATCCCTATCAAAATTCCAAAGACATATCTCATAGAAATGGAAAAAGAAACAAAAATTCATATGGAACCTAAAAGACCCTGAATAACCAAGGCAATCTTGATCAAAAAGAACAAAAATAGCTGGAATCATCACACTATCTAACGGCAAAATATACTACAAAGCTATTGTAACCCAAACAGCAAGATACTGGCATTAAAAGCAGATACATAGGCCGGGAGCAGTGGCTCACACCTATAATCCTAGTACTTTGGGAGGCCAAGGCAGGTGGATCACCTGAGGTAAGGAGTTTGAGATCAGCCTGACCAACATGGTGAAACCCCATCTCTACTAAAAATACAAAAATTAGCATGTGTGGTGGCATGTGCCTATAGCCCCAGCTACTCTCAGGAGGCTGAGTCAGGAGAATCGCTGGAACCCAGGGGACAGAGGCTGCAGTGAGCTGAGATCATGCCACTGCACTCCAGTCTGGGTGACAGAGCAAGCCTCCATCTCAAGAAAAGAAAAGAAAAGAAAAGAAAAGAAAAGAAAAGAAAAGAAAAGAAAAGAAAAGAAAAGAAAAGAAAAGAAAGGCAGATACATAGACCAATGGAACAGAACAGAGAGCCTAGAAATAAATTCACACATTTTTAATGAACTGACTTTTGACAGAGTGCTAGGAACACACAATGGGAAAACACAGTCTCTTCAGTAAGTGGTGCTGAGAGAGTTGTATATTCACAATCAGAAGACTAAAATTAGACCCTTATCTCATCCCATGTACAAAAATCAACTCAAAATGGACTAAAGACTTAAACATAAGACCTGAAACTGTAAAATTACTAGGCAAAAAAATAGAGAAAATGCTTCATAATATTGCTCTAGGCAATGACATGTATTTTGGATATGACCCCAAAAGCACCAGCAACAAAAGCAAAAATAGACAAATGTGATTATGTCAAACTAAAATCTTCTGCACAGCTAAAAAATCAATCAACAGAGTGAAGAGACAACCTAAGAAATAGGAAAAAATATCTGCAAATCCTGTTAAGTTCTTAGAATGGGTCACCTCTTGTGATGGTTATTTTTATGTGTCAACTTGGCTAAGCCATGATTCCTGGCTTTTTGGTCAAGCACAAGACTGAATGTCACTGTGAAGGTATTTTTAAGAGGTGATTAACATTTAAATCAGGAGACTCTGAGTAAGGTAAATGACCCTCCAGAGTGTGGATGGGCCTCATCCAGTCAGTAGAATGAAAGAGAAGACTGAAGTCCCTAATGAGGAAGGGGTTCTGCCTCTTGACTGCCTTTGGATTCAAGACTGAAACATCAACTCTTGGTAGAATTTCCAGTATGGAATACTGACAATTTTGGACTTGCCAGCTCCTATAATTGCATAAGCCAATTTTTAAAAATAAATCTCTTTATATATTTGTGTATGTATGTGTCCTATTATTTGTTTCCCTGGAGAACCTTGACTAATGCCCCTTTTCTGGCCTTGCACTGCTCTTTTGACATTGCTCTAGGGCAGAGGGGTTATCATATTTCATATCCAACTGGGCCTATCAAGGCATGTCGGCAAACACGGCCAACAAACCCTGAGGATATTTTCCCCAATCCCTAAGAAGGCACAACAAACTATTGGCAGATGGTAGTTGAAGAGTGTTTTCCCTCTTGAATACACTCTTGTTTTGCTTTTGTTTGTTCATTCATAAAGTAAAGAAAATGAAAATTCCAGGGATTGGATTATTTTCCCCCAAGCTATCACATGGTCAGCCTGAACTCATGAATTTCAAAGTTCACGTCTTCCATCATGCCTCACTGTCCCAATAATGTCACAAGAATTAAGACAGATGCACATTGCATGTCTTGGCTCAGTCAGGAACAATTTAACTGGAAGATGAAGACACTAAGACCCTGTAGAATGGGTTGTTCATTCCAGGGATGGTGGGTAGAATGATGGCAGAAGGAAAGGCAGGGAGATGGGGAAAATAGATGATTTATTTGGGGAAATGGGGAATAAAAAAAATCTTGTTGGAACAGAGACTACTCTGGAAACAGCATTGGAATAGGTAGCATAGCTAGAATGAGTGTGAGACATGTTTTAGGGAGGACTTGAATGCTAGGACAATAGCTGCTGTGAAGGACTAAAATGGGTAGCAATCGTATTCGAGTTATAACTGTCCTGTGTGTAATGTCCTTGGACCCCTAACTCTGGGCCTACCTAGAATAAATGAAGAAACTTAACTGTGCAGGAATCAAGATGATGACATAGACATAATTCATAATTTGCAGTCCCTCTTCATATAAATCTGAAGGTCATTTTTAGAATGTGAAAGGCACTTGGGAGGGTTAAATTATTTTTCTCTCATGCCTCTAAAAATTCAAAGCAGATGTGTTTCTGTCTATTATCATAAAGATGCTGCTGACGAGGAACTGCCTAGAAATGGGTGAGATTTCAATGTTGACCTAAAATTGTTCCCTCCTGCAAGATGCTACTTGAAGCTCCACAGCTGTGGTTTCTTTCCTTAGTTTGTTGGTCTTCATCCTGAGGTTTTTCTTGTAACTCTCTCTCCTTGAGCTAGGCCATATTGTTGCCCATCAACTTCTAAGACATTTAGTGCTCCTCCCCTCCTGCCATCTGAATTTTGCATAGACTGATCCCTCTGCCTGAAATGCTCACCCTTAACTTTCTTTCCCATTCATTTCCTACTTGTCCTGCAGATTTGGTTAGAAAGTTCCTTCCCTAGGAAAATCCTTTGTGGGAGTTGGACCTGGGCAAGCCTATTAGACAACACTTATAACACTTTCATGGCAGCTTGTGTATGTAATTCCCCATCTCTGACATCCTGTGGGCCCTATGTCCACCTGTTTCCATTTGATGCTTACCCTTCCTTCAGGTCACTTGAAGTATTACCTGCTACCTGCTGCCTCCCATCTCTACCTAAGCCCCACACTGACTATGCTCACTGCTTCCTTTACTTTAAGCCACTGATAGTATACACTATAGTAGATGAAATACTGGCATCCCATAGATATTCTTGTCTCAATTCCCAGAACCCTGGAATTTGCTACCTTAGATGGCAAAAAGGACTCTGCAAATGTGATTAAGTTAAGAATCTTGAGATAGATAATCCTGGATCATCTTGTTAGTGCTAAAGTAATCACCCACTGTGTTGAGAGAAAGAAATGAGGGAAGCAAGTGGCTACAGTCAGAAGAAGGTGATGAGACAGCAGAAGCGGGGGTTGGAGTTATGAGCTTTGAAGATGGACACGGGGATGACGAGCCAAAAAAAATGTGGCTGGCCTCTGGAAGCTGGAAAAGGCAAAAAAACTGAATTTTCCCTGAAACCTAATGCAGAAACCCAGGCGTACTGACAATTTGATTTTATCCCAATGAGACTATGTTGCCCTTCTGACCTCTAGAAACTGTATGAGAATAATTGTGTTGCTTTAAGCCACAAAGTTTGTGGTAATTAGTTACACCAGCAATAAGAGATGAACACACATATCTCCTTGCTTCATTGTAATAGAACTTCTCTCCCCATCACAAAGCCAGGTCTTCTCAAAGATAAAGAGCTTTCCTTACTCACCTTTGTATTCTCAGCTTGTGTCACAAAGCAAACACAAAGATAATCTTAAGTTTAAAAAAAACCTTTGTTTTAAAAAGGATAATTTTAAAAATACTAAATAAATATATAAATGGATAAATCACTCAGTCTACCAAATTTGCTGGAATGGGCTTTTTTGCTTAACTTTTAAACAAATTTTGTTTTGAATGTTTTATGAAAATGTGCTTCCGAAGAAGGGCACGTACCCTTAGTGGACAGCTCAATGAATGTTCACAAAGTTACTATCCAGCTCCAGAAGCGGAACATTCTCATTGTCTTTAGAAATCCCCATATGTCTCCTTCTGCTCACTACTCACAGCCCAAAAGTTGCCACTCTAGCAGTTTCTACCACTATGTGCTTCTTTTTCAAATAATGCATTCACATGACGAAGAATTCCAATAATCAATAAACATATACAGTGAAAAGTAAGTTGTTGTGAACGTGTTCACTCCTGATTCTTTCCAGAGGCAACTGCTGTCAACAATGTATTGTGAATCCTTTGAGACATCTTTGGTTTATTTCAGTATATATCTGTTGGCTTTTGAGTCACCTTCTGCAGAAAGGTTGTTTTTGGATTAACTGTTACCTTTAATTTTTACGCTAAACCAGCAAACCAAAGCTAGGCATTTTGGAAGCCAACACGCACAGCACAATTCTCAAGAAAAATTACCTCACTCTAGCAGCTAGGGTGCCCACATTGCTTTGCTCACTGACCTCATATCCATCTCTGGCCTGCTGCCCCCTGCCAGATTCACATGCTCCATGATACTAGAAAAGGAATTTTAACATGGCCATAAAGAAAGCAGCTTTGAAAGAAAGCATATTAGTAATAGCTCCTTAGAGGTGAGTTGGCACCCCGCTGTCAAAATCCGCCTTCTGTTTAAAGCCGAGAAAACACAGGCATGTGATTCACTGGTGGTGTCAGTATGTGCATTGGGTGTCAAATTCCAACTGCATGCTGGAGTTGTCTGCTTGCTGGAAAAGGCCGGATGCAAGTGAGAGCCTTGTTGGGGGTGCAGTCATGCAGATGCTAACTCTAGACACATTTAAGGCAATGTGATTCTGACACACTCACCATCTGGGAAAAAATGAGCCTCTCTCTTCCTTTATGCTGGGACAAACCACATCTCCTCCCAGAACTCACTTTTGTACCCCTAAGAAGGCAGTGGAGGACAATAGACACAACATGGAGTTTGGAATCAGGAAATATAGGTGCACCCTCTGCTGTATCACCTAAAATCTCTGTGGCTTTAGAAAGGTCATTTGGTCTTGGAATCTCATATTACATGCAGAAAAAGGAAAATGATGACTTGCTCTCAGGTAGTCAGGTTATTAAGTGCACTAACAACATATGCAAAATTATCTGCACAAAAATAAGCAATCTTGATTAGCCCCCATCTCTTTTCCACTAGAACATAAAAAACCAAAACTCACATATTTCTACCAAAAGTCAGCTTCCCTCTTTCTATACACATTATTATTGTTACTCACAAGTATTCAGGAAACAAACACAAAACTTGGAATCATCTTCAATTCTTTCTTTTCCTTGACTCCTAATTAATGAATCATCCAGTTCCCCCAGACCCTTCCCTGTGATATTTTCTAACAAGAGAATTCCAGGCCAGGAGTGATGGCTCATGCCTGTAATCCCAGCACTTCAGGTGGCTAAGGTCAGGAGTTCGAGACCAGCCTGGCCAATATGGTGAAACCCTGTCTCCACTATAAACACACACACACAAAATTAGCCGGGCGTAGTGACACAGGCCTGTAATACCAGCTACTTGGGAGGCTGAGGGAGAAGAATTGCTTGAACCCGGGAGGTGGAGGTTGCAGTGAGCTGAGATTGCACCACTGCATTCCAGCCTGGGTGACAGAGTAAGACTTCATCTCAAAAAAAAATAAAAAAATAGATTCCTTGACTCCTGCCCCAACTCAAGCAGATCCCTCCTTCTATCTAGTCCAGCAGTTCTCAGCCACATTCATCTTTACCCCCACCCCACCCCAAGAATATTTGGCAATGTCTGGAGACAATTTGGTTGTCACAACTGCGGAGCTTCTACTGGGGATGTAGGTGCTGCTAAATATCTTACAGTGCAAATGGCAGCTACCCACATGATATGGTTTTGCTGTGTCCCCACCCAAATCTCATCTTGAACTGTAGCTCCCACAGTTCCCACATGTTGTGGGAGGGACCTGTTGGGAGGTAATTGATTCATGGGGAGGATCTTTTCTGTAGCATTCTCCTGATAGTGAATAAGTCTCATGAGATCTGATGGTTTTATAAAGGGGAGTTTCCCTACACAAGTTCTCTTCTCTCGTCTGTTGCCATGTGAGACGTGCCTTTCACCTTCCACCATGATTGTGAGGCATCCTCAGCCACGTGGAACTGTGAGTCCATTAAACCTCTTTATTTTGTAAATTGCCCAGACTTGGGTATGTCTTTATCAGCAGCGTGAAATTGGATTAATATACCACAACAAAGCCTATGTGGCCCAAATGGCAGCAGTGCCAAGGCTGAGAGATGCTGGTCTAGCTGTAGCCTTTTTGTGACCTAATGCTTTTCCACTGTTCTCTGCCAGGTTAATTTTCCTAAAATTTTCTCTGATAGTCTAGAACTTACAAGGATTCCTTATTTTCTAGAAGATCAAGCCCCAATATATAAGCCTACTTTGTTTACCTGTAGAAAAAGAAAATTAACCTTAAAAATATTTAACTTTTTTGAGAAGTAAATATGTACCAGAAACTGTTCTAAATATTTAACCTACCTTAACTCATTTTATCCTTGAAACAGCTCTATTAAACTTAAGTGTTCTTTGAACTCTGATATTATAAGATGGCTTTCTTTAATCAAGCTTGGAACATGGTAGACATTCAATAAAAATTTATTGAACACCAATAGCTAACAACAAATTGACATGCTAAGATCTGTTGAGCTTATTACATAACAGGTACTAAGTATCTCATATATATTGCTTCATTTCATCATCAAAAACAAACATTTTCCCCAGTAACAGGGAGAAAATGTAAGTGTTTAACTTAGTATAGCCAGTCAGATTCTCATATAGTTTAAAGCCCATGGGAAGACAGACACTAACATAAAATATCATTTTTTAAATCCCTAAGCTGTTTTTTAAATCTACAATGGGAAAATTTCTTTGAGGCTAAAGAATCTAGATGTAAACATGTTTCAGCCTCTTTTATCCCTGTCCTGGCAGAAAATAAATATCTGAAGACCTGTAGGTATGGAACTTTGAAGGGGTTATCTCCTGCCCTCTGGTGTGCATGTGTCTTATGAAAGTTTCCAATGAACTAGCCACGTCTTGCTCATTCTATCTGACTAGGATAATATCATGAACATCACGGACTGGCGTCTGTTCTGCAGAATGTCCAGCTGTTCCTAGAATCTTCAGATCAGGACTATGTATTAAAGCAGGGGCAAGTTAATATAGCCCTAAGCAGGACAGTTCAGAGTTGGGCTATTGTTCATTCCAGAGCAATGCAAACTTTTATCCTGTTTCTAGTAGGGATCTAAAAGAATGGCTTGCTAGATTGATGTGCACATGCAATGTACCTGGAAACATGTTAACCTGCTCTAGTAACATCCCACACACGGTCTAGCATCTGTAATCAGGGCCACTCCTTGGATGAATTGGCAAGAGTTTTTTATTGTCCATCAGAATCCGTGTGGGTTTTGTAGGATCTAGACTGAGACATTAAATTACAAAATAATGGAGACCACTATCCTCACATACTTTAAATCTTTAAGAGTGATATTAATTTCTGCCACTTCCCTCGGTATTCAATATTATTTAGATTTACTCCTTTGGCCAAGGGACATCCGGTTTCAGAGACTTTTGCTTGGCCTTCCTTATTACAAAAGCTCTTACCTATTAAGCCAAGGAATCTGCAGAGTTGTGACAACCACCAAGGATGTTGTAAAACATTCTCCAGGGCTTCCATGACAAAGTACTACAGACTGAGGGGATTAAATGACAGAAATTTGTTTTCTCACAATACTGGAGGCCAGAAGTACAAAATCAAGGTGTTGACAGGGTTGGTTTCTCCCAAGGACCCTCTCCTTGACTTACGGATGGCCATCTTCTCCCTGCATCTTAGCATGGCCTTCCCTCTGTGTGTGTCTGTAACCTAATCTCCTCTTCTTATAGAGACATCAATCATATTGGATTTGGACCCATCTATATGACCTCATTTTACCCTAATTACCTCTTTAAAAAGGCTATCTCCAAATAAGGTCATATTCTTGGGTCCTAGGGGGTTAGGACTTCAACATATAAATTTGAGGGAACGCAATCCTGTAACAAATGTTTATTCCAATGACATAATTGGGGAGCAGGAAGAATGATTACCTGGCAAGTCCACAGAACACTCACTGGATGCAGAACACCCCAGGAAATGAATGAGCTTGGGTAATGGAGCTCTCTGAAGCTGAGGCCATTTTTACAAGAACTGGAAGCTGAGGGCTGTCTGCAGCAACACTTTCACAGCTGGAGACTCCATCCTGTCATCCTAAAAGAAGTTCTGTGTGACACATCATAGCATCCACCACACAATACTTAGGCATGTTGATGGCATTCAAATGGATTAACCAATAGATTTGTTGACAATTTGCTTAAATGTTTTATAAATGTTTAATCTGATTAATTAAAAAGTATACCACTCCTCCCCAGGTGACTAATGACAGTCATTACTCTAAGCCTTGGTGATTTTGGACATTCCATTTTCAGCAACAAGGTAAAATTCAGTAGGTAAAATAAAATAATAAGTGAGGTGTCAAAAATGTCTGCATTTTCATTTAGCTGTCGTAGAATTCCCTTGCTACTTAAAGTCACCCATGAAGCAGCTGCAGCTGCATTCCCTTTGAGCTTGTGGAAATGCAGAATCTCAGATCCCACCCAAGACCTACTGCATTGTTACAAGATCCACTCAGGTGGATTCCTATTCTCATCAAAGTTTGAGAAGCATTGCCATAGCTGACCTTGAGCAAGTAATTAACCTCTCTGAGCCTGATTTCATCTGTAAAACAAGGCAATTATAACCAGAAGGCCCCTTGGATGCCTTCAAGTTCTAAAATGCCGTGACAAATCTGAGCTGAGTTTGATCTTTAAAAGTAACACTGTGCCTCTCACAGAAAAAACATTGAACTTTCATCCCTCCTTATGCATGAACGTTCTGCTCCCTGCAAATTTGACTTCCATCTGTAATTGGCAATTAAAGTCATGGTTGAAGGGAATCTTCTGATAGCCTCAATGCAAAAGACATTCTTGTTAATGTATCAGCTCTGCACCTTAAGGCTAAAGCACCCTAGAGGTGTTTCAGGGTGACGTGCAAATGTGCTAGACCAACACTTATTGGAGTTGGAGTAGTGATTTGGGTAAAGAGAGAAAAGATTATTACCAATTTTACCATTTAGTGACTTGACCCTCAACAGAGGACTAATGACTCCTGGTTACCCATTACAATTTATGGCAATGCTTCATTTAGAAGCAGCCATCAGCAAGATAGTGACGAGAGACAAGGGGCAAAGATCTGAGATGAATGAAAGTTTTCTTTAAGGTTGAATACCAAATTATCACCCATTCTCTCTGCATGGATCATTTGAAGCCCTGGGCTCCCTTCTAAATTAAAAATTCCCACATGATAAAAAATTCCAAATACTTGAATGATGATCTGCACACAGAGTTTGATGCAAAAAATGTTAGTCAAAGCTTACCATCAAAAGATATGTTCACTTTTTATAAACATCACAAGTACAAAGTTGCAAGGCTGGTAAAAACTACACAGCAATAATTGCTTGAAAATAATGCCATTATTATTAATATTAATGCCAATAAAATAATTGTAACTAGCCTGTATTGAGCACATTCTGAATGCCAGGAACTTTTAAAATGTACTTTATTAATTCTTAAAACAAAATAAGAAGCATACCATTATAACACTCATTAAGCAAATGAGGAAACTGAAACTTAGATTAAGAGGTGCTCCCAATGTGGTGAGGCTGGAATAAAAACCCATATAATGTGATGCCAAATTTCTATTCTATGTATAGAATATGTATATATATATGTCACAAATATTCATAATAAATATGCATTATATAAGTTACCATTCCTATTTTATAGATGAGAAAAGGTCATTTACCTGTATCCAGGTTCACCCAAGTTTATGGTTAGGCCAGGTGAAGAGAGTTTGATCTATTCCAGGCAGAAGCCTTGCCTCTGTCCATGGCACCCATCACCGCTCAGCAAACCAGCCTGTGCTAGATTTTTTCCTATTTGTTACAACTACAAACTAGTAGACAAAGCGATGCCTATCTTAAAATCCCCATCAAGTCTTAGGTCTAGGTGACTTGACAGAGACCGATATAATATATAATAAAAATGATGTTTCAACTTAAGTTTACCATAAAAAGAAATGACTCTCCATTTTCCAAGGAAATAAGCCTGTGTGGAACAACATTATTCTATTAAAGATTGATCAGAAGATTCATGTTTCAAATAGATTCAATAGTTCAATCTGCAGAAATATTCCAGGTGGCTGCCAAATCCATTTTATGATGAGGAGTATTGGCTGAGATAAGTGTAGTGATGTGAGGGGCTCTGTGGGTGTTCATTTGTATCCCCTCAGCATTTACCATCCATTCATACTCCCTCGTTGCCAGTTGCCAGAATCCAGGCTGTCTCCCTAGAAAGTTTGGTTTTCTTTAGAAGACAAGTTTTGCCTACCTGCTTGCCAGGCAGGCCAGCAGTGCTGGAGTGTTATTACCACCACTACCCAACAGCCTTTAATCAATGCCTGGTTGGAGCTGATTGCTTAATGCCCCAGAGCTCCCTCGCCCCTTGGCAATATAACTCAGATTTGTTCTCCACTGTTTCTTAAAATTCCTCAGTGGAATAAGCTGTCCGCAGTGCCAAAATGTGCATGATCAAACATTGCTTGATATAATAATATCTTCCTTATTAGCTTCTTATTTTTTCTGTCCCTTACTTTCTCACTCCTCTAGTTTTTCCTGGGATCACCTTCTAAATAAATTTGCATTTGAAGCCTTAATTTAGGTTTCTCCCAGAAGCAAAACTCTGAGACAAGAGAGATGACTTTCTGAAGTTTACACTCATATAATAAGTTGAGTGTTTTCCTTATGCCTAGCACTAGAATAAGTTTTAGGGATATTACTATAAACAAGACACCTCAGGGTCCCTTCTGTCATCATCACCTGTCTAGTAGGCAAGACACTGGGAACAGTCAACAGTCCAGTGAGCAAGACATTGAGAAAGTAAATGCAATTTTTCTAAAGGGGATAGCCACAGTGACATAAAAGGTATTTGTGAACAGAGTTCCATTTATTTTGATATTTAAAGAGAAGGTCATGATCGAGAGAATGCTCTGAGCAAAAGGAATAGCAATCAGAATGGAAAACCAAATAACCATGCAGTGCACTGGGGAAATAAGATCACTGTGGCTGCAGGGGAGAGAGAGTGGCAATGAAATGAATTATGAGGATGGGGAGGTAGGCAGGGGCCAGATCTAGAAGTGACTTCTAATTACAAGTGTTTCAGAATTTGTCCTTAAACAATGAAAATTTGTTGTAATATTTAGTATAAGGCAGTAGAAAGACCGATCTGGCTAAAATGTGGAGACTAGCTAGGCGTAAAGAAAAGAACTGTGGCTGGAAGACCAATGAAGGGATCTCAGATTTCTAGTCTGGGACTTTTACAATATATATTGCTTCTTTTGGATGGCTATTTCACTGAGGGGTTGAGTTTAGCAACACACAACAGAAAATTTATATAATGGAAGCTTAATCAAGTTAGATGTTTATTTTTATTCTCTCACATAAGAAGTTACTGAGTAGGTGTTTTGTTGGCTATGGTTCATTGGCTTGAGGATGTTAAGAACAAAGTCCTTGTGTCTATGTTGGTAGGCACTGTCTGTATAGTCACAGGATACTCAAATCCCAACAATCTCAACCTCTATTTCTGCATTCTAGAAAAGCAAATATGGAAAGGAAAGTGGTTAAAAGATATTGACCAGCCAAGTCCACTTTTTAAGGGTCTTTTGTAAGAGTTTGCCTAATGATTTCTGCTTACACAAAGTTATCCCAAAGTGTGTCACATGGCCATCTTTAACCACAAGGGAAGATGAGAAATGTAGTTTTTAGATGAGAACATTGCCAATGAGCAAACACAAGAAGCCTCATCCATTAAGAAGAAAGGGAAAATGGATATTGAGGAAGCAATTAGTAGGCTCCACCCAATATATGTACAATAAAAAAGATTAGATGAAAAAACAAACCAACAAACTACAGCAAGATAAACGTTCATAACAATGATAACAATTCTAACAATGCCTCTGTTTGCAGAACATTTGTATTTTTTAAAGTACATTTTGTGAGTGCAATTCCCCTGTTTAATATAGTTAATAAAATAGTGAAGCATAAAGATATTGATGTTTCACTAAGCAGAAATAACCCAAGAAAAGCTGAAAGCATGATGAATAGAAATGGCAGAGAAAACAACTTCTCACTGAAACTTGCGTTGCTTCTTTACCACAAATTCTTTTTTCTGGACTTTGCCTTACATGTATAATTAGTTGTGCTTTCTGGAGAAGATGCATGGCAGGGCCATTTACAGAAAGTACTAAGAGTACTGCAAACTAGAGTTCAAATCCAGCCTGTTCATTCACTACTCATGAGAAATGAACTTATCCTTTGAGCCTCAGTTTCCCCCCTTGTACAATCTGGTAAACAGCACCTGC
The DNA here is from genome assembly GCF_000001405.40 of Homo sapiens. NCBI lineage: Eukaryota > Metazoa > Chordata > Mammalia > Primates > Hominidae > Homo > Homo sapiens. The sequence continues at coordinate 10,754,848 of NC_000004.12, read as the reverse complement.
CTTACAGCCTTCAAAAGGTTTCAAGACAATTTTTTTCTTCTCTGCCTTTCTCTCTCCCCTTTCTCTCTCACTCTCCATATATATGTTGTATATACATATGTATATACATTTATATATGCATTTTAGTGTTTTGTATTCTCCACTTTAGTGTGCTACCATTATTAATCAAACGCACTAAAAAGAATATTTGCGTAACAAATTTGCAGAGCGGTAAGTGCTACATTTTGACTTAGCAGGGAGAGAAAAGGGTGGTTATGTAGCCTAATGCCAAAATGAGACAGGCTTTGGGAGTGAAGTGAGGGGGTTTGCTCTACACTTCACCCACCATAGGCATTTTGGAGCATTTCCAGGTGTTAGAGAGAGTCCTTTCCTGGCTCCAGCAGCCTCCTTCAGCACAGAGGTACTGGATTAAGTACAAAGAGGAGTAAAGAGAATGGGAAAGTTTTTAGGAAGAAAGACTCCAATTTTTGTTTTCCCTAAGAATGGTATGTTTGAAATGTGACCAAAGTCTTCATTACCTAAAATAGTCTCTTTCCCCTGAAAGAAGCTTTGGGAAATGTGGTTGCCACAGAGACTCACAGCTTGAGAGGAGAAAATCCCCAGGGCCTGTGGGATCAGCCTATGATGCAGCCCATATGCATGGCTTTAAGCTTCATGCTGCGAGTCCTTCTTTGAATGACTGTGATCTTCCATCCCCTATCACATGCCTGCAGATCATGGAACAAAATTAACTGAACTCTGCCTCTTGCTCAGCTCAGTTAAGCCTCTCAGAATTGCCAGGAGGAAACAGGAAAGGCCACTCACATGTATCTCAGCGTGGTTGACACCTGGCCCATAATTCCAGTGGAATCCAGCCATCATTTACCAAACATGGACTTCATGCCAGGTTCTAGGCTTCACTCTGGTGACCAAGAATAATAAAGCATAGGTTCTTTCTCAAGGAGTCCCCAGTCAATTTAGAGAGGGCCACTTATGCAGGAGGCAAGGGTCAGGCTATCCACCTTTCAGAGAATCTTGGGAAGTTTCTCGATGGAAGCATTTTTGTTTTGTTTCTTGAGTTGAGCAAGAAACAGCAACGTGAACTATCAGGCAGAGAGTCAGCATGCTCAAAGGGACAGAGCAGGGACAGAGTTGGGATGGCCTGGAGGCTGGAAGCAGCTTGACTAGAAGGCCATTTTTGGAAAAAGATGCTGGGTCTCATTATGAATGCAGAGCTAAAGCATGTGATCATTTATCCTACAGCCAACAGGAAGTTCATAAAAGATTATTCAGATACTCATTCAAGTTAATAGTTCAGCAGCATAAAGAAGGACTTGGAGTAGAGCCACACCGGAGAGGGGAAGATGAGCTAACAAGCCCATGTGAGAGTCTGAGGGAAAGGCAATGGAGGTGGGCCCTCTCCTGGGCAGCAGGGAAAGAATCAAATGAGAGGACAGAGCTCCGTATACATTGTGCACACACGGCCACCACGCGAAGTAATGTTCATGACAATTCAATTTCAACTTTAGAGATAGGAAGAGGAGGTATGGTTTATCCTAGGGCCAACCTCCGGCCTTCTTGGACACAATCCCAATTTGTCCATCCAGGGCAGTCTGTGGACTCAAGGTTTGCAAATGAGGCATGCCTTAATGGCAAAAAGCATAACTTGTCCCCAGAATTTCTGCCAGGTTGATGAATATCTTGAATGCTGTTAAAAAGACATCTTGCCAAGGCGGGCAGATCATAAGGTCAAGAGATCAAGACCATCCTGGCCAACATGGTGAAACCCCATCTCTACTAAAAATTCAAAAATTAGCTGGGCATGGTGGCGTGCTCCTGTAGTCCCAGCTACTCAGGAGGCTGAGGCAGGTGAATTGCTTGAACCCGGGAGGTGGAGGTTGCAGTGAGCCAAAATCGTGCCACCGCACTCCAGCCTGGCAACAGAGCAAGACTCCATTTAAAATAAACACAAACAAACAAACAAAAAGATCTTTGGCACACATGGAGAGGAATTTCAGGGATACAGCTGGGGCCATTAATTTAACCTATCTTCATTTTTGAAAACGTCAAATACAAGTTTTGAGAATAAGTCTCCAGAATTGAAATGTCTTTGCTCAGTCAGTCCCTTTCTAAGTGATTACAGGAGTGACGTCCTGCACGGTCAACTGCAGTCTGAAGCAGGTGTGTTTAGAATATATTAATGGTATTTGCTGGAAAATATAACCATTTCCTGACATTTGTATTAATTTCTTTGAGCTGTTGGCTTATATCTGGATATTAATTTAAATCTCTTCCTAATTTTAATTAGAGGTATGATTTAACAGTGTTGAGTTTTTTTGCTTTTTTTCTTCAAAGAATGAATGTTAACTTTACCAATCCAGGATTTAAAGTATCTGTATTTATTTCAAGACTTAACAATGAGTGGGGATTAATATTTGGATAGGGGATATATAAGTGCATCCACTATGCCTCTGGAAATTAATTAAAAATGTTTTAAGATTTTTAAATGGTTTATTTAGTTAAATCATCCCAAAGTAATGAACTGGAGTAAGCCAAGCTTAACTATAAGTCTTAGGTATTTGAGTGTTTTCTAGTGTCTGTGTTGATCCCACCTCAGTATTCAATAACATTAATATTCATTTCCTTGTCTCATCTCTTGTTTTGCAGCCCTACTGCAAAATGTAGAGGCTGAACCTGTTCACCCATTTCATGTTCAACTGCAGCACTGCTCAATTCCTTTTGTCGTCTTTCTTCAGACATCATGCTGGTCCGTGCCCATTTGTGTATTTTTTAAGCGTGATTCTATTTTTAATTGGCAAATAATAGTTGTATATATTTATAGGGTTCCATGTAATGTTCAATACCTGTATACATTATGGAATGATCAAATCAGGCTAATAAATCCATGCCCATTTGCTTTTGCACCTCCAGTTGCCTCTGTTTGAACCCCCTCTCCAGACCTGTATACACCTCACAAATTCCTGCATATTATTAATAGTCAAAACTTTACTGAAACATCCCCTTTAGAGTAAAGTCTTCAATGCATCTTCTAGACAGAACTTATACATTCCTCCTTTTATCATTTCTATCCTTTGAACAACTATATTTGTATTCATAAAAGGGCCCTTGTGTTTAAATATTTGTCTCCCTTTATCCCCCCGACAAGGCTTAGTGTAGGGCTTCAAAAATCGCAGTGATTAAAACATCTGAATTCAACTTCCTGAGTTCTTTCAGTGTTGTAATTAAATTAAAAAGTTGGCTTTTTTTTAACCTGCCAGGTAAATTAAACTTTCAATTTGTCAACAGTATGGGTTGAGTTCAGTCATATGTTGGAAATTTACTTAGTGCTGTTATTAAATGCCAAGTGAAAGAAATTGCAGAGCAATCTATTGATTCTAAAGCTTAGAAATTAAAATTTTCTATTTTAAGGAACGCCCCTGATATCAAGAATTGAAATGAAATATCAGCGATATGGTCTGATTAAACTCTGTGAGTAATACATCAGAATTTCCTCTGTGCTAGGAGTTTTCCTACATTCTTCTCCGAAGGAACCAAAAGTGAGACCTTTAATGAGGAGCAGAACCCTACTGTTTGCTTTCTTCTTTGGTTTCTGATTGTCCGGGACCAACCTGAGATGCACAGAAAGGATGAAGTGTATGTTAGAGGCATGTAACACAATCAAGATTCAGAAATTATAGTCCAAATGAACTTTTATCATTTTAAGCTCAGAAATGTAATAAACACACCTAAAGCTTTCTTTAACAGCAAAATTCTTCAGCAAACTCTCATAATACTTTTTATGAAACCCAGGATTTTATAAAACATGCTGCCAACAAACAATTCTCTAGTCTCGGAAACATCTGTCTAACTTTCCCTATTCTCTATGTTGTCATTATTATTCACTTACAGCATAATGGGCCAAACACACACAGAGTTTGGCTCTCCATACATGGGTTTGAATTCCAGCTCTGTGAGCCTGGTGGCCACTGGCCAGCAGCTCACCAGTCTCCCTTCGGTTTCCTCCTGTGGGGATATCGCATCACTCGGGAGCCCACCTCATGCTATTGAGACAGGGGAGATTGCTCCTTCTTCAGACAACATCCCCTCTCCCTCTCTAACTTCAAAGGGAATAAAAGTAAACGTTCATGTTTAAGCTCCACTTCTAAAGAATGCCATATTCTGATTTATCTTTTAATCTGCCATGAATTGAGAAATCACAAATCGCCAAGTTTATTTGAATTACCTAGGAATAAAAATTAATCGAGTTAGGGAAAACAGAGAAAGAAAATTCCAGAAATGCATTTAAAAGTCTACCCTCAGGAAAAATCCAGAGATGTCTGTACATTAGTGAGGAAGCCACACTGAACAGCTATCATCCTATGTACATCAAACATTCATTCAACAATTGTCACTTTGCCTGCTGAGTCATGGTCAATGGACTGAATGCTGCAGATTCAAAGCTGAATTAAGATAGAGATACCCTTTCTGCAATTCAAGAACTAATAATGTAATGTGGGGGAAAGGAAAGCAAAGAGTACCTAGTTTGGGAATCAACTACATTCCCAATGCTGTAATAAAGCAGATTTCCAGGTGTGGCAAGGAGAATGACCAAGTCAGGGGTTATGTGTCTCTCCACTCTGTTAAGGGACATTGGGCTATGGTTATCAGAGAAGGCTTTGCTGAGCAGCAAGTGAGGAGGGGCTTTCTGAGACAGAATGGACCATGATCTGAAGGCTACATGAAGTGAACATCAGGTTCTAGGCTAAGGAGGAGGAAATTAACTGCATAATCTGATTCGTGTTTTGAAAATTTGTCATTAATGAAACTGCCCTCTTGTTTTATAAGATCTTCAATGTCTACATAGTTGTATTGCAATTTACCAACAGTTTATTGTATAGTAAGTGGTCATCATCTAAAAATATCGCAAGAGATCATGAATATAGTGAAAGAATTCACTCTTTGAAGTTAATACAGTCCAGCTTCACTTAGCAAGAGCGCTTGGGGAAGAGGACCTTTGCTTTAGTGAGGAAAGGAGGTGTCAGTGAGTTGTAGGAAACACATATCTGTGGGTAACAAAAGCTAAAAAATCCCATTGCCTCTGGATTTCTAGGAGAAAAGGTATCAAATCTATTTTTTCCCAATTTTCTATGGTTTACATAAAATTTTCTGAGACCAATTTCTTTGTCATGAACTATTGTTTTGCATACCTTCATTTATCTGTTTCTGAATGGAAGAAAAAATGTTTTACTGAGTACCTACTATGTACCAAGCACAGAGGTAGGCCTTTTGTCATGCTTTATTCATTTAATGTTCACAAAATTACTAAGAGGTAGATGCTATCATTACATTATAGACAATGAGTTGGTAATTCAGAGGTGGTTTCCTTGCCAAAGCTCAGTCTTGGCTTTCAATCATCATTCCTTTCAGGACTGCCATGTTTGGTCAAATGGGTTGTGTATGGTACCCTCTGGGGTTGTGCAGGGTGATAACATGATTACACCCCTATGTGGCCCCAAAAGCCAGTGTGAAGTGCCGCCTAGCCCGCTATCCCAAGAATCATCTTCAAATCACCAGTTCTCAGTTATATTTGTATTTACGGCAGTGAGGTCTTGGAGAAAGGGCTCCATACATTGGGCACTCAATACATTTACATTTGTGACTCACTGTGGATATTTATTTTGTTCTCAGAAAAATCAATCTGTGGAGGAAAGCAAAGTGTAACAGTTATTTCGAGGCTTCAGTTAGTAGGATCCAATTAAATGGGTTTTCATGTTACAGTCCTATCTCATTTTCCTTACCCAGAATCCTGAGCCCTCCAGATTTCAGCAAACAACACAGGAAAAGACAAAGATCCCAGAGCCTCCAGAACACCTCTCAGAAAGTTCATGTTCTGAAGCATTGGCAAATTGTCTTGGTGGCTGACTTATATTTCCCTTTTGTCCCTTTACACAGTTTTTCCTAACTTAGAACCTTTTTGCTCTTAATTTCAGTAGAACTGTAACGTGATTGATAAATGGGTTGACCAGCCCATGGCACAGGCAAAGCACCAAATGAGGTCTCGGAGGGATCGATGCAGGAAGCAGGCAGTGAAGGCAGAGAGAGAAGAGCAAAGAGAAGAACCAGAAAGAAATAAAAAAACCTAACAGTTGGCCATCTTTCATGTAAGGGCAGACATCTGTCCAGATTTCAAATAGTGTAACTCCAGGGGAGGAGTTCCCAACCAGCCTGTGCTGGTGCCATTTGGTTGAATCATAGTGGAACTCATTGGTTTACCTATGTCTTGGATGCTTTTCTGCTTCAATGATAAAGTTGAGTTGTTGTGAAAGAGAGCCTAAGGCCCATAATGCCTGAAATTTGTATGAAATCTATTATGACTTTTTATTAAAAACATAGGCCCTTTTCCAGAACAATCCATGTTACAAGGATATTTTTTCCCATTCATCAGATTAAACTCACTTCTGTGGGTCACTCTTGGGTTCTCTGGAGCAGCTGTAGAGTCATCTTGTCACCATGGTACTACTAGCATGGTACCGAGACAAAGATTCTCCAACATGCAAAGTTGTTAAAGGATATTGATGCTTCTAATAGTAACCTTCCTTTACAGGAACATTTGCTTAAGCGATACTAATGGGTTTCTTCCACCTGTAATATTGTCTCAGATATCTGTATGGTGTACAGTTTTATTCAGGGCTCTGCTCAAATGTTATTGCCTCAAAGAACCCTCCTTTGACCAGCAGACCTAAGTAGGCATACTCTTTGTCTCCCTAACAACCCTACTCTATATTTTAAAGCACTTAGCACTAACTCCCGTTGTATTGTTGAAATGTTGTTTTATTATTGGTTCCCTTTCATTAAAATACATCATCTGTGGGGTCAGACACTTTGCTTATGATTTTACTGCTATATCCACACTTCTGATAAACATATCTGGTTTGCTTAGTAGGTGCTTGTTCAGTGAATAAACGAATGAAGTCAAGCAGTGGTGCTAAATAGATAACATATTACCTCCCATTAATGGGTTAAATCAGGAGCCTCGGAAAGGAAAAGAAAAAAGATAACCAAGAAAAAATAATTTTCTCGTTAGAACCTGAACTGTTTCTTTAGCTCCAAGTTGTGCCAAGAACTCTAACAGAATTGTCAAATAAAATGTTTCTTCTATTCTCTGGTGAGGCTACGAGACATAATGGCATGTGCCTGGAGTAATACGGGTCTAAATTCAAATTCCGGGTCTGTTTCTTAATATTTGACCTTTTTATATAGAAAGTATGTATGTATGTATATATATATACTGATGAAGATTAGCTGCCACCAAAGGTTCCTATGGGTATTAACAAAGATGATGTGTGCAAAGTTCCTAAATGAGAGTCCAGCCCTCAAGGTGTTTGACTGGTGGTTGGGTTTGCTTCCTCTTCTAGCAGGACAGTTGCCCGTTGGAGAAGTGAGATACAGCCGCTCACACTTGCATCGCCATCCTTTTCTAAAGCCTCAGGTCCTCACTTTTCATTTTGAAAGTAAAAATGCAGACCGACAGTAGTCCCTCAGATGAAAGTCCCTTGGGTCACAGTCTCCTTTGTTGGGATGGGGGAGGCTCACACCTCCCAGGCAATTCTGAGAAGTCTTTAGAAAAGGGCTGCAATTTGTTTACCATTTCCGACAGTCTTATTTGTTGCCATAGCTTGACTTTAGGCAGCCCTCCTACCAGCTGCCTCATTAAAATAAAGCCCTCTTTATACCTTCAGTGGCCAGTGGCCTAGCACATAAAAAGAACTGCTAGCCACTCCCTAGATTCTACCAGTGCTTGCAGCCAAAGTTTGGGCCTCCTCATCAAGGGTGGGTACACATTCCCCATCCTCGACCTGCTGCCAAATAGCTGCAATGACTCTAGAAGCTTTTGGAAAAAATATCCTTCAGCATAAAAGGCGAATTTTATACTCTAATCAAAATAACTGCCAAGTTAAAAACATTCTATGAAAAGGGTGCTCTGGGAGAAGAAATGAGAAGCAAAGGAATGTTCTCACCCAGACACTACCTCACTGTGGTAGGAAAAACAGAATAAAATAAAATAAATAAATTGAAAGATTTGCATTATTCCTTTCAAGAGAAAGTGTCCAGTTCAACAAACAAAGAGCCTTTCTGAAATGTTAAGGACTTCTAATTATGACTAATAAGCTTGGCCTCACACTAACTTCCAGACCTAAGATTTACAGCCTCCAGCTGCTAGGAGGATTTTACTTCTCCAGTAGGATCCTTCCAGCTAATGTAGTTGATTTTGTATGTCTACAATGTTGAGGAAATGGGGAATTTCTAGTCTATTAACTAATTCAAGTCAGTAGTAACAAATACAACCAGACGTGGTTTCAAATCTTGGGTCCATTACTTCATGGCTGTGTAATCTTGAACAAGATCTCAGCCTCTCTGTGTTCAATGCTTCATTTGTAAAATATGCAAAATGTTGCCTAACTTTTATGGTTATTTGGAAGGAGCAAGAGGTTCTTTTCAAGGTGCCTCGGACACCACAGCTGGGAGTAATTGCATCTTGTTTCTTGACCTCTGTACACCGCACTTTCAGACAAATGTAGGAAAGGTCTCAGGACCATAACTTGAAAACCCTTGACTGAAGTGATGTAAATCCAGATACTCAATGTGTAGAAGACTTAAGGGGATATGAAAACATTTTCCTGTAAGTGAATAGACTTCTACAGGTGACACGAAGGAGTCAGGAAGAAAGGATTAGCAATTGCAAGGAGGCATTTTAGTTTAGATTTAGGCCAATATGAAATACTAGTTAAAAGTAGCCTGTGAAGTCAAACACAGTTCAAGTTCTTTTATGAGCTATGTGACTTTGAATTTTTTTTACTTCCTGTGCCTCAGTTTTGTTTCTGTAAAATGGAGCCCACCATAACCTCAAAACCAATTTATGACACAGTTATTAAATACTTAGTGATATAAAGCACTTTGTGCCTAGGTCATAATAAACACAACAAAATGCAATGTATTATAAAAATATAATGTAACAATACAATGATAATAGCAGCTATTAAGCTTCCTAACATGCAAACAAACTCATCCAGAGAAAGAATAGTGATGATTTCTGTGTTTGGTGTGAGACTAACACAGATGAAAACATTTTTCAGGAGAGGATTCAAGCAAACTGAAGATCATTGTCCTAGAACATGCTCAAGATTCATTCAGATCTTAGGACTCTAGGATTCTAATGCTGCCACTGTTTTCAACTCAATTTATGTAGGGTTTTGAAATAACAGCTTCATTGAGGTACAATTTATAGGTCAGAAAATTCACTGTGTCAAAGTGTACAATCCAGTGATTTTTAGTATACTCAGAGTTGTGCAACAATTATGACTATTTTATTTTAAAACATTTCATTTCTCCTTAAAAATTCGCATACCAATTAGCAGTCACTCCCTATTTCCCCTAACTTCTTCTTCTGAACAACCTCCAATCTACCTCTTGACTATAGATTTGCCTGTTACGGACATTTCATAGAAATGCACTCATATGATATGTGATATTTTGTGACTGGCTTCTTTCACTTTACATGTTTTCAAGGTTCATTCATGTTGTAGCATGCATGGGTACTTCATTCACTTTTATGACTTTATAACATTCCCTGGTATGAATATATCACATTTTGTTTGTCCGTTCATTAACTGATGAACATTTGGGTTGTTTCCATTTTTGGTTAATTCAAATAATGCTGCTATGAACATTTATGTCCAAGTGTTTTATACCCAGAAATGGAATTTGTAGGTGATAACTCTGCTTAACATTTTCTCCACATCCTTATTTGTACTTGTCTTTTTTATTTTAACCATCCTAATAAGTGTGAAGTGGTAGCTCATTGTGATTTTGATATACATCTCCCTAATGAGTAATGATGTTTGAGTATTATTTTTGTGTGTTTATTGGCCAGTTGTATATCCTCCTTGGAGAAATACTTAATATTTATTTGGAGAAATGTCGATTCAGATCCTTTGCTCATTTTTTTGATTGGGTTACTTGCCTTTTCATTGTTGGGTTAAAATTTTTTTATGTAATACAAATTCCTTACTAGATAAATAATTTACAAATACATTTTTTTCATTTTGTGGTTTGCCTCTTCACATTCTTGCTGGTGTCCTTTGAAGAATAATTTTTTAATTTTGTGATAAATGTAAGGGTTTATTTTTGCATCCTTGATTCTATTCCATTATTCTGTTTCCATTCTTATGCCGGTACCACACTATCTTGATTACCATAGAATTATAGTAAGTTTTTAAATCAAAACATGTGAGTTATCCAACTTTGTTTGTACTTAGAATTTTTTCTTCCAATCTGAGCTTCTTGATTTTCCATATAGATTTTATAATCAGCTTAATTTCTTCAAAAGAAATTACCTGAGATTTTGATAGAGATTTTATTGAATCTGTAGATCAATTTTGGGAGTATTGCCACTTTAGCAATATTAAGTCTTCTGATGCATGAACATAAAATAGCTTTCCCTTTATTAAAGATTTTTCTTTAATTTCCCTAAATTAAAGATTCTTCTTTAACTTCTTTCAGTAATGTTTTATAGTTTCATGTATAAGTACTGCACTTCTTTTGTTAAATTAATTTCTTCATATTTTAATCTTTTTTAATGCTATGGTAAATGGAATTGTTTTATTAGTTTACTTTTCATATTGTTTATTGCTAGTATATAGAAATGTAATTGATTTTATATCTTGATCTTGTATCAATTTAACAGTAGGCACACCGGCCACACATGTACAAAGATTAACAGAAAACTCAATTTACTTGTGAACAGGTAAATTCTCAAGTAAAAGATGCTTATTTTTTCTTTTATCTCTTAAAAGTGATGCTTAGAATTACATTTTCAACCTATCTTAATTTTGTGTTTGTCATTGAAAGACATTGTCAGATAAGACAGAAATCAGAATAATGGGTCGGAGCAGACAGACGAGAACAGGTGGCATAAACCATGGTCCTGGAGGCCTGAACATGCTTTGTTCTTCATGGCCCTGACAGTTACCCTACAGTTTTATGCCATTTTCATATTATTCTTGCAATTAGAGAACATTGAAGACAGAAACAATTGTATTACTTAACAACATGCTAGAACAATAAGGCAACAAATCTTAAGTCTTAGTCAATGTGCTGTTTTCAGAATGTTTTTTTTCTAGGTTATAGCGAAACCTAAAGAAATAAACAATTTTGGTTCAATCTGTGCTTCTTGTTTTACACAGTTTTGGTATATTCTCCCCAAACCACTTCTGCTCTTATTCCCTGGGGACCCTATTTCATTTTCAATCTTAACACCATTCTCATTTTCAAAATCGTTCATGCAGCACACAGAAATAGAAATGTAGGCTACCAAAGTCAAGCTGAAAAAGCAACTATCCAGTACATCCCCCATCCATAAATGACCGCTGTGACACTATCATGCTTTGCACACACCTCCCTTTCAGCCCTCTTCACAGTCTATTACAGCCATTCACTCACATATTTGTCCCCACAAACTCTTATAGAAAAGACCCATGCCATTTTCATCACTGCATCTCTAGAGCATGGAGCACAATGGCTAGCCCTTAGTGCATGCTTAGAAAATGTTTTCCAACTGAGTATGTAAAGGGAATTTCTTTTGAAACTCTCCTTTACCCTTTCTAAGTCTCAAAACAGCTTTACAAACATAATTGCTTTGGCATAATTTTTCTAAGCATTTCTTCTGACATTTCTTTTGGGAAATAATTTTACCAAAAGTCAATAGAGTTATTGAGCACCTGCTGTGTGGAAGACTCTGCCAGATGTTATGGCACATAGAACAGAGCTTTTGATCTAGCTGAGGACACAATGTATGTAGGTGATAAAAATCAGTGCAAACGTTGACTGAGCACTTACATGTGCCAGGGATGATGCTTTGATGAATGTAACTCATTTAAGTCATGCAGCAAATGAATGCAATGGGCACTAGTCCTATTCTCTCTGACAGGTGAAGGAATGGCAGGTGAGCTATGTCACTTGCACAAGGTCACTCAACTTATAAATGGCTAAGCCAAGATTTGATCCCAGGCAATCTGACCCCAGGACATATTTAGTTAACCAACAACCTCTTTCGCACATACAAAGTCACAGATGATAATAGACAAGTAAATTTTTTTATTCCTCCAGAAATGTAGGGGGACAGATGATCACTATAGACCAGGATGTTCACTGAAGGATTCAAAGAGATGATAGATTTCAGTAAGCTGAAAAAAGCTGAGCCAAATTTAAACACAGTAACAAGGAACTCTAGACAAGGGGAAACTGTGAACAACACTAGAGAGCTTGGTGGGGGGTTCAGTCATTCTGAGGTAATGGTTAATACTACCCAATGTACTATTCTGGGCAATGAAGATAAAATAAGACAAACTGCATGTTCTCATGGACCTTACATAACAAACAACAAAAAAATAAAGACAGACTTGTCTAGTGGAGAGATGTGCTATGAAAAAAGTAATAAAGCAGCATAAGGAAACTGAAACAGACAAAGGATGTGTTGCTATGTAATAAAGTGCACACAGAAAACAGCCTCTCTGTGAAGGTGACATCCCACCTGCCACCCATAGTAGGAAAAAAGCAGGGAGACATGTGAAAACCAGTGAATTAGGCATTTCCAGGGAGAGGAAACAGAATATCCAAAGGCCCTGAGGTAGAGCATTCTTACTGAGTGTGAAGAAAGTGAGGGAACCAATATGGCTGGAGTGCAGCCAGTGAAGAGTAGAGAGGTGGGAGGTGATACCCACAGGGGCCAGGATCTGTAGAGTCACGTAAATCATTGCAGTCACTTTGGATTTTTCTCTGCTGAAGACTTTCCATCAGCTTCCCATCTGACTCACAGGAACAATACATGAGTCTTCCATTTCAGAAAGATCACTCTGGCCAAATGCTCCTAGAATGAAGGAGTACATGAGCAGGTAACCAGGGATGCTTGAGGAGAGGTATTCTTGGCCAGCTCATGTAGAGAATGTTCGTGTAGAGAAGCAACAGAAATTGAAGCTGAAGACAGTTGATTGGGAGTCGTCTTTGTTGCCATGCTGGCAAGCTTAGACTTTGACTGTGTGGCAATCAGAGGGTTTGCGGAGGACACTACATCACTACATGAAATACATGATATGATGCTCATATTTCCTGTTCCAAATGTCTTCCTGTTCTATACATATCATAGGCACTGATAATATTCAGAATTTTTTAAGAAGTATATTTGACTAGGTGAGATACAGGAAACCAATGAAACACAAAACTATCAGGGGCAGCACTGTCAGTGATCCTTAACAGGTAAGACAAATTCAAATTTTATTTTAATAATACCAGACATCTTCTGAGCATTTACCGTATGTTAGACACTTGGATACAAACTTTCTTTGGATTAGGTCATAAGAACTTAAACAATCAGGTGCATCTTGATTCACAGTTGTGAAACCCGAGACCAGGAGAGGTTGGGCAACTTAGCCGTGTTATAGTTAAGAAGTGGTGAGGCTTGGGAGTGGGCATGCTAATATTCTGCATTTCTTTTTAAATATTACCATACTCCAGTATAAATATTTAAAACCAATTTACTTCACCCAGGTTTATGAACAAATTCTAGCAACTCCTAAGAATTTGTCTATAAGGAATAAACTGATACCTCTGTAACACCTAAACTGGAAACCTGTGTTTAGAGCTTGGGAGAGAAAGAGGAGGAATAGTAGATCAACTAAGAGACAGGAAGAGGAGAAGACCTAGAAGAATGTGGTTCCTGCATGCCTCGTTGGTGATATTGCACCACAAAATAGCAATTTGTCATAAAGCAAAATTTATAGTTCTCAAGAAAAAAAAACATTAAAATGTTTAGTTTTTCTTCACAGGATCTTAAAACATTCTAAAAATCACTAAGAATATTTGGTGAAGATTTAGTTCTCACCAAAGGTAACTAAAAATGACTTGTCCACAGTCCCACACATGATGAAGCTTAAGCTGTACTAACCTCACATACTCCTCTCCTATCTTGGGATTTATTTACTTTTCCAACTCCGAATTCCATATCTGATTAGGAGGGCAGCCACCATGACAGAAAGAACCCAATTTTGCATCTTAGCCCTCCAAACAAAACTACATTTTACTCCTAAAGAAAACAGGACTTCCTTTAGGCTTAGGTTGCTACGTTGAACTCTGCAGGCTAGAGAGTTTTTCCAACAAATGAGCCTAACTCAACTTTCACCTTAGAAATCAGAAATAAGAGTAATCCATTCTTCACATTAAACATACAGCATATAAGCCACAAACAGAGTGTCAGAGAATTTCTTCTTGACAACATCTTGTATTCATCAGTTGGAATTCATTTAGCAGAAAAGACCCCTTCTGTCCCTATGAGCCACCACTTCTAGCCCTGCTATGACTAAAGCCGATTCCTGTTGACACAGCTCATTTTTGTTTTCTTATCTGTATAGTAGATAGATTCCTACCACATAAACACCTCATGCATGTTATGTCAGGTATAACTGGCAAAAACATTGTTTTCTTATACTAGTTTGAAAGGAAACTAGATCAGCTGTAGACAGCTTTGAAAAATTGAGTGCTTATTAAATTTAACAGCAGCAACAAAAATTTTGTTGTCCATCTTTTCATGAAGGGAGTAGAGAGGGAAACTAGCTAATTCAATATGAATATGATAGAACACTGCTTAGGACTTTCCAAAGAATTGAATGGGAAGGGTATGAAGCATTAAAAAGCAATGAGACAAGAGAGCAACCTGGGCCTGGCATCCTCACGTCCCTCCTCCTCTTAGCTTTGTCTCCATAATCTACCTATGTCTCCAATTGATTATGTATTTATCCCTCTAATTATCTTTCTATTTACATGTATGTGTCATTTACCATCCATATCAATTTTTAAAATGTGTATGTAGGTATCTGCTCATTTGACTCTCTGTTCTTATGACTCTCTGTTCTTATTTTAAAATTTTCTTTATTTTACAGGCATACATTGGGCACTTATTGTTATTAGTCAGTCCCTCTATTAGTAGGGATATGATAGTCAATAATGTAAACACCTGGCCTCCATTAGCTTACAGTTAAATGGAGACAGACTGACAAGTGACCCTAATAACACTTCAGTGGGATGAACTCTTTCACGCAGTCAGCACATGGTGCTGTGGGGACATGAAGGAGTGATGTCTGAAGGATACTTGGTGGATGGATAGGAATTAAACAGTCAAGGAAGGGAGGAGGAACAGAATGCAGAGAGAATAGGGTGCATCATGATGTGCAGAAGTAAAAGGAAAGTCAAAATCTGATTAATCTGAAAAGTTGTCTGTATTAGTCCATTTTCATACTGCTATAAAGTCTATTTTCACACTGGGTAATTTATGAAGAAAAGAGATTTAATAGTTCCACAGGCTTACCATAGTTCCACAGGCTTATCAGGAAGCATAACTGAGAAGCCTCAGGAAGATTACAATCACGGCAGAAGGTGAAGGGGAAGCAAACACATCTCCCATGGTGGAGCAGGAGAGAGAGCAAGGGGGGATGTGCCACACTTTTAAACTAGCTCATGAGAACTCACTCACTATCATGATAACAGCATGGGGGAAATCCACCCCCTTGATCCAATCACCTCCCACCAGGTCCCTCCCCTGGCATGTGGGGATTACAATTCGACCTGAGATTTGTGTGGGAACACAAAACCACACCGTATCAGTGTGTGTAGGACCAAGTTAAATTTTTGCTTCATCTCACTATGGGCTTGCTTCTCAACAAGAGACATAAATGTAATGTAACTGGAACTCCACCCAGAGCACCTACAATCCAAACATAAACATGCAGTGTGGTTTAATTCACATTCCCGGAAATAGGAGAATGCTGATGTCATGCAAAACATTCAAACATCAACACAGACTTGAGTATATTGTCAGGTTATATGATAAACACAAACCCGGGAGGTTGTTTGGCAATATGTGGAAAACAAATTACTGTTAACAGAGCCAACTGGTGGAAAAAGGCAAAAATAAACAAACAAACAAACAAAAAATAGATACCAGGAAACAAAGCAGGAAAGTCAGCCCAGCACTAGTATTGTATTATGTATTCCTTATTACTGCTTGGAGAATTTGTGTTTTCATGTAATATATTGCTATCCCAGGTGAAAACAACTGAGAATGTCAGTTGTTATCCAAGTAGGATTAAGAATCTGGTTTCTACACTGAAGTGTCGATCTAGCACGTTTTTCTCTTTGGATTCGGTCTTCTAAACACAGCCTATTAAAAGATGATTTAATTGGCATTTTGTTAGAAGGTTAATGAAAACTTACCAAAAATAGCTTGTGAAGGAAGTAGATAGGAACACAAAGGAAAAATACATTCTAATAGCACAAATTATTTTCTTTCGTTCAGGCTTCTTTTCGGAGGCAGTTTTAAAAATACTGGGTCAATAACTTAGCCTTTGGCAGTCTTGCCTCTCCAGTGGCCTCCATTATTGCTTGAGGGTTCTCTCTAACTCCTGCTCCATTCTTCTGCTTACATATTGTTGGCTAAAAGGCTTTTTTATTCACCCAACAAATCCTATTGATGGTGCGTTGCATATTTATCCTTGCCACACACAACTGCGGTTTGATTCTTTTCTGTTTGCCACTTTCCCAAGAAATTACATTTTCATGTGCATCCTTTGAGAACTGTTTATAAATCCTACTTCTGAGAGGTTTTGCTACAGTTGACTTTTATTCTTTTCCCAAACACAAAGCTCCTCATTGTCTATCCTGTGCAGAGAAACAAAGGTAAAATATACATGTAGTGCTCACCTCCAAAGAATTCATTGTCTGGTGGGAAAATGAGATAAATAGAAAATTATAATAAAATCAGATATGTGAAATGTTAATGATACAGAGTCAAAGATAAAGAAAAAGTAACACAGGCTGAGAGAAGGGCGAGGGGGAGTTCTCAATTCACAATTCACACTACCCAAAACACAGATGGTTTTATGTCATGAAAAGGAATCAATCCTGTGAGTTAACTCAACTTACCTAATGAACTCCCCATTCAACTCCCCATTTGAATACTATCTTTGCATTGTAATTGTATACTTACTTTTATCTTGAAGCCACCAAGAAGCCATTAAAAATTTAAAATAAGAGTCTACTTATTTTGACTTCCACCTCTTTCTCTAGCTGGATTTCTCTTCCTGCTCTACCTTGGATTCTTCTATTCACATGAGCCTTGCTCCTTCACTAAACCGCAAACCCGCACTTCTCTCTCTGAAGCAAGTGGAGCAAGTAAGGAGGCTACCAAAGTCTGACTCACAGAGAACAAGAGGTCAGCACACATCATAATCACCATCATTGTCACCGTAGCAACCATCACGTTGGTTGAGCATTTAGTAAAGATGTGTAGTGGGTGGTATGTGCATTTCACCAATATCCTTAAGAAAGCTTTATGTCACCTCTATTAAGTTGGAATTATTCTCTTTGTTTTGTAGATGATGAATTAGGTGCTCAGAGAGTTCCTGACACTTGCCAAGGTCGTTCGGCTGGGCAATACCTGAACCATTTGGACATAGGCTGGGGACGTGGGCCAGATGCTGTATTAATCAAAACTGGAGCTCACAAGATTTGCCTGATAGTGAACCTAGGACTGTCATTTTGGAACTGCTTAAATCCCACTTTTCTGTTTCAATTCCAAAAGCCCTGGCTATGAGAATGAGGGAGAGGCCAAGAGCACAGAGCAGGCAAAGCTGGCAAGACAACCGCAGGTTCTCCCCCTGCCACTGGAGGGGCTCTTCTGCCCTTGCTGCTCACCAGTCTCTACTCTCATCTTGTTGAATCGGCTGCTCAGTCTCCTGTGGCACAGCCATATGTATTCAAACTCATGTAGGCACAAAGGGCCTGGTGGGGATTGAAACTCAGGTCTCTGAAGTGGCATAATGTGTGCCCCTTTGCTCTGCTAAGGTTACAGGTAATGTATTAGCTGCAAGTTCTGAGTGTCAATTCAGCTTTTTTCTGGCTACCCAACCTTCTGCCAGGTGCTGGACAATTGCTCTCATGATGGTCCAGTACTGCTCTAAGCCTGAGTCTCCTTCCTGTCCCCTGTGCTCCAAGATTGATAACTAGATTGCTGCCCCAACCCTTGGATTCAAGCCTCTTTTAATAACCCATTACTCCCATGATCCCCAATCTTTCAAAGACTGAGCCCCCAACTTTCCTTCTTGGCTATCCTTCTATCCTCAAATAGAAGCTTCCGCAAAAGCCAAACATGTAGCTTGAGCCCAGCTCCTTGATGAAAGAGCTGAGGCTGCTAACTTGCCACCCACTAATTTCTAAGCCTGTCCTCCCTCATGTTCTTGTTATTCTGTCTTTCCTGTCTGCCAAGCCTTATTTTATAATCTCACATTTCACCCTGATGCTAATAAATAGGACAAAGACCAGGAACCCCATAACTGGCAGAATAAGATCTCAACTGTTTAACATAGAGAAGGTGTGCTCATGATGACATAGACCCCAGCAACCTCTTCAGCCTCACTCTTCCCGTCACAGGCTATGCCGACCTGAAATGACCCTGGCCCACAAAACAGCTTGAATTTTCATGGATGCACCATGCTGTTCATACCACTGCCCATTTTTATTTATTGAGATTTTTTTAAAGCATTATCGAGGCCTAATTTGTATACAATAAACTGCCCATATTTAATGTATACAATGTGATGATTTTGGACATACCTGTGAAGCCATCACCACAATATTAAGGCAATGGCTGGGTGCGGTGGCTCACACCTGTAATCCCAGCACTTTGGGAGGCTGAGGCAGGCAGATCACTTGAAGTCAGGAGTTTGAGACCAGCCTGGCCAACATGGTGAAACCCCATCTCCACTAAAAATACAAAAATTAGCCGGGCATGGTGGTGAGTACCTGTAATCCCAGCTACTTGGGAGGCTGAGGAAGGAGAATTGCTTGAACCCAGAAGGCGGAGTTTGTAGTGAGCTGAGATCATGCCACTGCACTCCAGCCTGGGTGACAGAGCGAGACTCTGTCTCAAAACAAACAAACAATAACAAGAAAAAAAAAACACCAATATTAAGGCAATAAACATATCCTGCACCTCTAAATTTTTCTTGTGTTCTTTTTGTTTTATTTGCTTATTTGTTTATTTGGTAAGAAAACTTGACATTAATTTTTTAAATTCGTACTAGAGTATTGATGACTATAGGCACTATGCTGTACAAAAAAATCTCTAGAACTTATTAGTCTTGCATATATGAAAACTTATACAATTTTGTTCTACTTTTTAAACTTATTCATCCTTCAAATCTAGAGCTTAGTTCACCTCCCCTAGGAAGGTAAAATGTACCTTTCTCCTTGAGAAATGATCTACGTGTGTGTGTCTACTATTTACTGAAAGTCTGCACTATCTCTGCTTCTTTCATGAATTTCTGTCTTTGCATTTGCATGCTCCCAGAGTTCTATCCAATGGGTACCTTGGCAGGAAAGTGAGCTGAAATCCATTTGACTAGTTAGCTAGCTTATTCCAGGGCTATAAAACAACAGTCCCAGGGGCCTGTATGGTTGTCAGACATTTCTAATAGATCATAGTTCTCTTTCCTACTGAGCCAGCCCAGGATCTCAGAACTCTTTGTAAAGTTATGCTGCAGGCAACCACCACCAATCAATGTGAAATGGAATATGAACTTATTTTCATCAAAAGATTCCATGAAAACAGTGAGAAGGCAAGTCCCATCTTGGGAGAAGATATTTTCAATGGACATAACAAAGCATTAGCATCCTGATCTTACATAGAATGCCTCTAAATAAAGAAAGAAAAGAGATGGCACATTTGCCGTCTTCACTCTAGGAACATTCGGATGGGAGAAATCTTGAGTTTCCTGACCTCAGGGCTTACCCTTCATTGACATAAACAACAGGCACCATAGGAACATGTGACTGTTTGATGTCAACAGCAGGTGTGAGTCAGGCTTATGTGCCACCCGCCCCCGCCACCCACCTCAACTCAGCTCACCTGCTTTGTCCTAGAGCCAGCAGAGTCCAGGCTGCTGTTAACAACTTCATGTCCCCGTGGGTAGCAGGCAGGTGCTTCTGTCTGATCTGGCTCTCCTTGACCACTGTACTCATCAAATAGACCAAGATCCCCAGAGTCCAAGATCCTTACAAGGGGGCCAGAAAGGGATGAGCTTTCTGAAGAAGCACTGATGTAAAATACCAGGAATTTTGACATCGAAGAAGATTTTTGTGATGGCAGCTGGGATTTGGCCATAATCTAGAAGACACATGGTGAATACAGTTGCAAGTCATTTAGTCATATTTCTTGCTAAATTGCTGTGTCTTCAATGGTGAGTCTGTTCAACTTTACTTTTGTTATGCTTCCCTCAATCACGAAAAGGACAAACTTCTCAACAGACTGGTCCTGAGTAAAAGTGACCTGAATTCTCTGATAAAGAAGAGGGAAAGATTCGGCTGGGTAATGCCAGGTTTGTCTCACTTGACAGTACAATGTAACTAGTTTTGCCATAATGTTGTGAGAGGAGATATGTGTGGGCCCAAGACCAGAATGGTGGAACTATGCAATCAATCGTAGATTTATAGCATTGCATGCAACAAAATGCCCAGGTTTGGTGTCAGGAAGCCCAGGTTCAGGCTTTGCAAATCCTACGATTGGGAATCAGTTCCTTAACCTCTCTGACTTTTGGCTAACTTGATTATAAAACCACGTAAAGAAAGGCTTTTCATATGGTTGTTCTAGGGAAAAAAATGAGATAATGACTATAAACCTCACAGAAGTGCAGGCACATAGTAGATGCTTATTGAGTAGTGGTTTGTCTTCTCCTATTCCACTCCAAAGGAAAAAGAAGAGAAAAGAAAAGAAAAAGATATGTATCTCTAATGGGCCAGCTGGCCATAGACTAACTTTAAAAATGCACTCTTAGGAAGTAAACATTAGCAATATATATTCAGAAACGACTCTTCAGGAGAATGGCACTTATGTATGATGGATATGCAGGAATGTCAACTCTCTGGGGCTGGAACACATTGCTGCATTCTCTGTAGAACTCTAGCACTTAGTTCAGCAGCAACACAGAACTAATATTCTATGAAAAGTGATAAAAGCATCTCTGGACAAAATACAACAAGCTCCTATCAACTACAGCCAGCAAAAGAAGATGGACAGCATGGTGCCTGGCATATGGCAGATGCTCAGAATGAATAAATTAGCAGGACTTTGAAAAACACACAGATGCATGGCAAACCAGGTAGTGCATAAAATTAATAATCATAGAAAGCAATGTGCTATCATTCACTGAAGGTGCTAGGCACTTTGAAACACTCATTTTCTCAATACCTAACTTGGAAAAAAAGTCCCCATTTTATACATCAGAAAACTAAGACCAAGAGAGTTTCTCCAGCTTACCAAGTATAACATGGTTAATACATAATGAAGCAGGAACTTGACTGTCTCCAAAGGTGTTTTTCTTAAGACTCACCTGGCCCAGGACTGATGGGGACAAGATCTGAACGGGCAGTGAAGGGGGGAAGGTGGGCTGTTGTCATGAATGTCCGGGGTGGTGGTGACTTGAAGAGTTTGGTGACTAAGAGGTGGATTGTGGCACAGGGTTTATGGGCAGACGTGGGGGCTGTAGTGGCATCAGGGCTCTTGCCATGAAAGAGGTCTGGCAGAGGCACCCCCAAGACAGGCAGCTGAGGAGACAGGAAGCTGTGGCTATCACCTGGGGATAGGGGAAATAAAAGCCAATGCCATAATTGACAGCTATAACCGAAAGGGGGGCTTGGAATTGCTGGTGGATTATTTTCCCTCTACATTGAAGCTGCTCATTTGTCTTCTTAATCTTGGGTTGTGCTTTCTGAAATCTCCTGCACTAGAAATTTCCTAAAATGAAATGTCAGAGCCTTTACTGTCCTATTCACTCCCGCCAAAAGGGAGCAGCATAAATAATTCATATTATTCTCTTTAGGATCATGTTGGCAAAAATATATTAGCAGATATAATTGTCTGACACTTCAAGGAAGTGATGTTTTAAAAATAGGAACCCATGAGGAGGGAGAGAGAGAAAAAACACCTGACTCACTTGGCTTCCTGTGGCTATTTATTTTAAAGATAAGGCTTTTTTTTTTTTGGTCCTCGAGTTGCTGTCATATATATATTTATAATGTGCAACACACCTCTTCTAGGTTCTTAATTCATCAATTCTCACCTCTTCTGCCTCTCCTCTACAAGTTTAGTCTTTGATTGCCATGGAACTTCAGAGTTAGATGGAATGTAAAAGGCTAGTCCCCATTCAGAGCTTGAACCCCTGTCCTTGGGTGTTTACTCAAATTCAAACAAAACCACTCAGTGACAGTGGAAAACCCCCTCGTCTCACCACAGGACTTTTCCAAGTTCAGTCATACCATTTCACTCCTACTTAAAAACCTGTAGCTTTTTCACTTGTCATTAAGATGAAGTTCAAAAATCCATAACAGCCTTGCCAATCTCTCTCTCACCACAGGGCCTTTGCAGGGGCTGCTAGCTTTGTGTGCTCCTCAAATCCTGTTAAATCCGCCCAACCTTCAGTAATGTGCCAGATGTAGCTTAAATGAGCTCACAAAGACTGACTGTTAAATTTTCAGACATTTTATGAGCTGATTGTTCAACAGAGCTATTATTAAAAATGAAATTACATAAACTCATAAATATATTAAAAGCAAAGGTAATAAATATGCAAAACTCATTACTTTCTAATTATTTTCACCACATTGTACTCTATAATCTTGAGGTCATTTTTGTATAATAAAAATGCTATATGATGGTGGCTACTGCACTTGTCTTCCCAATTCCACATTCATATTGATTGCTTGAAATCAGCCATAATGAGGACATTTACAACATGAAAATCAGCAAACACTACTCACTAGGGCTTGTCCCCTGCCCCACCACTCAGAGAGACCGTTGCTAATCCTTTAGGAACAAACCACTGCTTCAAACTCACCAAACTTCAGACTACGTTAGATTTGCATGTGGTATGATTTCACAGGACTGAATTCCTTTCTTGCAAAGCCTTCTCTTTTTGTAGTTACACTTTAACAGTAACTGATACTACTACATGTATGGATTCTGCCCTCCATGAGAGCAGAATTCTTGACACATTTTGCACACCATGATGATATCGCAGCAACAAAAAGGATGCCACACTCATAAGAAATTATTGGTTAATAACTGTAGGGTAAATATCAAACTCAAATTGTTAGAAACATTCAACATGAGTGGAAATCTTCAGCCCCTTTTAAGAGAGAATAACAAAATATCTTAACAGATGAAAGAGAGTTCCTCTTAGGAAGAATCTGTCTTTCTTTGAAGTAACATTCATAAGTTGAGGTTATAGAAAAAGCCTGAGAATTGTGATTACCAGAAACTAAGGAACAAAAGATGTGGCTAAAAACCCCTGCATGAGAGGAGAGGAATGGGTAGCCCGGTGGCATGAGACTGGAGGACTGGGAGCCCCGAACCACCCGGGGAGAAATCCCCTGTGGTTGCATTGCGAGAGACTGTCTCAGAAAAAGAATATCTGATAGTTCATTTGAAGTTTTTGTTGATGAGAAGTAAATAATTCTTTTTCTAAAACTAATACATAATGATTGTGCAAATTTCTGGAGAAGTTGGTTAATGGGTACAAAAAAACAGTTACATAGAAGGAATATGGTCTAATGTTTGATAGCACTGTGTGATGACTATAGTTCACAATAATTTATGGTATATGTCAAAGTAGCTAGAAGAGAACATATGGAATGTTCTCAACACAAATGATAAATGTTTGAAGTGCTGGATATTTTAAATACCTTGATTTGATTATTACACATTGTATGCGTGTATCACAATGTCACGTGTACCTAAGAAATCTGTAGCTTTCCTTCCTAACTAAACCTTAGTAAAGTCCACACACAAAAAGATGTGTGTGTGTGTATGTGTGCATGTGAGTGTAAATTAATTAAGCGAATGAATTCCATGCTTGAGATGGTACCATGGGGAATAGATACAGTATGCATGTGATGGTTAAAAAAAACCCTCATACACTGAAATGGTTAAACGTACATATGAGTTGTAAACCAGAGGTGACCACAATGAAGTAAGAATAGACCCATATGAAACTCTCAGTAGTTCTGGAGTTTCCAGTACATGAGGCATGTACGATTTTGATCGGTTGGGTTTTTTCCCTTTGATCTCAACGTGCTGGGAGATTGGGAACATGTATTTCAGCGGTGGTTCTATTTCTAAATCTATAGAGTAGGACATACTTCACTTGTAGTTGCAACTCCCTTTTGAGGTAGGGGAAAGGGAAATTTGGAGCCACCCAGAAATGTATTCAAATGCAAGATTAAAAATTCAATGTAGAGTTCAAGGTCATTATATTTATCCAGCAAGAACCAATGAAGGCTGAATGGGAATGAATAGTAGGCAGATTTTCAGATATATTTTGGAGGGAGCACAATCAGTACGACTTGACAATAGACCAACATTGAAGGTGAGGGAAACAGATGAGTCATATAATGACTCTCAGAGTTGAGGGCATGCTGGTATCACTTAGTGAAATGGGGGAAAACTGCAGGAGCACCACACCATGGAAGGAAATTCTTTACAATGTGAGGTTCAATGGTGCAGTGATGAGCCAGGGTGGCCGCAGATGGTGGCTATGCAGACCGTGAGCTTGCCAGGTAGGTGCCCAGAAACACTCATGATGCAGTGGCGTGACTAGGGCCCCACAGCCACTGCCAACACAGCCACTGGCCATATCTTTTGGCTTTTAATCATCACCTCACATTGTGCTACTCAGCATCCTGTTGGTTTCTTTGGATAAACTTAGAGGTTTGATTCATATAAATCAGTGTCTATATTTCAAATCCATTTGTTTTTCAAAAACAAATGGCAGTAAAAGTATTGTCTTGATACTGAATATAGTAACCGTTCTGGAAAATTTCCAACATGCATCTTTTGTGATCTTTCATATTTGCAAGAATTATACCTTAAACATTTAATGAAACGTGGTCAAGTAAATATCATGGGGAAAAAGTTAATGGGCAGGTAATTATACATAAATTATATGTTTCAAACTTTTGCAACGTTCCTTACAGTTCTTACAGTATAGAGGTTTAAGGGACATCAAGAGCAAACCATGACAGTATTTGACTTTCCATTTCTGATTGTTTCACTTGAGATAATGGCTTCTAGTTTCATCAGTGTTGCTTCAAAAGGCATGATTTCATTCTTTGTTATGGCTGAATAGTATTTCAGTGTGTGAGTGGGTATGTGTGGGTGTGGGTGAGTGTGTAACATTTTCTTTATTTATCCCTTGATGGACACTGAGGTTGACACTTTGCTCTCGTGAATGGTGCTGCAGTAAACATGCAAGTGAGGGCCTGTTTTTCAAATAACAATTTATTTTCTTTTGGGTAGATACTCAGTAGTGGGATTACTAGATGAAATGGTAGTTTTGTTTCAGTTGTTTGAGAAATCTCCATACTGTTTTCCATAGAGGCTGTACTAATTTACATTGCTACTAACAGTATATAAGACTTCCCTTTTCTCCACACCCTCTCCAACATCTGTTATTTTTTGACTTTTTAGTAATAGCCATTCTGACTGGTGTAAGACCAGTAAAAGACAATCCAGACCCTAAATTAAAAGGTACAGAGTGCCAAACAGGACACAAAGAGAAAAATTCAGAAGAGGAAGCAGCCATTCTCACTTAGCAATGATCCAAAGATTTGAGTATGAGATATTAACAAGGATTATATATTATCAGGAAATTAACAGAAATCATCATATAAAACATGCATCTGGGTTGAAGTTCATGGCAAAAGATATGATTCCACAGAATAATTAATTGCTGTATAAAGTGATCAAACTTGGATACGTTTAAACATACAAGTCAAGAATAATATCAAAGGTATATGCTAAAAATATAAGAAAGGGGCCGGGTGTGGTAGCTCACACCTGTAATCCCAGCACTTTGGGAGGCCAAGGCGGGCAGATCACGAGATCAGGAGATCAAGACCATCCTGGCTAACTAACATGGCGAAACCCCGTCTCTACTAAAAATACAAAAAAAACAAAATTAGCCAGGCGTGGTGGCAGGCGCCTGTAGTCCCTGCTATTCAGGAGGCTGAGGCAGGAGAACAGTGTGAACCCGGGAGGTGGGAGATGGCGCCAATGCACTCCAGCCTGGGTGACAGATGGAGACTCCGTTTCAAAAAAAAAAAAAAAAAGAAAGAAAGAAAGAAAGAAAGAAAGGATACATCACACACAGATCAGTGACCACTGAGGTGATGGCAAACCTGCAGCAGTTCTTTGGTAAAGGTACCTGTTGACCAAGGGGAAGCCAAGAGATTTTGCTTCAGGCATCATGTCATGTTATTTCTCAACACTAAGGTCAACTATTATAAATGCTTTTAGCTACACACACACACACACACACACACACACACTCTTTAGAATAAAATGTTGCTTTGTTCCTGTTTGTTCTTCACAATAGAACAATGGAACACCTAATTAAAAACTCATGGTATTTGTGTATTCTTCTAAAAACGTTTGGCAAATATTGTTTTTGGGGAGACAAGAGAGGTTTTGTGAAGGAGTTGCATCATGGTTTCTCAGTGTCATCACTCCTGACATTCAGGGCTGGATAATTCTTTGTTGTGCTGAGCTGCCCTGGGCTGCCCCTCGCACTGTAGGATGTTCAGCAGTAGCCCTGGCCCCATCAGTAGATACCAGAAGCCTTTCCCCAGTTCTGACAACCAAATATGTCTCCAGACATTGTACGATACCCTCTAGGAGGCAAAATATTTTTAACGTAAGACTGTTTTCGTGTCTATCCATGTGTACCTCTAATTTGGTGGTTCTCAACCTTGAGCACAGTATGCAGAATCCCCTAGAGAGCTTGTTAAAAAAAATTGCTAAGCCCCATCTTCAGATTTTCTGATTCACTAGAACTGGTTGGGGCCCAGGAATATGCACTTCTTATAAGTTATCAGATGATTTTGATGTCACTGGTCCTGGAACCACTGTTCTAGTTTATTTCTTCTCTCTGCTGCCTGGTGTTCCATTATTTACATCTCCAGTATTTTACTTATTCGTTGCTCTAGTGTTGGACAGCTTGGCTGTCTCCACTTCCCTCTTCTCACGAACAAGGCTGCAGTCAGCATTCTGATGACTGTCCCCTCACCCTTTGGGGTGTGACTTTCTCTAGGTCTATACCCAGGAATGGCACTGCAGGCCCATAGGGTGTGTAGATGCTTTATTTCAATAAGTGCTGTCTGATCACACTTTAGAATAGCTGATCGCAAGGTATGCATAAATAGCTGTATCCCCATTTAACAGAGGAGGAAACTATGAAGCAGGAATTTAATTAGACTGACCCCCTCCAATTCCACCATTAACACAGCTAGTGAGTGAATGTCTTGGTGAAACCCCAGTCTCACTCCACCCTGCTGGTAACTGACGAAATGATCTTTCAGTGGCCTTGTGTTCCACCACGGAATTTTCCACGACTCTCAAGCTGACCTTCAGTATGAGCCCCACCTGCAAACTGTGCTTGTTTAACCTCCTACTCATGTCCTTAAGTGGGCAGAAAGATCAGTTATTTTGCTGAGAATTTTGCAAGTGAAAAGAGAATGGCTCTTGCTCTATATGAGTTCCCCACATAATTGACTTGGATTTCCTGGGTCAAATTTCAATACTTTTACGGTTTGAGAATGAGTTGTTGCCACATGTCCCCTGTGCCTGCTTGTGAGTCTCAGGCTTCTGCACTGACCACTACATAAAGGAATGCCTGGGATACTGCTGTGTCTGAGGAACAAACTCCAGACTTGATGTGATGATGCTCAAAAGATACCTATTGCATTTTGGCCCGTCACTTGCTATCTGGCCCTAAAGAAACACGTATTACACATACATGTCTGTTACAGGTAACAACACATTTTCATAGCAACAGTTCCATTTGATCTCTAACCTTCCTGCTAGGTAACAGCAAGCAGGCATTGTCATACCCACGGGAAGGATGCAGCTCACAAAGAGGGATTCTAAACCATGTGGTTTATCATGGGTGGAGGTGGAGGGGCATGTCTTTCCCACTTCAAACTACCCTAAAACCTCTGGGCTTCAGTTCTTGCAATTATATAATTGAAAGGTTAAAAAGGTTGTTTTAATCTTCATTAATAATAATTCTACAACTGAAATCTTCGCTCTACCCTGTTATGGGTTAATTATGTCCACCTGGAATTCATATGCTGAAATCCTAATGTCCAGGACCTAGGAGTGTAACCTTACCTGGAAACAGAGCAATTGCAGATGTAATTAGTTAAGATGAGGGCATACTGGAGTGGGTTGGGCCCCTAATCCACTATAACTGGTGTCCTTACAAAAAGAGGAAATTTCAACACAGATACACACATAGGGCCAGGCATGGTGGCTCACGCCTATAATCCCAGCACTTTGGGAGGCCAAGTCGGGTGAATCACGAGGTCAAGAGATCGAGACCATCCTGGCCAACATGGTGAAACCTTATCTCCACTAAAAATACAAAAATTAGCTGGGTGTGGTGGCAGGCGTCTGTAGTCCCAGCTACCTGAGGCGTGAGGCAGGAGAATCGCTTGAACCCGAGAGGCAGAGGTTGCAATGAACCAAGATCTCACCACTGCACTCCAGCCATGTGAAGGTAAAGGTGGGGGTCTAGGGTGATGCTAGCAGAAGCCACGGGATATCAAAGATTGCCAGAAACCCCAGGAGCAAGTAGAGGCCTGGAACAGATTCTCCTTCACAGTCCAGAGAAGGAACCAGCCCTGCCCACACCTTGCTCACAGCCTCTGGTCCCCAGAACTGTGAGACAATATATTTCTATTGGTGTCAGCCACTCTGTTTGTGCTGCTTTGATACAACATGCCTGGCAAACTAACAGATCTGCAATACCGCATTTATAGGAATCTCCTTTTAAACGTTTTTTCTTTTTTCTTTTTTTTTTTTAGACGGAGTCTCCCTCTGTCGCCCAGGCTGGAGTGCAGTGGCGCATCTCGGCTCACTGCAAGGTCCGCCTCCCGGGTTCACGCCATTCTCCTGCCTCAGCCTCCCGAGTAGCTGGGACTACAGGCGCCCGCCAACACGCCCGGCTAATTTTTTGTACTTTTTTAGTAGAGAAGGTGTTTCACCATGTTAGCCAGGATGGTCTCGATCTCCTGACCTTGTGATCCGCCCGCCTTGGCCTCCCAAAGTGTAAACTTTTATTTCTAAATGTCCTACAGAATGTGTTTTTCGCTGGGGAGGGGAAATGGGGATGGAGCATTTTCTTTCTACAGCTTGGATTTATGGGGGGGTAGTCACTTCTGATGGCCGAGGAACCTGCACGGGCGTCCTTGCAGATGCTGTGAAGGAGGAGGCTAGGGAGGGGTGGGTGCCCTCCGCTTCCAGTTCCAGAAAATATCTTGCCCACACTTCTTTACCTAGAATTCACACTCCACCCAAATGAAGGCTAGGGCCCAGGCCATCTGGTACACATAACAAATGATAATGCAAAGATGTGAGCCCTGGCCTGGTGCAAAGCCAGAGGAGAGGGGACCCTGGCAGAGTGGAAAGGGTGTGCTCCAGTCAAGGCATTAAATCGAGTGACCTTTTAAAGGCACATCTCACCCCGCGGGCTACAGTGAGCAACCCCTGGTTAAACAGTTCTATCCCTACGGTGCTATGGGACCTGGGGAGGCATTATGCACCTTTTCTAGTCTCCTGGGCCCTCTCCTTCGCAAGGAAAACAGACTGTGAGCTCAACTGATAGAAGGTCAGAGACAAACCCACAGGCCTCTCCTCCTCACCCCTTCTTCACAGGTGTCCGTGACTCCGCCCTCTTCCCTGCCTCACAAATAAGTTCTTCCACCACTGCCCTCTTAGGTCTTTGAATTTTTCAGTCTCAGATAATTGAGATTAAATAGGCTTTCTCTTCTCTCCCGTCACTAAGCCTCCTCTGAGGTCTGCTGGATCACTAGGAGAAGGGGAAGTTCCCTTCCCACAAAGGGGATAGGGGATTAGCAATAAAACAATGGGACAACATGAGCCCCAGGCTGTACCTGCTCCTGCTTTTTATGGATGATCTCTAAGCAAATCCATCTCTTCTTATCTGGCAGTGTTTGCCGTAAAATAAATTCATTCATTCATTCCTCTCTTCTTCCTAAGAGCTGTTTCCTCTCTAAAGCCCCATCTGATTTATTCTTTTATTCACACGACCTTGGACACATACAGGGTTGCTGTCCATTGTTCTAAGCCCTTACCATACAGCAGTGGACAAAACAGAAAGAACTTTCTGCCCTCACTGGACTTACATTATAATAGGCAACGAAAAAAAAAAACTAACTAAAAATGTAATATCAAGAGTGGCGTATAGTATTCCAGAAAATGACTTAAGCTATAACAACAGGAAAAGGTAGAGAAGGATGAGAAGGATTCAAATTCTGAGCATAGGGAAGACGGGTTGTAGAATTACATAGGATGGCAGGATAAGCCTCTTCAAGAGCGGGACATGTGAGCAACAACTTGAAGGAGGAGGCGAGGGAGTTATCCATGCAGGTATCCAGCAGAAAGCATCCTGGGCAGATGAAACGGTGAAACAAAGATCAAAGATGGGACTGTGTTGTGTGCATACATACATTATATTTGTATAATGTTAAATATGTATAAATATTAAATATATAGTAATGTATAAGCCCTTATACAGTTCCTTTAGTCCAATAATAAGGACTTATGCTGAGAGCATCCCCCAACCCCGTCGACTCTTGGTCTGAAATATCGCGCAAAGCATCTTATGCTCTTGACAAGGAAGAACTTCCTGCTCAAATAGCTGCTTATTAATCCCTGGGCAAACTCATATATCCCACCCACACATAAAAGTTACCAAAGCCACGCTGCCCTGCCTTCTCTCTCTCTCTCTCTCTCTCTCTCTCTCTCTCTCTGACTCCTGTGTTATTCTCAGACCTCTCCAGGGAGCACTAGCATTTCAGTGAACACAGATTAATGTGATCTAACTGGAAGAGACACAAGAAATCCTGCAATCTAGTTATTCCCGAACAAGCTGTTTCAACAAACCTGTGTTATCTACTATGTACAGTTAAGTAATATGGTGTGGGGTAGGCATGATTATTACTAATAATGTTGTTATTACCGCACAAGGGTCTCAATGAACAAGAAATAGTCCCTGCCTCAAAGAAGTGGATAGAAACGCAAAAATGATTTCCCATAATACCATAAGAGCCAGCATTTCCTCAAGGCTACCTACATTCCAGGCAGTTTCCCAAACACTTTCTTAGTGTTATTTCTCTTAATCCACACATCACTTCTGAGACAAGAGCCTATTCATATCCATAAAGTCTTAAGGAGAGAGAGATTCAGAGAGACCCACAAGTTCCTCTGAGTTAAAAGGATTATTAAGTGGGAAAAGTAGAATTTAGTCTTTATCCATTTGATCCCTAAACTTCTTAATATACTCCACTAGCATAATTAGAACCTGAACCAAATGTATACATAAGTGTTACTGAGGCAAGAGAATAGGGTCTGGAAGCACGGATCGTAAGCACTTCCTGGAACTAAATCAAAGGGAAAACCCCCAACTTTCTATGCCCAAGTAAATAACTTTGTAACTTCACTGCAGCTATGACAGGAAACATCCTCTTCATTTGCATGTAGCCTGTATACCAAGTAAAGAACTTTGTAACCTCACTATACCCTCTTCATTTACATACAGCATACACCAAGTAACCAATAGGAAATGTCTAGAGGGGTTGTTTTTTTTTTTAATACAGAGTCTCGCTCTGTCTCCCAGGCTGGAGTGCAGTGGTGTGATCTCAGCTAACTGCAACCTCCCGGGTTCAAGCAATTATTGTGCCTCAGCCTCCCAAGTATCTAGGATCACAGGTATGCACCACCACACCTGCCTAATTTTTGTATTTTTAGTAGAGACGGTGTTTTGCCATGCTGGCCAGGCTGGTCTCGAACTCCTGACCTTAGGTGATCCACCCGCCTCGGCCTCCCAAAGTGCTGGAATAACAGGCGTGAGCCACCACGCCCTGCCGTCTAGAGAGTATTGAAACCCCAGAAAATTTTGTAATGGTGCTCTTGAGCTGTTTGCTTGGGCCCACTCCCACCCTGTGGAGTGTACAATAGCAGATCTCAATAAATCTGCTTTTGTTGCTTCCTTCTTTACTTGCTTTGTTTGTGTGTTTTGTGTAATTCTTTGTTAAGAATGCCAAAAACCTGGACACCCTCAACTGGTAACATTATGAGAGCAGAGAAGAGCAGGTCATTCACCCCCTGCTATGGAGAAACAGAGTTATCGAAAGCTGCATAATAGTGGGTCACTAGGTTGACAAGTGGAGAAAGGACATTCTTGTGGAGGAAACAGCAGGAACACACGCAGAGAAAATGGAAAGCACATAAAGCCCAGCTGAGCTAGCGGGAGATGGGGCTGGAAGGGGATGTTGGAGCCATGTTGGTGAGAGCCTTGTGTTTCATATTTAGGAGCTTAGGAGCTTGGATTTTATACTGGGGGTCATCAAAATTCAATCCCATTGAATCTGTGACTTGGTACATCCTTCTTCACCAAATTGGTGAGTTGCTCTCCCTCCTTTCCTCTTGCATGTTTACCTTATCATATTTATTTACTTATTTTTGAGACAGGGTCTCTCTCGCTCAATCTGGAATGCAGTGGCATGATCAGGGCTCACTGCAACCTCCATTTCCGGGACTCAAACAATCCTCCCACTTCAGCCTCCCGAGTAGCCGGGATTACAGTCGTATGCCACCTTGCCTGGCTAATTGTATTTTTTGTAGAGATGGGGTCTCACTATGCTTCCCACGATGGTCTCAAACTCCTGACCTCAAGTGATCTGCCAGCCTTGTCCTCTAAAAGTGCTGGGATTACAGGCATGAGCCACTGCCTGGCTGTTTATTCATATTTTTATGCCAAGCAGTATGTCAGGCTTTGGCAATACAATATGCACCTGTCAACCTTGGTTGTTTGGTTGGATTGGTACTTGCTTGATGAATGTGTAAATAAATGTGAGCTCTCTAAATGCAGAGGTCATGCCGTGCTCCTTCTCCCTCTCCTGGTGCTTAGTACAACGCCTAACATACAACTCGATAATTACTGTTTAAATGAAAGATAAAGCAAACAAGTGAATTAATAAGTTTATAAATGAATGAATGTATGAAAATATAAATGTGTGGACAAATTGACTTCATCAGCAAATGAACAAAAGAAGAAAATGTATCAATATTCTACCCTATCTTTCCCTATAAGGAGTGTAGATTTTACCTACACATACCATATGTTCTCTACACTTCTTTCCACTACAACATGACTCAGAAGTAGCCCATATTCTTGGGGAGAGAATTATGTCAATGTGTTCCTTTTTAATTTTTCAATAAACTTTTAAAATTTCAGATGATTGTAGAGTCTCATGCAGTTTTAAGAAATAAAGCAAAGATCTCTGTGTGCCCTTTACCCATTTTCCCCCAGTGGTAGTCCTTTCAAAACTATTATACGATATCACCATCAGGGCATGCAGTCGATACAGTCAAGATACAGAACTTTTCCATCATCACCAGGATGCAGCCCTTCTATAGCCACACCCAGTTCCCTCCAGCCCCCAACTCCCTCCTCAGAGCCCCCACCTCCCTCCTCAGTCCCTGGCAACCACCTGTCTGTTCTCCATTCCTATAATTTTCTCATTTCCAAAATATTATATTAATGGAATCATATATAAGTAATTTTTCTTGATTGACTTTTTCACTCAACATAATTCTCTGGAAAGTCCCCCAAGTTGTGTATGTATTAACAATTCATTCCTTTGTATTGTTGAGTAGTATGTGATGATACAAATGTACCAGTTTATTTAATCATTCAGCCACTGAAGGACACTTGCATTGTTTCCAGTTTTTAATATTATAATTAATTTGTGTACCAATTTTTGTGTGAACATAAGCTTTCATTTCTCTGGGATAAATGCCCAGGAGTGCAATTGTTAGTTGTTATTTTTTTAAGAAACTGTCAAGCTGTTTTCCAGCGTCCCCGTACAATTTTACATTCCCATCAGCAATGTATGTGTGATCCATTTTCAACATATCCTTGTCAGCATTTGGTGGTGTCACTATTTTTTTTTGTATGCATTTTTGTTCAGTTCTTTATTTTCATCTCTCTTGTGGTTTTTCTGTACCTCATTACGTTTTCATAGTACAGTAGAAAGTAAATGGTACACGTTTTGCGGAGGTTTTTAAAGTCATTCTAATAGGTATGTAGGGATAACTCATTGCAGTTTTTTAATTTTCATTATCTTAATACCTAATGATGTTGAACATTTCATGCGCTCATTTGTCATCTGCGTATCCTCTTCCGAAATATCTGTTCGTATCTCTAGCCTACTTTCTAATTTAATTTTTTTCATCGGGTTTTGAGAAGTCTTTAAATAATTTGTAGTGATGTTCCTAGTAATCTTTCATTCCTAGTCATGGTAATTTGTGTTCGTTTTTTGTCAGCCTTTTCAGAGAAACTTGTAAATTTTATTGATCTTTTTAAACAAACAACTTTGTTTCATTGATTTTTTTTCTGTAATATATTTTGTGTTTTGATTTGTTTCTGTTCTGTATTGTTTTCTTCTCTCGGCTTCCTTTGGATTTATTTTGCTATTTTTTTCTAGGTTCTTGAAGTAGGATCTTAGATTATTGGTTTCAGACTTCATTTTTTTAACATTTGCAGTTAGTGCTCTAAATTTCCCTCTCAGCATTGTTTTAGTCATAGCCTACAAAGTTTTTATGTTACAGTCTCATTTTCATTCAACTCAATGAATTTTTTTTTCAATTTCCACGGAGACATCCTCTTTGACCCATGGGTTATTTAGAATTGTAGCTTAGTTTGAAAGTGTCTGGGGATTTTTCTGGTATCTTTGTTACTGATTTCCAGTTTGATTCCACATTGGCTCTGTATGATTTTAAATACTTTAAGTTTGCCAAGGTTTGTTTTATGTCCCAGGATGTGGTCTGTCTTGATATATGTTCTATGGACACTTGAGAAGAATGTTATTCTGCCATCATCGGATGGAGTATTCTACAAAGGTTGATTCGATGCTACGGTTGATGGTTTTGTTGAGTTCTTCTATACCCTTGATAGTTTTCTCTTGGGTTTTTTCTATCAATTATGGAGAGAAGAGTATTGAAGTCTCCATCTGCAATTGTGAATTCATCTATTTCTTCTTTTAATTCTATCCATTTTCAGTGCATATATTTTATAATTCTGTTTCTTTGTGTGTGTATGCACACACATTTAGGACAGTTAAGTCTTCTTAGTGGGTTGGCCCTTTTATCATATTATGTTCCTCTCTATCTCTGGTAATTTTCTTTTCTCTGATGTCTACTTTATCTAATGTTAATACAGTCACTCTTTCTTTTGATTAATCTTTGTAAATTAATTAAAATTAAAAGATTTATACATTTTCCATCCTTTTACTCTCAAACTGCCTGTATTATTATATTTGACATGAGTTTCTTTTAGTAAGCATATAGTTGGCCTATATATTTTAATCCACTCTGCTAATATCTGTCTTTTAATTAGTGTATTTAGACCATTTACACTTAGTATGACTACTGATACGTTAGGGCTTAAGATTGCTATTTTATTTTCTGTTTTCTGTTTATTCTTTCTGTTTTCATTTCTGTTTTATTTTTCCTGCCTTCCTGTGTGTTATTTAAAAACTTTTTTAGAATTACATTTTGATTTATCTATGGAGTTTTTGACTGTATCTTTTTGAAGAGGTTTATTTATTATTTTTAGTGCTTGCTCTAGGTATTAGCATTATACATTCAACATTTACTACAGTCAACACAGTCTGGTGTTGTCATTTTACCAGTTCAAATAAAATATGGAAAAATTACCTCCTTTCCCATCTCTCCTTCCACCTTCCATTTATAATATAATTATCATGAATATTTCCTTTATATACATTTAGAACATATTAGACGGGTTGTAATTTTTGCTTTACCATTAAACATAATTTTGAAGACTCAAGAGAACAAGAAAAATCTATTTTGTTTATCCATATTTTAGCTTACTGTGTTATTTCTTTCTTTCTGATGTTCCAAGATTTCTTAACATATTTTTTTTGTTGTTTTGTTTAGAGAACTTCCTTTAGCCATTTGTTAAAACAGGTCTGCTTCTGCTAGTGACGAATTCTTCTAGTTTTTTTTTTGTTTTTCTTTATCTGAGAATATTTTAATTTCTCCTTCATTCCTGAAAGATATTTTACTAGATATAAAATGCTGGCTTTACAGTTATCTTATTTTCTTCAGGACTTAAAAAATATTGTGCCACTTTTTTTCTGGTCTCTATGGTTTCCGATGAGAAATTCACTGCCAATCAACGTACTTTTTCTTTATATGATATTGTTTCTCTCTTGCTGCTTTCAAGATTTTTTCTTTGTCTTTAGTTTTCAGAAAATGACTATTTGGGTTTTTTGTGTTTGTGGTTCATTTAGCTTCTTGAATATGTGGATTTATGTATTTACAAAATGGGAGAGTTGTCAGTATTTATTTCTCTGAGTATTTCTTTCAACCCTTCCCTCTTTCTCCTCTCTTTCTTGGGCTCCAATGGCATGAATGTTAGATCCAACACGTTTTAATTGTTCTACTTCCAGTTCATTGATTCTTTACTCTGACTCTTCCGTTCTGCTGTTGAGCCCATAGATTGAGGTTTTGTATAGAATTTTGTTTTATTTTAATTTTGGTTATTGTATTTTCACTTCTAAAATTTCCATTTGTTCTTCTCTATTTATTCTATTTTCTATAAGACTTTGCTGTTTTTGCTAAGACTCTTATTTTTTCATTTGTTTCAAGCATGTTTGTAATTGCTCATTGAAGCATTTTTGTGATGACTCTTTGAAATCTTCATCAGATAAGTCTTACATCTCTGTTGGCATCTATTGATTGTCTTTTTCTCACCAACTGAAATTTTATGGTTCTTGGTATAATGACTTTTTTATTGAAAACTGCATATTCCAGGTATTATATTATGAGACTCTGGATTTTACTTAAACTTCGTGTTTTAGCTGGTTTCCACTGATACCACTCTGACAAGGGAAAGAAAGAGGCTCCCAGGGATAGTGTGGGTATTGAAGTCCAGATTTCTCACCTGGCTCCATTGATACCTCCCTTTACCAGTGGGGTGGGAGTGCCTCATACAGCTTTTCTGTTTTGTTTTTTGGAGTCTCGCCCTGTCACCCAGGCTGGAGTGCAATGGCGCCATTTCAGCTCACTGCAACCTCTGCCTCCCGGGTTCAAGCAATTTTCCTGCCTCAGCCTCCCGAGGAGCTGGAATTACAGGCGTGCATAACCACATCCGGCTGATTTTTGTATTTTTAATAGAGACGGGGTTTCTCTAAGTTGCCCAGGCTGGTCTCAAACTCTTGGCCTCAAGTGATCTGTCCGCCTCGGCCTCCCAAAGTGCTGGGATTACAGGCGTGAGCCACCACACCCGGCCACGGCTTTTTACTCCACCCCCTCTGATACTACCCCAATGAGGAGGGAGAGAAACACATCACTGTTCAATGAGGCTGAAAGTCTAGGTATCCTACATGGTCTTTACAGACACTGACATGGAGAGGGGGCTTTTTATTGCCTGGCAAGGAGGAAAGCTCTAGTTTCCTGCTCAGCTTCCTCCCACACTACCCCAGCTGGGCATTTGGGGCCCCTCATTTCAAACAAGCAAAGTGACCATCTAGGTTTCCCACTCATCCTTGGCCAGTGTGGGTGGAATATAATTTTTTTTTTTTTCTGTGGCGTTTGGCTACGATAGGACAGTTATTGTCTAAAAGTTTTCTGTCTGTAACTCCAGCACTTTGGGAGGCTGAGACAGGCGGATTGCCTGAGGTCAGGAGTTCAAGACCAGCCTGGCCAACATGGTGAAACCCTGTCTCTACTAAAAATACAAAAATTAGCTGAGCATGGTGGTGTGTGCCTGTAATCCCAGCTACTTGGGAGGCTGGGGCAGGAGAATTGCTTGAACCCAGGAGGCAGAGGTTGCAGTGAGCCGAGATCACACCATTACATTCCAGCCTGGGTGACAAGAGTGAAACTCTGTCTCCAAAAATTAAAAAAAAAAAAAAAAGTTTTCTGTCTTGCCAGCCTGCCTCTTTCCTATTCCTTTTGGTAGAGAGGGAAAGTTTTCATTAAGGCTTTTCTCATCTGTGTCTATCAGTATTTGTTGATTGTTAATTATTCAACTGAAGTTTGGGACACGTAAAACAGAAAGAAATCTCAGGGAACTCACCACCTTGTTGTTTTTTAGGTTTAGAGGTCCCTAGCCAGTCTGTCACCTTCTCCCCACAATTAAGCTTTCTCAAATTTTTTAAAGTATGCCCAGGGTTTTTAGTTGTATTTAGTGGAAAAAAGTAGGTAAAAGTACATCTACTCTGTCTTCTCAGCAGAGGTCACAATTGTTCTTCATGGTTCTCTTTTAGAAATATTAAATTGCTTACATGCCTACCTTAACTGAGACATTTATTTATTTATTATCCTATTTACTTGATCCTATCAGAATCCTCAACCTCAAAGCCAACAAAAGGTGAAAAAACAAGGAAAAAGAAAAAAGTCATACAAATTTTCCTGGCTTAGGAGAGAGTTAATGTTCGAAAGAAGAAACTTCTTGAGAATTAATTCAGAAACCGCTTATTGTTGATTTAATATTGCTGAAACCTCAATTCTGTGGCATTCACTTAGAAATCCCAATTTTAAAAATAATCTTGCATGTTCAGCCTTCGTTATATATTATTAAAAAACTTTCCTACCTTCTCAAACAGCGGAGGCTCAGGAAAAGAATTCACCTCTTCTTGATGACTCAGATCCTAATTCTAAGCAGCTGGGGCAGTTTGTTTTCTCTCTGCCAAGCAGCTACGAGCTCTTAATGCATTTTCCTACATCTGCAGGCCCCACATCCCTAATTCCTGCCCGTAATGTTCTGGGGAATTGGAAGTGAGATAACCATGCCTGATGAAGTAGTGCGCTGAGGACACAGGGCTTCTCCTACCAAGCAACCAATAGGGATTTTGACACAGGTGATTTTGATAATAATTATAGTGATACTTAAGTAATGTAAACTTAATTTAATATTCTTAGTTATAATCTATGTACCTGAAGTTGCCAAACAAGTAGATGTTAAAGAAACAAACAACAAAGACAACAACAAAATATAAAGAAGAAGAAAAGAAAGAAGGAAGAAGAAATTTTCCTTTTGGAAATAAAATTTGTGGAATGTTAGTTTGAATCACAAGAGTACACTGGATCCCTTACAGATCCTATTATTTTGAATAAGTCTCACTTTGCAACATTGTGGCAAAGACTATTATCCATATTTTGAAAATAAGAGAACTGGGGCTGGAAGTTTAAGTGAATTGCCCAGGTCTGGATTCAGCTCAATTCTGCCCTTATCCGTTCTATTATGATGGGGCGGGGTGGAAGCTACAAGGTGTAATTAAACACACGGACAATAAACCCCATGGTAAATGTCATAATAAGGTGTTTCTCAAACACTGTTGGGCAGTTGACTCCCAAGTCAGTAGGTCTAGAGAGGGGCTTATGGTTCTGTGTTGCTAACAAGGTCCCCAGTGTTTCAATGCTGCTGGTCTACAGACTGCATTTTAAATAGCACGGACCTGAAAGACACACTTTGACAATATATAAAGGACAATAATATGAATTTGATTTTTAATTGAAAGTATTTGAGGCAATTTATTGTTTTTGTTCCCCTTAAAAAATAAAATATAGTCATAAAAATTACATGATCATTTTATTACTGATACTGAAACCAAAGAAGGATGTTGATTTAAGGTAGGGGAAAAAAAAACTTAAGGTACATAAATACATTAAAAGCAAAATGCTGAATAAAAAAAGAAAAATTCTTACCTCTTACCAGCATTTTTCAACATTCTTTAGCCACACTGATGTCAGAATGTATAATGTAGTGGCTTGACAAAAGACTAACAAATGAAATCAGGATTTTGTTAACTAGAGTGCCTTTTTCACTGAGATTTGCAATATTTAACTTAAAGTCATGGAATAAATATGAGAATAAGCTACTCACACGCACACACACACACACACACACACACACACCACAATGAATGTATTATCTAAGATATTTTAGATTAAAAGAGATCTAAGGACCACAGAATATATATACCAGCTGCTGTCCTGATTTTTGATCTATGATTTGTTTAAATCAAAACAATAACTTTCTGCATATTAATCTAAAAGAAAATATTTAGCCATTTGAACACTATATACCTAAGTATGTTCCAAATGATTCTCCTTTCCATGGCATATTAATTGTTCTTCTGTGACAAAAAGAAGTTTGTAGGAAAATAGGTTTGGAAAACTCAGGTCAAAGTTAATAAGATTCTTTACTGGAGGACTTTGCAGATATTAACTTGCTTCTTTTATTTCCCACTGTTTAAGTTTTTCATGGAGGGTAGTTATTTCCCTGCCCTAACCTCTCTTAAGTAACACGAAATATTCTACTCAATTTAAGTCACAAGTATAATCTTGCTTTACTGTGTAAAATGTTTGTTACTATTTAAATAGCAAAATCACAAACCTGATTTTGAGTCTCAGCCCCTCTCCTCCTGGAAAGGTCTATAGTTTGTGGAAGCCACAGCCTGGGAAGGGGGCTCTGGTTGGCTGCAGCTCTTTCTCCTCCCTGGCACTTTCTTCCACCACTCTTCCCCAACAATATCTGCCTGTCTAGGCTTGTAACATGGAAAGAAAGCAGGAAAGGAGAGAATGACAGGAAGATTCTTGTTTGGCCGATAATGTTTCGAGCTGCTGCCCAGATTTGGCAGCTTCAAAAGGCCCATGAAATGTCTAAAAAAGGATTGCATTAGTCTATTTTGCATTACTATAAAGGAATACCTGAGATCTGACAATTGGTAAAGAAAAGAGGTCTATTTGGCACATGATTCTTCAGGCTATTTAAGAAGCATGGTGCTGGCATCTGCTTGGTTGTCACATGATGAGAGAAGGAGCAAGGGAAGAATGGGAGGGATGCCATGCTCCTTTTAACAACACGCTTTCACATGAACTAAGAATGTAAGAACTCATTATTGCAGGGAAGGCACCAACCCATCCATGAGGGATCCATTTCCAGGATCCAAATACCTCCCACTAGGCCCCACCTCCAGCACTGGAGATCGAATTTTAACATGAGATTTTGGGGGGACAAAAATTCAAACCATATTAAGGATAAATTTTAGAAACCCCCTCACTACCCCCAGGTCTCTCTCTACAGCTATGTGATATGGGCCATGACCTCATCTTCCCCTGCACCTTCCTCTATCTCCTCCACCTCCTTTTGGCTGAGGTTGTTCCCCCTTCCTCCTAGCACCATCTTGGACAGGAGTTAAGATTAATCCACCCCAGTTCTCTGTTGTTCATGGCACTCATTTCGTCCATGTCTCACTCACACATCCTTTTCCCAGAGTAATTCGTGGAGTGTGGGACACTTGACAACACCATCTCCCCCATCCAATCCAGTTTATCCACATACAACTGGTCAGCTTCTGTCTTATTCTTTAGCTGTGTCAGGGATGATTCAGATTCCAGATCTCTGTGACCACCACTTTTACAGTCCAATGGGTTCTTCTTTCCTACTGCCCAGAAAAAAGCCAATGCACTGAGATCAGCAGCTCTTGCAGCAGAGAAAAAATTTAATAATCACAGCGAAGACAAGCAAAGAGGTTGGAAGGCGTCTCTAAAATCTGCCTCCCCAAGATCTCAGAGACTACGTTTTTTAAGCATAACTTGGTGGGCAATGGGCCAGGGAATGGGGGCTACTGATTCCTTGGGAATGAAATCATTGAGATGTTGAAATTAACTTCATGAGCTAAGTCAGTTTCTGGTGGGGGTCATAGGACCAGTTTAGTCACCTCTTTCCTTGGTATGGGCCACATGTCTGGTGGGCATCAGTT
The DNA here is from genome assembly GCF_000001405.40 of Homo sapiens. NCBI lineage: Eukaryota > Metazoa > Chordata > Mammalia > Primates > Hominidae > Homo > Homo sapiens. The sequence continues at coordinate 10,712,833 of NC_000004.12, read as the reverse complement.
GGTCCACAAGAATGTAAACTCTGAAAAATATCTTAAAGACCAGTCCTCAGTTTCACCATAGTGATGTTATCTATAGAAGCAATTTGGGGTAGTTATAAATTTTGTCCCTCCCACTGTCCCTGGCTACATGACTCTGTGAGCAGTAAAGTGAGCAATTATAGAAAAGCAAGCTAAGAAACAGTGGCTGGTTGCCATTTAACTTCTGCTTATGCCTTAACAGAATTCCACCCTTGACTATAATTTCAGACTTGTGGCTTTTCATTAATGCTATACAGGCTATTTTAGTCCCCAAGCATGGAGGGGTTTATTTTCAGGAAAGGGCTGTTATTGTCTTTTCTTTTTTAAAGTTAAACTATAAGCTAAATTCCTCCCATTGTTAGTTTGGCCTATTTGCAGAAATGAGCCAGGGTGGTTAGCTAATGAGGTTAGAAGCAAGATGAAGTCAGTTATGTTAGATCTTTCTCATTGTTATTGTTATAATCTTTGCAAAGGCAGTTTCACCACCACCACCACCACCCCACCCCTGATCCATATACTCCACTGCAGGGGACTTAAGCAAAATTCTCTAAGTGGTCCTGCTGAAGACCACCACCTGCCCCCACAAATCACCAGGCTTGAGGTGACAGACTGGCACCTCCTCACCTTTCTCTTTATGAGGGGTAAAGGTCTCACAATAAAGCCACATATTTTCCAAAAATATATATTCAAAAAAATTCTCCTTATACTCTCCTCTGATGCCCCTTTTGATACCTTGGACATGGGTGAGACATCTAACTCACTTTTGATCACCTACTTTGAACTTTCTGCATGTGATCTAGCAGATGCCGCACTTCCTTTGAAACGCGATATCCATTGTCTCCCGGTGCCCCAGCCAATATTTCCATGTTCAGGTTCTGTTGAATATGCTAATGAACCTCTGGAATCCCCAAGAGTATTTCTGAAATTTCTCCCAACTTCAAACCTTCTTTTTATGGTGCAGATCACAGGAGTAGTCAGGAATTCTTCTTGTAAATACTTCAGTAGAATGTTGGCATTGGACAAGACAAGAAATAATCTATTTCAATTCCATTCTTTAGTAAAGTGGATGATCTGAGACTCACAAAGTTTATTGGCAAAGTCAAGTCACCCAGGTTCTCTGGGAGAGCTGAAACAAAGCCAGCTGCCCTGAGTTGGACACTCCTCCACCACTAATGTTCAGGAAAAAGACAGGCTTCAATATTTAAGTTTTTTTATAAATTTAGGGAGAATAAAAGTATCTTTCCAGTTTTAATTGGGCTAAACCAGTGTTTCTAAACAATAAGACTCCATGAAGAAAACATAAACACTATGTGTTTCTAAGACTCTCAGTGTTCTCTGAGACATTTTGTTTTATGGATTAATATATACTTTTTATATTTCAAAATTATTTGGCAGCTATTCTTGGAAGAGAATGTTCTGTGACTCTGCAGTATTGGACCAGAAGGTCTTCTGTGAGATTGAAGACCCAAGTTAGAAAGCACTTGTTTTTGCAAAGGGAAATTGATGTTTCTTATGCTTGTATTGGACACCAGGCCCTGTACTCCATGAAGAAAGGACCTCAGAGGTCTCCCTGTTCCTAATTCCCATGACTTAGTGCAATGAGTCAGTTGAGATCAGTGATGCTTTAGTGTTCCAGACATAGGTTTGGCCACCAGCGCATAACTTTAGAGACAGAGGAGTATGCTGCTTACACGTTCTGCATCTGTCATATTGATCTACAAATTTTTGTTTGCTGAGAAGCTGGAACCACCACACCTTAAGCATGAAACCAATCTGAAGTCAAGACAGACTCTTGAAGTATAAATAGCACACATCTTATTCTCAGGGTCAAACACCTCAAACCCAAAAGGAAACATGCTTACAGCTTTGGGTTCCAAAGTCAAAGCAAATAGGCTCTTCTACCTATCCGATTCCACAATGCTTCTCATCAAATTCTTCATTTGTCTTTTATGGAGGAGTGATATGTGAAGAGGACTGTACAAAAAATTGCAGGCAGAACCTGAGTGTGAGGAGATGACAATGTCAAGGGAGACAGACATAACCAAGGCATGAACAGGTAATGTCTGTAGTATTAATTACCCTAATCTAATAGGAATTACCTCTGGGAGGCTGGCTCAGGGGAGAAACAAGGCCTCTGACTTTGGAGTTGAGCACTTCACAGCTCCATTTCCAATCAAGTTCCTTTGCTCTCAAAGCAACAGTCTCTTCCACTGTCAAATGGGGGCAAGAACTGTGCCTGCCTCAAGAAATCATGACAATGAAATGAGTTCATGCTTTTAAACTAGCCACACAGTGTCTGGCACATAATCACTTCTTGAAGAACACTGGTTCTTATTATTAGAGAGGGCTATGATAAGGAACGCATTCCAGAAAACAAAAACTCAGAAAGGCTGGTACCCTTTGGTTTCTTTGCTTCAGTTTACTTAGTCCACTTTTTTTCCTTTTATATTTTAATTGTGATTGAAGGACCCCAGCGCTGGTTGGTGTGACTCCTGCTTTCTTGGTCTCTCATCACTCCCAGACTGAGAAGCACGGAAAACCAACCACTCTTAATGCCTCACTCCTCTGCCCAGAAATACAAAGGCTGTGTTTCTGACCAGAGCCCAGATCTCTGCACTTGCTTGAGTTAGGATCCCCACAGAGAGGGCAACCTGGGTAGCTCCCTTTTGCCTCTTACTTTGTTGTACTTATTAACAGAACCCCCTTTCCCTTACAGAAATGTTTCCATCTGAATATTGCAATCAAATGATTATCATATCAGTTATCAATAATGCTGCCTAACAAACACCACCATATCAAAGACTTGAAACAGTAAGCAATTGTTGAGCTTGTAACTGAGGGTTGCTTGGGGAGTTCTTATGGTCAGGTCCAAACTCTGCTGGTTTGAGCTGGGATCCCTCCTGCATCAGTGATGTCAGCAGGGGTGTTGGCCCATGATGGGGTGATCTTGGATGGCTTCACATGTCTGCAGTTGTCAGCTAGGGTGATAGAGCCACTGGGCCTTGTGTGTCTCATCTTCCAGCAGTCTAGCCTGTTGGTGTTTATTTGGTGGGTTACTTAACAGGGTTCTAAGTGAGCTAAGAAAAGTGTGCAGTCCTGGAGGCCTGGTCTTAAAATTGGCATAGCATCCTTTCCGCCACAATCTGTTGCCCAGAGCAAGTTACAAGGCATCTAGATTCAAAGGAGGGAAATGGAATTTACCTCCAGATGGAAGATCTAGGATATCATATTACAAGAACCTGGCTACAGAGAGGAATAGAGAATTATGGCCATTTTTTGCCATTAATTTATCAATTCTCCGTGTCCAAAGTACCAGAAGTAGGAGTTTAGAATCAGAAAGACTCATTGAAATTAGCTGTGAGATCTTAGGAAAATGACTTAACTTCCACGAGACTTTGTCTCCTCGTTCATAAAATGGGGACAGTGATCACACCAACCTCACATGGCAGTGCTAATGATTAAACAAGAAAGTCACTCTGAGTACAGTGCCCAGACACGTTTGGCCCTTGAACACTTGAAAAGGATAGTTATTGGGTATTATAGTGGGTGCTCAGTAAATATGAAATTTATAGATAGTCTATGTAAAGTACATTCCACTGAAAAAGTTTTTTGAGTCTTTCAAGTGCTGTATTTTACAGACAAGAACATAGAGTCAGTATAAGCATAGGTCTGAAACTCAAGATCCCTGATTCATGTCTGATACCATACCACTATCTGCAAATCATAGAATCTTATTAATATGAAGCTTTTATTAAAATGATTAAGTGAGTCTCCCTGCTTAAGTAGAGTATTTTAATGCTGTTTGGTAGGTCCATCTCAATTGATTTGTTAAGCCAGGCTTTTCAATAGATCTCTTCATTTTCTAGAAAAATCAAAAGAAGAAAGTTTTATAGCGTAATCATAGAAGTAGTCTCTGGCATTTTGGCAGTCACAAACTGAATCCTGATCTTTTTCCCTTTACATTCCGTGCTCCTTCTGTGACACTGTAAATGCTATGAATGAAGGCTCTTCAATTCCTTTCAACATGCATGAAACGTCCTCTAATGTCTTGCAAAAACAATGTTCTGCTTTATCCACTCCAGGCCTTCCTGTACCCTACCACCAGAGTGGTTATCTTAAAATGAAAATCTGACCATGATGTGCCCTGCCTTCCCTGAACTATCAATGGTCTATAGGATAAAAGATAAGTAGAGCCCTTCACCTCTGGCCTCTGCTCTCCTCTGCAGCTCCATGATGCCCTGTAAGCCCTACTTTGTGCTTATTTCTGTGGGTGCTCTAGATATGCTAACATGCTGTTGTATATGCTATCTATGTACACTGGTTAAGAGGTGCATCTCGACTCCAGCTCTGCCACTGATGGGCATGTCACCTTGGGCAAGTTACTTATTTTCCTGCATTCAGATTCCTCATTTGTAAAATAGAAAAAAAAAATAGTGTTCACCACAAAGGGCTGAGAAGATTAAACAAGTTAATATGCATAAAGCACTCAGAATAGTATCTAGAAATAATAAATATTGTTAGTTTTTATATTATTATCCAAAACAATAATCATGAAAGTCTTTTGACATAAAAATTATACTCCTACTTTCGGATGCGAAAAACTGGGGCTCTGAAAGGTTAAGGAGCGTCAGGAAGTCACATAGATGGGATTTGAGCCCAGTCTCTCTGACTTCAATATTGAATACTGTCCACTTCCTCCTGCCACTTCCTCCTGTCATTGGGAATCTCATACTGTTGCCTTGTCTCTTGTCTCTATTCCATTGTCTGGAACCCCACTATCTCATCTTAGTCCAGTGAAGGTCTACTTTGCTTTCAGCGCTCAGTGCAAGTATCATTTCCTCCCTAGGAAACTTCTAGCTCTCTCCAGGTGACTATTTTGGGTCTAAGACATCCTCTGCACTTTCCTCCTTTGTGATCCATGCTGCACTGTGGCATCATCGCCTCTTTACCTCTATGTTGTGAGATGTGCAAGAGTGGCCACTGGGTCTTGTTTACACCCCTATCCTCTGAATGAATAAAGAAATGAATGAACCTCACTTATGTCCTAAAGAAAAGTCTATGATTCCCTGGCACAAGAAGGGGTGCCTCAGAGAACTGTTAATGGAAAAACTGAACTGTAAAGAGGTTTATTCTGAGTCCATATGGGTGACCATGGCCCAGGGAACCATCTCAAAAGGTCTTGAGAAAGTATGCCAAAGGTGGTCAGGTTACAGTTTGGTTTTATACATTTTAGGGTTACAGGAATAATAGGCACATTCATAAATTAATACATGGAAGGTATACATTGGTTCAGCCTAAAAAGGGGGAATACCCACAAGTGGTAGGTGGAATATCTTGAAGTGACTGACATTAGTCTATCTTGCATTACTATAAAGGAATACCTGAGTTCAGACAATTTATGAAGAAATTGATGGATTCAAAGATTTTCTTACTGGCAATTGATTGAAAGAGTTAGGCTTTGTCTAAAGCAAACTTGTCCAACTCATGGCCCATGGGCCACATGCAGCCAAGAACAGCTTTGAATGTAATCACAAATTTGTAAACTTTCTTAAAACATTATGAGTTTTTTTGTGATTTTTTTTTAGCTCATCAGTTATTGTTAGTGTTAGTATATTTTATGTGTGGTCCAAGACAATTCTTCTACCAATGTGGCCCAGGGAAGCCAAAAGATTGGACACCCCAGGTTTAAAGACTTGACGTCACTATCAAGAAACGCTTGAGTTAAGATAAGTAGGGGCCAGGCGCGATGGCTCACCCCTGTAATCCCAGCACTTTGGAGGCCTAAGCAGGTGGATTGCCTGAACTCAGGAGTTCAAGAACAGCCTGGCCAACGTGGTGAAACCCTGTCTGTACTAAAAAGTCATGCCTAAACACCAAAAGGGAGGGGGGTCTGATGAGGCATGTTCAACTTCCCTTCCCATCACGGCCAGAAATTTAGTTTTCCAAGTTTCTGGGGGTCCTTTTGGCCAAGAGGGTGGTCCTTTCAGTTGGTTGGGGGTCTTTTATTTTTTGTTTATAGACATCATACAGGGAAAGGCAAGGCAGGGTGGCTTGGCCTGGTCAGTGCCTTGTTGAGTGGCCCACGCTTCACTTTACCTGCACAAAGGAGACCACAGAATTCTCCTTGTGTAGACCACAGAACTCCCAATATTCCAAGATGTGAGGGAGGGATTCAATGAGAAAAATAGTTGGGCAGCTCAGGACACCCATAGGAGATGTATGCAGATGACAGATACATACTTCCTCTTCTTCTCCTGAAGTTCTCACAGCTGATATCAAACAGATATGGGTCTCTTCAGAGATTGCCTCAGGAGGAATTGAAATGAAGTATTTCCCTTGCCCAGTGAAACTGTGGTGTTTATTTTGGCATCTCTATCTATACACCAGGAAATCCAGACATGTGGTTCTTGGCTGGGTACTTCTGTGTGGAGTGAGTTTAACATAGAAACAAAGCCTGGTACTATCTCAAAATTTCCCCCAATAAATCCCTTTAGCCCTAAATTTATAGTAATAGCAGCACAGCCCTTGGAAGGACACGGGAGGTTTAGGAGTTCAGAGGGTGAAACTGAGAAGAACAAAGGAGGTGACTTGCCCAAGGACACATGTGGGCTGAGACTCTGAGCTGCTGAGACAGGTGGAATTTCCACTACACCTATTCCCACATTCCCTGTCAGAGGGCAATGTTTAGCATCTCTTTGTAAAATGCAAGTATGTGACCCCAAAGCAAGACTCTAGCACAGACCCACCTTGTTTCTGGTTCCTCTTCTCCACACATTTGTTCTGTCTTCAGACAGAGCTGCTGATCCACAGGGAAAGAAACAGAAGACCTTTGAGTCAAAATGCCTTTCCAGGATCACACATATTTAAGCAGTGATGCTGAAACCAGAGCCTATGGGCTTCTCAAATTAGTCCAGTGTCTTACACTTTTCCCGTGCTCTTTACCCGATTTAGATAGAACATTTGATTTTGTGCGTAGTGCCTGTGGAAGGCAGAATAGCAGTCCCCAAAGATGTTTATATCCTAAATCCAAGAGACCATAAATGTATTATGCTACACCACAAAAGAGAATTAAGGTTGCAGATGGATTTCAGGGTGCTAATCAACTGACCTTAAGATTGAGAAATTATCCTGGCTTGTCTGAGCAAGTCCAATACAATCGCAAGGGTCCTTAAATGTGGAAGAGGAAAGCAGAAGAGGGGGTGAGAGTGATACAACATGAGAAAGGTTCAGCCCAACACTGTGGGATTTGAAGATAAAGGATGAGGCTATGAGCCCAGGAACAAGGGCAGCCTCTAGAAGTGGGAGAAAGAAGGAAAGGAATTGGACCCTGGAGCCACAAAAAGGAAACACAGCACTGCTTCCACCTGGGTTTTAGCCCAGTGAGACTCATTTTGGAATTCTGGCCTTCAGAAATATAAGATTTTTAAAACTGTATTGTTTAAGCCACTATGATTTTGGCAATTTGTTATAGCAGCAAAAAAATAATAATAACATCTAAGTGTAACCAGTGTTTCCCCAGGTCACACCAATTGGTGAAGACAAATGGGTTCTAACAGCATAAACGTGTATTTTGTTCCCTCTTTCTCTCCACTTACTGCAGAAGGAATGCAGCCTTCAGACTCCATTCCTTCCACCCCATTATCACTGGTAGTTCCCAAAGAGTGTTTTACATAAGCTTATATGCAAATGTTGGTAATGAGCCCTCAGATAAATTCTTCCTACTCTCTTCTAGTTCTTTACTGTTGCCTACTTCCAAAACTACCCTTATGACCTTTTTTGCTTAATGAAGTTACTTCCCTTGCACCCATGCCCCACGCTTGGGCCATACCATCCTGGCCTCTCAGCACTCAGATGCCAAATTGACCACATTGGTACCACTGGACACATTTAGGACTGAATTTAAGAGAGGAAGAAGTCAAGCCAACAGGAACCAAGTCTGCTTTGATTAACATGTGCTGCAAACCTATTGGGTGCCAGGCATTTCACCAGACACTTTATAAAATTGTGTCATTTATTGTTCCAAGTTCAGGGCTCTGAGCTTCAGAGGTGTGTTAACTACTCCCTGATTCCACAGCCAGGAAGCAGACTGCCTAGTATGTTGAGCACAGGGGGGCTTGACCCTGTGGGCACAAAGAGTCTATCAACACCAGCTGCTTTGGGCAGAGCTGCCATGTCCTGGGCCTAGAGGCTGTGTGTTGTCTCAGCAGCTCCACCCTGCCCAACCTAGAGGAGCAGACAGGGGCCTACTGCAGCATATGGTTGATCCAAGTGGAGGGAGGGAAGAGGTCTGGAGGTTGCAGCATCCCCAGGGGTTCAGAGTAGGGAGCTGGCATCAGCCAGCAAGAAAAAAAAAATATTTTTCAAATGGCAAAAGAAAAATTAAGTTTGCAGTTCCATTGTTTCCTATAAAAAATATCAAGAATGAAAATAAAAATGATTCTAAGTTATTATATCCTGAGTTTATTTTTAACCCCAATGACAACATAAGAACACTTTTACATGAGTCATTTTGCAAAGCAGAAAACATAATTTCCCGAAATGGCATTTTACAGAAGCTTAAAGGAAACCACTATTTGACATGAGAAAGATGGATTGCAACGACTTAGGGTCTCTCTCGCTCTCTCTCTTTCTCTCTCCTCCTCTCTTTTTTTCTCTCTCTAGAATGTTCTTTTTTCCTCCCTTCTTTAGCTACTTACCATTCTTGCAAATCTCAAATTATTACTTTATCAGAGAGGTTTTCCCTGGCCAACCCCTTATTTTAAATAAGATCCCCTCCACCACCATACACTCTCAAATAATATTGTACTATTTCTTCATAGCACTTACTGAAAATGTGATTATTATTCTGTCTGTGTTTATGTGACAGGTGCTCAGGATATAATGAAATACATCATGCACCACATGACATTTTGGTCAACAACAGACTGCATATACAACAGTGGTCCCATAAGGTTATAATACTGTATTATTACTGTACCTTTTCTGTGTTTAAATATGTTCAGATACAAAAATATTTACTATTGTGTTACAATTTCCTCCAGTGTTCAGTATAGTAACATGCTATACATATTTGTTGCCTAGGAACAATAGGCTATACTCTATATATGCCTAGGTGTGTAGTAGGCTATACCAACTAGGTTTGTATATGTAAACTTCATGATGTTTGCATAACTACAAAATCGCCTAATGACACATTTCTCAGAATATATCCCCCTTATTAAGTGACACATGACTGTATAGACCCAGAAAAGATTCTGCTCTCTAAGAGCTTACAGTGAGACAGTTTCTGTACCTCTCGGTTATACTAAGGAATGCAGAATCCAGCAAACAAATGGCTTTGAGACAAGAAACCCAGGAGCACATAGCAGAGGGTGCAGGCAAGTCGTGCCTAGACATTAAACAACCCCCAAAACGTGTTTCTCCTGAGAAATGTGTTTTCTTCTGTTTCTTCTACCAGTTGACTCAGTATTGGTCACATATTATGTACTCAACAAATGGTTATTGAGTCACTTAAACAAAAAGTAGCCGATTCCTGGCATCTGAATGAACACTGTAGTTAGTGTTCTTTAGTGTTCATAACTACGTTAGTGTAGTTAGCCTGTGACTCCAGGTTCAAAGCTGAACCCAATAGGTCTAAAAATTAGACATTTAGACTGTTATCACTAACAATCCCACAAAGCCCCCCATGCCTACTCTCATCTTTGGGGTGCATACTACATCTAATTGATCAGTTTTTATTTTTAACTTAATTGTCCTCTGCGCTGAATGCTGCCCTGTTGATGCCACCTCCATAAAGAAACGCACCTCATATGACATACACTTCCACTGGAGTTCCTCTTCGTCTCTTAGTGGTCCTTCTCACAGTCATCCTTGGCCGTTTCTAAGGTGCTGGCTCCTCAGATTTCTCCCTCTGTTCTTCTACCCAAGACCAGCATAAATCAAGTGAGAAGGGAAAGTGCAGCTCTTATCTCAATGGGGGTCCATCTGCTTATTTTACTTGTTTAATAAGCACTTGCAAGTTCCAGGCAGTATTCTAGGTGTTTCATAAATGGTAATTCATTTAAGGCTGATAACTTCTACAACTTAGGAGTAAGCCTGACTAGAGACAGAATTCCAGACTCCTATCCAAGAAATGGTAGTGCAAGAAAATGGCATCTGGAGGACTTGGACTGCGCGACTACCTCCTCCAGAATGCTCTTTCCTGAGAAATAGTCAAATATACATGTCACTATTCTATAAGCACAGCTGTAAGATGCTCTTAGTTAGTGCTTCTACCCAGATTTGCTGCCTGTCAGCACTTCTTTCTCTATCCATCCTGTGATGTGCATGCATCATTCTCGGCAGATCTCCTAAGTAGCTCCAGTCCTAAATATCCAAAATAGGACTGACTAACTTCCTCCTCCCTGCTTGATCTTAGGTGTTTCCTTCAGCCCATCTAAACTGGCCATAGTCCTCAGCACTCTCCTCTTCTTCACTTTATGGCCCATTTTTTTCAAGTCTACTTTGTGCATATTTCCCAGCTGAGTGTTCTTCCTGCCTGCAACGTCCTTTCTTCCCTTAGTATCTGGACACCTGTGAGAGCCTCTCAGCTTGTTTCCTTCCTTGCTTCAGGTCTTTACCCACAAATCTGCTCCTGCAAATGACCTCATGGAAAATGGAAATTAGATCATGCCATTCCTGTATGTAAAACATCTTCAATGGCTTCTCATTGTCTTCAGAATAAACTAGGGACGTCTTTACATGCAAGGAGCATGGTAAATATGCTGACCTGTCTAGCCTCACCTCTTGGTTCTCGTGTCTTCACACCTGTGTGCCAAGCGGAAAATCTGCACCCCTGCCATGTCTTCTCAGTGCCTTTGCCTCTGAATAGGCAGCTGTCTCTGCATGGAATGTGCTTCCCACTTCCTCTTGCTGCCTAACCACGCTTTCTCCCACTGACCACTACTGAGATGGTGTGGGATTCCTCTTAAGAGTATGAACTCTGGAGTCTGTCTACCTGGATTTCACTTTAAGTAGAAGTACTTGTACTTGTTTGGCGACCCCATATCACCTCACCTTTCTGTGCCTCAGTTTTCCCGTCTATAAATTGGGGATCATTCATCTACCTCACAGAGTAATTGTAAGGATCAAATGAGCTAATAAATGTGAAGCCTTTTCTATGGTGGCGTGTGGCAAGCACTGTTTAAGTGTTTCTTAGGATCAGTTCCTGCATATTATCAGGTTCCTTCCCAGCTCCTTATGCATATCTCTGCACTTCCATTCACCTAACAACTTGCCTATTTATTTTCAGTATCTCACAGCACAACAGGCTCCTTGAGAAAGGGGACTGCGTTTTATTTTTCCTCCCAGAGTCTAGCACAGGACATGGCAAGGGCTAGGAATTCAGTGAAGGTTTGCAGTAGCAGCAAATAATGCTGGCTTTCAGCTGTGGTCTCGCACACACAGTCTGATAAAGGGGGGTCAGGACACATATGTTTCATGGGGGACCTTCAACCACACTGGCTAAGAGAGAGGCAAGGAAGACAATACTTTTAAGCGGGAGATTTCATTTTACATTCACAGGCAATAGATGCAACCAAGCCTGAAATTGACAATGTCTGCTTGCAAAATCTGTAGCATGAGTTTAAGTATTTCCTTGTCAAAATATTGACAAACAAATGAAACAGCTATATCTCATTCATGGCTAGGAAGGTTGGATGGTGATAGCTCCATGGACATCTTTATGGAAGAATTGGAAGAAGAAGTTGAGGGCTTAGAGATATTTGACTAAGCAAAAGTTAGAGAGCTGGTAAAAGCTTTTACGGGTGCAGACGGTGATCACGATTTTCCAGCAATTTAGTCGTAACAATTTGCTGAAATGTTTCAAGCAGTGAAACAGTTGACTAATTTTATTTTTGAATACAAAACATCTGTGTAATTATATGTGCATCATTTTGTACATGTATAAGATGTACATATATATAATCAATATTGTCATTTCACAACGGCACTTGTGTATTAGTTTGCCATTGTTTACACAAAACCATGTTTCTTTCATTGTATGAAAGACATAGGGATTTTTATAGGTAATTTTCCCCACCCATGCTTGTTAGCAGCTTACAGAAGAATGTAAACTCCTTTACGACCCACCTGCACCAAATAAAGGGTCACGTGGCTTAGAGTCCTGAGGCCTGAGCTCCAGCACGACCACTGCATTTGAGCTGCATAACTAAGAAATCCTTCTCTTTTCTATGTGTTGAGTTTCCTTATCTGCCTTATCTGTAAAATTATAAATGTCACCTACATCACAAGTTGGGTTCTGAGATTTGAATGAGGTAAAGATTTTTGGAAACTGTGAACCCCTGTGAATGTATAATAACAACCCACCTAAGTCTGTCTTGCAAAATAATAAATAATTCCAACATCTCTGTAAAGTCAGCCTGGATATATATTTGGCTTTGGAGTTAGACAGGCTTTGATTCCAAGGTTCACGTTCCTCCTGCTAGCTATTGTTGTAACCACAATGACCTTCAGTTTCTTGTAAAATAATCATATCGCTCCCAAAGCATTTACTGAATAATTCTAATATTGGATGTACTATGTAGCCTATTTCATTTATCCTAATTGTAATTCTCAGTTTCTTTACCCCCAAAGTCAGCATCTTCTTCATCTCATTATGCCTTATTCCATAGCTAGCCATTCTTCCCTTTGTGAAACCTGTTTCTTCTCTGATTTCTATTGAAATGCAAAAACTTCATGAGTGTATCAGGGTTCTCCACACAAACAGAGCCAATAGGAAATATATATATACACACACACACACACACACACATATGCACACACAGTCAGTCCTTTATATCCACAAGTTTCAACCAACCACAGATTAAAAAATATTAGAGGAAAATAACAGTACAACAATGAAAAATAATACCAATAAAAATACAGTATAAGAACTATGTACATAGCATTGATATTGTATTAAGTATTATAAGTAATCTAGAGCTGATTTAAAATATATGGAGTGGCGGGGTGCCGTGGCTCATGCCTATAATTCTAGCACTTTGGGAGGCTGAGGCGGATGGATCATCTGAGGTCAGGAGTTCAAGAGCAGCCTGGCCCACATGGTGAAACCCTATCTCTACTAAAAAATACAAAAATTAGCAGGGTGTGGTGGCAGGCAGCTGTAATCCCAGCTACTTTGGAGGCTGAGGCAGGACAATTGCTTGAACCTGGGAGGTGGAAGTTTCAGTGAGCTGACATGGTGCCACTGTGCTCCAGCCTGGGCAACAAGAGCAAAACCGTCTCAGAAAAAAAAAAAAAAAAATATATATATATATATATAGAGAGAGAGAGAGAGAGAGAGAGAGAGACAGAGAGGATGTACATAGGTTATATACAAATACAATGTCATTTTATGTAAGGGACTTGAACATCCATGGGTTTTTATATCCAATCCTCACAAATAGGAAGGATGACTGTGTGTGTGTGTGTGTATACACACACGTATGTGGTGTGTGTGTATACACGTATGTGGTGTGTGTGTGTATACACGTATGTGGTGTGTGTGTGTGTATACACACATACGTGGTGTGTATGTGTGTGTATACACACACATATGTGGTGTGTATGTGTGTGTTTAAGAGACAGAGAGAGAGAGAAAGAAACGTAAGGAATTGGCTCATACGATCATGGAGGCTGAGAAAGTTCTAGGATCTGCCATCAGCAAGCTAGAGACCCAGGAAACCTGACGTGTAGTTCCAGTGTGTGTTCAAAGGTATGAAAACTGGGAAAGCCAATGGTGTAAGTGCTAGTTCAAAAGTTGGCACCCTTGAGACCAAGAAAGAGTCAACTTTAAGTCTGAGTCTGAAGGCTGGAAAAGACCAATGTCCCCACTCAAGCCGCCATGACAAAAAGAGTTCCCTCCTACTCAGCCATCTTGTTCTGTTTAGGTGTTCAGTCGATCAGATGAGACCTACCCACCTGCAGCAGGGAGAGCAATCTGCTTTACTCACTCACATGTTAATCTCATTCAGAAACACCTGCACAGTAATCCCCAGAATATAGTTTGGCCCAATATCTGGGCACCTCATGGCCCAGTCAAGTTGACACATAAAACTAACTGCTGCAATTAGGGTTCACAAGAGCTCTTTCACTACTTAAGTTGAAAGATGTTCCCTGACCTTTCCTTGAAGATTTTGGTTGGGGGGTGAAAATATCTGAGAAATGTGAGAATTTTGGAAGGAGCTCTATCAAGAGACAGAAGGGACAGGTGGATCTGAGCATGAAAGGAAAAAGCAGAGAGCACCAAGAACAAAATTAGCTTCACAGATTTTCAGAAATATGAACAAACCTGTTTTATATATATTGTCACATTTTATTATTCCAGTAGTCACCCATTTATTTATTTATGTACTCACTTAGCAATTAACATTTACTAAGGGCGTAATAATGGCATGGGTATTTCACCAGGTACAAGGGTCAAAGATTCAACTATAGTATGGACCTTGCCCTCAGAGTGTTCCTGTAAACTTAACCATGTTTATAAATGTATTAAGAATAATGTTTAATAAAACCCTATAATTGCTAGTTTGAAAATTGTCTTTAATGTTATCTAGTGTAAAATCACCACCACCAATGACACCACTCTCACCACCAGAGGCTTCCAATTTACAGACACATGACTATATAGACAAGGAATTTACAAACCACCTCCTGAGTTAATAGTTCATGGATGTTCACCTCTCATAAAGGTCTTAATTCCGAACTACAATCTGCTTATTGCAGCTTTTACCCCCACATACCTACTTATGTTACAGAAATTAACACAAAACGGTCAGCACTTCCATAGACATATATCCTGTTCTGGTCTTCATGGTTCTGTTTGATGATCATGATGATGGAGAGGATGAAGATTAGTATCTACAATTTCTTGGATTCATATTATATGTCATGATTCTTTGATGAGCCTCGTTTTATTCTCACAATTCAAAAAAGCAAAGGCAAGGTGGCTATTGTTCGAATGAGTAGATCAAAATGTAGAAGGATTGGTTACAGTTCAATGTTCCCAGGAGAGTGAAGAGCCAATTTAGGTTTGGGAACCAGTAGGCAGCTTCACCAAGGAGGAGCTAGCAGACAGAAAATTAAAAGCAAATTTATTCTCTACACACCCAGTGGCCGTCCTAAATACAAGAAGAGTCTACTCTGGCATGAGAAGCCATTCTTGTTGGACTGCTGAACTTAGAGAATGAATTATTTGGGAAAGGGGAAGAAGGTGATAATTCTTTTCTCTCTCACACTGTCATCCATCGCCATAATCCTGTTTTCATTGCACTTCTACTTGCAAGGACCACCAGTGGCTTCTTTTGCTCACCAAGGGAGATGATGGACTGGAATTTCCTGGAGACCCTGACCCCAGTTCCAGCAGAGTCTTCCTCATTAAGGCAGTCATGCGGGCTCTTCTAACATTGCTTTAGTTCTCACGAAGCCCCGGCCTGCTCAAGTATTCATGTCTCTGAACTCCGGATGTTAAATGAACCACAGTAAAACTCAGGAATTCCTCATAGGTAACTTTGGGGTGAGAGAAGGCACGGATCCAGTGTCAGTGAGATTGCTGCCTTGAATCTCCATGGTAACCCTGAGTCCAGGTGCACAACTGACTTTTATGAAGGGATTTTAATATTTATTTTGCAATCATGAGTGTCTGGAACCATTCACCTGTGGCAGAAAATGTAGAAAGGTTGAGGGGTGACAGTTGGGTTTGCTATTCATAGCTGGAGATCTTTCAATTGTTCCAAGAAAGAGGACACCAAAAATTGATTATCTAGACTGCATGTTCTCAGACTATAATGTGCATAAGAATCACCAGGAGAATTTGTTTAGAATGCACAGTCCTGCATTTGAAATCCAAAGATTTTAATCAGTGATCTGGGGAAGGGCCCTGGAATCTGCATTTTTAACAAATATCCTGATTGATCCAGAGAGAACACTGTAAACTCAATCTTAGAGGGAGCTTGCCTTGACATGGGTTTCCCAGAAAACAGAACCTAAAGCATTTATGATTGACTACTTCATTTGAGAAGGCAATCCTAGGGAGGCTGGAATGAGGGCAAATGGGAAAGTGGCAGGCTGGGAAGGAGAGCCAACAGGAGGAGAAGACTTTCGGCTATTGAGTGCTTTGTATCATGCCCAAGGAGTGTTCCATTTCACTTTCTTGTGGTGCTCTTCTCCTACAGCCCTTACAGCCCACTGTGTCCTGAGGAGTTTCTCTGGAGGACAAAAGGGCAAAGAGTTTATTGCCAGCTTACATCTTCCAATGTTAAAACCCACAGAGTTTCAGCTCCCCTAGACTGCCGTGTGGTTGGTGCATGAGCCGCAAGCAAGCCCTAAAGCATCTCATGCCTTAGCAGCAATTGGGTTGCTCAGTGCTGCAGCAGGAAGCTTAAGGCGTAGACATCAGGCTGGGTGCTGGCAGGTTGCAAAGTAGACATGGAGCAGATGCAGCAAAGGGGGCAGATGAAGCCCATGTTGAGTGTGTCTGTAGCCAGAGCTAGGTCTAAACAGATGACCTAGGACCAAAGAACGGCAAGGCCAAAAAAGACCTGTGGTGGCACACGAGACCCATCTGATACAGATTCCAGACTCAACCTCATCCTCACGCCATCTACTTAGATAAGAAGCTCTGGGCTGGGTGCAGTGGCTCAAGCCTATAATCCCAGCACTTTGGGAGGCCGAGGTGGGTGGATCAACTGAGGTCAGGAGTTTGAGACTAGCCCGGCCAACAGGGTGAAACCCCATCTCTACTAAAAATACAAAAATTTACCAGGCAGGGTGGTAGGCACCTGTAATCCCAGCTACTCGGGAGGCTGAGGCAGGAGAGTTGCTTGAACCCGGG
Source organism: Homo sapiens (assembly GCF_000001405.40). Taxonomy (NCBI): domain Eukaryota; kingdom Metazoa; phylum Chordata; class Mammalia; order Primates; family Hominidae; genus Homo; species Homo sapiens. The sequence continues at coordinate 10,695,945 of NC_000004.12, read as the reverse complement.
AGGCAGAGGTTGCAGTGAGCAAAGATCACACCAGTGCACTCCAGCCTGGGCAACAGAGCAAGACCCTGTCAAAAAAAAAAAAAAGCTCTAATTGTGATCGAGGACAAGATGAGATTCTCAAAGACAAGGCAGGGGAATTGAATGCTCTATAGGGGTAATAAATGAAACTCTGAGCTGGAAATGCCTCTCCTCTTCCGTCTTCATTATGCTTACCTCTGTACAAAATAGCCTGGTGCACCATGTACTTGGAAAGCTGACCTTGACCAGGCTGTGGGGATATGGAAGCAAACTCCAAGAATATGACTCAGAAGAGAGGGTTTCATCCCCCTTCTCATAACTTGCTTCTGTTATCATAAGATCTGGGAGGCCCTGACGGGCCAGGACAGGGTTAAAGAGAAGCAGGCACAGAGAGGGCCACTGAGTTTAGCTTGAGAGAAAAGGAGAAGCATGGAAGGGCTTGGAGTTGGCCAGGGATGAGCTAGTTAAAGCACAGACCCAGCTGCTTTCTGATTTTATAACATTCAAGCTTTCACAGCTTCAATCTCCTTCCTTTTATTCATTTTTTATTTTTAGTTGACAAATAATAATTGTCAACTAAATTATAAATTGAGAAATAATAATTCTCAATTAAATAATAATTGTCCATATATTTAAGGAGTACAATGTGAGGTTATGGCACATGTATACATTGTGGAATGATTAAATCATGCAAATTAACAAATCCATCAACTCACATACTTATCCTTTCTTTGTGATGGAAACATTTAGAATGTATTCTGTTAGCAATTTTGAAATATACAATACATTACTCTTAACTATAGTTATCATGCTTACTAGAACTGACTCCTCCTGTCTAACTGAAACTTTGTATCCTGTGATCAATATCTCCCCTTTCCCAGTCCACTCCTCCATCCCTGCCAGGCCTCTGTCAATCACCATGCTACTCTCTACTTCCGTGAGTTCATTGCATGATTATTCACAGTAGGCAAGATATGGAAATAACTTGACTGCCCATCAACAGATAAATGGATAAATGGAACACTATTTAGGGTTAGAAAAGAACATTCTATCTTTGCAACAACATGAGTGAAGCTGGAGGACATAAGGCTAAGTGAAATAAGCCAGGTACAGAAGGACAAATGCTGCATGATCTCCTTCTTTTTAAATGGAAATCATGCCCACCCTGAGAAATGTTGGTAGTATATACCACCATAACATAATACAGTCATGAGTCACTAAGTGACTCGGGTGAGTTCTAAGAAATGCATCGTTAGGTGATTTCATAGTTGTGCAAACATTGTAGAGTGTATTTACACAAACCTAGGAAACAATAGCCTCCTGCACAACTAGATTATATGGTATAGTTTATTGTTCCTAGGCTACAAACCTGTACAGCATGTTACTGCACTGGATATGGTAGGAAATCACAACATAATAGTATTCGTGTATCTAAACTTATCCAACATGAAAAAGGTACAGTAAAATTATGGTGTTATAACTTTGTGGGACCTTCGTTGTATATACAGTCCATCATTGACTAAAACAGCCTTAGGCAGTGCATGACTGTGCATGCACAGTTCCTGGGTCTAAGCCCATCCCCAGCCACTGTGTGTGAGTGCCCTTGTTCCTTACCTTCAGGCTCAAGGTGTCTAAAGGTGTGAATACTAAGCTGAAGGCCCATACTTGGTCCCACCTGGCCGGATAGAAATTAAATAGAATTTGGGAATCTAGTATGAATCAGCAAAAGAGGCGGTATATTTGGCTGTACTTATGTCATTGGTGCTTCTGCTGCTGAAAAGACTGACGTGGCAATTGTAGGATCCTCAGGGGTGATTTAGGGACAGGGCCTAGGAATGGTTTCCTCGCCTCTACCACCACCAATAGCAAACGCTGAAGAAGCTGGTACACCATCTCCAGAAGATACGACAGTCTTTTTGTTGAAAAGCCTAGAATATTTGACTGCATTATCTCAAGTGCTATTTAAACAAATTATAGCTGCTATTCATAGGATTTCTGGCCACTGGAGCTGCAAAATGGTTTCAAACTGCGATCTCCTCACTCTGCAACACATGGTTATGGTCCATATGCATCCCTAAGAAATCTCAGATCCTTAATTTGAGATCACATTTATTAAAAACAATTGTTTCACTGTGGATTAAAAGGGATAGGGAACTAGAAATGTGTACTCTTCAGGCATAAATGTTGTTTTTCTATAGGAATTTTCAAAGCAATGATGCATCAGAGTTGTAAATGTATGGCTCTGTATCAGGCACTTAGGGCTGCTGGAACAAGTGCCACCAACTGGGTGGTTTACAACAACAGAAGTGAGTCCTCTCAGGGTTCTGGAGGCCAGAGTCCTAAATCAAGGTGTGGGCAGGGCTGTGCTCCCTCCCAAGCATCTAGGGGAGGACACTTCCTTGCCCCTTTCAGCTTCTGGCAGCCCTAGGCATTCCTTGGCTTGTGGCCACATACCTCCAATATCTGCCTCTGTCTTCCCATGGCTGTCTTCTCCCTGTGTGTCTCTGTTTCTTCAAATGGGGTTCTCTTTTCTGTACAGCTCTCTTCTTTTTTAAGGGTGCGAGTTATCTTGGCTAAGGACTACCCCAGTGATTTCATCTTAACTTGATTACATCTGCAAAGACCCTTTTTCCAAATAAGGTCACATTCTAATGTAACTGGGAGTTAAGACTCCAACATATTTCTTTAGGAGAGTCTTTTCTCCCATCAGCAACATCAGAATCACTTCACATTGCTTTTACACCTAAGAATCCCTTTTACATTCATTGTTACCAGGCTCCTTATACAAGGCTCAAGGATAACCAAATAAAACAGCTATCTTGCAAGTCCAGCTGGTTCCCGAATGGCCCAGAATCAGTGCTTCTTCCCCAGCTGAAGTGCGTTACAGATACACTAACCAGCCTATCATGAAAATTATGTCCCCAGATTGATCAGCATACATGCTCAATCCACATAAAACAATCTCTCAATGCAGGAGCCATACCTTGATCTAAGACTTAGTATGGACCAGTTTGGCTTAATGGTCAAATTATATGGCATAAATTGGGAAGTCTGTTTAACCCTTTCTTTTCCTCTTTTCCATCTGCTAATCTACAAGGCTGAGCAAGTGCTCTTGTAGGTGCTGGGAGGAGAGCATAAACAATACAGATAAATCCCAAGCCTCACGGAGGTTTTATCATTCCTTTATTAATATTCACTGAGCACCTACTATGTGGCTGAGAATATTCTACATGTTAGATTTCAAGTGAGACAAAACCCCACTCTCACGTAGCATGCATTTTGAAAACGTTTCCTTGTTTTCTCATTATTGTGCCTTAGAATTCTTTCCTCCACATTTTGCATTTGTATAATCTCCTTCTTAGGATCTTAGTCTGTCATAAAATATTTTGAGAATTTTCCATGAGTGGATCTGACCATTAGGGAGCCACGTTGCCACTCAAAACCCCAGTCTCAGAGCGTTCGCGTTCAAGGAGACCATGAAGCTGTGCAAAGAAGTTCAGGCTTAGAACCTGAGTCACGGGATCACCAACTGCTGCCTGTGAATGCGGCCCTCACTTTCAACTTTGCTATATCTCTGTTAAAATACTGGCAAGGGCAAGTGATCTGAGGGTTAAAGATCTGAGCCTGTCCTTGCCCAGTAGTTTATGAGCTGTAGGATCCAGGCACGACTTGGAACTTAACCTCTTTGTGTCTCAAAACATTATGCTGAGGAGTTTGTACATTGTAGACTAAACTTCAAATAAAGGAAAACAAAGTACAGGAAAATGTTGGAAAAAGCGTCAGTTACTCTATTTATACCAGCTATTATTATTTCTACTTGCCTTAAAGAGAGGGAAGTGATTCTGGTTCCTTTCTCATTCTTTCTAGAAAAGAAAAGAAAAAAAAAACATTTAAAAAGAGAGAGGCAGGGAGAGAGAATGAGAAAGTTGAAAAGTCCTGTCCCTGTAAAAAAGTCAAAGATCTAATTTTATTTCAAGTGTTGAAATTGGCTTCATTTCTCTTATCTTCTATTCTAGGAGTCTCCTTGTCCCACCCATAGATTAATAATCACATGTACTAATAAGAAGCTCATCAAGAGATTCCTCGGCGGTGTTTCATGCTGTTTTTTTCTTTCCTAATCTGATTCTTGCTTCAAGGCCTAAATTCAACCAGTTTGAGGACAGATGGTATGGGGCCCTTTGTCCTGCCAATTTGGAGACCCTGGAAACAATTTAGCCTCTGCACAGGGAATAATTTTGCCAGCATGATTTAAAAATACTACAGTGTTTTTAACCTTGGGGAAAAGTATCCGGCAAATAACCCAAAGCAGTTTTTTTTTTTTGCTGTTATGGATAATGTCACACTCCCAGCCAGATTTGTCTAAACAAGGCTCTGCTCAAGATAAATTGCTAGCAATGGATGCCATTTAAATGTAGAATTGAGAAACATAGCTATGCTGAGCTGGAAAAAGATTTGGAACTTACGTCTCTGTCTTGGTTCTTTTCCCTACTCACCTTGGTGGCCAGTCACTTCACCTAGTTAGGACTCCACCTTCTCATTTGAAAATGTGAGGATTAGACTATCATCATTTCAGTTCAACTATTGCTGGGTGATACAAGGTGGGTCCTTAGTATTGCAATGGATTCCAAGATGAGAAATAACTGTGGCCACCCTCAAGGAGTTTGTAATTTATTAATACATATTATGCCCCCATATTATACATATTATGTATACCCCAATACATATTAAAACTTATATATATGTATATCCCAATACCTATTAATGCATATTAGACCCCCAAAGCTAATTCTTCCTTGGAACTTCTCATGGGTTTCCTCTACTTGGAAATCTCTCCCCTCCAGAGCTTCACGTGGCTGGGTCTTTTTCATTACTTAGACCTCAGCTCAAACTTCACCTCTGCAGAGATGCAGACTTAGACCTCCATATATAAAGTTCCCACCCCACACTCTTCATTTCATTATCCTGTTTCATTCTTTTGTTGCACTGCACTTTCTCTTACACATTTATTTATTACTGGTGTTTCACCAGGTACAGTAGCCTCTGCCTCTACCTGCTCCCATGGCCTCCGTAGAACAGAGCTACCAATGTTCTGAGAGCCCTTATGGTGCCAAAGCTGAAAGGGGACTCATGGAGACAGTGGGACATGAATGAATCTCTCACCAGTGTTGTGAGAACTTGGTGACTCCGAGACTGGTATAGTCAAAAGTATAACAGCGATAATGATACTAACACAGAGGCGTTATTGTAATGATTAAATTATGCATTTATGCAAAGTGCCTAGCACAATTATAGCATATATTGAGGTCTTAATTAATGTTAGCCTCATGAGGTCCTTCTGGGGAAAAGTAGTGTGAGCTCAGCAATGAATTTGTAATTAATGGATATTTATTAATTGATAAACTTCTATCTTTTTTTAAAGAAGAATTGGGAGAGGTAAAGAAACCATGCCAGAGATTTTCAAAAACAGCTCTTTCTACATTCACATACCACTTCTGCTTCTGTGGTTTCCAAAGAACTTAGACACGAATGCAACAAAACGAGGCTAGGAAATCAATACAAAGTCAGAAACCGTGTTATCCTCAAAATGCCCCTTTGCCTCTGCCGGATGAGCTCTTATACTGAGCCCTGGATTTACCCATGTTGGGTTCTTCTGTCCTGTGGGATGGTTTAGTCAGGGTGGTTGGGCCAGGAAGCAGGGCCTTGCTAGAGAGAGTAAAGTAGGAACACTCCCACCCCAACATAGTTCCCGGACTTGACCAGATGTGTTTGAATGCCAACCGTGTTTATTTACTGAGGTGTTGACCAGGGAGTTATTTCTTAGCAGCCATGAAAATTGTCTAACTCATGCCATAGACCATGGCAGTTTAAATTCAGCGCGTCTGAAATCCAGCAGAGGACATGACTTCAGCTCACATGGAGATTCCACTTTCAAAAGTTTTAGCACGTTGTGAAACAGAAATCACAGCTAATTGTGGGGAGGCTCATAGCATGTGTCCTGAAGGAGACAGGCTATGAGATGAGAGGGAACAGCAATTAGTGTGAGCTGATCTCCTCTCAAGGGCCTGGAGTCAAACTGCCCAAGGCACCAATGTAAACAGGTGCTAAACTGTAATAAATCAGAGATGCTGGCACTAATTAACACAGGTTTCCACTCACACAATTTGTAAAAAAAAAAAAAAAAATGCATGGGTTTTGATCCATTGCAGGAGATAGCACTCTGAACTAGGAATTTTTAAAACAAACAACACACCCTTCTTTGGTTGTGTTCAATAGTTCTGTTTTGTGTTTTGAGGGTCTATGTTTGTGTAAGTTGCAAGGTGCTACTCCAGGCCTTGATACCACCTGAGACCAGCTGCCTGACAGGAGCCTGAACTTGGCAGTCACGACCAGCTGAAGGGATGAAACCAAACACCGAATAGTGTCAGGGTGTTTACCCAAACCAAAGACTTCTTTCTTCATTTAAATTTGTCTTGTTGGAAACATTTCAAAAAAGGACAGGGTGTAGTGGCTCACGCCTGTAACCCCAGCACTTTAGGAGGCCTAAATGGGAGGATTGCTTGAGACCAGGAGTTTGAGACCAGTCTAGTCAACATAGGGAGATCCCATCTCTACAAAACTAAAGAAAGTTAGCCTGGTACAGTGTCTTGTGCCTGCAGTCCCAACTACTCAGGAGGCTGATGCAGGAGAATCACTTGAGCCCAGGAGTTCAAGGCTGCAGTGACCTATGATAGCATCACTGCACTCAGTCTGGGTGACAGAGTAAGACCTCGTCGCCCCCGAAAAAAAAAAAGAAAGAAAGAAAGGAAAAGAAACCTTAGATAGCAAAAACAGCGAGAAAGTGGTAAGGTTAGGTAAGGTTTTGCCATCTTTTATTTTTCCCCCAGCACGTTGCCTCAATTTTAGAAAGAGGAAGTGAATTAAGAATCAAATCTGTTTCTGCACAAAATGTTTATTCATAAGAAATCTGTTTCTCGGGGGGAAACTGGGTGATAGGTGCTACATAGGACTCTTCTGTACTATTTTTTTCTTTCTTGTGAGTCTATAATTGTTTCAAAATTAAAAGGTTAAAATAATAAAATGATATTTAAAGCAGAGATAAAAATGTCAGTTTCTTTTCATGTGCACTAAATGCATAGCCGAAGCTCAAAAAAATTTTAAACATCTTCTCTTTGAATAGATTTCAGGTTGTTAACAGATGTGTTACACCTGTGTATTCTTACCTGCCTGTATTTGCAAGAGAATTTTATCATTTTATACATTAACAATGCCAAGAGGTTAGTAGTAGTATACCTCTTTTTAAAGGGGAGAAAGGAGAGAATCAGTCAGGTTATATAACTCATCTACATTTATCCAATTAGTGTAACTGGGTGGGATTTGACCTAAGCCAGTGAAACTCCAAAACTTGACAGCCTTGCAAATTAGCCTCCCAGCAGGCCATGCAAGAACCAGGAAAAGCTCTTTCCCAGCCATCCAGGCACCATGGTCCTCCTTGAATATGATTGACCTTAGAAGTTCTCTTTGGGTTTTTCCCCCTGTTTTTTTTCTCCCTGTAATTCTTCCACATGATCTACCCAAGAGTTTCATGCCTTGAGTAGACTATTCAGAAAGTGAAAACTTGACAGAATCACTAGGTCAAGCACTGACTCAGAAATGTCCCATTTGAACATAGATTTAGCTCTACACACACCGCACATCCGCTATTAAATCACTTACCCACAACTCAATATTTCTGGTGGTCCCATACTACACTTCAGTGGCACTGTGAGACAGGCCCAACAAAAGCCAAGCGGGCTAATGCTAATTATAGCCAGGCACATGCTAGCCCATTGCAGGAGGTAAGTAATTTTATCCTAATAGCCACTCCTCTGAGTAAGTATTATCATCCTCAAGTTACATATGGCTCCCAGAACAGTCAAATTCCTTGCCCAGATCTAGGCAGCCACTGTGTGATACATCTGGATAACTGTAACCTAGTTGGCAAAACCCAAACTTCTCTGGATTTATACTTCTTGTTAAGACTCAGGATCCATGAACCCAATAAACTATGCAAGAGGGATATGGGGGATAAGAGGCAAGAACTCGTGAAGCAATGAACACAAAATGAATTATCACCCAAAGAGAAGATGAACGCAAGGGAGTCCCTCTAACTGTGGAATGTGAGACAGGAAGCAAGAACATGCAGGTTGGAATTTGCAGCTGGCCTGAGATTGAGCCTCTTTTGTTGCTTCTGTGTCACGCTCTTCCTTGCTCCCTCTCCATGCTAGCCACCTTTCGCTGTATAGGCTCCTCTAGTGAGCTATGCTGTTTTTCCCACCCAGGCATCCAGATTGACAATATCTTTGGCCTTGAATGTGATCCCGGACACCTCCTTTACTCCTTCCCTTCTCCCCTCCCTCCTCTTCCCTTTCCTGCTTCTTTCTTTCTTAGAAGCCTTCTTTTGTTTCTTCCTTCCTTCCTTCTCTCCTCTTCCCTCCTCTTTTTTCTCCATTTCTGCTCCAGCAAATTTCTACCTATTGTCAACACCTCAGATCTCTTGTCACTTCCCCAGAGGAAATCTGGTCTGAATTCACAGAGTAGAACACATTCGCCTCCTATTTGTTTCAGAGCCCTCTTTGTTCCTGTCTCTGAATACATCATCTTGATGGTTGATTTCTTGTTCAATACCTCTCTATTATATTAGATTCGAAACTCCATGAAGGTAGGGACAAGTTTTTTTTTTTTTTCACCTCTATATCCCCACAGCTTGCCCAGTGGCTGATAGTAGTAGGTAGAGGATGTAAATATCTATTTGTTAAATCAATACATGTCTGATCAGGCACTATTCATTGCATTTACCACAAATTGTAGTTTTATATATATCTGAAGTCCATTCATTTATTTTCACCTCTTCTAGGCTGTAAGCTCCATCAAAGGAGTAGGTATATCTCTTATCTAATTGTATTTTTCAGCACCTAATAGAGCTGCTGATGCATGGTATATATTCAATAGATAATAAATTAATGAATGATATTCCAAGAAAAAAAGCTTTAAATATCACCTACACTATTATCAGCTTTCTCATTAAACCAAATTGTCTTCAATTCTTCATGAGTAAAAAGCAGAAATATTCATATCATTAGACTTGGGTTCTTATTGCAGTCTAGCCACCAATTGGATGTGAACATGCATTTTTAGATTATTTGCCAATGAAGACCACAATAATTCACTTTTCTTCATTCACCCCTTGAATAGTCTTCTCCCACATTTACTCTGAACTTGGCCATGTGACTTGCTTTGGCCAATGGGACCATGGCATCTAGGATGCAAGCAGAGGCCTGGAAAAGGCTGGAGGCTGGAGTTTCCCCTCTCCCACTGCCCTTAGTGCCCCAAACCCACCGTGTACATGGGCCTAGCTGGCCACTAGATAACAGGAAGCTATGCAGAGGAGAACAGAGGCACCTGGCTGACATGATTGCCAACAAACAGATTCATGAGTGTGATAATCTTAGATCATCCAACTGCCTCTCAACCCACTAGCACAGACCAGATGATCAGGTCTTGTTATGGGTCGAATACGTCCCAGCTAAAATTCATTTGTTAAAGTCCTAACCCCCCACTACCTTGGAATGCCTTCTGACATGGAGACTGGGTCTTTAAAGAGGTAATCAAGTTAAAATTGGGTAATTAGGGTGAGCCATCATTCACTGTGACTCCTCTCCTGATAAGAAGGGGAAATTTGGACAAAGACACAGGGAGAATGCCATGTAAACACAAAAACAAGGATACAAAGACACCCACAAGCCGGGGATAAAGGCCTGGAACAGATCTTCTCCTCATGGCTCTCAGGAGGATCCAACCTTGCCGACTCCTTGATCTCAGACTTCCAGAGGCCAGACTGTGAGACAATACAATTTGACCTTCTGTTTTGTTAGCCACTCAGGGCTCAGTCCTTTGTTATGAAAACCCCAGAAAATTAATATGGGTCCAGACCAAAAGAAGTGAGCAAGTGACACACACAATTATGAACTAAATAAAGTGGTTACTGCTTTAAGCCCCTAATGCAGCAAAAGCTAATTAATAAAGTGGTTAAACTACTCGAGTCTCCCTAGTCTTCAGTTTTCACAATTACAAAATGGGATTTTACATATGTTCCTTACATGGTTATTAGTAAGATTAAGGAGGATAATGCTTGCAAGTTGCTTAGCAATGTAACTGACTCACAATTAGCATTCAAAGAGTGCTTATTTTCATGTTTTCCTTGGGGTGTCTGTTAAGTCAAAACCAGAGTTATTTACCCAAGAAAATATAAACTTCTACCTTTGAATTTATTGTAAATAATGTTGGAGTTTGTTATGGAATTCAACATCAATTTATATAAAACTAGAATGTCAAGTCTCCAGAAGAGGAAACAGGCACTCGGCAAGATCAGCTTAAATGGACCAAGATTAAGGCCGAAAGAAAATGTATTAAGCAACTGATATGTGCCCAAACATTACTGCATGCCTTTATTTACAATATTTTGTTTATTTATTGAAATACTTCTAAAATATAAATATTATCCTTCCATCACAATTGAGGAAATATCATTTCCTCAATGAAGGAAATATAATCCTCAATTATCCCTCATTTTTTAAAAAAGTTTCTAAAATACAAATATTATTATCACTCAAACTACTTGAGAAATAAACTTCAAAGTGCCCAAGATCCTATAGCTAATAATTAATACAGCAAGAATAAGAGGCAGGCATTTCTCCTTTAGTTCCCAGGTTCTTTCCTTAACACCTGGTCCATGTGTCTGGGATGGTCTCAGGAAGCCATTGCAAAATTAAGCCAAAAGATGATAGTTAATGTCCACTATTCATATAAAGTGAGACTCGCAAAACCCACCTTCCATGCTTGAGTGTTGCCCAGCAGTTCCTTTTATTGTGTTCTGGTAACTATGAAGTGCCACATAAGGACACCGTGTGTCTTTAAAAACACCCTTTGCATTGGAAGATTTCAGCCTCTGAAAGCTTCACGTATTGCACTCCAGCCTAAGAAGAGGAAGTCCTGCCAGCCCTCAGGTCAGACCTCTCAGGTCTGTGGCTGCATTTCACAGGAAACCAAGTCTAAAACGGACCTATCAGGAGGTTTTCTGCTGAAGGGCACTGCTTAGCATCGAGAAGAATTCAACCCACCGCCTTACTAATTTCCAGTGCCCCAAGGTCTCTGCACTGCCGCCCCTCCTCACAGGAGACGGACACCTCAGCCTAGATCCCTTGGTGCTCTCCACGCTGTTCAGGTAAACTCATTAGGCCAGTTCTTCTGAGTGAGGATCTCATGGTCATCTCCTTGTCATAAATGATCATCAGGAAAGACCTGAGCAGCAAGTAAAAATGTGTTTCTAAAGTGGAAGTCTGGGCCTTATATATAGCATCAAAGGAGCAAGAAGAAAGCCCTTAACTCAATTGTTAAAGATCCTTTCATTCTTTTGGGAGAAAGAATCAGGATACCTACCCACAGAAAATTAAAAGACTAAATGTTTTCAATCTTCTTTTCCTGGAGCTTGGACTCCCCGACTGTTTGCAACTGAAATCTAAAGACCAGGCCCCATGGCTGGCTTTCCTGGCTGACCTTCATTAAGTAAGCCCTCTAGAAAGAAAGCCTCCATTCAAAGTAGGTCATTCAAAGTATAAGTTAACTCCTGGAGCCCTGTGGAAATATATTTTTAACATTTTCTAAAGTAATACGATTTTCTTTCTGCTTTGGTGTAGAGGAGACTTAGACTTTGGAATCACGCAGACATCCTTCCACTCACAAGAGTAAGGAGCTCAAAAGTGAGGTTAAAGTTGGGGTTAAATTCTTACTCTTGAAAAGTGCCGGGAGTCATCTCTACCAGGCTTTTATTGGATAAAGCAAACAAACTGGAATGAGACAGAAAAGAAAATAACTATCATCAAAATATGGATACTTTGATTTTAAAAGGTGTCGATATGCCTGAACTTTTTATCAATACTGTTTTTATTACTTTACACCAGTGTTACTCATTTGGCTTCTCTGTTATGAGTATTACTTGTCTATTACCTACATGGCTATTTCTCTGGCTGTCTCTGTCTATACTGTGGCGCAGCTCCTCAATAGTGTTGTTCTTTGGATTTCCAGGGGCCTCCCAAACCACCAGGAATAATCATTTCAAATATCAAGAAGACGATGGTAGAGCTGGTTAATTGAAGGCCTACCAGAGAAATGACAGCGCTTCAGAAATCCTCTAAGAAGCTTAAGATACAGTATGCCCTAGAGAAGTAGGAATGGCAACTGGCATTTACTTACCTTCAGCTCCTGCTGACCTAGAGAGCTGGCTATTACTTTCCCTGGTTTACAGGTGAAGAACTTGAGTTCTCTAAGTAATATGTGCAAGGTTGTTCAGTCACTAATGTCAGTAACAGAATTCAGAAGGAAACTGATTTTCCTGGCTGACTGATTGGAATGGTGAACAGTGTTAGTTTGCAGTTTCACAGAGCTCATCCCTAAACTCACTCCTGGGTGGTCTCTGACACCAACCATCTAAATGGTAGTATTTCTTTGTTATTCCCAACAAGCCCTCTCAGATGACTGTATAGGCAAGACCATTTGAAAGCCAGTGCTTATAATCTTCTGTACCATCTGGCCAGCTCTGGCCTGAACACCAGGGGATTCTGTTTCTCGATCACTTTGCCATGAGTCAGGTGCTGTCTTAGAAAGACTGTAGGATTTGACGCCTGATCAAAATGGTGAGGATCCTGACTCTGCCACTTGGACCAGGGATGTTGTTTCATATATGATCCTCATTTCCTCCCCCTTTTTAATAAAGTAAGATCTCATAAGACTTGTATTGACAATTATTTAGCCTCAATAATATAATATTTATATTACGTGAAATATGGTGCATTCTTAACACTTAGCAAGTATTCAGTAAGTGTTGACTTCTTTCTCCATTACTTTCCTTTCCTCACTCCAAATCAGTTCTGATTTTATTCTTAAAACATGACCACAATCAACATAGAATTGATTAATACACATAAGTTTACAAATATTGTATTTTAATAATCTCATTAGAGAATGGTAATATTCCACAGTTGTATAGCCCTATGTAATGTAGGCCTTTGAATACATATTTTCTTCTTGAATGATCTTAACAGCTTAATGAAGTAGGCAGAGCACGTATTAGAGCATTTAAAAGGTGAAACTGGGGCTTAGAAAAGATGAGGAAGGACAACATGGTGAAATGGAAAGAAACAGGGCTTTGAGATTGTCAAAAATGGACATGAATCTAGTGTGTGACTTTACTGTTCGTCTTTAGGTAAGTAGCTTAACCTCTCTGATCTTTAGTTAGCTGTTGTTGGAGTTGTGTAATTTGAAACTGGGAGGAAGAATACATTTTGTGTGTTGCTTCGAGAGTGAGAGCAAATGTGCACACAGTGTCTGACACAGAAGAGATAGCCAGGAACTGGCTAAATTTTCACATGAAGAGTAGCAGACAGAGATCTAGAAGCATCCTTTTCTGAATCCTAGTACATGGAGCAGTTATATCCACTGTCATAAGCTACTGCCAACATCTGCCAAGACTTGAGTTCTGCAGAGTTCTTCTAGGCTGTACCTACCCTCCTAGCATGACAAAGAAACATAAAGTGTTCAAAGCGGCTAAATTACTAACCAGAGAGATAAATACCTGAATTTAAATTCTATTTATGATTTTTAACAGATTAAACCAAACATTCACGATTTTACCAATAAAACTGAGAAGCATCAGGTTAGATATCAGCAATAACGAAAAAATCACACACACACACACACACATACACACACACAAACAGAATTGTGGAATAGAGCTATCATAGGACCAATTTTTGTGTTTATTATTTATTTTTTGTTACTCTTATGGGCAGAATATTTGGGAATCATTATTGTGATTATTCTGCTTAATTTTAATCATGTCTTCCAAAGAGCAATGACTTACAGGTTACCATTTAAGTGTTGCTGATAGACAAGAAACGCTCATCATTTCTCACTTTTTAAGTAGGTGTACTTAATTCTTACTTTACAAAACGGATTCTGAAGTTCAGGCAGGCTCCATGCATTGTCCATTTCATGCAATGAATAGGAGGATATGCCAGAAATGAGACCCAGGTCCACCCGAGCCCCGAGCTCCTGCTCTCGGCATGGTGCTCCATGAGTACCCTGCTGATGTTCCCAGGTTCATGATCAGGGCATCAATCACTGTCTTCCAAACTAGTCAACAGCATTTAAGGAACTCCCAGATACACCACAAGCATTAGCAAAATATGTATTTTAGTTGTTTCTTTTAAATTTCATTGGTGATACTAATTGAAACACTGCTTCCTAAACACTTATGCATGAGAATCAAAATCCTATTGTGTTTAAATGGTACTGTGGTTTGTCATTTGAACTAAGATGAGCCAAAAGGTCTAGATACAACATGAAAATTTAATATCCATGTGATTGGATGATAATCTTTAACAGTGGTAGGTTCTGTGTTCAATTTCGTGTAAGATAAAGATAAGGGCTGACTAATAGCCTAGGCCCAAACTCTGAGAGGGCTGAATTTTTGTGGACTGCCTAAGGACCACATTTCACCATCAGTTTTGAAGACCCAGAAAGCTAATTGTATCCAAGGCACACAGAGTTGATGGAGCTCAAGAGGTCAGTTCACTCTGGTACTTTGACCTATGTATCCATCTTTGGTGATTTTGTTCAAGTGTACTCAAATTATAAGTTCAGATGATTGGCATATTCCCTCCCAGGAGACAAATGTACACAGGAAACTAAATTGATATTGGGCAGTAGCTTGTTGAGCACTAAGTCAGAGCTGTGTAATTTCAAAAGCTGGATTTGCTGAGCTATGGGTGGTCTGATGCCTTGGCAGGCACCTGGAAAGCCAGTCTGCCCCATGGTTACCTGTAGAAATTTATATATATATATATATCAGGACGTCCTCACTCATGGGCAAGTCTAGGGATCTCCCGATCAGCTTTATCTGTCTGGACTCTTTACACAGGACACCTCCACACAGTCCCCATCCCAAACTCCTACTTCTGATACATGCTGTTTTCACTATACCACGCCATCCAGTCGTTGAGACATGGATAGTGTGGGTTTGAAATCAGTTACTTCCTAGCAATATGGTTTTAGACAAGTTATTTAACTCCTCAGAACCTCTGTTTATCCTTTATAAAATGGAATAAAAATATCTACTGCTCGAATTTGTGGTGAGAAATGAGATTCAGTACATAAAAATGCATATCATGGTGACTAGTAATTATTAAATACAAAGTAAATGGTAGTGGCTATTATCATCATTCTTAGCATTATTATTATGAGTTTATTTTATATTTAAACAAACCTTCCTTAGATTCTTGGCCTTTGTCCCTTTTTTGTCTTCTTTTTTAATTATTATTATACTTTAAGTTTTAGGGTACATGTGCACAACGTGCAGGTTTGTTACATATGTATACATGTGACATGTTGGTGTGCTGCACCCATTAACTCATCATTTAGCATTAGGTATACCTCCTAATGCTATCCCTCCCCCCTCCCCCCAACCCACCACAGGCCCCAGTGTGTGATGTTCCCCTTCCTGCGTCCATGTGTTCTCATTCTTCAATTCCCACCTATGAGTGAGAACATGCGGTGTTTGGTTTATTGTCCTTGCGATAGCTTGCTGAGAATGATGGTTTCCAGCTTCATCCATGTCCCTACAAAGGACATGAACTCATCATTTTTTATGGCTGCATAGTATTCCATGATGTATATCTGCCACATTTTCTTCATCCAGTCTATCATTGTTGGACATTTAGGTTGGTTCCGAGTCTTTGTTATTGTGAATAGTGCCGCAATAAACATACGTGTGCATGTGTCTTTATAGCAGCATGATTTATAATCCTTTGGGTATATATCCAGTAATGAGATGGCTGGGTCAAATGGTATTTCTAGTTCTAGATCCCTGAGGAATCACCACACTGACTTCCACAATAGTTGAACTAGTTTACAGTCCCACCAACAGTGTAAAAGTGTTCCTATTTCTCCACATCCTCTCCAGCACCTGTTGTTTCCTGACTTTTTAATGATCGCCATTCTAACTGGTGTGAGATGGTATCTCATTGTGGTTTTGATTTGCATTTCTCTGATGGCCAGTGATGATGAGCATATTTTCATGTGTTTTTTGGCTGCATAAATGTCTTCTTTTGAGAAGTGTCTGTTCATATCCTTTGCCCACTTTTTGATGGGGTTGTTTGTTTTTTTTCTTGTAAATTTGTTTGAGTTCATTGTAGATTCTGGATATTAGCCCTTTGTCAGATGAGTAGATTGCAAAAATTTTCTCCTATTCTGTAGGTTGCCTGTTCACTCTGATGGTAGTTTCTTTTGCAGTGCAGGAGCTCTTTAGTTTAATTAGATCCCATTTGTCAATTTTGGCTTTTGTTGCCATGCTTTTGATGTTTTAGACATGAAGTCCTTGCCCATGCCTATGTCCTGAATGGTATTGCCTAGGTTTTCTTCTAGGGTTTTTATGGTTTTAGGTCTAACATGTAAGTCTTTCATCCATCTTGAATTAATTTTTGTGTAAGGTGTAAGGAAGGGATCCAGTTTCAGCTTTCTACATATGGCTAGCCAGTTTTCCCAGCACCATTTATTAAATATGGAATCCTTTCCCCATTTCTTGTTTTTGTCAGGTTTGTCAAAGATCAGATAGTTGTAGATATGTGGCATTATTTCTGAGGGCTCTGTTCTGTTCCATTGGTCTATATCTCTGTTTTGGTACCAGTACCATGCTGTTTTGGTTGCTGCAGCCTTGTAGTATAGTTTGAAGTCAGGTAGTCTGATGCCTCCAGCTTTGTTCTTTAGGCTTAGGATTGAGTTGGCAATGCACGCTCTTGTTTGCTTCCATATGAACTTTAAAGTAGTTTTTTTTCCAATTCAGTGAAAAAAGTCATTGGTAGCTTGATGGGGATGGCATTGAATCTATAAATTACCTTGGGCAGTATGGCCATTTTCACGATATTGATTCCTCCTACCCATGAGCATGGAATGTTCTTCCATTTGTTTGTATACTCTTTTATTTCATTGAGCAGTGGTTTGTAGTTCTCCTTGAAGAGGTCCTTCACATCCCTTGTAAGTATTTTATTTTCTTTGAGGCAATTGTGAATGGGAGTTCACTCATGATTTGGCTCTCTGTTTGTCTGTTATTGGTGTATAAGAATGCTAGTGATTTTTGCACATTGATTTTGTATCCTGAGACTTTGCTGAAGTTGCCTATCAGCTTAAGGAGATTTTGGGCTGAGATGATGGGGTTTTCTAGATATTTGACCTGAAGAAGTTCTATTTTAAGGTGATTTCTACAGAAACTAATTTCATCATATTCTTATTTATTTTTTATTATTCATCTATCAAAGCCTTGGGTGTCTTACAATTCCTCAAATGTGCTAATCCTCTGAAAATATTAAGATTTAATGAAAAATAATAGAAATTATTTTGGAATACCTTCCTAGCCAAATTTCAAATCCTCAGAGTTTTTCACGGCACTGATGCAAAGAAATTACTCAGTAATTATCTGTGGAACTATTCTTGCATAGCGGTTTATACTTTACAGAGTGCTTTCACTTTCATCATCTTACTTGGTCTTCAAAATAATCCTATGAGCAAAGAAGGATGAGCACTCATAGCCTCATCTTTCAGATTAGAGAAGCTGAGACTCAAGTTGTACAATTCACTGTATAATTCAGCATACCTGGGTTGAAAGATTTGTCTCCCATCTTGCTAGATAAGTGATCCTGAATAAAAGAAGAGAAAAAGAAATAGTTAATTATGCAAGGGGAAGTTTAATTCAGGAGTTAGGTTCTAAATGTACTCGAAGTTACAGATGAAATGATGATCTCATCTGGATCCACACTGTGCATTTGTTCACTGGACAAGCTTGGCTCAGAAGAAGTCTCTTGCACAGAATGACAGGATTGTTCAATGCTGAAAAATCTAGGTCATTTGGATTGTTGCTGTATAACGGAAACTAAATTAAACAAAATGCCCTACATACGGTTCTGGTAAGCAGTAAATGGTATTATTATTATTATTATTATTATTGCTATTTTTATTAGTCCATTTTCACACTGCTGTAAAGCACTTCTCTGAGACTGAGTAGTTTATAACGGAAAGAGGTTTAATTGACTCACAGTTCCACATGGCTGGGGAAGCCTCATGAAACATACAATCATGGCAGAAGGGGAAGCAGCCACCTTCTCCACAAGACAGCAGGAGAGAGAAGAGTGAAGAAGAGCATGGAAAACTGCCTTATAAAACCATCAGATCTTGTGAGAACTCACCCACTATCACAAGAACATCATGGGGGAAACCACCCCCATGATCCAATCACCTCCTCCCTCCCTCAGCACCTGGGGATTACAAATCGAGATGAGATTTAGGTGGGGACAGACAGCTAAACCATATTACTACTACTCTAAGTTGTATTACTCTTTTCCAGTCTTGTTTAGACTACCTGGGCTTTTGTGTTTCTCCTTTGGATTTTAAATTTCCCTCACAAATTTTTCAGGCTCTCCTGATCATAAAACAGCTCCTCAGAAAATCACCAGCATACATCAGGTGCTTAATAAATGAATGTTGAAAAAAATTACAGTGTTTTTGCCATTAGCCTTTAGACGTCCATGGGAATGGTGGGGTTTACTGGATCTATCTTCACCCTTATCTTCACCGCAGGGCCAACCTGTAAATGGTGGTAAATATATAGCAATCCCTAAATCTTAGTTTATTTTCTTATACTTTTTTTCCTCTAAAATTTGCCTTCAGTACCATCTCAATGCATTAATCAAGCAATGGAGAAACAATCACAGTTGGGTAAGTTCTGATTTAATCCAGGCCTAGAAGTGCCTGCCTCTAATCAATGTGGTTCTGCCATCATTTATGGAAGCCAAAAAAAAAAAAAATAGGGGCGAGACAGAGGTAAACTTAAAAATAATAAAATAAAATATCTGTTAGGATTTTGGCAAACTTGGAGACTATTTTTCTACAATCTCACTTTACGTGAACAGTAAAAATCACTTTAATAATAAGAGCAGAGAGAAGGAAGAGCCAAAGAAAAAAGAAGGAGGAGAAGGAAGAAAAATGAAGGATAGAGGAAGGAAAGGAACATGAGAAAGCTAAATGAACAGGAAAAAGGATAAAAAGTCTATTCACCACAAAGTGGAATAAGAGGAGAGAGAAAGAATCTTACCACTAAAGGAAGGAAACCCTTTCTGCAGAATCAGGCAGCTGAAGAGAAAAAAGGAAATGGTTTTTAAAAACAAAACTCAACAGGAATAATAAATTCAGAAACTATAGATTGCATCAGTTCATTAAGAGTGTTTTCAAAATCATTTAAAATTAAAATGAATGCACAGTCACATTGCCTTGAGATACTCAAGGGAAGTTACTCATTACCAGGACAGTTGCAAAATTTTATAAAAATGTGCCATACATAATAGCAGAAAAACTAGGAAAGCACTCTCCCTTACCCCTCAAAAAAAAAAAAAAAGAAATCTATAATAACAATGCATTTGACTTCAAAGGCCTCCACTCAATGGAAATCCAATAAAATTAAATGTTATATTTAATTAAATTGAGCTGATTGATCTGACTGGGGTATAGAATTAGAAATCCAATCAGCATATATTTTCCTCTAAGTATGAGCATCTCTAAAATGTAACTTTCTCATTTTTGATATGAAAATTAAAGAAAATACATATAACTCTGAATTGGAACCAAATTAATATCATCTGTATCTGAGAAATCTTGATTTCGACATGTTTACTCAAAGCTCCTATGTGTGTGCAAACACACACACACATAGACACACACACACACACACACACACACACACACTCTTCTGGCTCTCTTCTCCAAATATACACACATGCTCCCTTTCTCAATTCCAAAAATCATTCACCATTTTGGATATGTGTGATGTGATTGTGCAGAAAAAGTCAGATGTGTATTGTGTGGGTTTTATATTCTTTTCCTTTTTTCCTGTTTTAATGATAAAAGAAAGCCTTAAGCCTTAATATAGACCTTATTCTTGAGCCTTGACCCAGTTTTAATTGCACAACTACCTCCTACCTTCTCGATTCATTCAAAGCTTTTCTTTAGCCGTTCACAGTTTGCTTTTGGTCATTTCCTATATCTAGAAGGTATCTTGTAGATATTATTAGAATGACATTTCCTAAGCTTTTAAATAAATAGAGGCCAGTATTTTCATAAGCATTATCTTCTAGGAATAAATAACTAATGTTTGGGAACAAAACAATTTCTTTACCCTAAAAGCATTTTTTTCTTCATGAAATATTAATTTTGGATCAGGTGAAATGCAGCAGCAATATTTATGATAAATGTCTCTTTGCAAGCTCAGTTTGGTAGTACTGGTGAATTCCCAGTGGAGAACAAGAGTTCTCAAGGGTAACAAGGAAATGCGATTGTTGCATTACATATTTCTAATTGTTTAAACTGCTTGTGATACCATAAGGATATTAATTATTTTTGAATTAAGACACGTGAAAATCCAGCCTATTTATAAAACAAGTCTCTGCTTCTTAAAACATTCACTCAGACCCCAGGTGGGTTCTGAGCTCAGAAGCAGGCATCCTGGTTTTAGTGCCCAAATCGAATGTATGTTCTTTGGAAATCTTATAGATACTTTCATCTGCAGAACCCTGTTTTCTTTATTTTAGTTTTCTAAAATATAGGTGTGATTCTTTAACCCTCAAATCCATTATCTTTTATTTCATGCTTTAAGTTCTGGGATACATGTGCAGAACCTGCAGGTTTGTTACGTAGGTAAACATGTGCCATGGTGGTTTGCTGCATCCATCCAACCCATCATCTAGGTTTTAAGCCCCACATGCTTTGTCCTAATTAGGTATTTGTCCTAATGCTCTCCCTCCCCTTGCCCCAAACCCCCCAACAGGCCCCAGTGTGTGATGTTCCCCTCCCTGTGTCCATGTATTCTCATGAACATGAACACGGATGAAGCTGGAGGCCATCATTCTTAGCAAACTGACACAGGAACAGAAAACCAAACACCACATGTTCTTACTCATAAATGGGGGTTGAACAATGAAATCAAATCCGTTATCTTTACAAAGCATTTTCAAACCACAAATTACTTAATGAGCTAATCAAATATAATCATTGAGACCATCCGCCCCAAAGCTGTGGGGTTGTTTGGTCCAAATAGATGGTTGAGGCAGGGGTCTCTCCACTCAGGATGTGAACCACCCTGTGCACCTCTCTTTGACATGGTCCCCTTTATACCTGGAGGAGAGTACAGTGAGCCCCGTAGGGAGACAACACACACTATTTCTCAAACTGGGGTTCATTTTGGATCCCCAAAGAGTTCCAGGTCAGGGTTAATAAATTATATGGGAACTGTATTAATGAAATGAAAGCACAGAGTTCCAACCCAAAGTAAATTCATTATGAGCATATTCTGGCCCTTTTGCCTAGGCTTTAAGCCCTGGTATACACTCAGGCAATTTTATTGCCCATGTTGGCATTTGCAATTAGATTTGCATTGGCGTCTAGCACTCAGTACAGTGGTGTTTTTTCTTGTTGGAGAAATAAGCTGGCATCATGAAAACAGGCAGCCTCTCCTTGTGGACTCCTGGAGGACCCTGGGCTCCTTTGTACCTCCACACTGCTCCACCCAACACGTCTCCTTCTGCCTGGTCCCTCCCTGACAGTGAGTCCCTGAAAGTAGGGTGTGGTCTCCTCTTGATACCTTCAGAGCTTCCTTCAGCTTCCCCACAGCAGAGTCGACTCTGGACCTATTAATATCACCCATGCCAAGTGCCCTGCTGTGACTCCGGGTTCCACAAGCAAAACTGACAGATGACACCTCAGTGTCATTCCTTTGACAGAGAGAGCTATGCATGGGCTTTATTTCTGTGGCTAACCAGGAAGAGAAACTGAAATAATTGCTACAGAAAGTGAATGCACACACACCATGAGTTGTGCTCCATTTCTGGGGCATTCCAGCTTCTCAAGGTCTCCGAATCAAGGCAAGAAGATGTTGCATACTCTTTGATCTGGGTCAGATCTTGAAGTAAGACCTGTTGGAGAAAGACCTGCAAGGCTGACGCTCCACAGCCTACAAGTCCTGCCTCCCCTTCCATTATCATAGTCCATGTGGGAGTTGGGGTTACTTCTTTTTTTATTAACATTAGTTATTTCTCCTAATACTATCACTCCCCCAGACCCCCCACCCCCTGACAGGCCCCAGTGTGTGATGTTCCCCTCCCTGTGTCCATATGTTCTCATTGTTCAACTACCACCTGTGAGTGCGGACATGCAGTGTTTGGTTTTCTGTCCTTGCAATAGTTTGCTGAGAATGATGGTTTCCAGCTTCATCCATGTCCCTGTAAAGGACATGAACTCATCCTTTTTTATGGCTGCATAGTATTCCATGGTGTATATGTGCCACATTTTATTAATCCAGTCTATCACTGATGGACATTTGTCCTATTCAACGTAGTGTTGGAAGTTCTGTCCAGGGCAATCAGGCAAGAGAAGGGGAGTTGGGGTTACTTCTGAGGGGAGTTGTGGTGAAGCTGGGTAAGAACCTGTTCCATAGAAAGCTGTGTAGATCCCTCTGGGGCATATTTTTCCCTGTGTTCCCATAATACCTTATGCTCTATGCTCTCTAATTCCTAGGATCTGGAACGTGACTGGCACATTGTAAAGCCTCATAAATAGTTGCAGATACAGTAGTAAACTCTACCCTGTACAATTGCAAGAGCCTGGACTTTACTTCTTCACTGCCTATAAATAAGACCTGAGAGAGAAATTGATGCTTGACATGATTAGAAAACTTTTCCATGATCAAATTGTTAAAATCTTTGGATGTGATAGGTTTTTTAAAAACATTCCGCTAAAAATTGACTCAGAAATAATTCTAAGTGTATGGAGGATTATTTACAAGCAGTGCCAGTTCCTAAATGTCTATTTAAGATGTGTTTGGAACAGCAAGGTGAATGAACATGTGATTATTTGGTGCTTTCCATAAGAATGAGAAAAATCGGTGTGTTCACTGACAAGCTGCCAGTCAGTGGTGCTGGGTAGATGGAGATGGGAATAGACTGACACTCAAGTCCACTCCCTTCTGCCTCCCTGCCTGTTAAAATATCTGGGACATTTAGACAATGTCCATACCTGGGCTTTTCCCTAAAACAATTGAATCAAACTTTCTGGGACATTATATTTTTTAAGGTTTCCAGATAATTCCAAAGCATAGGCGGGTACAAGATTCTATGATTACATCAGTGGTTATTAGCAGATGCTTACCTAAAAATGCTTACCTAAGCATCTTTCATTTCTAACTAAGTGCCACTTTAAGGCACTTAAAGTGATATAAGGCATTTAATTAATCTTCAAGTTCAGATTCATATTAACCACTATTTCCCCCATGTCTTAGATATGGTATTTTTTCATGTAATCTTCATAAGAGTCCTAAGGGTAGCTGTTGTATTACCCGTATTTTACAGATAAGCACACGGAGGCTCAGAATGGTTAAACAGTTGTCCCAAAGCATAACTGTGAGAAACAAACTCACCTGTTCAAACCCAGAGAATGGACTCACAGATCCAGAGAACGCAAAAGTGAGACTTTCAATGGCAGTCTTGCAAGATCCAGTGTCTGGCATGCACTCACACCTAGCACAGTTTCAACAAGCAATTTATCCCATAGTGCGCAGTTCCCTCCCCCACTTCCTCGTAGTCTGAGTACTATGGGGTCACAATCTTCCCTGACATTGCCTATTGATTGTTAGGCAGGAACTTTAGGTGGTTTTTTTAGGGTTGTCTTGGTGCATTTTTGTCGCAGCCCACAATGCATTGCAATCTTAGTTAGCTTAGGGGCTCTTTAAGTATTTGACTTACGACCTAAGTAGCTGCGTAGGCTGATAAGAAGAGACAAAGCGAGCTATTTTGCGTACTAGCAAACTTTTATCTTAGACTAAGCTTCTTTAGTTCAGGTGAGGGCAACTAAGTTGGGGGGAAGCTGTTTCTTCTATAGTTTGCTGACCTAAGCCAATTCAAGGCACTTCGTCTTGGAAATGGATCAGGGTATACATTATTTCCTTTATAACTAAAACTTGTTTGGTTTTGTATAAAATGAGGATCATAAAACAGACCCTATGAGGTTACTGAGGTGGGGAGATGGGGGATATATAACAGGTGATCTGTGTTCACTGCCTTGTCTTTGAAAATGCACACATGAGGAAGGGAAGGGCCTTGTATTCTCTATAATTTATTACCTTCAAAAAGCCAGGGGACATAAGACTCTTTCTGACTGACTTCACCACATCCTTTGCACGATGGCTAAGATTAGATCAGAGTATGGTGCTTTCAAGGTGTCAGCCATTCTGAGTAGAGCACAGCTGTTTCCCCTGTAGAATGCCATCTCTTCTGTCTTGCTGATGACACTTTGTGGCTAACTCAGTCTCTGGTAAGGGTTGCCAAGGCCTCAAATTCTGCTTTCTTCTTTTTTTTTTTAGATAGAGTTTCACTCTTGTTGCCCAGGCTGGAGTGCAGTGGTGCAATCTTGGCTCACTGCAGCCTCTACCTCCCTGGCTCAAGCAATTCTCCTGCCTCAGCCTCCCTAGTAGCTGGGATTATAGGCGCCCACCACCATACCCAGCTCAGTTTTTGTATTTTTAGTAGAGACGGGTTCCACCATGTTGGCCAGGCTGGCCTCGAACTCCTGGCCTCAGGTGATCCAGTCGCCTCGGCCTCCCAAAATGTTGGGATTACAGGTGTGAGCCACTGCATCTGGCCTCAAATTCTGCTTTTTAAAATGTCAGAAGAGTTTGGGATCTCTCTATAATATTTTTAAACTCTTATACAATAAAGTGCTTGCATCTCTCAAAAGCTACTAATATTTTTAACTTTTATTCAAATTTCAAAATACAAGTCTAATAAGCACTGATATTACCAATCAAATAATATACAGAGGTTTACATATAAGGCAAAAATTAAGGATTCCTCCCTGATCCCTTGCGTTTCCATCCCTGCTATCCTAGGTGTTAGCAATTTGGCAGAATCTCCTGCAATTTGGCTCTGCACAGAGCTCTATTGGAGAAGACAATAAAATATAAGAAATGTAATGACATACTCTAACTTTTGAAACCATTTTTGTCACCAAATATTGATGGATTGTATTTTTTTTTAATGAAACTATTTCCATTTCTTTGAGCTGAAAAAGACCTATTTGGCCTAAGCTGCTCATTTTTCAGGTGAAGAAACGAAAGCCCAGAAAGCTCCAATGCCTTACTCAAAGCTGCACAGTGCATGGCAGGGCTGGGGCTGGAAAGCAGCTTCATTGGCCACCTTGCCAGAACTCTGATTTGAGGCATAAGCCTTGCAGGGAACTGTTCTGCATCTGTGGTCCCCTTACTCTGTACACAAGAACTGGCCAAGATCCAGGCACACAGGGAGCTGTCCGTAAAGACTAGTTTATTTTGTCCCATTTCGATGCTACTTAATGCATTCTGAAGAATGAAGTAGCTGTATAAGCAGCTATCATTAAGTGGTAGATACTCTTAAGGGATGGGGGATGGATTTGTCCTGTATGACTGTAATCAAGTAATTTAATCTCTATAAATACTAATATTCAAAAATTGTCATCAATAACCCCACATACCCAAATATAACATGACTGATGCTAAAGCAACTTGCAAACTTTGCTTTGCTATGCAAGTAATTGCATATCCGTGTTTCATAACATTTCATAGTTTGTAAGACATTTTCATATGTTTCAGTTTATTTCACACTTAAGACATGCTGTAAAAGAAAGATATTGATACTACTATTTATAAACTAGGAGGGTCCAAGTGTTCCTTCAAGGCCACACGGCTAGTTAATGGCAGCACTGGAACTGAACAGAGGTCTCTCAACTTCCAGTCCAGGACCCTTCCAGTATTTGATGTGCATTCTTTGTATTACACTGATGAAAGTTCAAGTCCCCTTCCCCACTGCCATGATGGAAATGACTTCCAAATGAGACCATGGACTAGACACTCTACACACTGCCACAGTGGGCCATCAGTGAATGAAAGCCTAACAGCCGCCTCCCCTTTCCCTGCTGTCAATATTGACCTACAAGCATAAGACGAGGGGATGAGGCTGGTGGGTGAGGGCAGAGGAAAATACACAGGGTATCAGAGGACATAGAGCTTGGTTCAAGTTCTTTAGTATGGGTTATGAGTATGGGTTGAAGATCACACAGTTGAAGTTCAGATCCCATCCCTTAGCATGCATGATCCTTGATCATCTCAATCCAAGGGACCTTCCCTCATTCTTTTTCATGTACTACCAACATCCCAGCTACCAACCCTTCCAGTTTCACCAAAATGTGCAAAGCCACTCTGGCACAATATACATTGTAACATCTTCACACCTTTGCGCATGATGCTCCATTTGCTTGGAACACCTCCCTTAATTTTGAGCCCAGAAGACCCAGACTTACCTGGCAAGACAAAGCTCAAGTATTATCTCCTCTATGAAGATCACCCTGGCTGGCTCTCCAAGACAGAGTTAGGATTTGTTATGTTTTGTTTTACAATTATCTGTTTTTTGCAAAACATTTTAATAAGAGGAGGGATGTCACGGAGGGATGCAGGAACTATACTATACTTAGTTTTAGAAGTGGCTTAAGGGCAGGGACTGTGTCTCACTGGGCACAATATTTGCACAAAGTACATTTTCAGTAAATGGTAGTTTCCCAGATGGATGAGTGAATGAATGGATAGATGAATGGCAGAATATACTAAAAATGCCGAAGGCTCAGTGGGGTGCCATATGCTGACAGGTTAGGAAATGGAAATTTCTGGGTCCTCTGGACCTCAGCTCTTATTGCGGGATGGGTGTTCTCGGTCACATAATTAAATCTTCCTGGGTATCATTGTCTAACTGTAAAACCCACTCTCTACCCTATTCCTCTCATCTGGGAGCCCAGGGAAGCTGATAGATATAAAACCATATTAACAGCTCCTCGCCCTTGGCTTTCTGTTGAGTTTGGCCAATGGGAGATGGCATCAGGAGATCCAGGGCAGAGGGAGCGTGAGATGGGGATTTTCATTCCACCCAACACAGCTCCCTCCCTGCAGGTCCCACAACTGAAAGCCACAGCTCCTCTACCCGCAACCCAGAAAGAGAGACCTGTCTCTGTGTCCCAGTGCCTACCTGGTCCCCAAATCCCTCCAAGCCCAGGCATGTGACAGCGCCCTTTTGTTACCACTCCCAGATACTTCACTGTCTTCTGTGGATTCCTTCTACCCTGCCCACACCTTTTAAATGGTCTCTTTATTAAGCTGTTCTCAAATTACCCAATTTGAGAGTGTCATCTGTTTCTTGCTGGAACCTCAGCTGATATCCTTTACACCTCTCAGGGCCTTTGAGTAGATTATATGAGATCATTGATACGAAGCCCTTACTGAATACTCCCAGGGTCTCTGCTGCTAATTTATATGGTAAATAACACTAATAATCTTTACTATGTGGGTGAATACAAGGCTCAAATAAAATGTTGCATTCTACGTAAAGTGATATAGAACTGTAACTTGCAATAAATATTTTATGGTAAAGCCACATTTGGAAATGAAAAGCACCCTTTCTGCATGCTCTGGCTCAGAGGAGAGCCAGCCAAGCCTGGCTAACGTGCCCTCGGTGCCCAGGGGAAGCACACAATTGCACGCCAGGGAAAACCAGGCTCAGTTTATGTTTGCTCAGCTCCCGGGGGCAGATGGGATGAATGCTGACAGAAAGAGGACAGCCTGTCAGAGAAAGAAATCCCCTCCCCAACTGTGTTCCAGAAATAAGCCAATTCTTGACCTGGATTGATTCTCTTTCTGTCATTTCCTTTAAACCAGCACCTGTATCCGATTTTAACAAGCAGCAACAGTGGCTTGTTCCCCAGAATTAAAACATGATGTGGAAGTTCCAGTAACGCGTTTGCTTTTGTTTCCACAGGCTGAATTGAAGATCCCTCTTACCCGCCAGGTGCCAAGAACTATGAACAGGCAGTAAGTACCGTGGGATCACTGTGAGCCCCAGTTCCCTTTTCTTGGTGGGGACAGGAGGTGTTTTCTGGAAGATGAACTGAGAAATGATGCCAATGTGGCCGCCCATGGAAAAGGGATTTCCTGAGAGGCCATGGTTGAGATTGTGGGCTTTGGTGTTCAGAACACTCCTCTTTCCAGTAGCAGCATTTTCCCATGGACAGAGCATTTGCTGTCACCCAGCATGGGTGTGTGGTGGGCAGGGACAAGATATCCGAGCACCATGATGCTAGAAGGGCACCCAGACAGTTTCCACCCATGGGTGTGAAGGAATAGGTAAAAGGACAGTGGTTTGTGTGCTTTTTCCCACAGGAGAAAGCCTGGAGTCCAACTTTCTCTTTGTGGACACCAAAAGTGGTGTGGTCAGTCTGAGACACCGAAATTTGTGCCTGATTAAAAAAAAAAATGCCATCCCTGATGTCTATAGTATAGTAAAAAAAAAAAAAAAATTAGCAGGACTCAAAAGTTTAAGAAATATTTATAGTGAAAAAAAAAGACTTTGAAATTGGCAAAGTTTGGTGGACCAGTTTTAAAATTAATCTCCTTATCTATTTATTTGCTTTATTTTACCAGTCAGAAAGGTAGTTTTGTTATTCCTCTTTGGTGTGAAAAGCAGAGTGATAGTATTAGAAAGAGCAGGAGTTTCAGAGTTAGGTAGGCCAGACCTACTTTAACTCCCTTGCCCTGTCATTTTACATCTGTATGATACTGGAGAATGATGATATCCTTACCCTCTGGATATGCAAGAAGTTCCTTAACCCTTTGAAAAGCAGAATCTGACTCAGGGAGGAGGACTGCCTGGTTTCTGGGTGGATGTCCTGATCCTAGCGGGAGGCTAGGGGACTGCAATGACTGTACCTCGCAGGTGGGCACTGGCTGGAGGGCTCTGGTCCAAGAGACAGAGAGAGTAGCAGGTGCTGTGACAGCCCCGGTATCTCAGCTACCCATGGATGCCCACAGGTGTCCAGGTGGAGCCACCTGACTCACAGCCAAGCCCATGGGATGGGAAGGCTGGAGCTTCTGCTCTTCCTCTTGCCATGAAAAGCACAGCAGGAGCTCCCTGGCACGTAGTCCACAGATGGGCTCCTCACCCGAGTGAGAATTAAGCTAATCAAGCATCCCTTCTTTGCCAGGAGTTGTGACCTCCTTTTCCTCCCCGATCCTTACAGCAGGACTGGGTGGCAGGTATTACTAGCTCTTCTTGGAAAATTAGCTTCTTCATCTAAATGACTTGTCTGAGATGGCTCAGAGCATTGAGATGAAGATGGAGCTGGAATTCAAGTCTGTCTGACTCCCAGTTCAGTGCTCCTTCCATTATTCCTTTGACTGTGGGAAATGGAGAAGGCACCAGTAAGGGAGTCAGGGCTGATGTCAATCCAGGTGAGCTGGTTAACCTGTGGTTGCACCACAAAGGGGATGAACTCTCAGACCCAAATTAGCACTGGGGATAAACGTGGCAAATGGCAGTTTCATTATAGGATAGACAAATTGGAGGTTTGTGCTGATGGCATACACAGCACAGCAGGTGTATTAGTGTCCTGGGCTGCTCTAACAAATTACCACCACCTGCATGGATTCAAATACTGGGAATCTATTCACTGATAGTTCTGGGAGCCAGAAATTCGAAATTAAGGGTTCAGCAAGTCCTTTCTCCCTCCAAAGGCTCAAGGGAAGAATACTTCCTGGTCTTGTTCAGCTCCCAGAGGCTCCTGGCTTTCCTTGCCCGTGGCCGCATCACTCTCCTCTCTGCCTCCATTTCACATGACCTTCTCCTCTCTGGCCATATTTTCTTTTCTTCATCTCACCTCAAATCTCCCTCTGGTTGTCTGATATAAAGATATTTGCCATTGGATTTAGGGGTCACCTGGATAGTCAGAAATGATTTCTTATCAAGATCCTTAACTACATCTGCAAAGATGCTTTTCCCAAACAGGGTCACATTCACAAGCGATGGAGATTTGGATGTGGATATGTTGTAGGGCCACCATTCAGTCCAGGGCAGCAGCCTTTATCTTCACACTCACTCCCCTCTTCAGGGGCAACGTGGGATGGCTTTGAAATGTCTGTCAATATTTGCCATGAGCATCTGCTTGGCTTTGCAGCTGAGATTTCCACCCTTTCCGTCTCTGCTTCTGTGCCTTTTTTTTTTTTTTTTTTTTTGAGACGAAGTCTTGCTCTGTCACCAGGCTGTAGTGCAGTGGCATGATCTCAGCTCACTGCAACCTCCAACTCCCTGGTTCAAGTGATTCTCCTACCTCAGACTCCCGAGTAGCTGGGATTACAGGTGTCTACCACCATGCCTGGCTAATTTTTCTATTTTTAGTAGAGACAGGGTTTCACCATGTTAGCCAGGATGGTCTCGGTCTCCTGACCTCATGATCCGCCAGCCTCGGCCTCCCAAAGTGCTGGAATTACAGGCGTGAGCCACCGCGCCCGACTCTATGTCTTTTAATGATTCCACCCTATGCCAAGGGCCTCTTCTGTAAGAGGAGAGGTTTTCCCCTTTTATGAGGACTTTCAGTGGCTTTGTCTTTTAGCCAGGGAGTTGGTCTCTGTTGAACATGGCTTCTCACCAAGCTTTCCAAAGGGAAACTTTGTGATTTCAGCTTTACAGTCACCTTAGATTTGAAGCTGGCAATGCGTAGGCCAGAGGACAGCCAAACCGTCACCATTTCACAAATGTTAGCTTCCTCCCATTAGGATGAGTCCACGGGGAGCCTTCACACTTGACTATCTGACACCTCAACATTAGGAACCTGCCTTGAAGAATAACTCTTCTTCTTTCCTAAAGCTCAGAGCATCCTTTTCCTCCCCTAGTCCCAAACTCTTCTTCACTCTTTCCTCTTGTGCACCCTCAGGCCAGTCAATCCGTATGGGATTGCTGCTGGCCTGCCCCAAAGTAAAAAGTAAATATTAAAATTAGAACGCCTCCATCAGTACGCTTACACATTAAAGAGAAATGCATAAGCTGGCACCACACAAATGAAAGGTAAGATGCCCTAGTACACTCCACATTTTATTCTCCACCTTCGGGTTTCCTGTCCAGGGTGTCCTGAGCTGGGAGATGCTGTTGATCTAAGGGCAGGCTGCACAGCAGCAGTGTCAGCATCACCAGGGAGCTTGTTAGAAACACAGAATCTCAGCTGCTACAGCCCAGCCCAGGCATGCTGAGTCGGAATCCATACTTTTACAAGATCCTCGGTTGATTCTTGGACACATTAAAGCCTGAGAAGTGCTGAACTAGAACAGGAGTTCCCAGCACCGTTTCCTTCCTGGCACACTTGAGAACTTATCCACAGCAGTCGCCAAGGCATGACTCAGAGAAGGAGCCACATGTCAGGCTGGGTGTGAGTGTAGTTTGGAAATGTGTGCCCCCCATCACCACACACACAGAGGTTTTCCTTTTGCTGTGCCTTGTGGGGTAGTTCTCACTTCCTTTGTCAAAATTATTAACCCAGTCAATTCAAGGTAGTAGATTTTAAACCTGAAGGAGCGTTAGAATCATCAGGGAGGCTTTAAACAAAAACAATTTCAGTGTCCTTCCCCAAAGCAAAGAAACCAGAATAGTCAGACATCATTCCTTTTTTTTTTTTACTTGTTAATGCTCAACTGAATGTAATCTACATCCAGTTTTGTGGAATAATGTCTCATAATTCTATAATCTGGAATTTCTTACAATTTTATAACCTGGAATCCTAAGCAGACTTTGTAACTATGACTAATTCCTTACTATCTGCCTTAGTCTTCTCGGGTGGCTATAACAAAATAGCTCAGACTGGGTAACTCAGGAACAACAGAAATTTATTTCTTACAGTTCTGGGAGCTGGGAAGTCCAAGAACATGGGGCTAGCAGATTTAGTGTCTGGTGAGAGTGCTTCCTGATTCATAGACAGCCGTCTGCTTGCTGTGTCTTCACATGGTAAAGAAGGCAAGGAATGTCTCTGGGACCTCTTTTATAAGGGTGCTAATCTCATTTCACGGGAGTTTTGCCCTCTTGGCCTAATCAGCCCCCAAAGGCCCCACCTTTTAATACCCTTACCTTGGTGATTAGCTTTCAACATATGAAGTTAAGGGGTTCACAAACATTTAAATCATAGGACTATCTCTCACTAAGCACTTTTACAATGAAAATTTTATAAGTATAAATGAATGGATGATATAGAAATATATATTGTATATGTACATGTGTATGTGAACCTATGGGTATATATGCATGTATATGTATGCAGACATACAATACAAGCACATGCACACATATGTTTTTATATGATTGTATCAGTTCAGTCAAAAGCATTTATTGAGTATACATAAATCATATACAAATTTATTTATTGAGTATACATTTCACACACCTCATTTATAAAGTTGAATAAGATCTAGTCCCTGCCCTCAAAGAGCATTAGCCATATGTAAAGAGAATTATTTCCGTATTACATAGAGAGTGATGAGAAAACTCCACAAGTACTAAGAAGGGATCCGGATGTCATGATTCTAAATTGCTTCGGAAATTAGCAGGCTATTTTTCATTGACTTTCCCTGCAACAAAACTTGCAGCTTCCCTAGCAATCCATTAAACTTCAGAAAGCCTCATTCCTCGGTGCTATTAGAGAAGAGCAGACAGACCCACTAGCGGCCCCATTACACCGCTGGGGCTAGATAAGGGCATCTTGGGGTTTGGTTTCCAGTACCTCTTCATCATTCTGGACAGGACTGATAAGAACCTTGACGCTGTGGTTCTGAGTGCTTTGGAAGAGACAAAGTCACCTGAGTGATTGCTTCTGGGCTCTTTCCAGTAAGCCAATGCCCTGCACTGGCCACCCAGGCTCTTTTGGGAATTTGGGTGAAAGTCACTCTTGCACATCCCAGATTGGGGATAGATCAGAGAGCAAAGGTCTCCAGAGTGTCCACTTTGAAATAAGGCTTAAGCAGTTATTAAGCTTGTTTTGTTCATTGGTGAAATTGTCTCCAGTATTGACGGAAATTTTAGAAAATATACAAATTACAAAGAAGAATGAAAATTGCCAATTATCCTAACACCCAGCACTAACTTGCTACAGTTGTCTTAGTTTATTTTTCTATATCTATGTGTAATATCTTAAAATTTTAGAAAATCTACTTTTAAAACTCATTGTTTTAAGTCATTCATTTAATAACAATGTTTCCTTTTCTGAACATTGTCTTACATGATTAAATTTTCTTTAAAATCATGGTGTTTTGAGCTATGACTTAAATAAGGTTTCTCACCCCTTCTCCACAATTTCAAAGTCAAAAGGCTTTGAAATACTGAAAGGTTTTTGTAGCTAATTTGACAGCAAAACCTGACATGCAACGAGGTAATGTATGTTCTTCATTAATCCCAATTAATCCAACCATCACATGTTTCACTACAGAAATATTAGCGTGTTTAATAACCAGAGGTTGTTCCAGTGTACAGCACATGCACTGTGTTACTTTTCTAAAATCCACCATATTCTGAATTCCTGGCCCCAGGGGATTTAGATCAAGCATGGCGAACCTGTATTTTATTTGGCAGTTTATTTTATCTTGCCCTTGGTGTTGGACGTTTAAGTTGCTACCTATAGAGTTTTATGAGGCAGTTTTATCACCAAGATTAAACTTAACACTATATACTCTAGGAGTATTAGAGCAGACGGTGTTGTGATGCTCCCCAGCAGACAACACTGTGTATGCTGCATACATTATGTAACTCTACCATAATAGTCTAATATTATGTAGGAACACAAGTTCATACTATCTAGTAATAACCTAGCAGTTCTTTTCTTGCATAGGGAATATGTATTTCCTATTTGCTTGTTTTGGAAAGAGTTTTGATGGTAAACAAAACAATAAAATAGAGATAGATATTTAGAGGTGGAGAGATTCGTAGAGGTATAGAATTCTACCTTCCACACATGGTTATAATTTCCTTAGCAATAGCTGTGTGAGACAGAATTGAGAATCTTCTCAAACACTCTTCTGGATAAAGAGCTGATTACCTTCTGAGCCTATGACTTAGGAAACAGCAAGAAAATTCCTCTTTGTATTGACATCAACAAAGTCACCTTCAAGTCAATGTTAATCATTGACATTTTGCATTTTCCTAAGCAAAAATAGTGATATTTCTCTGCAATACTTTTCTCACTTGAATGCAGTGTCTAGTTTTAAGACTGAAAGAGTAAAAATGATACAAAAATTGTTTACCCTCCCTGACACGCCAGGCACTGTGCTAGTCATTCTCCATGAGGATCTATGTCATACTTTCTGATGGCTCAGCACTAAAACAGCATTCCATATTGCCACATAAGAACAAGTTTCCCAAATTCAGATTCAGGAATAAAACTGACATATTTCTGACTCCAAAATCCGTGATCTTATATCATAAGACATAGTGATTAAGAACATCATGCTTGTGTATTTCTCATCACGGATACATCACCTGAGTGAATGACTGTTTTGCCCATTAGAGGCATATTTTCTCTTTGAAACCTTGCACAATAAAATGTATTCAGTTCCTAGGTGGTGATGTGTATCAGCTCCTCTTGAGAGGGCTCAATGTCTGGCACACAGGAGCTGCCCAATAGATGATATTTCTCTCGTGTGTATGAATGATAAAACTCCATGTAAACTCCAGATCATTATTTTCCTTCATGACATGTGTGAACAACCCCTGCTTTCGACCTCCAGGGGCACCTTCACTTTGATTTGCAGGAATAAATAAGTGTAAATCCCACTGAATCTAGAGAAAATGAGAACAAGCAATTTTGGCACCCTGAGATCAGAGTCCTACACCCAGCTGTGTAGTCAGTATGGCTGCCCTCCTAGTTACCCAGAAGTAATTATGAACCAACTCTCGGGCCAACTGGGTCTGTCCTCTGATGCTATCAAAGTCATATAGGTAGGATTCAGCTTCGTGGTTGGCTAGTAATTAAAAAGCTGCAAGCTGTGAGGGAACATAGCTGAAATCCAGAGATAGAGTTTGCCAGAGGTTGCAGACATGGCCAGTGATACTTTTGCAGGAGCAGCAGGTGTGGTTGGCTTCGAGACTCAATAAAGATGGTCGGTGATGAGGGAATAGAGGATGTCAAGATAGTCTTCTCTCTCTCTTACTGGCAAGATTACCAGCTGCTGATAGAACTAGTTGACTTAACTAGCTTATCACCACTTGGGAAACTTCCAGCTGAACAAAATCTCCTACTGACTGTCCACAAGGTTAGAGTTTTCATCATTATGGTCTTTGAAAATGTCACAAAGAATAATAAAGGCTCTGATGTACTTAATGCATGAGTTTGTTATCATGTAAGTAATGTAATTCTTTGTAAAACATTTAAGATACAAAAATATATACATAAAGAGAAACTACCACTAAATGAATCATTGAAAAACGGTAAATGGTATTGGATATTTCCTTTTAGGCTTTCCAATAAAACTATCCATTCTATTTTGTTTTTAACTTGAAGTATCATATGTATAATGTCTCCCAATGTTATTACAGTCGTTTTATAGCTATGCAATCTTTCAATCCCTTAGGCATCCCATATTTTATGGTCTTCCACTGCAGGAAAACAACA
Source organism: Homo sapiens (assembly GCF_000001405.40). Lineage (NCBI taxonomy): Eukaryota > Metazoa > Chordata > Mammalia > Primates > Hominidae > Homo > Homo sapiens. The sequence goes on along the minus strand of NC_000004.12, from coordinate 10,660,254 downwards.
CAACTCATGAACTAATTTGACAAATTCAATTAACATAATCATGCCCAAATATTAAGAGGCTGCATTTTGTTACATGGAAATAAGGAAAAACAATCATCCTAGGAAATATTGTGAACTAAACCAGTGTTTGGAGAACCTGATCCATGATGATAGTTTATAACAGAATAGTATTTGATTATAAAAACATACAGAGAAATCAGTAATAAAGTCCAGCATTTATGATTGCTATTTTAGCCATGAAGTCCAAAACACTGGTCATTTGCATGTCTATAATTTGCATTGGCCCAACATTCCCCTACAGATGAGACATAAGAAAGGAGAAAACTTGACTTCAGGAAAATTTTGTTAAGTTCAAGTACACCTGACAGTAAAATTGTAAAATGATTGCCAAAAGTTTTTAATTAATATGATTTGGGACCAATATCAGGAAGTCCTAGAAAATGTATCCCTTGGAAAGGAAAAAAAAAGGAATTCCTGGAGATCTAGATGTGTAAAATTTCAGAATTCCTGGTAAAGAGAGATCAGGTCACAAATAAGAGGAAAGAAGTACTTGCCATAAGCCAGATATCAGTTGCCTCCAGCTTGGTTCTTCATTCTTGACTTCCATTCTTCTCTGTATTTTTTATGGGGGTGGGGAGGATTTTTTCTGAGAGAGGTTAGAAAGGATTCTGTTGAGGTAATCCGTGAAAGGAGATGATAAAGTCAAATATTTATCTGTCTCCCATACTGGGGAGAACAAATACTTCAATAGAAGTATAGCTCTGCAATAATCCAACAGAAATATTGGTTGGCCATGTGCCAACAGAGCCGTGACATTTTAGGAACTTAGCCTCCCTGAGTCTCATTTTCTTTATTAAATGAAATCGTTATAGTAACTATCTCAAAGGGTTGTTGAGAAAGTTAAGCGACTTAATGTATACAGTGTGTGTAGCACCGTGTCTGGTACATAGGGAGCATGCCATAGGCGCTGTAGCCAATTGAATCAGGTTGCTGCAAAAGTAATCACACTTTTAGCAATTACCATTTTTTTGTGTGTTACGTTTTGTTTTCTTTGAGACAGAGTTTCGCTCTTGTTTCCCAGGCTGTAGTGCAGTAGCACGATCTCAGCTCATTGCAACCTTCTCCCGGGTTCAAGAAAGTCTCCTGCCTCAGCCTCCTGAGTAGCTGGGATTACAGGTGCCTACCACCATGCCCAGCTCATTTTTTGTATTTTCTGTAGACACGGGGTTTCACCATGTTGGCTGGGTTGGTCTCAAACTCCTGACCTCAGGTAATCCACCCGCCTCACCTCCCAAATTGGCAATTTCTTTTAATAGCAAAAACTGTGATTACATTTACACCAATCTAATACTTTCCAAAGATGGCTACAACAACGTATCCCACCCCACATGCTTTTCTGCAGTGTATGCTGACACTTCCCATTCAAGGGTGAATCTATTTCTCCACCTCCCTTAACTTGCATGGGCCTACAGCAGTTTTGACCAACAGAGTGTGACAGAAGGGACACTGTGTCGGGTCCGTGCATAGTCTTTAACAGTCTGGCCAGCTCTGCTTCCTGCCTTTAGAAGCCACCTTCCTCCAAAGTCATATGCTATGGCCGCTCTACTGTAGACACCCAAGCCTTGCGGAGAAGCCCTGGGGAGACACCCTTTGGGGAGATAGGGAGGCTGGGGCACTAGGCACCCGCCTTGAGAACCAGGGATCCAGTCTGGGCGTTCAGCTCAGTTCAGCCCTGAAATAACCATCTGAATGAAACAGCACCAGAGACCCCTAGAGGAAACCCCCCAGCTGAGAACCAGGAGAGATAAAAACAAACCGTCGTTTTAAGCTACTGTTTTGGAGTGGTGTGTTAGGCAGCAACAGATGACTGGAACAGATACTGTCGGCTGGCTATATCATCATCACAATCATTGCTTCATGCAAGGGCCTTTGCTGTTAGATATTCAGGATACAATTTAAAGATTCATAGGACCTGATATTCCACCATGAAGAACATTCATTGTAAGTGAGAATAATAATAAATCAGCAAGTGATAGTGGGTGAGCAGGATGCTAATAAGAGGTCCTCTGTTCTGAGTGTGTGCAAAGTGCTAAGAGGACACAGAGGAGTGAGTGGTTATTCTACTTGGAGCAAATCCTGGGAAGGGGTGTGGTGGCATTAGAGGAGACATCCTCACAGAGGCAGTGACGTGAGCTGACCTTGAGGAACAATGGGATGTTACCAAGCAGCAAATGGAGGAGACAGTGGGGATAGATTTCCTCAAGTAATTACAGCAGCTGGAGAACTTCTACCCAGATTTAATGTAAAGAATAACATTAAGACTGATAATTTGACTTCTGTTGCTCAAAAGCTGATTCTAAGTAATTGGAAAGATAATTTGACTACTTAGGATAGATGGTGGAATTTGATTTTTCATATCTCTCGATTGGCGGGGAGAAGAAGAAGCTGCAGTGCAAAATCAGAAGGAGAATAAAGGCCTGAATCTGGCTGACAATTTTTAAAATCCTGTGTTGGCCGTCTGGATTCTGCTGCCCTGAAATGCCTCCTTTTGGGTAGGCTGCAATTAGAGGCATTTGTGCTGCCATTTGTTCCCATTGTTGTCTGTTTGAACAAAAATTCTGTGAATAACGGAAATTATACATCCAGTTCATCTTCTGTAGATTTTTCTAAGAACTCTATCTGCAAAGATTCGAGGAGTTTTATGATGAAGAAACATGAAGTATTTCTCTACCATCTTTGTCAAGGTTTCATTTTCTCTTTTAATGTTTTCAATTGCTTTAAATGTTGATTAGATACAAAGGAATACTTATAAAATATGCATAAGGCATAAAGAACAATAAAACATATTAGATATGTGTATGCATTCTCAGTTTTTATGAATTACCATTAATTCTGATGTTTTCATTCCTCCTTTCATGTTCACAACTCCTCACCCCTAACAAGCAAAAACTATCCTGAAGTGTGGGTTAATCATTCACTTGCTTTTATCTTTAGTTTATATCATTATAAATACTTTGGTTTTGCTGGGTTTTGAGATTCCTGCCAAAAGAATCATGTTACAGATTTTATCTTGCACCCAGACTGCCGAGTTTTGATAACTGGTTCTACCAGTTACGAGCTATGAGTTCTTGAGAAAGTTAAGAAGTCTCAGTACCTGTTTTGTCATCTGCAAAATTAAAATAATAATAGTGTGTACTTTGTAGTATTCTTGTGAGAATTAAATGAGCTAATTTGTATAAGACATTTAAAACAGCATCTAGAACATAATGTGAGCTATGTAAATCTTAGTTCTGATTGTTCTATAGTCTGTTTTATGACTGCCCCAATGTACATTCCAAAGATAATCCATGCTATTGTGGATAGCCATATTTATTTCCATTTTATGGAAATATAATATTTTTATGTGCATATAATACCATTTATTTATACACTCTCCAGTCAATAGACACTTGAGTTGTTTCCTAAATATTGCTAATACAAGTGCTGTTAAGAACAATCCAGTTTACATGTCCTAAAGCATAGATTCAGGAGTATCTGTACAGAAGGTATATTCCTAGGACTGAAATTTCTGAGACTCAGCGTATGCACACCTCTGATTTTACTAGGCGATGTCACAATTACCAAAGCAGCCAGGTCATTTTATGCTTTCTACCCACAAGTGTGCCTATGTGACCCAGTTACTTCATGACTTTGGACAAAGTCATGCCAGTCCTTCCATACTGGCAGTTTTAATTTTTACGAAACCAGTGGGTGATTTTAATCTGTATTTTTTGACTATAGTATAGCTTTAATCTGTATTTTGTTGACTATGGTGTAGCTAAGCATCCTTTCAGATATTTATTAGCCATTAAGCTTTTCTCGTCTGCACACAATGCTTGTCAAATCTTTTGCCAGGCAAAAGATTTTTTTTTTTTTTTTTTTTTGGTCAGGCATTTGTCGTTTTCATATTGATTTGTATGCATTATTTATTTATTCTGCACACTTTTCTCATTTTGTGACTTGAGTTGTTATTCTCTTTTGATATTTCCTTTTGGTGACCGTAATTTCAGGTCAATGAGTCATAGCGAACTTTTCCTTATGATTCATTCATTTTGTGTATTGTTTAAAGAAACTTAACATGAGATCATAGCTTCCTACGTTGAATTCCAAACATCACAAAATCTGCCTTTCACTTTTAAATCTTTAATAGCCTGCAATTGATTAATTTGTGTATAGTGTGGAGGAGTTTGGGGATCTTTTCTTTCTCTCTTTTTCTTTTTCGCATGGATAAACAATTTACCCGGCTCTATATATTAAAAATGCTATCGGCCGGGCGCAGTGGCTCACGCCTGTAATCCCAGCACTTTGGGAGGCCAAAGCGGGCAGATCACGAGGTCAGGAGATCGAGATCATCCTGGCTAACACGGTGAAACCCCATCTCTACTAAAAATACAAAAAACTAGCTGGGCGTGGTGGTGGGTGCCTGTAGTCCGAGCTACTCAGGAGGCTGAGGCAGGAGAATGGCGTGAACCCGGGAGGCTGAGCTTGCAGTGAGCCGAGATCGCACCACTGCACTCCAGCCTGGGCAACAGGGCAAGACTCTGTCTCAAAAAAAAAAAAAAAAAAAAAAAAAAAAAATGCTATCTATCCCTCCTCCACTCATCTGCAATGCCAGCTCTGTCGTAAACCAAGTTTTATTAGGTAGATCTTTTCTAGGTTTTCTTTGCCATGATACATTATCAGCCCCATGTCAATGCACATGTCCTAATTAGTATAACTTTGTTGTAGCTCATGATATCTTGGAATTTATATTCCCCAGCTAGCACTTCAGCAGGACGTTGGCTCTTGAATGTCTGCTCTTTCATGTAAATATAGGATACACACACACACTCTCTCGCTTTCTCTCTCTCTCTCTCTCTCTCTCTCTCTCTCTCTCTCTCTGTCTTTGGGGGTTTTAGGCCGGAATTACTTTGAAATCTACAGATAACTTAGAAGATAAATGACATCTTTATGACGTTGGGTTCTCTAGTTCACGAACATGTTATATATCTCTAGAGAGACCAAGAGACAGAGAGAACTTCTTCAACATAATGCCACAATGTTTCATAATTTTCTTTCCAAAAGACCAGACCTTAACATCTTTTTGAGAAATCCTTTTTTTTTTTTTTTTTTTTCGAGTCGGTGTCTCGTTCTGTCACCCAGACTGGAGTGCAGTGGTGTGATCTCGGCTCACTGCAAGATCAGCCTCCTGGATTCACGCCATTCTCCTGCCTCAGCCTCCCTAGTAGGTGGGACTACAGGCGCTGCCACCGCGCCCAGCTAATTTTTTATATTTTTAGTAGAGACAGATTTCACCTGTGTTAGCCAGGATGATCTCGATCTCCTGACCTAGTGATCCGCCCGCCTCGGCCTCCCAAAGCGCTGGGATTACAGGCATGAGCCACCACGCCTGGCCGAGAAATCATTTTTAGACATTTTACTTATTTTAATGATATTGTAAATGCTAAGATATCAACATTTCATATTTTCATGTCTGTTGGTAGTGTATATTTTTGATGGGATGCAGACAACAGGCTTCCTAAAAGTTTTATCAATTCGAATAATCTGTTTATTCTTTTATGTTTGTTATATAGATAATTATATCATCTATAAGTAATTAAATTTTATTTCTTCCTCTCCATTTCCTTTACATTTTTTTCTTTCTTGCCTGACTACACTGGTTAGGCTAGATTAAAGTGGTGATAGCAGGCACCTGTGTTCTAAATCTTGAGGTAAATGCTCTAATGTTTCACCACAAAATGCAAAGCTTGTTTTCAGGTTTAGGTAGGCTTTGAATATCAGGTTAAAGACTCTAGGTTGCCAAGAGACTTTCTATATATATATATATATATTTAATCAATATATATTTATCTATATATTTAATCAATATTTTCCTTATTTATTAAAGTGATTATATATTTTTCCTTCTGCTTTTGTTAATATAAAGATTTATGTTAATGGGTTTGGTAATGTTAAACGAAACTTGAATTTCTGAGATAAATTCAACTTGGTCATGACATATTATTATTTGTTAGTACATTAGTGCAGTGTTTCATTAATGAGTATTAATGAGAATGGCCTGTAATTTTCTTTCTTTCACTCTCCTTGCTGGTTAGCATCACATTTGTGCTGGCCTCATCAAATGAGTTGCAGTGTATTTCCCAATTTTCCATTCTGGACAAGAGACTATGTAATGGGGAATACGTTGGACCTTTCTCAGCAAACTGATCTTGAATTGGTATTTCCTTGAGGGAAGATTTTCAGCTATTGGTTCAATATCATTGATGGTTATAGAAAGATAGTCAGTTTTACTATTCCCTCATGAGTAATTTTTGTTGCTAGATATTTTTCTACATACGTGTTTGTTCACTAATATTCTTTTACCATTTTAAAGTCTGTTGTGCCTATAATGATGTTCCCTTTTTCAGTTCTTACTTGGTCTGTTGGTGTCTCCACTTTTGTTCCTGATTAAGCTTGCCAAAGGTTAATAAATTTCAGTAGTCCTCTGTATTTTCATTTCATTTTTGATACGAGTAACTTCTTTTTATTATTTCCTTCTGTCTGTGTTCTTGGCAATATGAGTTTGTTATTTCATTGATTCGCCAAATTAGGTGCTTTGTTAATTAAATTTTAGCCATCCTGTTCTACTATAAATATTTCAGTTATGTATTTCTATATTACTGTTAATTTTAAATATTAAATTCCCATTATTATTTATTCTTTGAATTATAATTTGCTGATTTATAAATAAATTCTGGAGCATTTTTACTACCTTGTCACTGATTTCTAACTTAATCATATGGCAGTTGTAAAAAATAGTCTATAAGCTTTATTTTGTGAGTTTTTTTTGAGAGTTTATTTTACGTTCTTTTTTTTTATACTTTAAGTTCTGGAGTACGTGTGCAGAATGTGCAGGTTTGTCTGCACATTTTGTATACCCATGACACATAGGTATACACATGCCATGGTGGTTTGCTGCACCCATCAACCTGTCATCTACATTGGGTATTTCTCCTAATTCTATCCCTCCCCTAGCCCCCCATCTCCTGACAAGCCCCACTGTATGATGTTCACCTCCCTGTGTCCATGTGTTCTCATTGTTCAACTCCCACTTATGAGTGAGAACATGTGTTGTTTGGTTTTCTGTTCTTGTGTTAGTTTGCTGTGAATGATGGTTTCCAGTGTCATCCATGTCCCTGCAAAGGATATGAACTCATCCTTTTTATGGCTGCATAGTATTCCATGGTATATATGTGCCTTATTTTCGTTATCCAGTCTATCATTGATGGGCATTTGGCTTGGTTCCAAGTCTTTGCTGTTGTGAACAGTGCCGCAATAAACATACATGTGCATGTGTCTTTATAGTAGAATGATATAAGGGGCATTTTTTTGCAATATTCCATGTGTGCATGAAAAGAAGGTAGATACCACCATAATTGCATGCAGTGTTATAGAAATATCAACAAGAATTTTGTAAATTATTAAAAGACCAGGCATTAAAAACATTTAAAGTAATTGTGAATTTGTCTGTTTCCTGATAGTTATTTGCAAATACATGTATGATTGAAACAGGATTTTCAAACTATTATTCCCTCCTGGTGAACTAATTTTTATGTTGTAATGTAGTGACCTGCTTGGGAAAAACATCTTTTCCTGAAGAGTTTATTTTGCCTGCCATTAATATAATAACCAAGCAAGCTTCTTTTAGTATTTTAATGCTCCATCTTTTATATCATTTTATATTGACACTTTTCTATTCTTACATTTTTGGTATATATCTTATAAAAAACATACAGAATTTTTAATCTAGTGAAACAGATGTCTTTTTTTTCCTTTTTTTTTTTTTTTTTTTTTTGAGACAGAGTCTTGCTCTGTCACCCAGGCTGGAGTGAAGTGGCGCGATCTCCACTCACTGCAACCTCCACCTGCTGGGTTCAAGTGATTCTCTTGTCTCAGCATCCCAAGTAGCTGGGATTACAGGTGCTCGCCACCATGCCAGGCTAATATTTGTATTTTTTAGTAGAGACAGTGTTTCATCATGTTGGCCAGGCTGGCCTCAAACTCCTAACCTCAGGTGATCCACCCACCTTGGCCTCCCAAAGTGCTGGGATTACAGGCATGAGCTACTGCACCTGGCCTCAAATGTCTTTTAACTAGATAATTTTCTCCATTTACAGTTACTAAAATTACTGACATTTATCTCTAAACTTTATTTTTTGCTTTCTATTTGACCCCCCTTTTTGTTTCTTTTTTTTTGATCTCCTGTTGTTTGTGTGCATATATGTATGTGTATTTTTCTAACTCCATTTTACTTCTATCAGTTTATCTTATGTTTATTATATATTCTATTACTATTTTGTGATTTCCATAGATATTTTAATACACAAGTAAATTATCAACATCTATAGCTAAATGATATATTTACAGTCTTGTAGAGTAATAATGGAACTTTCAACACTTGAATTCTGATCACTCACAATTTATATGCTACTGCTGTCATGAATTTTAATTCTGTTATTAATTAATTTTTTAAAGATTTTTATTATTAATGTTTCAAACAGTCAATACTTTTAAATATTTACCCAAATAGTTAGCATACTCTTTGTCTTTGGTCATATTTTATTTTATTTATTTATTTTTTAAAGCACATGCAACTTTATTCTAAATAAACTGGCAAAGGAAATCATAAATTCAGGCCCCAGTGTGTGATGTTCCCCTCCCTGTGTCCATGTGTTCCCATTGTTCAATTCCCACTTATGAGTGAGAACATACGGAGTTAGGTTTTCTGTTACTGTGTTAGTTTGCTGTGAATGTTTGTTTCCATCTTTATCCATGTCCCTGCAAAGGACATGAGCTCATCCTTTTTTATGGCTGCACAGTATTCCATGGTATGTATGTGCCACATTTTCTTTATCCAGTCTATCATTGATGGGCATTTGGGTTGGTTCCAAGTCTTTGGTATTGTGAATAGTGCTGCAATAAACATATGTGTGCATGTGTCTTGATAGTAGAATGATTTGTAATCCTTTGGGTATATACCCAGTCATGGGATTGCTGGGTCAAATGGTATTTCTGGTTCTAGAACCTTGAGGAATTGCCGTACTGTCTTCCACAATGGTTGAACTAACTTACACTCACCAACAGTGTAAGAGCGTCCCTATTTCTCCACATCCTCTTCAGCATCTGTTCTTTCCTGACTTTTTAATGATCGCCATTCTCACTGATGTGAGATGGTATCACATTATGGTTTTGATTTGCATATCTCTAAGGACCAGTGATGATGAGGTTTTTTTCATGTTTGTTGACCGCATAAATGTCTTCTTTTGAGAAGTGTCTGTTCATATCCTTTACCTACTTTTTCATGAGGTTGTTTGTTTTTTTTTCTTGTAAATTTGTTTAAGTTCCTTGTAGATTCTGGATATTAGCCTTTTGCCAGATGCATAGATTGCAAATTTTATATGTCAAACCTTCCATTGAGGATTGCATTTTTCAGTATGAAGAACAAAATTTGGAATTTTTTTTAAATGAAAGCATATAGTAAGAAAAGACTTTTTAATGCTAAAAAAGCCTTTATTTTCTTACAATGATAACTTCATTAGAATTTATTAGACATATAATTTCAGATTGACAGTTGTTTTCTCTCAGACTCATAAACTTATTTCTTATTCCCTTTGGCAAACAACAGGTATTAATGAAAAATAAAAGCTTTTGAAGGCAATATTTATTTTCTCTCTGGATGCTTTTAAAATCTTCTCTATGTTTTTTGGTTTTCTGTAGTTTTACTATAATATGGATAGATGTGAGTTTTTTCTTATTTAACCTGCTTTGGATACGTTGGATATCCTGATTCTCTATTTTGTTGTTTTTCACTATTTCTCAGTACTCTGTCATTATCTCTTTGAGTATTTTTTCCTCTCATTCTTTCCCATCTTTTTCTGAAACTTTGATTAGATGTATACTAGACCGTCACGTTTTAGCCTTCATCTCCCAACCTTTCATTCAGAGTTTCTATTTCTTCACTCTAGCCTGAATGCTGAATGATGCATTTTAAGGATTTACATATCAGTTAATGAGTTAAGTATCTTTATTTGTGTCTAAACTGTATTAAACCTATAATATAATTTTTTTCACAAATCTACTTGATCATTTTTATGTCTCATTTTTATTTTTTATATGAAAGTTCCTTTTCCTTAGTTAAACATAATATGTACACTTTGTTCATGTGTCCACTAATGGATATATGGCTGTAACATTTGTCCACTAGTTTTAATATCTAGACTGAACAGCTAATCCTGTTGTCTGTCATTTCTTCTAGTTCTCACTTTGCTGCTGTTATCTGAAGCATTTTTTTTTTTATTTTGTCTGCCTGCTCATATTTCTTACAAATTAACCCATGGGAATTCTTTGAGGCCTGGGTTGAAATTGTGCTCCCCCAGAGAAAATTTGTATTTGTTTTTTGGGGTGCCTAAAGGAACTATTAAAACAGGCCTTCCTTACATTACTCAGATTGAAGGTTTCTAGACAATCTAGGCTGGAATCCCATGCATATTTGTTAATTCTCAGGAGGAAATTTTGTCCCTTAAGTATCAATGTTTGAGAGTAGAGAGGTAGGCTTATTTCTAGTTCACCCTTACCCTGAGAGAGCAGCTCTTTAGGGGCCAGTTTTACACACAGGTGGGCCTCCTATTAGACTCCTTTCCGTCACTCTTCTGCTAGATTATTCCACAGTGTAGAATATGTGAGCTTTGTATCAAGTCTCCCATGTTCTGCCAGGCCATGAAAATTAAAGGCCATTTTCCTCTGTGTTGGCAAAGCAACCAAGGAGAAAGCGATTTCAGTTCTTTGCTTCTCTTTCTAGGTTCTCATCTTTATTCACCTTCATTTAGATTTTGGACTCTCTCTGAATAGTCCCTGCTTTTGGCATCTATTAACTGAAAATTAGTTGCTTAAAAAACTTTGCTATTGAAGGTTAATCATGATATCTGTTTATTATGCTACAAGAAATAAACAATATTCTCCCTGTGGAATTCAATTTTTTTATTTTAATAAAATTATAGTTAAAATAGAAGGAAGTAGGATTTTACGTTTTTCATTCAATCATTGGTGCTCTTATTTTTACGTAAAGAAAAGTAACACATCTGTTCTTTGCTTAACGTGATTCACTAACGTTTTACAAAGGCACCTTCAACGAGCATGAATTAAGCTCTTACTGCATGCCAAACTTTGTGCTCTTCCTATTCAAATACATTATCTCAATAGATTTAATCTTCAGAGATAAAGGATTCAAGGGCTAATCTATATATTAAGATGCAAAAACCAGATCTCCCTGGTTTGAGAGATGAAAGAGTGGAATGAGCACTGACCCTCTCATTGTCAGGGAAATGTGAAGTCGATAAGATGCATGAGATGATTGAGATAACTTTGAGAAGAATTTTATTAGTACTGAGCTTCTGTGTTCTTTCAAGCTTTGGGCATGAATGTCTAGAAGAATGGAACAAAGGGGAAACCATTGACTCAGAACCAGAAAGCCAGAGCCCTCATTTTCTCTCCACCTTTCACAAGCTCTGTGAACCCAGGCAAAACCTTTACTCTGTAAGCCTTGGATTTCTTCATCGGAAAAAGAAATACTATAACTTCTACCAATTTTCTCCACCATCTTTCATATGACCATGCTTGAAGTAGCAGAACATTTGATCATGAAGATAGATGACTATGGCTGCTGTGACAAGAGATTATGTGAGAAGAGATTAAGCCTTGAAATAAACCAGACCACAGTTCCAATCTTTTCTCTGCTAGATAAGAGTTACATGATATAATGTATGTAAAGCACATGAGAAATATGTGGCATTGCATGACACTTAATTTTTAGTTCTTTGATCTTGGAGTCCTAAGACAATAACAGCTCCAGCATATAATAGCATTTGAGACACAGATAAATTGGTCAGTTTCATCTATTACATAAAAGAGATAATAATATATGTCTCACAAGACTGGTCCCCTGATGCCACTTGAGATAGTACATGGGAAAGGTCTTAATCACTTCAAAAGGACTATAAATATGAGGTATCTCATTACGTGGTAACTTGTACATTGAGATATTTAGCTAAGAATATCAGTAAAAAGATAGGGAGTCTGTCCTATAACACCAGGATGCAAGTGAAATACGAGGCATGATTCCAATTTTTTCTGGTTTCCAGCCTATGTAGAAGGTGAATCTTCAGGGTCTGTTAGTGTCCAGAGATGAGTCACAGTGAAATCAGTGGATTTGACACAATTAGTTGTAGTGGAATGAGCACTGACCTAGAATCTGGAAATCCCGGTTTCAATTCAGAATCTATGGCAACTTTCTGAGGATAAGAGGAGGAGCATCTATGGGACTTAGGGCATAATATATCTATGTTTATCGGTCTTGCATAGCCATCACCTACAATAGTGTCTTTCATGGGTCAGCTGAATGAACAAGTGAAACATTTTTTTTACAGTTTGTTTTCCCTCTGTAAAATAGTGATCAAAATGCCTACCTCTTGGAATTACTTGGATATATAGGAAAGGCCTCACCCAGGACATAGTGGTTACTTAATATAGAGTACTTCCCTCCCTGAACTGCTAATAAGAATCTCATATCTGTATCCTAGGTGGATTTAATATGACTTCTTTTTCTACAAGTCAGAGCTCAATCATATGTCCATAAAATAAGTGCTCTTCCAACTCCAAAAAGCTATGTCTTAAATTCCCTTCTTGTTCTTCACTGGAATTAATTTCAACAAATAAAAGAAAATGAACAGATTCTGCTGGCAGAACTCAAAATCCAAAGGAGACTCATGTATAACTATTTCCCAGTCTTCAAAGACTTCAAAATCCACCAGCTCAGATGCCTCATAAAAAGTAATAATATAGAAGACAGAAACTGAAAATGTCCAAGGACCTCCAACAAGCCTGAGATTCTGTGATAGCAGGTACTAAGTCCCCACTTTTCACCAGATAGTCACAGAGGGAAATGGTTGAGAAAATGAATGATCTCTTGATACATAACAAGTTTTTGTGGTAACTTCAGGGCCAGCCTATGATGAGCTATGATTTCTGTATCACATAGAGACTGGACCCACTTAGTAGGGGTTAATGAAGTAAGACTCAGCCCCTATCCCTGAGTATATGAAAGTCTATGGGGGTCTGGAAGGCACACAAATGACAGCATCGCCTGGGAAACACAAGGATAGAGATGTATACAATGTTCAGTGATGGCAACAAAAAGAATGTGGCAAAAACCTACCCAAGGATAGGCTGTCTTGAACACATATTTCTTCAGTGGAGTCTTAACAGCAAAAGTCTTGGTTCAGCAATTTCTTCCTGTTGCCAAATCTATGGCTGTGAAATCATGCACAGTTTGTTCACAGAGTTGCTCTAGGAACATGTGCATAAAGTTGATCTTAAGGGATAATGAATAGTTAAGAATAATGGTTTGAATGTGGGTGTTTGCTCTCCTGCGGAATATAGGCAGTTACATTTACCCATGATTATGTTCAGGCTTACATACAAGGGAAAAAAAAAAGAGCAGGTGAGAGAAGAAAGCCCTTCTCTATCTTGATTGCAGTGTGGCTGGGACGTCGCACTCTGTGCCAAGAAGCACACAGCTTGGTGGCCCACTTCTGTCTTCTCCATTTCTGTCTTTCACAGGCCAGTTTCACTGGCACTGAGGAATTTCTTCCTGGCAAAATGAATTTTCTTGGACGCATCTGCTCCAAAGCTGATAATATGTCTTGGAAACCCGTTATCAGGCCATTTCTCTTTGCACATCAAATCTTGGGTCTATTTCCTGAGCTGACACATAAGTAACATAGACTGACCCTTAAAATGCCAAAGCTCTCTGGATTTAAAAATAAACCTTAACCTTACAAAATTCAGCCTTTAGTTCTCTTTTGGGTTGTGTTTTATTTAAAAGAAGCGTTCAAGTTAATGGAAATGAAATTAGAATTTGAAAATTTTTCAAACTTGTTAATTGGTATATAATAATTTTACATATTTTGAGAGTATGGGTGATATTTTGATACAGGTATACAAGGCATAATGGTCAAATCAAGGTAATTCACATACCCACACTCAAATTGAAATTTAAATTAAATTCCTCCATAACTTGCTCACCCACCATTGTTAACATTTTGGTGTTATTTCTTTCCAGGCTTTCTTCCATTCATAATGTTAGATTACCCCCATATATAAATCATATTTTGCAAAATTGGGATTTTACTGTTCATATGTTTTTGTAGCTGCCCTTTTTCCTTAATAAATAATGGGCATCTACTTGGATACATAAATAGAATTCACAAGCCCATTAAAAAATCAAGGTATTTGGGATATCCATCACCTCAAACATTTATCTTTTCTTTGTGTAGGGAGCATTAAAATTCTTCTCTTCTAGCTACTTTGAAATATACAATAAATTATTGTTAACTCTAATTTCCCTACTGTACTCTTGAATACTAGAACTTACTTCTTCTATCTAACTGTATTTTTGTACCCATTAACCAACTTCTCTTCAAAGGAGGTGTCTACACATACAGTTTTAATGAATGTTTATCTATGTGTGCATATGTGCCATTTTGTAAGTACCTACTACGTACCTGGTACATATATTATGGTATAAGCTAATCTTAAATATTGAATAAGATTAAATATATTATTATATTTAAAGTAAATGATTAGGCAGTTAAGTATGTAAATTCCTGTCTATCTGACTTAAGCACTTGTGTCATTTCTATTTAAGCATGGAGATTTATAAGGTTCTTACCCTCCGAAAGGAGAGGAATGGATATTTCAGGATGAGTATAGAATCTCAAAACAATAGGGTTAAAAGTTCTCTTAAAGCACATTTATTCACTTTGCAGGCATTTAGTGAGCTCTATAGTATGGGCTGGGCAATGACTAGACTCTGGGGACAGTGACATGAAATGTCTCCCTCTGTCCATCATTATTCATTTATGTCTTCACATCATACTATTAGCTGCTAGAGGCAGCGAAGCTCAAGGCTGAGACATAAGATGGATGCTTGACATTGCAGGGGACAGCTACCTAAGGCTGGAGTGGAATCCCAGAGAGGAAGGAGATCAGGGAAGGCTTTTTGGAATAAGTATTTATTTTCACTATTCACCCCACTTCCTTTAATGACTCCAGGTCAACCCATAAATGTATTTCAAGATTCAATCACAGAAAGAGCAAACAGTATGTGCAAGTGCAGGAAGACACCGGATGCTTACCCAGCTATGAACTGGGATCTTCTAAGCCTTGAGATCTAGCTAAGATTGGCATAAACGCCCTTTTCATTCTTTGTAGAAATTTGAAGTCCTACTTAAGAAGTATATGAATCCCCAGCATAAGTATCCTCTTATAAATATCTCTGGTTCAGAGTGCAGGGCAGGAATTGAGAAGCAGCAGAAAAACTGACTTCACTCAATTTCTTGCTGAGCCATAATGAAGTCAGTGAGAAAAGGAAAATCAGTAATACGGATCCTGTTTTTGTTTTAAAATTTGATTTTTATTATGAATTGTTTGCATTAATGTTATTTTTTAAATATTGCATTCATTTTCATTACTGACATTGTTTGGTGCCCTCTTAAATTTTGCTATCAATGCAAGGGCCTCATGTGTCTCACCCTGTTCTTCTGCCTGAGCCTCTACTATATTCTGGGTTGCACAGTGTAGACCACCTGAGCTCAAACCTAGGCTCTGCCTTCTACTAGCTGGGAAAGAATTTACATGCGACCAAACCTCAGTGTGTCTCACTTTTCTCATCTATAAAATGGAGATAATAACAGCACCATATTTTTCAGTTGTGAGGTTTAACCAAGTCCATACATGGAATGTGGTAGGAGAGAACCAAACACCTAGAAAGAACAGTTGTCAGTTATTATGAAGGCACCTAAATAAATATGAGCAGTCATTGCTCTTTTGTCCTCCCCTCCCACTATAGCAATAACCAAGACAAGCAAAGCTTTGTCTTTGTATATAAAGCAAAGCTTGTGCCTGAAGATTTGGGAGTAATACTGAATGGAAATATGCTCTACACCTGAAACAACTTAAATCACCCAACAGACACATTCATTCCTTGTGACTACTTCCCACGAGGCTCCGCCCCTCAGTATGAGCCATACTCAGCTTCCTGACATTCCACGGGCTCCCCTTTCTCCCTTCACTAGGTATCCTTCTTGCCCCCTTGCCCCATGTTGCCCAAATTCGTCTCCATATTATGCAGAACACTTTGATTTTCTCTAGCCCTTTCTTCAAAAATCAGTTTCAGGCCTGCATGCATAGGCAAGCTCACTGAGATTCACAATAGAGAAAAGGAATTTCCATGTAACATGATCTAGGGAACTACAGTTATAAACCATCTAAGAGCATAAAATAATTGAGGAACATAAGATATTTGATGTGGTTTGGGCCCAAAGATGTCATGGTGGAATTTCCCTCTGGGACATTTGGACATGTATTTGTGACACTGAGAGTTTACAACTGAATTGGTATTTTGGCATAAACTAATTTTGAACTCTGACTGGGGGTATATTAGAAAGTGTGATAGTGTGACAGTCTCATGTGTGAGAGTGGGGATACTGGCGTAGCCCCTCCCTCATCCACCCTGTACCAATCCTCTGTTATTATGCGCCTGAGCGTGGCTGCATATCTTCTTCCCAGTGTATTCTCCTTTGTCACTTCAGCACCTATCCTTGTGGAAGCAGGAAGTTATGAGATAGAAGCAGCAGGCAAAAGAAAGGAAAACAGTCACTATCAGGCAACCATGATAGACTATTTTCTTACTTCTGAACTGTAGGCATCATCAGGACAAGGACTGTGTCTCTCTTGGTCATTATTTTATGCATCCCAAGTATATAACACCAACCCCGGTTCAGAGTAGACATCCAAGAGACATTCTGTTAATTGATTATTGCTAGAGCAATTGATTAAAAGTTGAACAGAAACTGAAGATGGTATCTCATGAGTGTGAAGTCATATGAGCTTCTTTCTCTGCAGCCATCACAGGGAGGAGTAAATATAAAGAACTATTTGTAACTTCCAGGAAGATTCATTCTTTTCCAGGTGACATAATTTAGAAACACAGCCAGCAGACAAAACGTGAAGGCGAGGGTCACACACAGCCAAGACCCAGAACACTTACATCCTGAAACTGAACCGCACGGTTTTAAGTATCATGTCTATTTTTCCATTTGTCTGTCTGTCTGTATGTGTGCGTATATATAGCCTGTTTTGTTCTAGGTAGATGCATCTGTCATCCATCAATACAGATTTACCAAATACCAACTAAGATAAGCATTAAAAAATGGCGACTTATGGCTTTGAAGCATTTAACATTTGAAATGACCATCAGTGTTCACTATTTTACATACCCTTCCCAGAAGCTCTAAAGGAATTCTAGGGCAAACATAATTATTACCATTTTAGAGTTGAGACAATGGAGGATTAAAGAAGTTAGATGACTTTCCCAGCTACCCAGCTATTAAATGACAGTGCACCCAGTGAGTTAGGTTGGGTCATTGTTGTTTACATTGTTTTATTTTTCCCCCTTTTTTGGCATATAGATGAGGAAACTGCAGGGCAAAGTTTTCATGACTTACCCACATGCATACAGGTCCAAGATGCACTAGCACAGACAGATGACCAGGTTTTTCTTTCTAATGCTCATTCTGTCTTCTCTCTCCTCATTCTTTCCTCCCTGCTTCTATCCTTATGGTCCACTCTGCCTAGAAAGACCTCCTCTCCCCAACTGGTCTACCTTTAGGGTATAAATTAAATGACTCTCCAGAAAAAAAATGTTCCTTATTCTCTGAACCTCAAGGAACATCCTCTCTGTGCCTGTTTTCTCTCCTTTGCATTGTTTCCTGTTGCCTTGGCCTTTCAATCAGAAGCTCCCTGAGGGCAAGTGCAATATCTCGGCCATCTCTGCATGATGCAGCACAATTCTGAGACTTGTCAGACATGTGGCAGGTGGAACTGGAGATGAAGTAAGAGTGTGTATGGCAGTGTATGCTGAAAATAGTAAAGGATGCTATGTATGTCCAATTTGTGTATTTATTTTTACTTTGATTTATGCCTTTGCCTTTATTGAAATTGACTTACACAGTTTGTTTCTCATACATTAGGTAGGTGTTTTAGTCCATTTTCACACTGCTGATAAAGACATACACGAGACTCGGTAATTTATAAAGAAAAAGAGGTTTAATGGACTAACAGTTCCACATAGCTGGGGAGACCTCACAATCCTGGTGGAAAGGAGAAAGGCACACGTTACATGGTGGCAGGCAAGAGAGAATGAGAACCAAGCAAAAGGGGAAACCCTTTGTAAAACCATCAGATCTCATGAGACTTAATCACTACCATGAGAACAGTATGGGGGAAACCACCCCCATTATTCAATTATCTCCAACCGGGTCCCTCCCACAATACGTGAGAATTATGGGAGCTACAATTCAAGATGAGATTTGGGTAGGGACACAGCCAAACCATATCAGTAGGAGAGTTGTATTTTTGAGAGTGCCAAGTTAATGGATGATGTACTTGAAGGATGCATTTTTGTCATTTATGTGTTTACTCACTTATTCATTCAGAAGAAGAGGTCTGAAAGCTAAGAGCTGTCTATATGCAGCACTCCCAGCAACTGGGGGAATACATCTCTTAGTCCCAAAGGGGTTCTGGGCAGCACATCACAGTACAGTATCCACTACAGTCTTGGCATAACGTCTGGATTCTATCCCAAGGGCAATGGGGTCTCCACTGGAGTGAGAGTATTTTCTGCAGTTTACCCTTCACTCCACATAAGCTCCTCTTCCTGCTGAAGTCATTCTGCATCCTTAGTGCAGACCCAGATTATTAGAAACCCCAATGATGGGAACCACCTGCTGTCTCTCTACCTCCACTGAGGCTACTGCTTCAACCAGCAAAACCCCAGTAACAACATTCCCACTCCCCATCCCTTTCATACCAGTCCTCCAGCCCCAGGAGGCCTGTGAAACCCCACTGAGTAAGCCTCCCCACACCCCAAGCAAAACTCCCAGCCTCCCTCCAACTGTCCCTCAGGAGGCCTGTTCTTCTCTACTTAAGGGTCGAAATCATGCTAGAAACTTTAAACATGACTCCCTGTATTCTCCCACAGCTAAAACACACCCAAGGCAAAAATCCTACATTCTGATCCAATGCTTTAATTTTTTTACATGAAAAATAGCCCTGACATGCTCAGCGGTTGAGGGTTGGGCAAGCTTCCAGAGGCAGCTACCACAAGGCCCCCTTCACTGTGGCTTCACTTCTAGCTATAGCAAAGGTCTGCCTCTGAAGCTTGAAACACAGGCTCCCAGGTGAGCACTTCCTGCTGGCTTCCAGCATCTGCTTTTCATCTGCCTATAAGTAGGTTTCACGTTGCTGTTTATAGTTCTTGCTACAAGGACAGTTCCTGGGCAAGGAAGCAGAAGCCTGCGGTGCTTGGGAGAAGGCAGAAGTGTGATGATGGAAGAGGAAGAACAATAGTAACAGCTCACACTAGTGCAGCCCTTCCTAGTCTGCATCTCAAGTCTGGTGATTTGAGTAATAGCCTGGCCATAGGATCCACATTTTGTTAAGGAAGTGGAAGTGAAGAATGTTCATGCGGTTTCCTTAATGTTGCACAGCAGTTAGCAATAGAGGAAGAATTATAATACACAAGGTGTATGTGTGTGTTATGTGTGTGTGTGACACAGAGAGATACTTTTAAGACCTCTTCAAAAATGTTAGTCCAGGCCAGGTGCAATGGCTCACGCCTGTAATCCCAGCACTCTGGGAGACTGATGCGGGAGGATCACCTGAGGTCAGGAGTTCGAGACCAGCCTGGCCAAAATGGCGAAACCCCTGCCTCTACAAAAAATACAAAAGTTAGTTGGGCGTGCTGGTGCATGCCTATAATCCCAGCTACTTGGGAGGCCAAGGCAGGAGAATCTCTTGAACTGAGGAGGCTGAGGTTGCAGTGAGCTGAGATCGTGCCACTGCACTCCAGCCTGGCGACAGAGTAAGACTCTGCCTCAAAAAAAAGAGACAAAAAAAAAAAATGTTAGTCCATTGTCCTCCTCCATGCAACAATGCCCTAAATAACCTCTTTGGCAGAGGCTTCAGAAACAAGAAGCATACTTATTGTGTTGAAAGTTAGACTGTAGTGTTATTGATTCAAATGACTGAAGAACAATGATCCACCATCAAACTGAAAATAGAAAGTAGTGTGGTCTAGGGAAACAAAGCCCAGACATTAGAAATTAGGCACCTCTGGAGCTGAGTCTTAGTTATATTCCACTTTATGTGCGTCATGGAAGAAATAACTTCACATTGCAATGCCTCCAGTGATTCACCAATGCAGTAATTTCTTTCACAAGAGAATATTTGTCAGGCATTCAGAGCAGCACCACCCAACAGACCTTTCTGTGATGATGGAAATGTTCTAAATCTGCACTGTCCAATATGGTAGCCGTTTGCCACATGTGGCTACTGAGAACTTAAAAATGTGACTAGTACAACTGAGGAACTTAATTTTTATTCATTTTTAAATGTTTAATTAATTTTAAGTTATATTTAAGTAGCCACATGAACTCATGGCTACCATATTGGAGAGTAAAAATCTAGAAACTGCTAATTCATGGTCTTATTTGTTCTCCATGACTTATATAAAGCAGAAAATCTTTTCGTTTTGTGGATGAGGAAACTGAGGCCCAGAGGAAATCCCACTAGGCTCTCATAGGGGTGTCTCATGCCATTAGTTGGTTCCCAAGCTGAGAGCTATAGGCAGCCCCCTCTCACCCAGCCCAGCAGGACATATGCAAGCCCTAAAGCCAGTTGATCATTGCCTGAGCAGAGAAAGTGCTTTGCACAATGAGCCAAAGCCACTGACAAAGCATTATTCATTGTGTCAGTGCTGAGGCATCCTGTCTAAACAATTTCTGTCACCAGCAGGAGAGGCTGGCTGGGTAAAAGACTCAGAGCCATTCAGTCAGTTTCATGCAGCCTTACTCAGCAGTGCAAGAAAGGGCCTGAAACTTGACATTAGACTCTTTCTGTATTGGCCAGAAATGTCTCTAACTCGCCAGGTAAAGAATATTCTGAAATGCCCACTTCAGTACAATGATTTGGGGTCTTAAAAGATGTCTTCTGGAAGGCGTCTGATATGAGCCAAACTGTGTCCCATAAACATGCATATGCTGAAGCCCTAACCCCCAGCATCGCAGAATGTGACTGCATTTGGAGACAGAGGTAACTAATTTCAAATGAGACCATTAAGTTGGCCTCTAAGCCAATGTGACTGATGTCCTTATGAAAAGAAGAAATTTGGGCACAGACGTTCAGAGGGGACCATGTAAAAACACAGAAATAAGACAGCCAGCTACAAGCCAAAGAGAATGGCCTTGATCCCAGATTTCTCGCCTCCAGAATCATGAGATAATAAATATCTCTTGTTTAAGCCACCCAGTCTGTGGTTCTCTCCTATGGCAAGCCCAAGCAAACTAATACAGTGTTTATTTGATAAATCTCTCCAAATGATTCTAGCAAGAAACACAGGTGGGCAACTCTAGCTTTAATTCATCAAGGAATGACAATCATAGTAACACCAGTGTCAATAACAACCACAAAAAATGAAAGCATTATAGATTTTCACAATTAATATACCACTGTCACACACATTTTCAAGTTCACAGAGTCTATATTTAATAAAGCCGAATCACAAATTCTAGTTCCTAGACTCCTCAATCCTGGGCAAATTCCATGTCATCATTTCATATATCTGCTTTTCGCCAAAGCCACCTTTGATTCAGGGTGACCATATTGCCCAATTTTCCTAAGGCTGTTCATGTGCATGCTGTTTTCCCAGAGTAATTATTAGTAGAGCCCCCTTTCACTCTCAAAAGCATCTGGATGCACACAATTTATTACACAGGCATCCTACATATAAGCTACATTTAATAGTGAAAGTTTTCCCAGGGTGGTTACGAATCCTGAGTAGAGCATAGTGGCTGTCAGTATGGTAAGGAAATGTCTCTCTGCAGTCGGTGTTCTCACAGGCACCCCTGTGGGTGCAGACACAGGCTGAATGTCAGGCCGTGGTGTAGAAAACATGGTACAGTTCGGGGCTACATTCAGGAGACCAGTGCCTTGGTTTGGACCTGCCACTGGCTTGCAGGGGGAGCATAGGTAAAATGAGACAATTAAACTAGATGACCCTGTGCTCACTCCAGCTTTAATTTTCTGGTTAATTCAATAATCACTTAATGTGTTTAAGGGACTCTTTAAGAGAGTAGGCAATAAAAGAGGAATGATGGGCCGGGCGCAGAATGATGGCTCACGCCTGTAATCCCAGCACTTTGGGAGGCTGAGGCGGGTGAATCACAAATTCAGGAGATCGAGACCATCCTGGCTAACACGGTGAAACCCCATCTCTACTAAAACTACAAAAAAAAAAAAAATTAGCTGGGCCTGGTGGCGGGCACCTGTAGTCCCAGCTACTCGGGAGGCTGAGGCAGGAGAATGGCATGAACCAAGGAGGCGGAGCTTGCAGTGAGCCAAAATCACACCACTACACTCCAGCCTCGGCAAGAGAGTGAGACTCCGTCTCAAAAAAAAAAAAAAAAAAAAAAAAAAAAAGAGGAATGGTGGGCATGTTCCAGGAGCTGGGAGTCTTTTGGAGAGGTAGGACATACATGTGATTCTAATGTTTTGCTCCAAAACATCTGAAGTATGTATTAATTTGTGACAGTAAGAAACAACCCTGCCAAAAAAAAAAAAAAAACTTTTTTTATTGTTGCTTATCACATAAAGGTCTATTTTTTGTTCTCACAAAGCTTTTTGTGAGTACAGCAATTCTCCAGGGCAGATATCTTCCAAGCAGTGATACAAAGGTTCCAATCTTGTAGCTTCCCCATCTGGAACAGGCATCTGAGGCTGGAGATGGAGAGCTGGGGAGTGATGGGTACAATACACTCCCTTTTGCTCAAGCCCCATTGTCTGGAACTATTTGCATGGCCTTGCCTGAGGCTGGGAAATGTGGGAAAGTACATGGGTCTTCAATAAGCAATAAATGTCTTTGATGAGCAACCTCACAGAACCCAGAAAATGATAGAAACATGTTTATTTGCTCTTCTCGTGTCCTTCTTAGCAGCCTCTGCAGTCTATCTGCAATGGGCACTCGGGAGGCCCTGCTCCATACTGCAACACCTGTGTGCACAGAGCCATAGTGCCCAGCCCCTGGGGTTTCTCTCCTCAGAGTCACAAGTGTACTTGGAATTCAAAGAATGAGAGGGAGGCAGATATTTACAGTAGAGGGATATATTGTCATGATAGATGCTCTACTCTGAAGAACTGGGAAGACTTAAAAGACCTCCCCTACAAAAGCTTTGGTGGGAAGGACAAAGTGGGTGAGCAGTGACCACACAGCACCTTTAGAAGGCAACCTCCATCCTTCCAAATTCAGTTGCAATCAAGCATTTCAACCTCACAGATACAATGTCCTGCCTGCACACCCTAGCTCCAGACACATTCCCAAGTGCACGGTATGAGAGCTGTCTCCATGCCTTGGCGTGCTGCTATTCCTTCTGCTACACCCTCCTTCCCTCCTCCCCTCCCCTCTACCCAAGACCACTCAGGTCCCATGATTCATTTGCTTATATGTTTTCCTAGGACTGCCATAACAAATAGCCACAAACTGGGTGGCCTACAACAACAGAAATGTATTTTCTTACAAATCAGGAGGCCAAAGTCTGAAATCAAGGTTGTGAGCAGGGCGATGTGCTCTCTCGTATCTTCCAGTATTTGCTGGCTGTCCTTGGCATTCCTCCCCTTGCAGCTGCATCACTCCAATCTCTGCCTCTATCGTTACATGGCCATCTTTTCTCTCTGTGTCTTCACGTGTGTTCCCTGCTCTGTGTGTGGTTCTCTCTGTGTCTGTTCTCATCTTATAAAGATACAAGTCATATTGGATTAAAGACCCACCCTACTCCAAGATGAATGGAACTTATATCTTAATTACTTCTGCAAAGACCCTATATCCAAATAAATTCACATTCACAATACCAGGGGTTTGGACTCCCAACACATCTTTTTGGAAGACACCACTCAATCTTGACAGTGTTTTGTAAGTCTACCCAGCCCCCATCAGGCAGAATTACTCCCTCCCACCTCTTGTCCTTATTAATCATAGATCGTCTATTTTGAGTATAGTGTTTGTTCCACGGCAGGAGTTAGTGGTTTGCACATCTCTCTTTCCCACTTTGTGAGAAAAGCAAATTGCAGAGAACGCGTCTTATGCACCATTTGCATCTCTCTAGCAGCATTCTTCACGATGCCTGATGCTGTGCAGAAGAGCGTAGTCTAGAAGAAAGAACACGGATTTTGGAGACAGGCATTCCTCTCAACCCCAAACCTGCCATCTCCTAGCCATGTAACTTTGGACAAGGTATCTAACCTATAAGCTCTTTCATGTCTTCATCTTTGAGATGGAATAATAACCCAATCCAACCCATTTAATTCATGAGAGGAATTTATTGGCTTAGAAAACTGAGATAGTCTAGAATGTATCTAGATTCATACAGAGCAATATGCAAAGATTTAAAGGACATCAGCAGGTCCCTCTGTCGCTCTCTTCCATTTTTTTGCTGATACTCTGCAGTATCAGCTTTATTTTCAGACAGTCGCTTTCCACATCCAGCACAGATGGTGGAGAGTATCTAAGTATATATCACTGGGAGAATATACTATCCCAAGGAGAGAAAAGGCCTCCTCTCTCTTGGCCAGAGCACGTACTGTACAGCTAAATTCTGGCCAAGAGATTAGTGTCAGAGGTGGACAGGGTCGATCAGTCTCTGCCGTAGGAAACGGGGCAATCTGATTACCCAGGCAGGATCTCCTGACACTTCACTGTCAGGAGAGGCAGAACATGTGACTGAGAGCCCTACCAGTTGAGGAAGTTGCCAGTCACAATGGGGCAGTCAAAATGAGCAACATATGTCTAATACGGAATGTCGGAAACTCAGGAAAAGCAGAAAGCTTCATAAACCTGTTGTAGTATCCAAATTCTCTCACTAAATTCTTGTCAAAATACTGAATGCTTAAATAAGTAAATTAATATAGCACTTGACCAGTTAGTAAAAATGTCATCAATCTAGAAACCAGGTTAGAAGATGCTTCATAAGATTGTTATCTCTTTTGAAAGGGGAAATAGCCAAAGGGCTGTTATAATGGGAAAAGCCCTACACCTGGAATCAGGAGGGCCAGGATGCCCACCTGCTCTTCAACTAAGGAGCCATGCAAGGGGGAGAGGCCTTTTCTCTCTCTGGTCCTCAGTTTCTGCCCAGAAGTCCCAGTCCCAGTCCAACTGCTCATTTTACCAAAGATTTTTTTTCCAGCAATGATATTCTCAGATCCTTCCTCACCTCTAATGACTTTCACTAATCTGAATGAACCTGAAGGGAAAAGCCAAATTGTTCTCCAGGAGGTTTCCATAGGAGGGAAGCAAAAAAGCTTCAGAAGCCTGAGCAGTGACAGGTATTTCAAAACACCGAAGTTAGACTGGGAAAGCTGGAAATGCAGAGGTGCCTCTGAGAAGCAATAGGGCAACTGAAAGTACTTAGAGTAATTAGCGCTAAAAATTCAGTCTTTCGGTGCACAGTGTAAGCCCAGTAGGCAGAATCCAGGCTGCTGGGTTCTTTGCTCTTCCTTAGATCAAATGTGGAGAGGTAGAAAGCATGAAGCTTGAGTTGCAAGGGAAATGACAGGCAAATGAAATAAAGAGAACTAATTAACTTCAGCCTCATTCCCCAGATTATGAAGAGCCGAGCGCACACAGCAAGCTGGCTGGGAAGCTGGGAAACAGTGGGGTCTCCAGCCTTGCCCACTGACTCGGTGCTAACGTGGGGGACACCTCCCAAAATGACCACCCAGGTGTCTCCTTTTATATCCAAAACTTCCTTTGGAAAAAGGCCACTTTTTCAGGGCAAATATTTAACCTTCCTCCCCTAGGCTCTACTCTGTGCCCCTTCTCTTCTTATGGGCCTTACTAATGACCCTGATGGACTCTGTTTCTCTTCTCTGAGCTCTGGCACCTTAAAAATGCAAGTATTATCCAAGGGGAGTGACTTCAACATGATGACAAAGGGAATGGCTCAGGGTGAGCCCATCAGTCTGCACCCAGCTCTACCTGTGTGATCTTATACAGGGGGCTTAACTATGCTGAATCTCATTTTCCTTGTCTGTAAAATGGGAGTTCTCATTCTGACCTCACTAGTTGGCCTAAGTATTAATGGGAACTCAGTGCATAGCTATTACCATTATGCAACTGAGCACCCAACATTGTTTAGCCTTTTCCAGTACAACCAACCACAAAGGGCTGATATAGGGAACAAATGAAATATTGTATGTGAAAGTGCATAACAATATCTAGCACTGATTATGGCAATAGTATGATTGCCAATTCTATTACCATTATGAGTGACAGATTCTGTCTGCTTCTGTATATACAGCCAAATTACATTTGTACTGTTTGGAATGGTATGGAGCAGTTATAAATGAGTGAAGTACAAGGATGACAGAATTCTTGCTCTTTGGAGACCTTGCAGATAGACACCTACGAGCATTGGTTCTAGGCTCAGATGTTCCTGGATTAGGCATGGGTCTCTGTCAAATTGCGTCTCTCGTTTTCTTCACCTGCAAACCATGATCACAATTAAATTCACCATATAGGGAATGGGAATTAAATGGGAGAATGTAGATGAAGCGTTAACCTATCATCTGGCACAGAGTAAGCGTTCAATAAATCTGTGCTTGCATCAGATGCTCTGGGAAAGCTGCAGCCCATCAGTCGCAACAAAGCTGATGAAGATGGTAACACATGCACAAAGAATAACGCTGTCGACTTGAGAGAATGCACATTCTCTAAACTTAAAAACTTTTAGCTTTGATTCTAGCAGGGAAAGGAATTTCCAAATTTAAAATTTTCCAGGCCAGGTGTGGTGGCTGATGCCGTAATCCCAGCACTTTGGGAGGCCGAGGCAGGCAGATCACCTAAGGTCAGGAGTTCGAGACCAGCCTGACCAAACTGGCCAAACCCCATCTCTACTAAAAATACAAAAATTAGCCTAGTGTGGTAGCACATGCCTGTAATCCCAGATACTCAGGAGGCTGAGACAGGAGAATTGCTTGAACCCAGGAGGCAGAAGTTGTAGTGAGCTGAGATCACGCCCCTGCACTCTGGCCTGGTTGACAGGCCTCAGTCAAAATAAGATAAAATGCTTATCTTTTCTCTGTCTCAAAATAAGATAAAATGCTTCTGTTATGAGTTAGCTAGCAGCCTCATCTGCTTATTTGGGCCAATTTTGAGGTATTTTTAAATAGTATTTAGTTCCTAATACATGACGAATGCAAAAGTAGTGAGAGCATTGAAAATTGTGCAAATGAAAATTGAGAATTTTTCTGTGAAAACTGAATAAAAATGACAAAGGTAACATGGGTGTGTGGCATGATCTTTTCAATAGTAAGAACATTCTTGAAGACAAAGAGAAAGTCTGTTGTGTTTAAAAAGGGGGGCAATGTGCACCAATGGCATTTAGCAAGAGATGAGCTGAAGTGAATGTCAGGCACTAGGCTAGACCTAGGGGTACAATGATGCACAAAAAAAGATGACCCTGCCCTTGTGGCATTTCAACTTAGTACAGGAAATGAATATTCCACAAATAGTCACACAAAGGTTGTAGATGTTAAATGAAAGTTGTATAGTCTGATATGCGTGGGATACTGTGCATGTTGCCTGGGCAGAATTAGAAGTCCCTCCCCCTCTCCTGATGTATTCCTGTTGAATTCCTGCTAAGGGCTAAGGACATTGTCTTCACATTTTGTGGGCTTGGAGATAGAAAAAGATGATGGTGGACATGGCAGAGGTCAGATGGAGAGAGGTGGAAAGACTCAAGATAGTTTGGAGGGAAAATCTCCAGCATTGGTTATGAACTGGTCCAGAGGCATGAGATGGTCAAGGACGATGCCTGGACACTCGTACTGTACAACTGGGGAAAAGAAGTTGCCATTCACTGAACCAAGGAAGTCTGGGAAGATGGAGTTTTGAATGTTAAGAGTTACGTTTTGGATATTTTAAATTTTACATGCTTATCAGTCATCCAATTAGAGATAGCAGGTAAACACCCTAGACAAGAGCTATTCATGCCTTCAGCCACCATGTTATACTGCAACTCAATCTGTAAATCAGGTAATGCGCACCTTGAGCCTTCTATTTCAGAAACAGGGGTAGGTGTTTAAATAAAAAGACAGACCTCAAAAAAAGACATATTTGAATCCTTACCCAATTGTCCAATAGCTGTGTGACCTCTGAAGGAGAATTGAGAAAATCCTTTTGCCTGTGTGAGCTTCACTAAAAAGTAAAGGTAACTTCTATGTCATAGAGTTGCTTTGAGACTAAAAAGAACATTTTCTAATTGGCAGACACTACAGTTGAAATATTTTCCCTTTCACTTGTTCGTTTCCCTTTCTCTCCTCTATATCTTGGTTACTTGGTAATGAGGCTAGAATGAATTAATATTAGACACGAATCAAAGATTACTGAAATTGTTCTGTAATGTTTAAAATTATTTGCTTTACCCCTAGTTCCTGACCATTGCATATACATGTCTAGATTAACTGATTGATCAACTGCCTATCCACCAAGGGTCCTCATCTTATTTTCACATAATGCAAAGATCTGCAAAACTTACAGCTGCCTGTAATTGTGATCTTTCCTCCCCTGTCATTTCATTTCTTTCTTTCTTGGTCTGAGCATCTGGGGCAAAGGCAATATTTCCTCTCCCACCTATCTCTGGTTTCCAGCCTTCTACTTACCGAGTGCCACCTATCCTAGAACAGAACATCATTAAATGACTTCCCGCAGAAGGCAGCTGGAGTACTCAGCCTTTATGAGAGAGGACACATACCTTAGACACTTGAATGTGCTTTTCAATCAATATGCTCTGGGCAGCAGTCACTCAGACTCTGCCTAGAACCTGTAGAGCTCTTCGGGGCTGACCTCACCATATTTACCCAAAGACTGCTAGACATCAGGAGGAGCAGGAGAGACACAGAAGGCCAAAAGAGAAGCTTTCTTTAAGCTATGCAAGTGGATCCAGAAATGCTGATTCCGTAAAGCAGCACTGGCATTTGGTGCCATTGGTCTGTGGCAAAAAGTCAGGGAATCTCTTCCTTTGTGTTTCTTTTTCATACATTCTGTAAATAATATCAGTACAGCCCTTATTTATTTCTCCATCCATTTATTCATTTGGCAAATACGCCTGGAGATAAATGGCTTGGTGTAATGAGAGAAACGCCCTCAATCCTGCTTACCTGCTACAAGCAGATGGACATCACAACACCTATAGGGCAGTGGTGCCTACCTAGCACAGTGACCAGGCTGTGGTAAGTACCTCATAAGTAATGGCTTATTGTTATAATTGCTGAAGAAATGTACAAATTTATGAATAAATGAAAAGATGGACTAAAAATTGATGACTGAATGAATGAGAAAGAAGGATGCTCAGATGGTGTAGATAGATAGGAAATTGGAATGAAGTGGACTTGGGGAAAGGTATATAAGCCTTCCCTCTCCCTCTATAGTGCTATAATTAATTTTATTGGCTCTTCCCCTCCTAGAATTCACAGCCTATTTGGAGAGACAGTGGCTCCAAAATTTTTGAATCCACAACACATAGCCCAGAGTTTGGTGTAGAGTGAGCAGAAAGAGTGGAAACGACTCTGAGCTTCTGGCTCATTAGACACAAGTTGGAATCCCAGCTTTGCCTGTGAGAGCCTGGGCCAGTCCTTTGACTTTCATGAATCTCCATTTTTTTCCATGAGGAGGGTGACAAGAGCTTATCTTCAGAATGGTCACAGAGTCCAATGGGTACAAATGCGTGTCATAGTAACTTGCCGATCATCATGTACTATAGAAAGGCAAAGTTGTTCAAATAAATTATCAGGCTCAGGAATAAACAAACAGACAACAAGCCAGATTCAATTCCAGTCTACAATATTTCATCAGTGTCCACAAGACTGAGGAATCTTTGCAGACAATAATCCAATTTTCTGGAGTAGGAGCATAGTGAGGCTATCCTCTGTTATATCCCTTCATTATTCTTAGTCTTGCAGGTATTCCTTCTCCCCAGGCCCTCAGAGGTTTTGCACTGCCGTGGTCCCCAAACACCAAGCATGACTTGGGATTGACTGGCAGCATCAGAAGCCCTGGGTGAGGACTGAGGAGAGAGAAGAAATTTTCGTTTTCAAAGATTTATGGGATATTTCTGAAGCCTTGAAAAAAATAAATTTGGAGAGGTTCTAATTTTGGAAAACTTGAGAGAGACTGTGGCTGTTTATAAAAGAATTTCCCAGTGATTAGCCAGCATGGTGGGTAGCTACTGATATGCTCACCTTCACACTGCCTTCCCCCCTGAACTTCACACTGCCTTCCCCCCAAACTCTATAAGTTGCAAGACATTGTCTTGAAAACTAGTTGGGCTTGAGAGACATTGGCCTGGTTTTGGGGCTGACCTCACCATGTGGTCTCTTCATGAGTAAATGTGCAATCTCCCCGAGGTTTGCTGAAACACTCAACCTTGTGCTGAGGTTTTCTTGATGTGGGCGTCCCCTCGCAGATGCCTGGTGGGTGTTAGCACTTCCTCGCTCTGCCCCAGCTGTGCCCACTTCTGATCCCTAAGACATGTAAATATCAGGGGGCCTCATCTGTGAACACCCCATGGCCTTGACTCTCAGGCTGCCAGCATGTCTTGGGAAAGGGAGCCTGCCTCCCCTCTCTTCCTGAAAGCCGAGGCCAGGTCAGTGCCAAGAATAGCCAGTATTTTTTGAAGAAGGACCTTCACACAGCCTGTGAGGGTGGCAGGCATAGGTGCAAAGGGAAAATTTCTCCTTCATCCTCTGAAGTTTCACGATAAATCAACTCACGAAAGGCAGATTAATTGGAGAAAACACATACAAATGTATCTGACCATAGCTTTAGGTGACACGGGAGCCCTCAGAATGAAGACCCAACCCCTCAATGAGGCGCAGAAGTTTATAAACCATCTTGAGGTTACAGAAAGAATGGGGGCATGGGAGCTGGTCATACAGGTCATGGGAGGGGGAAGAAGAGGACTTCCGTTGAAGGACAGTAAATGGTTACCAGGGAGAATTTAATAGCCTTAAAGAACAGGCAATTATCTGGGACAAGCTCTTTTGGGTCCTCAGAGCAGACAATGGTTTGTGACAAAAGTCTGCCCAGGTGTGTTGACAGATCTTAGCCTTCCTTCCTGCAATATGGGTTCAGCTCATGAAAACTCAGACAAAGGGCAGGAGGTGATTGTTTTCTTCATTGGTAGGTCTGGACTTTAGGCAGACAAAGACTTTCAGAGAATCCTACACTTTGGGAGAGACGGTAAGATGTGGGGAGGCCTGAAAGAGCTTAAAGCTCCTGTTTCAGTTCAGCATGTACAAAGCATCATATTTTGGGGTATCGGTTTCTGAGCCCCAACACAGGCATCGCAGTCTTCACTGAAGAAGGAGGAGCAGAGGCTACTGTGCACAGTTCGTCCCAGGGAATGAGAAGTTGAGCCCAACTCTGCCTCCAAGGCCCCTCAGCCCCTCCAGCTTTCATCTTCTGCTCTATTCTCAATGTGCTGGACCACATTCTAGGTGCCGTCTTAGTCTGGAGAGCAAAGGAGAAACAGACCCTGACTTTGACAAAGTTAACATCAATACAGACCGAAAAATGTAACTAATCTCATAAATGAATATTTGCAAACTACTATGAGTTGATTTCATCTGAGTTTTGAATGTAGCCTTGAGTTGAAATCTGAAGGACAATTAGGAATTTCAGCAAAGAGTGAAAAAAAAAAAACAAGTCTAACTAAACAAGCCTTTTAAGGAAATGAAAGGCCAGTGAGGGAGTTTGTGTGAGGGAGAAACATTGAGATAAGCCTTCGAAG
Source organism: Homo sapiens (assembly GCF_000001405.40). Lineage (NCBI taxonomy): Eukaryota > Metazoa > Chordata > Mammalia > Primates > Hominidae > Homo > Homo sapiens. The sequence continues at coordinate 10,628,224 of NC_000004.12, read as the reverse complement.
ATTATTAAAGACCAGACCATATAGGTCCATGGGGACACTGTCCCAAGAGCAAGAAGCTGTTACAAGTTTTTAGGCATTAGAGTAATATAAACAGGTACACATTTTGAAAAGCTTCCATAGGCTGCTTTCTGGAAACAGATTGGAGGAGGCCAAGAGGGTTACACAGGATGCCAGTTAAAAGGCTGTTATCCAAGTGAGAGGTGGCGGTCTCACTAGCAGCAAAGTCTGAGACCTGGATTCTGGTGCAAGTGAATTATGCGGGGACCTCTTGCAGCAGAACCCTGCAGGGGAAAGAGGGAGACAGAAGGGGGAAGAAGTGTTATGGGGAGGCCTGACCTAAGCCTGATTTCTCAGTAAGTTCTGGAGCTGAGCTATTTCACAGACTCTGTGAAGCCCAGAGGTGAGGGGCTCAGGCAGTCTGTAGCCCAGAATGCCTGTGGGGGTGGGAGTGGGGAACCCAACCTCTCAGACATCACCAAGCCCTGTGGCTCCTGTCAGTCAAAGGCAATCCTCCCAAAAAGGATTAAAACATGAGTAGTTAGCAATCACCCTGCAGCAGCAGAAGGAGGAGACAGAGAGACGCTCTGTCTCTCTGACCCTGTCTCTCTCTGTCCCTCTCTGTGTCCGTCCTTCTCTGTCTCTCTCTCCCTGGCCTTGACAGTATCCACTACGCTCCAGTCATGGTTCCAAGTGGCAATGTTGTTTGGATCAATGAATCAGACCTAACATAGTACTCTATGTTACTAAGTAGAAACCAATGCCAATGATATTAAATAAGTAACCATACAGAAGCTTATGTGGCTAATGGCTTTTTAAAGGTATTGTTTCCTCCAAATGCCAGAACAGAGGGAGAAAAGGGCAAGTTTGGGAGGGACAATTCTCATTTTGTTGAGGCTCTAAAGTCCTGGTGCAGGGCCAGGCTTTGAGGTGTGTGGGATGTGCTTCCTGTTCTGCATAAAGGTGGCAATTGTGTTCCAACACCTGGGACACCTTCCACCTCCACAGTCTGTAGCTACTCCTGGCCCTCAGGGAGGTGTCTGTAAAACTCACAGTTTTCGTCAAGTAAAATGAACCCATTCTCTATGGATATCAAGTTTCCTGCCAACAGCTTCAAAGAAAAAGGAAAGTTTAAGTCTTTTGGAAAGACTTAAAGGGAAAGCTGCCCTGGACACCGCTTTGACCTCTCGCTGATGTAGCAAATTGCTTGGGTGAAGTTTACAGAGGCTGGCTGTATCATGAGAACCAGATTCTAGAGCTAGTCTATGGATGAAACGTGGCACAAAATCTCTCCCTGTTTTACAGGTGAAGAAACTGAGGTAGGGAGACATTAAGCAGCCTACTCAAAGAACACAAAGGTAGTGAAAGGCAGAACCAGGAGTGAAGCATAAAGCACGTGGCATGACACTCCATGTCAGACATTAAAACACATGTCCGCAACTGTGAATTTGGGAAATTGTTAAAACACGTTATGACAGTGACATTACAAACTGTAATGCAGTCATCAAATATGATTTCATGGAGGTACATCTCATAGTGCATATATCCTAATGCATGTATTTTTTACCAAAAAATTAGTATTTACATATATGTGTGCCACAAACCAGAATATATCGTTTGTATTATACGATTTTTATTTTCCTGTTTTTTTCTTGTACTTTTCTCAATTTTCTCGTGTGTTAATTTTGTAATAAAAATATTCTATAAATATAAACTTAAAAACTAAATTTCAAAAAAGAAAGGAAAGGGGAAAGTGAGGAGGGAGAAGCTGACTTTCTCCAGTTGTCTTACAGGAAAGAAAGAATTTGGTGCGAATAAATGACATTCAAGAGAATCAGAGGAAAGGCAGATGAGTTGATGTGGGTCAACGAAATAAAAAGAAGCAAGAGAAGGAGAGCATGAATGAGAAACAAAAAGGGGAGAGAGGAACTGTCTGTCTAAAATCCAGGCATCCTGGTGACAAAAGCTGCTCAGATCATTGCTCTCAGAGCAAACCTCACTCCACAGATGCAGCAATGGGGTGCAGGGTTCTGAGGCCACTTCCCCAGCTCTATGGGGACTGAGGCAGAGCTGTACTGGGCAGGCGGACACTGCACAGTGGACAAGGCATGAGCCCCAGCCAGGGAGACCTGGGTTTGAAGCCAGCACCACCCCCAACCAGTCAAAGTGCACGAGTGAAGGATGTCCCCCAAGATTCAGCCTCTACACCTTAAAGGTGGGAATCATTTCCACACACGAATGTTTCTGTGAAGGTTAAATTAAAAGAACGGTTGAAATGAATGTGCCCACTACAGAGAAGGTCATAACACATTGGCTTCCTTCCCTAGTCTAGAGAATTCCTTCCCCATATGAGAACCCTCAGCCTTGAGCTACATTGGCCTCAGATGCATCAGTAGGAGTTTGATTGGTAACAGAACCAGTTTCTGCTTTCTGACTCTGTCTCTTCCTGTCTATCTCTGCCTCTGTCTCTGTCACTCTCTGTCTCTCTATTTCCTGCTGTCTCTGTTTCTCTGCCTCTCTCTATCTCTGCCTGTCTGTCTCTGTCACTCTGTTGCTCTCTCTCTGTCTCTCTTTCTCTGTGTTTTAATCTCTGTCTCTGCCTCTCTCTACCTCTGTGTCTCTTTATCTTTCTGACCCTGTCTCTCTGTATCTCTCTGTGTCTGTCCTTCTCTGTCTCTCCCTCTTACACACAAGCACATGCACCTGCACACGCCTGTAGTACAATAACCATCTGGCACTCTTTATTTCCAAAGTCTATTGATGATCTCACTGGGTCTAAGGGGACCAGTCTGTTGGAAAGAGAGCAACAAGCCCAGAAGGGCCAAGCTCAGGGCAGAGGCAGTGAGAAAAGCAAACACAAATTGTTGAAATAACCTCCCCGTGGTGTCAGCCTGTCATGTTTGCCCCCTCTCTCTGCCTTTGTACGCCAAACACCTCCCTCTGCAGAGTGGCGGACAGCTCTGCTTTCAATTATATCGGCTAATGTTTCCCTGTCACAGCAAGGCTCAAATCTTGCCAGCCATCCACAGGGCCTGGTGGATTGGTCTGTTAAAATCCTGCATGGCTTTACAGCACCATGGGCAAGAGATCTTCCTATCAAAGGCATCTCTGAGCTAATGCTACTGTGATCTTGGCTTGCCTGCAGCTTTGGGAATGAAAGATGGGTTCACATTCACAATACCATGATGGTTATTATTCTACTGCCCAGTAAAACTATGTAATTTGTCCTTGGAAACTGCCAAGAAAGACATCCCAGACTCTTGTCTCTGAAATCAGGGAAACAGAATCGAGAAAACGTTAAGTTCAACCTGAGTTTCCACCCATGAGTTTAGAGATGTGGGGCGGACATCTCCTTCTGTAAGTCTATTTCTCACAGCCATAACACAAAAAGTTTGGACAGAATCACCATTTCCCAAGGTGTGTTCCTCCAAATGCTAGTCATCAAGATTCTGCAAAAGAATAAAATGAGTTGTTTCATAACCAAATACTATGGGAAGCAGCTCAAACTCTCTTGAGTTTCATGATGCTTCTTGGCATCTTAGAGATCCTGAGACATCCTGAGAAGTCCTGCAGGAAATACACCTGCTGTATTTGCTATCAAATAAGTTTAAAAAAAAAAAAAAAAAAAAAAAAACTGGCCGGGCGCGGTGGCTCACGCCTGTAATCCCAGCACGTTGGGAGGCTAAGGCAGGCAGATCACGAGGTCAGGAGATCGAGACCATCCTGGCTAACACGGTGAAACCCCGTCTCTATTAAAAATACAAAAAATTAGCCGGGCGTGGTGGCGGGCGCCTATAGTCCGAGCTACTCGGGAGGCTGAGGCAGGAGAATGGCGTGAACCCAGGAGGCGGAGCTTGCAGTGAGCCGAGATGGCGCCTGGGCAGCAGAGCGAGACTCCGTCTCAAAAAAAAACCAAAAAACTACTGGACACTAATCTTTGTGGAATATCTACTGTTTAACATGGCTGGAGGTTATCTTGCTTATCTTCATGAAATATCTACTGTTTAACATGGTTTGAGGTGAGGGTTCAGCAAAGCACACTAGTGCTTACCTATTCCAGCATCTGCATTCCTCCAGCTCACATGCTCTGGATTGTTTAGATTGTGTAAACCTAAAACACTCGGGCTATTTGCTTTTCCACCTAGAGATGGGGAAACTGAAAAGTGTTCTTTTCAGAAAATTCTAGGTTGTTGCCGTCACTGGGACACCATCATTTCACAGGAATGTATGTTTCACGTTTCACGTTAAACACGTACCTTGCTGCATGTAACATTTAACATGTTTTCTTCCTTTCTTCACTAGTCTACACTTCTTATCTTTCTTCAGTCATGCACATTTCTTACCGTTTAAGAGAAGACATCACTGTCCTGACTCAGAGTTCCACAGAAGGTTTTCTAGGGTTGGGTTCTCCTTCTGTAGCAAATGTATTTTTCATTATCTGAGCACTTTTCACACTGAACTGAAATTGCTTATTTGCCTATTTCCCTTCTAAACAAGGAGTCCCTACAGTTCAGGGCACAAACTTTTAAGTATTTTATCACCTGTGTGGTTAACACTTAGTATCTAAAACTTACTTTAGATATTGTTTATACATCTAATTCATTTAAATATTTGTCAGGCGTCATCTTATTAAATCCTCTCAATTATCCAATGAAGTAGAAGCTGGCCCTTCACCTGATATATTGATGAGGAATTGGAGGCTTAGAAACATGTACTGGCATTCCCTAAGCTTTAGAGGCTGCATATCTACAAGGTTAGTGGCTGAAATTTGAAGCCAGACAGTCAGATTCCAGAGCTCTTACTCTGGCCACCGTATTGTATTACCCAGAGGCAGTGAGGAGATGCTCAACAAACATTTGTTGAAAGAGAAATGTATGAGGCTTTATTAAAAGAGCATCCTATAAGACGGCTGCTTCTCTGATTTTACATACTCTGAATCTTGGAGAGAATGGTCTGTCAACCCTCTCCAACACAGGTATCCATCTCGAAAAACCTAGAGAGGGATTTGTTAAGTCAGGAGTTCATGAAGCTGATCAATGACTCAACTGAGTAATGGGAGACTCATTTTCTGGAATGAGAACTGTAGGTAATGCAGATTTTTTAATTAATATTTAAAATCTTTATTAAGGTATAATTTACTGCTATGGACTGAATATTAGTGTTTCCCCCAAATTGACATATCGAAGCCCTAGTTAATCCCCAATGCAATAGTATTTAGAGGTGGGGACTTTGGGACATAAATGGGCTCAGATGAGGTCATGGTGGTGAAACCCCTCTGAAGAAAATTAGTGTCCTTGTAAGGGATGAAGGGGCCAGAGCTCCCTCTCTCTACCAAGTAAGGAAGTGGCTGTTTGTAAGCCAGGAAGGGAGCCCTCACCAAGAACTTGACCATGCTGGCATCCTGATCTTGGACTTCCAGCCACCAGAACTGTGAGAAATAAATGTTTATTATTCAAACCACCCAGTCCATGCTATTCGGTTATAGCAGCCCAAGCTGACTAAGATATTTTCATAATAAAAATCAATGTTATATACTCAAAATGGGCAAATTTCATAGTATGAATTTGGTATGCATTTGTACTGTTGTTCCTTCCACCAAACCATGACAAGTTTTAATACCAAAATTATGTTCTTTCTTGACAAAGAACTGGTGAAAACTTCCAGATGGTGTGGGTGCCCCCTTTCTGTCCTATACTGTTTCAACCAAGGTTGGGCAAAGACCTTCTTTCCTTGGTCAGGGCTTTCATGCCTGTTATTGCAGTTAGCCATGAGTTGTTGTAGCCTGTCACATCCCGTCATGAATTGTAAGCTCTCAAAGGAGCATGACATTTCTTTTGCATTTTTAAACGAACCCAAGAATAAACAAAGTGACATACTTGTCTGGAGAAAACATAAGGCTTGAAATCAGGTGACCCAAGTTTGCCTCCCAGAGTCCCTCCTTTAAAACTATATGACCACAAGCCTCAATTTCTCCATCAGTATAATGGGAATAATATCATTATAACTCCTGGTTCCAGGCTGGCTATGCCCCTAACAATCTATATGGTATTTACCAAATAAAGGGGAAGAGAATGCAAAGACTTTTAAGTATTTTCTACTCCTTGAAATCTTTGATGCCTGGATTTTAAGAACTCAAATTTCCAAACAAAAACTTTTTTCTTAGTCTCTAAGCAGCCATTTTCCCCAAACCACTTGCTTTTATGACCTAGACTGCAAATAACAAGTCCTGTTTTGCTCAGATGAAAGAGTGATTTGACAACCACTTAACGGTGTACATTTTCTCAGCATCGCAATCACAGAAATACCTGGGCTAAATGGCACAGTGCTGATCCACTGTGAAAATTTGTGGAGTGTTCAATTACCCTTAGAATTGTTCATCTCTTACCTGTGGAGCCCCAGAGTCTAATCACAGGACAATAGGCTGCAGCTGGAAAATATTCCACAGCACACAAAGAAAGTTCACAGAGAAGCCACAGGCCCCAGACCCCACCTGGAAAGTGAATTGTCCTGCATTTTGCAGCACACGCATCATCCTTTTCTTGACAGTATGTTCCTAATGTCATCCTGGAGGGACAGAATAATAAATAACAACAATAAATCTGACATTGGCTTATCAAATCTAAGGACAGAATTAATTCAAGGGCTGCAGATTCCAGTGACTAGCATTTGTGGATCTTAACTGGATCTGATTGGATTCAGACACATGTCACATTTCTGGCCCCAAGTCTATTGAAGATCATGCTCTTGACTCAAAGGACACCCACTGGACCCCAAAATGGAAAGACCTCCAATGATACTTAGTTTTCTTTGATTGAATGATAGACTTCTTCATGTATTCCTTATTCCACAAACATTTAATACATGTCAGCTATCTTCCGGTAACTCTGCTTGGGGCTGCAATTAGAAGACAAATAAAATACAGTCCCTGCCCTCAAGAATCCCCCTGTCTGAGGTGTCCTGTTACCATTCTGCCCTCTCCAGGAAGACACTTCTATCGCGTTTCAAGGACATACTGTGGAAAAACGTCCTGGGCTTTGAGCCAAACAGAAGTGTCTGGCCTGCAGCGGCCACTTACCTCTTGGTGACTGAGGTACTGAGGTAGGGCTTTTTGGTTTCTTGTTTTTCTGTTTTCGAGACGGAGTCTCGCTCTGTCACCCAGGCATGATCTCGGCTCACTGCAAGCTCTGTCTCCCGGGTTCACGCCATTATCCTGCCTCAGCCTCCTGAGCAGCTGGGACTACAGGTGCCCACCACTACGCCGGGCTAATTTTTTTTTTTTTTGTATTTTTAGTAGAGACGGGGCTTCACCATGTTAGCCAGGATTGTCTTGATCTCCTGACCTTGTGATCTGCCTGCCTCAGCCTCCCAAAGTGCTGGGATTACAGGTGTGAGCCACCGCGCCCAGCCTGAGGTAGAGTTTTTACCCTCCTCAGCCTCAGCTTCTTCATCTGTAAAATGGCAGTCAAGCAAGCCAGAAGTTACATCACTGTACTGTCAACATTATAAGAGAAGTAAACACAGAGCACCAGGAGAATTAGGAGCCATAGAACAGGTGCAGGCAGGCACCCCACGCTAAAGAAGGCAGAACTGGGTCTCGGTTTTGAGAGCAGAGTAAGAACAAATTGCCTCTGGAAGTGTCAGGGAGCCCTGCAGCCTAGGCATGAGAAACCTTACGGATATGAGATGCTGCATGCTCTTGGAGGAATGAATGGCACCTTTAAAGAAAAATGCAAGGGGATGGGACAGTTTGGTTAGAGGGAGTCCTACTGAGTGGCTTAGATAAAATCAGTGACGATTGTTTGACAGTTAAGTCAGTGCCTGAGTGAGGTGACTTTAGGATAGGTGGGTTTCTGGCATTGGTGTTGACATGGATCCTCTGGGTGACAAAACCTCTCTGAAAAGGACAAAGCAATGGGTTCCAAATGAAGCAACAGCCTCCTAGTAAAATGGTGCATCTCGGGAACGAAGTTAGTTACGGCTACTACGGATCATGTGATTGGAGTGCACAGCTTCCCGTTTCCAGATTCAAATCCTTCATTTTCACAACGAGGAGATGTGAGTGCTTAGGCTCTGAGGAAAGGGAGGAGGATGCGTCTAAGAGGAGACGCATGCTCAGTTCTCTCCCCTTTTCTTGATGCGCAGAATTTCTCACTTGGCCGTGAAGAGCAGAGAAAGGAAGGGACTATCCAGTCTACAGATTTCTCACATTCTTGTGTGAAAAGAAAACAGGGGTTGGTGATTGAGGTTCCCTCTTTCTGTACCATTGAAACCCACCAGCGATTAACACAGAGTATTATGGGAAAACGCCCCGGGCTTTGAGCCAAGCAGAAGAGTCTGGCCTGTAGCAGCCTCTTACCTCTTGGTGACTGGGATAGAGTTTTTACCCTCCTTAGCCTCAGTTTCTTCATCTGTAAAATATAAATAGGAATGCCAGCTCCACACGATACTGGAAAGACTACTTGAGAGCCTGTGTGGATCACATAGCACACCATGCTGACCGCCTTTCTATTTGTTGCTGTTTGTTTAATTCTGTCTTTTGAAGATCAGAGAGATCTATTCCAACCCATTCATTTACTGAATGTCCCTTTTCCTTTCCCTTTTATTTATTTTCCTTTTTTTTCTTTTTCCACCCCAACCCCTCCTGCACACACAAACACACCTATGTTTCCTGCAGAAATGAAGCTAATTCCAACACTTAATTAGTGAAGTCATTGCCACACAGAGAGCAGCCAAGGTGCTTTGGGAGGGATGGTAGCTCAAAACATTTCATTTTATTTCGAACAAGGTTAACCACATCATTATTACCAAAACACAGTCCCAAAGGCGCCATCTGTCTCCCATTGATGTATATTCATGGTTTGCTGGCAGCAGTTCAAGGAGTCTGACCGGTTTAAAAACACAAAGCTCCTGAAACCAGAGTGAGTTTATTTTCCTAGCCGGTGATTACAATGCTTACCTCTAATTTAGCGTGAAAAGGCTCCAGCGATTGCCTTTGGAGATAGCTAGGCATTGTTAGCTTGAATTACAGCACTTGGTCCATGGGTGTTCGCCTACCTGCAAGTATAGCTCCAGAAGGACTAATGTGTTACCAAGTTTCAGCGGAACTGTGCAACTGGCAGTGTAGAACACAGAGCTACTCACTGATTTTCTGTGGTCAAAGACAGAGCCTGAGACACTCATTGATGATTGATCAAGGCTAAAAGAATGCTGACAACATGTACTTTTCTCCTGAACCTTCTTTTAGATATAAATTTATTTAGGCATACAATATGGTTTGGATCTGTGTCTTCACCCAAATCTCAGGTCCAGTTGTAATGCCCAGTGCTGGAAGTGGGGCCTGGTGGGACGTGATTGGATCCAGCGGCCAGAGTCCTCACGAATGAGTTAGCACCATCCCCTTGATGCTGTTCTCATAACATAACCGTGACTGAGTGAGTTATTGTGAGATATGGTTGTTTAAAAGTGTACAGCACCTTCCTCCTTTCTTTCCTGCTCCTGCTTCTGCCATGGAAGATGTGCCTGCTTCTGCTTCACTTTCTGCCATGATTGTAAGTTTCCTGAGGCCTCCCCAGAAGCAGAAGCAGCTATGCTTCCCGTACAGCCTGCAGAACCGTGAGCCAATTAAACCTCATTTCTTTATAAATTACCCAGTCTAAGGTATTTCTTTATAGCAGTGCAAGAATAAACTAAAACAGCATATTTTACATGTCATATAATTCACCCATTTTAAAGTATACTATTCAATGATTCTTTAGTAAATTCACCAACTAGTGTGACTCTCACTATAAATCAGTTTCGGAAGATTTCCATCAACCTAATAAGATTTCTTATACCCATTTATGGTTGATCCCAGTCCCCCACCCACTTCCCCAGGCAATTACTAATCTACTTTTTTCTCTACAGATTTGCCTTTTCTGGATTATTTCACCTAAATGAAATCAGTCAATAGGTATTTTCTTGTGTCTGGCTTCTTTCACTTTTCATGATATTTTTGAGGTTAGTTGATGTAGCGCGTGTAACAGTTTATCCATTTTTATTGCTAAATAATATTCCATTGCATGAGTATACATTTTGTCTATCTACTCACCAATTTATAGGCATTTGGGTTGTTTTCCGTCTGAGGCTCTTATGGATAATACTACTAAGAATGTTCGTGTGTAAGTCTTTGTGTGAACATACATTTTTATTTCTCTTTGGTAGATACCTAAGAGTGGTATTACTGGGTCATATGTTCAACTTTTTAAGAAACCATCTCCAGAATCTTGATTCTTTTGTAGAAGCTCATTTCCTCTTTGCTCCCCAACTAAAACACTAGTGATTCAGATGTAAGGAACATGCCTCCACATCTTTCCCTACAGCCCAGGATGAAAATCAAAAACAAAAGCAAACAAAGCTGTTTTTTCTCTCCTGATTACACTCATAGTAGAAAAGCGCAGAGTTGGAACCACAAAATGAGCCTGCCAAAGAAGTAACAAACTCTTTTTCCGTCTTTTTCAGTCTTTTCTGGCTATATGGTACAAATAAAACAAAATAACAGTAGAGATACTGAAAATCAAACCATAAGCTTCAAAAGTCTGGCTTGGCTCATGGATCACTAGCTAAAGCCTTTATTTTTAATGTTCTGAGCAAAAATTGACTATTATTTCATTGCCATTTAATTTACCAGAGAGTTTTGCATAACTACCAAGTGTCTAGTACAGAAAATGACAGAAGTAGAAATTTCCAATGAGCAGCTCATAGTCCCACTGGTGAGAAATCCATACCTTACAGTTACATATCACATGGTAGTTCGTAAGGGGATTTTGGAATTTTTTTCTCCCCTTTTGCACACATCAATCCTATTAACAAATATTCTTTTGGGGGAGAAGATAAAAGGAAGATTGAACTTGGATCATCTCCAGTTTTATATCTCCAGCTATAAACAATAGATGCTGGAGAGTTGAACTTAGAGAACAGATAAACAAATATTGAAGACATTAGCATATTAAGCAAGGGATAAGGAGGTTTCTTAATTTATATATGTATGCATTGGGATGGGGAGGGGAGGAAAGAGAGGGAGGTGAGGAAGTTCTATGGGATTTTTGTTTCTTTTGTGTTGCTATTCTTGAAAGGATAGTAGCATTAACTTATATTGTGCACTCACTCTCACAGTACAACTAAGACACTAATACTGTTCCCACTTGAAAGATAAGAAGCATGTGGATCAGAGCAGTAAAATCATTGTCAGGCCAGAAGCCCAGAGTTTCATCCTAGGTGTGCCATGTACTAGCTATATTTGACCCCCAAGCTGAGTTCGTTCTACCACAGACATTATAAATGGCAATGCTTTAAGGTGGGTTAGCCAGTGGTGTTCTGGCAAATTTTAGTAAATGTTGAACAATTCTCTAGAAAAAAAAATGCGTGTATATATATATATATATATATATATATATATATACACACACACACATATATACACACACAACTTTATTATAAATGTTACTGGTATAAAAGTTGTATAGTACATAATTTACAAATAATAATGAAATATGCAGTACTCTTCATTATAAATTCCATATAGTCAGTTCCTTCTCATAGAATGATTTCATTGATTTTTGCTGAACTCTCATATCTTTAGCAAATCTATGGTTGCAACTGACAAATTAGTATAGTTCTAACATCAATATTGCTGCTATTTTCCTTTGTATTAATGAGTAAAACAAAAGTGGAACAACAAAGAAATATGAGGACTTTACTTGTTCTTCAGAGATGTGGGCAGCTTCTTTGTTGAATCAGATAATACTTTTCAATATTGGAAGAATATGTCCTATTTTGTGCTATTCGCAATGTTATAGATATTGACACAGCATACTGTTAAGTTAAATCTGCTTTATTAACATTTCCTCCATTATCTTCTTAAGTCTAATGTGTCCACAAAGCAATAAACTAAACCCCGATTTGTAGCATGTGCCAATTTCTGTGGTGTAAGTACTCCCACTATGGCCAACGTCCAGCTGCAAATATTACTTCACTAAATTGAGGGTGGTGAAGAGATGAACAGCAGCATATTTCCACCATTCAGATAAAATAGATGTAGATAACATCAAGACCATAGGTAATCGCGAAATGTAGTAAAATAATTAGAAATTCATGTATTTTGTATATTCATTATCTTTGCTTTTAGTCTAATTTTGTCAATTATAATTTTATATAATTTAATTTTTAATAATGACTGTTTAACAACTGGCGTGCAAAATTCCTGAAACTTTAATACAGAAAGCAGCTCTGCTGGGGAGCATAAGCCAGCTTCAGCACACCACTGATAACTCAATATTCCCTCTGCTCTTCTTCTTCCTCTCCATGCAGGTCTGACATTGAATGCCTCCTTTGTTATTGACTTTTTATGAAAATGTTTCAGGCTTTACCAGAACACTACCATTGACTAGTTGACCTTGGAAAAATCTTTGACCTTAGAGAGTCATTTCATTATTTGTAAATCAAGGTTATTTTACCTTCATCATAGCACCACTGTAAAGACAGGTAAAGTAACCAGGACTATGACAAGACAGCATACTTACTCAGAAACTATGAGCTCGCATCCTCATCTGCCCCTCAAAAGTCCTGGGGTCTATACCTGGAGCAGGTGCATGGAGAACTCTACTGGCTCTTCTTTGCTCTTCTTTTTCATTTTTTTTCTTTCTTGGTGTTTTGTTTTGTTTTGTTTTGTTTTTTGAGACAGAGTCTTACTCCGTTGCCCAGGCTGGAGTGCGGCGGCACGACCTCTGCTTACTGCAACCTCCGCCTCCCAGATTCAAGCTATTCTCTTTCCTCCCTCCTCCCTCCTTCAAGCGATTCTCCTTCCTCCTTCCAATCCCAAGTATCTGGGATTATAGGCATGTGCCACCATGCCTGGCTAATTTGTGTATTTTTTAGTAGAGACAGGGTTTTGCCATGTTGGCCTGGCTGGTTTCGAACTCCTGGCCTCAGGTGATCTGCCCGTCTTGGCCTCCCAAAGTGCTGGGATTACAGGCATAAGCCACCGCGCCCAGCCTCTTTCTTGTTTTTTAAGAGTCTCACCCTGTTGCTCAGGCTGGAGTGAAGTGACACAAACTCGGGTCACTGCCGACCTCCACCTTCTGGGTCCAAGCAATTCTCCTGCTTCAGTCACCTGAGTGACTGGAATTACAAGTATGCACCACCATGAGTGACTAATTTTTGTATTTTTAGTAGAGATGGCGTTTTGCTATGTTGGCCAGGCTGGTCTCGAACACCTGACCTAAAGTGATCTTCCCTTCTTAGACCTCCCAAAGTGCTGGGATTACAGGTGTGAGCCACCGCACCCAGCCCCTTCTTTGCTCTTCTAATCTCTGTTATTAGTGCACCCAGAACTGATAGCAACCAGATGACCTCTGTGATTAGGAGAGTGGGTACTCATAGGAAACAATCACAACAAGGCTCTTTATGTATTGATTTTTTGATCCTTACAACAATTCTGTGACATGCTGTCATCAACTGTATTGCAGATAAGAGAAATAAATCCCAGAGGGATCACATCAACTTCCTCCAACTTGAATGTGCACACAGATTCCGTGGCCTCTTATTACAATGCAGATTTCGGTTCAGTGGGGCTGGGGTGGTGTCTGGGATTCTGCCTGCCTAACCAGCCCTTGGGAGATGCTGCTGGTCTGGGAACCACACTTTGACTAGCAAGAAATGGGAATTCTCAGGCTGAAAAACAGATCTGGCCAGTTAGCCAATTCCAAATCCCACACTCTTAATGTCGATGATATTCAACCTTCTAGAAGAGCCTAAGTCTGCGGAGGAGAGTTCCTGGAGAAACAACGGCATCATAGATATCTGTAGAACCAAGGATGAAAACTCAGCCTTACTTAAGGGAACCAGGGCTCTATGTGGATAAATCTAACATATCCAGGTCACCTGGCATCTCTGTAATGACAGTGTTTACCATTATTTGAGCCACTCATCAACGTGCTAGTTACCATACACACAAGATGTCTAACATCCCACAGAAATTTCCTACCAGCAGGCTCCATGCAGACATCTCACCCAGACATCTGCCAGGGGAGGAGAATTTAATCACTACATTTACTGGAGTTTGAGCCAGAAGACTCTCAGAGCCCAAATAATCTAAATTCCTATATTACAGCTGGAGAAATTTCAATGTGGAGAGGGCAGGCACACTATGAGTCCGATGTTGCTCTCTCAATCTCCAGTTGGTATGGTGGTTGCCACTGAGGGTGGCCTGGGCATTCAGGGTCCTTGGTCAGCACCTGGCTCCCTGCTTCCTCTGGAATCTTAAGCACATTCTCCAGGTGAGACAGAACCTATCCTGCAGGTTGTCAAAGACAAAGCCACAGAGTCAGATGAACTATTCAGGATGGAACAAGGGAAAACATACAAAGTGGGCTTGCTTTTTTAATGGTTTCCAAAAGAGCAGACATTCAGGAGAGATTAATTCTGTGGGTGAAGTCTCAGCTACTACAAAGAGAGTAACACCTCCCCTGCTCCCACCCTGTTCCATCTCCTGCTGGGGTTGTGGCAATAGCTTCCCAAAGGGTCTCTCTGCTTCCACTTTATCCCTCAATGACATACCTATTCTCTAGCCAGAAGACAGAGAGATCCTATTGAGTCATAATTGTTATCTTTGTGTTCCTGTGTCTGAGACCCTGACATGGCTTCATAGCCATGGCCTAAGTCTAGTGCCTCTCAATGACTACAGACAGGGTATTGTCACATCTGCCTTGATTCTCCCAAAAGGCTCTTGGACCATCTTCCCCATCCATCCCTGCAGGCATTCCAGTTCAGCCACGTGGACCTCATTACCTTGATTCAACTACTTAGCCACATTCCTGCCTTTGAACTTTTCCTTCAGTTATCCCACAGCTGATGTGCCCAGTGCCTTTTCCCTGTTCCCATCTTTCCAGCAAGGCTCACCTTGACCACCCCAAGGACTATTCATACCCACCTGCCCACCCCACCCAGCACTCTGATTCCCCCACCTGCTCTACAGTCCTTCCAGAGCACCTTATCACCTGCTAACATGCTATACCCATTCCTGATTCATTCTGTTTACTGTTATTGTTGTCCTTCTCTGTTCCATGGATAGAGATCCTTTTCTGCTTTGTTCCATAGGAATTAGCCATCTTCTTTATTTTGTTCACTGATATATCTTGAGCACTGAGAGTAATTCTCGGCCCACATTGAGCACTAAGAAAAAAATAAATGTGTTGTTGAATTCATTTTGGTAAAAATTTCTAGCCTAAATACTTACTGAGGACTTGTTCTATTCCAAGCATGGTTGTAAGCATTTTGCATGCATTATCTCATTTAATTCTTACAATATTCTCAATATGTAGCAAAACCTAAACACCTTCGATGCCAAATGCTGCTATTAAACAGTCCCTGGGGAACACAGATGAGATATAATGATTGACTCCAACCCTGGCTTCCTGGGTTTGATTATCTTTTGATAAGTGCTTTGAAAACCCATGTCTCTAGACAACATGATAAGATAGATCTGCCACACCCCAGAGCTCATCAGCATGGGAAATCAACTGTGTACCAAGGGCAGTAGATAAGCCATGGGGTAAATCTAGGATTCCAGCCACTCTCCATTTCCATGAAACCCAGCATGACGCAGTGGAAAGAAACAGTCTTTGGGTCAGATAGGCCTGATACTGAATGCCATTCAGGTGTTTACTGTTGTGCAGCTGCAAACAATATACTTTGCCTCCCTGGGCTTTTCCTCCCAATCTGTAAAGTAGAAATATGGCTTAACCTGAAATGTTGTCAACAGGAATAATTGAGAAAAGTGGCTGACACACTCTCAGCAAGACACTTTGGACGTGGGATCTTTCACAGGCCAATGTGTCCATTGTCTTTTGGGGAATGACTTCAAACTCAGGTGTCTTTCTCAGGACCATGATGTTGGGCAGACCTTGTACAAAAGCTCATTTCTGTCACTTCACACCAATCTGTATTGAACTCTTCCTGTGGGCGGGGCCCCATTCTAAGAGCTGGGAATATGGAAATAAAATAAATGTCATTTTTTTCGCTGAGAGATGTGGGTAGGTTTCTTCAGCTCTCTCAACACTTGGTTACTGAGAGGATCAAATGAGAGATGGGTCTGGAACAAGAAAGCATGAATCCCATGTTCACCTATGCACCTTTTCATTGTAGACATTGTGGGAATACTGGCTGTGACATGCAGCGTTTACTGTTTACAGACAGAGATTTGGCCAATTGTTCATGATGGCTGCTCTTTGGGGGCAGAATCGGGGCTGTAGGGAGAGAGTGGATTGTCAGGGACCAGACCATGGAGGGCCGGTGAGTCATGTTCCAAAGATGGACTGTGACTACAGGCATTAGGAATGCCAGATTTTACAATGAGGATCCTGGCTGCAACACAGTGAATGGATTGGAGGAAGTAAGAAGTGGAGGAAAGGAAGGGGAGAGGGTGCTGGAGATTCTCAGAGGACAGAAGGCAGGAGCCACCCCCAGGAGCAGCACATCATTGGGCCTCACTCTGTCTTCTCATTTCCCTCCCCTACCTTGTTTTCCCTTCTTTTTTGTGGACCTGCTGGGATCATAAAGTGTGGCACCAGGAGATAGAGGAAAGGCTATTTTCCTGGGGGGCTCCTTCTCTAGAAGCCCCTCTGGCACTCACGGGAGGCCCCTCCCAGCTTCCCTGCAGACTGCAGAAGAAGGTCCACTACATTTTTTTTTTTTTTTCAGACTTAGCCTCCCTCTGTGGCCAGGCTGGAGTGCAGTGGCATGATTTCAGCCCACTGCAACCTCCACCTCCCAGGTTCAGATGATTCTCATGCCTCAGCCTCCTGAATAGGTGGGATTACAGGCACCCGCCACCATGCCCAGCTAATTTTTGTGTTGTTTGTTTGTTTGTTTGTTTTTGAGACGGAGCCTTGCTCTGTCACCAGGCTGGAGTGCAGTACTGTGATCTTGGCTCACTGCAACCTCTGCCTCCTGGGTTCAAGCGATTCTCCTGCCTCAGCCTCCCAAATATCTGGGATTACAGGCACATGCCACCACACCCAGCTAATTTTTGTATTTTTAGTAGAGACGGGGTTTCACCATGTTGGGCAGGATGGTCTTGATCTCCTGACCTCATGATCTGTTTGCCTCAACCTCCCAAAGTGCTGGGATTACAGGCGTGAGCCACTGCGCCCAGCCTAATTTTTGTATTTTTAGTAGAGATGGGGTTTCACCATGTTGCCCCGGCTGGTCTCGAACTCCTGACCTCAAGTGATCCGCCTGCCTCGGCCTCCCAAATCGCTGGGATTACAGACGTGAACCACCATGGCCAGCTCATTATGTCTTTTTTACTCAGGCTATTTATGGGGTGTCTACTTACCAGGTACAAATCAAGTTTTTATTTTGAGGATTCATACGTGTGTGTGTGTGTGTGTGTGTGTGTGTGTGTGTGTGTGTGTGTGTGTTGCTTTTTTATGTTGTTTTCTATCACGCATCCAGAATCTTTCAGGCATGACCACCTATAAATTAAACCACCAGGAACACGTCTATGGACCTATAAAAGGGGTAATTCACTGTTGTTATTTTATTTGCTCATTACATACATTGATGGTCTATTAAAAGCTACATCTCTTGACAGTCGAGACAGAGAAAAAAAGGAGAAAGCATTTGAAAAATGAGATGTAAGGCCTCTCTTTGTCTAGGTTCATTTATTTCCTCTTGCTGAATCAAAATTTAAACCAAAAAGAAGAGGGGGGAAAAAGCTTTTATGGGTTTTCTGGAAACCTGGGCATCAAAGATTCAGGATTATTTTCTTGTTTTCTAAATTAGATCAGCTTTTTTTGTCTTTCTCTTTTTCTCTCCCCAAGAAGATTAAAAAGAAAAAAAAAAAACGGGCCGGGCGCGGTGGCTCACGCCTGTAATCCCAGCACTTTGGGAGGCCGAGGCGGGCGGATCACGAGGTCAGGAGATCGAGACCACGGTGAAACCCCGTCTCTACTAAAAATACAAAAAATTAGCCGGGCGCAGTGGCGGGCGCCTGTAGTCCCAGCTACTCGGGAGGCTGAGGCAGGAGAATGGCGTGAACCCGGAAGGCGGAGCTTGCAGTGAGCGGAGATCGCGCCACAGCACTCCCGCCTGGGCGACAGAACGAGACTCCGTCTCAAAAAAAAAAAAAAAAAAAAAAAAAAAAAAAAAAAAAAAAACGAGCATTCATTTAAAAGGCACATAACGAGGCTTAATTAGAAAACGAGTACTAGGGAAGTCAAGGCCAAATAGAAGGGACCCGGATCACCTCACATGGAGCCAGAAGCTGCAGTGGAACCTTCTCTCTCTCAGCATCTGGTTAGCTTGGACAGATGATTTCACTTCATAGGATCTCATTTTCCTCATTTGTAAAATTAGCAGGTTCAAGCAGATGATATATATTTTTCCACCCAGCTTCATGCTTTGAGATTCTTTGAGACTACAACTCTGGCAAAAGAAGGAGCTAAAATCAAATGCCACCCTCCACTTTGCACCTGCAACCCATCGGCAGTGCTGGTCTATTCTAGAACAGTCTGAAGCCCTTTTCTGCCTCAGTAAACAAGAATTAGTTATTCCCTTGAGGCATTCCTGCCTCCAGGAGTCTTGGATCTTCTCATGCACAAATATTTCCTCTGCTGCTCTTCTGTGTGAGGGTCTTGACAGGTGGTCCCTAATGTCAGGAAATCCAGAGTTTTGGTAGAAGTTATGCATGCAAATGATGACTGTGCAGGTGGCAGTCACTGAAAACCAAAGTCTGATCCATTTCAATGGAGAACCGAGGGCCTTACTGTGAGTCAGAAGAAGCTAGAAGACAGGAATGCAGCCCAGGTGGACCCCAGGGACTGGAAGGAGATCAGAGAATGGGCTACCTCCTGACCAATAAGGAGTTCTGACTAAGTATGAACCCAACAGGCAGCTGTTAGAGCTGAGTACCAAGGGAAAATAGGGCCAGAGCCAGGTAGACTGTCCTGAAACCAGGCAGCCATTCAAATCAGGAGTAAATAAAGGTAGGAGTATGGGGAAAAGAGAAGCAGGGGGGATGAGAGCCCCTTGCTCATTGGCTTGGTTCCCACTCACTTGGCTGTCAGCTTCACGAGGGCAGCACCTATCCTGTCTTGTTTAACGTGACCCAGGCCTGTTATGAACTGAATGTTTGTGTCCTTTAAGTTCCTACGTCAAAATTCCAACTACCAATGATGGTATTGTTAAGTGGGGCCCTTGAGGCCCTCATGAATGAGATTAGTGCTCTTCTAAGAAGAAATGTAAGAGAGATGATTTTTTTGGCCACGTGAGGATACCACAGGGAAACAGCTCTCTGCAAATCAGGAAACAGGCTCTCACCAAACGCCAGTTCTAAGGGTAGCTTGATTTTGGACTTTTCAGCCTACAGAACTATGAGGGATAAATGTTTGCTATTCAAGCCCCCCAGCCTATGGTAATTTGTTATAGCAGCCCGAACTGACTCAGACAAGGCCTAATGCAATCCCCAGCCCACAGAGGCTACTTAATGCATAGTTGACTTCAGAATAACATGAGGGTTTTCTTCCCGATTTCAACACAGTTCAGTAAAGAATTTTCGTCATTGTTAAGGAGTTGGTTCCCATGACCCAGACACAGAGCCTTTTAGGAATAGTCAACAAGGATGCAAAAGGAGAGGCAAAAGGTTCGAGACGAAGCTGGGGGCTCAGAAAACACAGCTGTTGTTCACTAAGGAGAGAGCAAGCATCATTCTAGTTCACAGAGGAAACAT
This sequence comes from Homo sapiens, assembly GCF_000001405.40. Taxonomy (NCBI): domain Eukaryota; kingdom Metazoa; phylum Chordata; class Mammalia; order Primates; family Hominidae; genus Homo; species Homo sapiens. The sequence goes on along the minus strand of NC_000004.12, from coordinate 10,608,462 downwards.
GTTACATCCACCTAGACACATTTGGGAAAGATTATTGGAAAGGATGGCATCTGTGCTGGTACCAGAAGACCAAGGAGAGTTGGAAGATGTAGAGATGGGAGAAGAGGAGGAGAAGAGAGGGAATGGGCCTAGCAGGCCGAGGAGACTGCATGAGCAATCTGCATCTCAAGTTGCTGTATTTCAGCTGAGCAGGAAGTTCAGTTTGCGTGGACTGTAGGTTGCAAAACAAAATTGAAGAGTTGAAATGATAACTAAGATAAAATTGTAAAAGATCTTTGAGTGGAAAGGGATTAGTGTCAAGGAGATCAATGGAGGAATTCTTGCAGGGGTCCGGGAGAAAGATCAAGAGGCTTTGGTAAGCACAGGACACTCCAAGTTCTCATGTCATGTTACATATGCACATCTCTCCAAGTACATGGATTTTTTGGGACTCTTCTACTAGATTTTCAGCTGCTAATGATTCAGCACTCTTATTCCTCTCTGTTTAACACAGGTACAGTAAATTGCTCAGGATATTTTTCATGATTATCCACCATGGACAACATGAAACAGCCTCACCCTCTGATTTTACAGATTCAATAACCAGGGCTTATAGTTATGAATGGTTAAGTGATTTAGTTCAGTGACACAATGAGTTGATAAAATAGTTAGGGCTCAAATCTGAATCACACAGCCAAGCCCTCAGTCCTATTCAGCTGGCTGTCCCTGGACTCATTGTCCAGGATTGTGGCTGAAAACACCATAAATGGGAGGCACTGACAAGATGTATAGGACCCTCTGAGCAAGGTCCCTAATGCTGCAGCTGCTTCAGAATAGAAGCTTGTCTTCTATTTGAGCCATTTCCCTAACTTTGTGCTACAGACATATTGCCAGGCAAGACAAAAACAGCCTCCAAATTCAGTGGGTTGTGTTTCCTGGCATGCAAAGGCACAAGGAGATACTGTACTTTATAGGATTACAATCTCTGAGTAGGGTTTGCAATCATGCCTTATCATCAGTGTCTGCTTCCCAGCAAATGAAGCTTCCTGCAAGATAGCAAGGCATGCGTTCATTGAAACAACCCAGATCAGGAGAGAGATTGTACTATGGCCAAATGATAGATAACAAGACCCACTGTGTCTTCACTGGCAGCTCAAACTCCAGTATGACTCAGGTGGGGGAAAAGAGAGCATGCCACAGTGGGGCAACGGCAACCTACTAGGACCTTCTCACCTGTCCTTGTTCTTCTTACCAGAAACCAGCTCAAAGCCTTGCTCGACTCTTGTGAGCTCCATCAGCACAGAAACTCTATGGATGCACCTTTTCCCCCGTTCCTCAGACACCCAGTGTTGCCTAGAATGGACTACCAATCATCAACAGAGTCTGTTCATTGAAGTGACAGGTTTTGAACCAAGATATGTCTAACTATAGGACCCAAATGGCTAGAGCCCTGAACCATGGTTTTCTCATCTGTAACATCAGCACAATATGTGTATCTAATTTAAGAAGTTGTGACGATTAAATCAGCTCACCCAGGGCAGTACCCGCAACAACCTAGATGCTTACTACCTGTTAAAAACATTTTTTTTCTCCTGTATCTGTCAAGAAGCTGTTCCCAATGACTACAGCTTTATGATGTGTATTAGTCAGAGCTCTATAGAAAAACAGAATCAACTATGTGTGTGTGTATATATAGATATAGATATAGATATATAGATACAGTCATGCACCATATAACATTTAGGTGAATGATGGGCCTTCTATATGATGGTGACCCCATAAGATTATAATGGAGCTGCAAACTTCCTATCACCTAGTAATGCGGCAGCTGCTATAACATTGTAATGCAACACATTACTCACATGTTTGTGATGATGCTGGTGTAAACAAAACTGTGCTGCCAGCATATAAAAGCATATCACATACAATTACGTAAAGTACACAATACTTAGTAATAATAAATGACTATGTTACTGGTTTATATATTTACTAGACTATACTTTTTATTGTTATTTTAGAGTGTGCTCCTTTTACTTATATTAAAAAAAAAAAAGTTAACTGTAAAACAACCTCAGGCAGGTTCTTGAGGAGGGATTCCGGAAGAAGGCATTGATATCACAGGAAATGACAACTCCATGCGTGTCATTGCCCCTGACGACCTTCCAGTGGGACAAGGTGTTGGGGCGGCAGGTAGTGATGCCATTGACCCTGACCCTATGCAGGCCTAGGCTAAGGTGTGTGTTACTGTCTTAATTTTTTAACAAAAATGTTTAAAAAGTAATAAAAATTTTGAAAGTTTAAAATTAAATGTTTACAGAATAAGTATATAACAAGTATCTTCGTACAGCTATACAATGTGTTTTTGTTTTAAGTGTTATTACAAGAGTCAACATTTTTAAATTGAAATATTAATAACATAAAAAATTACAGTAAGCTAAGTTTAAAGAAAAGAATGTTTCTAAAATAAACATACAGAGTCTCCAAAGCCTACAGTAGTGTACAGTCATGTCCTAGGCCTTCACATTCACCCACCACTCACTCACTGACTCACCCAGAGCAAATTCCTGTCCTGCAAGCTTCATTCATGGTAAGTGCCTTATACAGGTATACCACTTCCTTTTCTTTTCTTTTCTTTTTTCTATTTTTTTTTTTTTTTTTGGACAGAGTCTTGCTCTGTCCCCAGGCTACAGTGCAGTGGTGTGATCTCAGCTCACTGCAACCTCTGCCTCCTGGCTTCAAGCGATTCTCCTGCCTCAGCCTCCCAAGTAGCTGAGACTACAGGTGTGCACCACCACGCCCAGCTAATTTTTGTATTTTTAGTAGAGACGGGGTTTTACCATGTTGGGCAGGATGGTCTCGATCTCCTGACCTTATGATCTACCCACCTTGGCCTCCCAAAGTGCTGCTGGGATTACAGGTGTGAGCCACCGTGCCCCACCCAGGTGTACCTTTTTTATCTTTTTTTAACTTATTTTTACTGTACCTTTCTATTTTTAGATATCTTTATATATACAAGTACCATTGTGTTACAATTGCCTACAGTATTCATTACAGTAACATGCTCTTTAGGTTTGTAGCCTAGGAGCAATAGGCTATACCGTATCACCTGGGTGTGTAGTAGGTTCCACCGTCTCGGTTTGTGTAAGTACACTCTACGATGTTCACACAAGGACACACTTCCCAGAACACATTCCCGTCATTAAGCGATGTGTCACTGTATATACATATGTATCCGTAGAGAGAGAGAGAGAAAGCAAGAGAGATTTATTTTAAGGAAATGTCTCACAAGCTTCTGGGAACTGGCAAGTTTGAAATCCGTAGGGCAGGCTGGCAGGCGAGAGATCCGGGTAAGAGTTGATGTTGTAGTCTTAAAACTAAATTCCACAGGGCAATAGGCTGGAAACTCAGGCAGGCTTTTTATGGTGCAGTCTTGAGGCATAATTTCTTCTTGTTCAGGAAACCCTAGTCTTTGTTATTAAGGCCTTCAGCTGATTGGATGAGGCCCACCCACATTATGAAGCATCATCTGCTTTAGTCAAAATCTACTGATTTAAATATTAATCACATCTAAGAAATAGCTTCACAGCAACGTCTACACTGGTGTTTGAACAAACAACTGGGCACCATAGCCTAGCCAAGTTGACTCACAAAATTAACCATCACACCATGAAACTGCAAAGGCAGTGAATAGGTGGGGAGTAGTGATTAAAACATCTCATTGCTGGAAATTCATTAGTGGACTTCCCTCTCAAGTTCCTATGTGAAGGGTTACAGCTCAAATTTTCAGGGGGCAGTCTCCTAATATAAAAATGTGAGATAATAGGGAATGAATGGTGGGGCTTGATGAACTTGAAAGAGTAGACCCCATACACACATATTTAAACTTAAAAAAAAAAAAAAAGCTGTGACAAGAAGCCTTTTTGTGCCCTTTACTTTTTCCAGGATGGGCAGATCAAGCACATGGATGTTGACTGGCATCTAGGCCATGGTGTATCATGACCCCAGAACCTTCCTTTAGTTGCTCAAGGAGAGTGCTAAAAATCTCCTCGGCTTAGAAGAAGCGTGTGCATGAATATGCAATTTGAAGGAAGTTTACACCTGGCACCCTTACAGCTTAGGGATCAAATGGAATGAACAAAATGGACATCGATCACTTGGCTACAGTTCTAGAACTGCAGCTTTGCCTCTTTGTAATTGAGTAAGCCACATTTCTGACCTGGCTGAAATATCTCAATTACCAATTGCCCTTCTTGATGCTACTGGTTGTTCAACTATGATATTCTTTCGTCATTTGGGGTAAGAATTGGGCCCTAGAGAATAAATATAATCACGAACATGCAATCAATGTATGAGGAAGGTGATATACCCCCTGCTATTCCCCATGTGCAAAATGGGAATGAGATTCATTGAATAGCTTGTTCAGTTGGCATAGCTGCATTCATATCCAGTCTACTCGCTCCCCGGGGACACCTGCCCTCAGGATAACTCCTGCCTTCAGCCCTTCCTTTCTCCTTCTTTCTGCTCCTTCTCATTCTCTTCTACTAAAAAATATAACCAAAGCCCATCTTGGCTTCTTTGGATCCTCAAACTCACTAAATAAAAGAGTCAGAATCCAAGATGATCTTGTACTACACTCTGTGAGTCTCCATCCAGGTCTCTCTCTTAACCTTTTTTGGGAATTGCCTTGGCTGAGCAGGATTGCCTCACCTGGAGCAGCCCACACCCACTGACTGGGCCACCCAGGAGTGCATAGACCTGGCCTTCCCACCCCAACATGGGATACTCAGAAGAGCCCTCATTCCCCGTGGGGGCCGCTGAGGCCTCTGTTGCAACTGCATCACAGCCCACTTTTCCCCCTGCCCAATTCTGCCTCTTTCTCTTCCCTCCACAGGGGTTGGTGCCAGGAGCACTCCCTAAAACACTTTCTACGTGGTCATCTCTGTCTCAGAGTCTGCTTCCTCAGGAGCCCAACCTGCGGCAGTTCCTGAGGAGATGGGACATGTGCTGAACATGAGGCAAAAAAAACTCAGCAGGATGAGGATAGAATAGGACTGGTCTCATAGGATTGTTAAGAGGATTAAATGGACTAATATGTTGTGAAATACAAACAATGACCAGTTAGGTGAAAATCTTATATAAATTTCTTGCAGTTCTGATTTTCATTATAATGATGGTGCTATACCTTATTATTATTATTCATGATGTTTGTGCCAAAAATCAAACTGTATAAGACCTTGAAAGAGAACTGTGGCTTAAGAGCAATTTTAGTGATTTCTCAGCAGCCTGCAAGCTCACTCTGAGTGTATAGAATGAGAAGGTTCTGGAAAAGTCAGAACTTAAGCTAAACTCCATTGAGAGAAGTGCAGTTTTACAACAGAAGAAATGGCAATTCTTTCTGTGCTAGTCAGACTGCACCAGTCACATTGGGTGTAGCCGGGAGCATCTCTCTGAAAAGGTGAGAAATTAGAGGGGAATAACTAAGATGGGATGGAGAAGATGTCTTTAACTCTCGGAGTAGGCTTCTTGTACTTACTCTCCACCGTCAACTTGCCATGTCATCCATCTGGCAAATTCAACCCCTCACTGGTTGTCACCACCTAGTGAAAGCCTTCCTTGACTATACCATCACTTAAATATTTGACCAGCTTCTTCCTCGTTTTTCTTCTAGACCATGTGTACATTTTTTATCATTGTGCCTATTGCATTGCCTGTGTTTGGATGGGAGTCTGATTCATTTTTTCGTCTCTTGGGACAGAAGAGATGTTTAGTGCATGTCTTTCCTGCGGCTGCCATAACAAATTGCCACAAACGTAAACGTACTGGCTGAATACAACAGAGATTTACTCTCACCGTTCTGGAGTCCAGAAGTCTGAAATCAAAGTTTAGCTAGGGCCGTGCTCCCTCCCAAGCCTCTAGGAGAGATTTCTTTCCTGCCTCTTCCAGCGTTTAGTGGCTCCAGGTGTTCCTTGATTTGTGACAACATCACTCCAATCTCCGCCATCTTCACATGGGTCTTTTCCACAGCCTCCTCATAGAAGAACACTTTAACCCAAGATTTAGAGCCCACTTTAACCCAAGATCATCTGATCTCAAGATCCTTAGCTTAGTTACATTGCTAAAGACGCTTTTTCCAAATAAGGTCACATGTACAGTTTTGGGGTAGACATACACCTTGGTACACGTCGTTAAACCCACAAATCAATTCAACTACACTGTATTGGCTGCTATTAGGTCTACATGAAAAATAATAAGGGTCTGCAGAAGACATTTTCACAGGGGAAATTAGATAGGGACAAGGCAAGGAAAATGTGAAGGAGGACTAGATGGGTATCATTGACTGGTCATGCAGGAGGGAGATGCGGAAAGTGAAAAGGAAATCAAAGATCAATGCAAAGTGTTGGACCTGAAGGTGCTGGAAGGGTGCTCAAGAAAACAGTCTGGAGTGTGTGGGGCGATGTGCTCTGTTTCAGCAGAAGATGAAGTGATTGCAAGAACAATTATTTGGTTGGCCCACTGATGTTCTGTACCTCAGTTTCCCTACAAGCCTATGGCACTTCCAGCTTTCCCAGGATGTGCTCAGTTCTTTGTGCAATCAATTAGCCTGTGTTGTTTCCCTGGAGGACACTTGGCCAGAGTCTGTGACAAGCAAATCGAGCAGCAGTTTAAAAAGCTTTTGTGATTCATTTCACTAGGTGGGTGGGATGGGCTGAGTGGACAGGAAAGGCAGCTGGCCCCAAATGTTTGAGGCCTTGTAAAATGATGTGCATCTACTTAGGAGACTAGTAAATGGCACTGTCCTCCCCAGGTGGGGTAGCCAACTTGGGAACCTTGAGCATCTCCTTTCGAGGTCAGATCTCAATTCAATGCAAAACAAACAATTTTGCCCTATTATGCTTAACATTCTTTAATAACATTTTCTGTGATGTGTTGAGAGTTTATAAATCTCCCAGCATTGTATATTTTTAAAAGTTTCTCTAAAATCTGAACACTTAGGATTCAGATTTAGGGCAGGGAGACCTGGTAATGCTTGTTGCTCTTTGTAAGTAATTTTCAAACAGGCTTTAACCACTTACTGTCTAGGTAGATGGCTCTTTATTTTCCAGCCTTGTTAATATTTTGCTTCAATAATCCACTGTAGAAAGAACACCTCCTCCTCCCCATTCTCCATTCTCCCCACCTGCTTTCCTTCTCGCTGGTGTGTCCCTTAGTTGCTTCCAGCTGGGCCTGCGCTGGCTTCCTCTGCAACATAGCTGACACACATTCTCCAGGAGACAGGCGAAGAGATGTGTAGCCCTGGTTCTACCCCCAACTAGCCTGGCCACCTGGAACTAAATGCTCTCCACTCTAGGGTCCCGTTTCCTCATCTGTAGCATGGAGTTGAGAAGAATGCCTGCCTATTCGCTACTGAGGGTTGCTACAAACATGAAATAAAAAGAGAGTTTGAGTCCAGCTCTCTTCTTAAAGTTAAAAAGGCCAAAGCTGATTATCTAGAAAGGTCAGAGGTAGCTCCCAGTCTGTTGGGTTCTCGAGGCACCCAGGAAGAAGTTAAGAAACTCTCAGACTCTATCCCATCCTCCTAAAATTGGCCTGGTTAAAGCCATTTAGGCAAATGCTACATGGGCTGTCAGAAAACAGAAAAGTTGCCAATAACCTAGAGACATGATGAAAGTGAGGGCTCCTACTCAGTGCAGGGATAGGCCAGAACTCCCCTGGTATCAGAGAGATTCAAAGGACTCTGTCCAGTTAACTACATGGCTCGCTATTGTGTATGAGCCCAGACTCACAAGTTATTTATGTATTTGCATCTAGGTATCTATTTATTATCTTACAAACATTCCTGCAAGCAGGCAGGGTCAGTTAGCCAGTGTTCTAGGAGAGAAAAAGATGCCCAGGCTACAATCTACCCTTGCAAGGCTCCAATGCAAGGGGATATGGACATGTACATGCATAATGAATGCATGTACAGGGCATTTAACAATATTATATTGTTTACTTGCTTATGGCCTGGCTCCCTAAATACACTAAAAACTCCAGGAAGCAGCCTTCATCTGTCCTTTAATTACTATACCCTATTACCTAGTGCGTTGCCTAGTATGGAATAAACCCAATAACTATTTGTTGAGTAAATGAATGATTAGACTCATGAACAAACGAAATGAATGGCCATAGAGAGGTATGCAAAAGTACCAGAGGGACTCAAAGCGGAAGCAGCAGGGAAGAGTTCACGGGGAAGTAATATTTGAAATTGACCTTGAAGAATGAAAAGCATTTTGCCAGGCCCAGAGGAGGCAAAAAGAATAATTAGATCAATGATATGGGAGCATTAAGAAAAAAAAAGGTCGGGCCCAGAGGCCACAGTGTGGGATGACTTGGCAGAGAGAGAGGGTAGCAGGAAATAAAGGAGCAACAGAAATGGGATTCAAAGCCACTGGGGCAGGAAACTTAGCTATCATGGTTAAGAGTTTGGGTTTTATCTTGCAGGAATAGAGAACTGATGAGGATTCTCAAGGAGGTGACTTGATAATATTCTGCTATTAATAATTACAAAGGTTCTTCTTGATCCAGTTTGGCGTATGGATTGGAACCCAGGAGGCCAGGAAAGCAGCTAGGGGTAGATGCTGGAGGTCAGCCTAGAGATACTGAAAGCAGAAGTAAGGCTGAATATATTAAATAGCTCATGAACACGACAAAGAAGAGACAGAGTCAGGAGGCATCTGGGGAATCTGACTGTTAGGATCTGTTAACAGATTCGGATGATGTCAATGATAGAGGGGGAGGGGTGGGAAGACTCAAGATTAGCACCCAGGCTACTGGTGTGGAAACCATGTGAGCAATGGAGCTTCTCGCTAGGAAAAAGGCCTGTGTCTGCTGGGAAATAACCAATTAGAAAGATCCAGAAAATAGTTCAGTGTTCATGCCTGGAACTTAGTAGAGAAGTCAGAATGCAGATGGAAATATGTGAATTAAGCTGTATTTGGATAGAAAAAAAACAATGAATAATGAAATATGTGAAATAGTACAATAATGAAATTTTAAAATAAAGAATGAAATTAATGATAATGAAATAAGCCATCATCTTTCTAGATGGTCAATTTACACAGTGACAAAATATACCCAAACAACTCGCAGATTTTTAAATTTATTATGTTCTATTCTATGGGCTACAGGCAAATCCCAGATGAAGAGAGAGCCTCAAGTCATCATAAAGTATTTCCTGGAGTTCTTTAGTTTTTTGTGTACATGTGTGAGTGTCCACTCAGCTCCTCGGTGGACCAGGCATTGACCCAGGCCCTGGGGATGCTAAGTCCTACAAATCTCTGCTCTAGTGGAGATGGAAGTTCAACAGTCAGATGTGAACACAAGTTACCAGTTAAAACAAAAGGAAAATTAAAACTCAGGCAAGTGCTGTGAAGGAGCGAGTCTGTGAGGCCGAGGAGGATTCTCTGAGGAAGTAGCACTTGAGCTGAGTTCGGAAGTAAGAGTTGTTGTTAATAAGAAGAAGGAAGACAAGGGCATCTGATAAAGAGGGAACGGTACCTGAAAGGGCCCCGTGGGAGGGAGCAGAGAAAGTCCAAGGACCAGAAAGAGGCAAATTTGCCCCAAGTGGAACTGGGAGGACAAAGAGGGTAGCTGAGCTAAGGAGGCAGTTGGTCAGGAGCATTTGTGGAGGAAAAAAATCACCAGTCAGTGTTTGATAGAGCTAATGAAATGCCTGCAAAAGAAAGGAAAATGTGGGAAACGTGGCTGATTAAATGAACTAGGAATGCATAACAATGATGCTTTATGACAGTGAATGTATTTAATGAATGTTAGCAAATTAACTCAATGAAAAATAAGTTAATCTCTTCATAGAAAGTGCCTTAGCAAAGTGCCTAAATGATATGGGAGCTCAATAAATATTACTTGAATCAGAGTGGCTGTTGCTAAATAGTCTGTCTTCCCACGTTGGATAATGTTTGCTAGATTTTTATGAAATTCAACCAACATAGGGAAGCATCTGAGACATTGCCTGGCTCACGGTTGCTGTCCCTCAAATTTCTTAACAGCCTCTCATCAACCATGTGGCAAAAGTATGATATTCTTCATTTTACAGAAGAGACAGATACTGGCAGAGCTTAAGGACGGTACCAAGGTCACCCTGTTGATGAGGGAGAGGCAGCCCACATCCTTGTCTTGAATGGGCATTTCTTCTGCCCCACACTACTGTTTCCTGTAAAATAAAGCTCTTACATTTAAAAAATTAAGAATTGGATTACTTTAAACACAAATTTTCTTTAACCCTAGTGGTAATGCAAAGAGAGATTCAGAATTATGTGTGAGACATAATTACTTAAATCTGACTGGGTGGCTCTTTCTATGAATGAATGCACTTAATTAATTTTTCCCCTAGCTTCTTGCTATTTCCCAGCTATAATTTATTTTCTTTCATCCCAGGGGCAATAGAAAGACAACTAAAGAAGGATCCAACGATTTGAAATTCCAGAACTTCAGTCTGCCAAAAAACAGGTCAGAATATTTACTTGTTTATTAATAGAGGAGTGAAAATTTTAATTCTGTAGCAAATAAGCTGACCATCACAAACACGAAAATTGTCAATGTGATGGAATGACCTGTAGTGACTTAGAGGTCAGACAGAGACCAAGGTGCAGGAGAAGGGGATTGGCTGGGGTTGAGCAGCCAGCAGGTGTGTGATACAAACCTAGGCTGAGAAGCCCCCACCTCCACAGCTCTGCAGGCCAGGCCTCTTTCCACCCACTCCTCCCAGGTCTCTAAACAACCCCAGAGAGAGCCAGTGATGGAGAGGCTTCTATTCCTCTGCCAATGAATGATTTGAATGATGGATCATGGATCCAGCCACGAGTTTACCTTGGAGCCTCACAGCAAGCAGACAAGAGAGAGCCAAGTGCTTACACTGTTATTTCCTTTGTCCTTCAATTGAGAATAACATTTGCTGAGTGGTTATGGTATCAAAACTTGCATAGACTACTGAAAATGCAGCAACAAAAGACAAAGTCTCTCCCTCAAGGAGCTCGCAGACTAGTCAAAAAGCTCAGAACTTGATCGAATCCTGTGCTAACTTGATCGAATTACTGACTAGAGACAAGACCTAAAGTCAAATCCAGCTCTACACTGCCCAGGGCTGCCCAGCCGACTAAACCTGGGCCACATCCTCATGCGCAGAACCGTCTCTCCCATGCTCAGGTGGGACTCCCTGGCCAAGCCTTCCTGGGGTGGCTTCTCTTCCTGGAGGCACCCAAGGGTCCTCACAAGTTCTATCAATCCTCGAATCCCAATTCAAGTCCATCCATCAAACATCCTTCAGTCCTTACTATGTGCCAGACACTATAAGCGGTCTTGGAATTCTAAAATGTGCCAGAATAAATAATTATCCTAAGCAGAGTGAATGAATGCTGGTAAGATGATAGAATACTTGAGGTGTTTTGCAAAACCACTTTGAGTAGAGGGAAATTTGTGGCTTTCTCAGACTTCTTTAATGTTTACACTAAATACATTTGAATAATGCATTTTAAGTCCATTTTCCTTATTTCTTGACAATAGCAAGAGATGGGAGATAGAAGGTTTAGAAGCCCTCTTTCAGATGGAGAGGGTTGAAGCAATTACATACATCAAAGTAATATTTACAGTTACATTTGGAGGAAAAAAGACAGACAGAGAAGAGCAGTGCTTTTTTCTGAAGCAAATTATTTCAGAATGTGTCATAGCATGCTCAAGATATATTAAAAAGAGCAACAGATGATGTTTTTGCAACCTGTTCCAAACTATTTATAAACCTAAATTTAAAAAAAAACATAGACATACAAATCTCTATACCACTGCATATTTTATAATGAATGCATTATATGAATATAAACTATTTGAGATATATAAATCAACTAAAAATGTCTGAAAACTACAAATTTGTGTCTACCATCTTCCTTTAACTATTAAACCAATGTATTTACTCCTGTAAAAATTATAATTATCAATATTTGATGATGATAAGATAAGGAAGAAGCTACTTATGGGCAGCATTGCAGTGTAGAATGAGTCCATTGAATCAGGATTTCAACCTCATCTGAGCTGCTTATTAGCCGTGTGGCCCCAGACAAGCCTCTTTTTCCATTCCAACACCTCCTGTGTTTTAGAAGTGATATTTGAAGCCAGATGTGGTGGCTTATGCCTGTAATCCCAGCACTTTGGGAGGCTGAGGCAGGCGGATCACCTGAGGTCAGGAGTTCGAGACCACCCTGACCAACATGGAGAAACCCCGTCTCTACTAAAAATACAAAAGTAGCCAGATGTGGTGGTGCATGCCTGTAATCCGAGCTACTTGGGAGGCTGAGGCAGGAGAATCACTTGAACCCGGGAGGCGGAGGTTGTGGTGAGTCAAGATAGAGACATTGCCCTCCAGCCTGGGCAACAAGAGCGAAACTCTGTCTCAAAAAGAAAAACAAATGGTATTTGAAAAAGTAGACTCTCATGTTCACTATTGAATCTCTTGAACCTTCCTGTGTCCGCAGAATAAATGGATGACCTCAGAGGTGTGCTGGGAATAGAGTAGGTTCTCATTAAATAATGTGGGCTAATAGTCACTGAGTGCTCACTATGTGCTAGGTGCTGTTCTAACAGCTAATAGGTAACCCTCACTGGATCCCAACAATTACACTCTTATTAGTCTCCTTTCTACAGGAAAGAAGAATGCAGCCCAGAGAGGGTGAATAACTTCCCTAGAGGCTCAGTGGCTAGTTGTGATATGGTAAATGGCAGCTGTAATTATTATTACTAATATCAACAACCCTGGTGCTCCCCATCACTGCCCTCATGCTAGGTTGAGTGTGGGAGTTAAGTCTCCTGCAGGCCCCCACAGCCCAACCACCCCAAGGTCAAAAGTGCCTTGATCTCCTGGTAATAAACAAAGTAAAACACCAAGCTGAGTGCTGGGCCCCACTTGGATGATACGGCCTGGGAGGATCTCCAAGTAAAATACAGATCACATCCATATTCATTAACCATGACCTGTCTGCAATATTGAGATGAATGTGTTTTATAACATCCTACTAAATCCGCAATACCCACTTTTATTTTGTACTGTTTCCTCATGTCTATAATGAAAGAAAAACACCAGCTGATATTTGTCAATTAAATCCGAATTCCACTCAATAACTGAGCACCCAATATGCACCAGAACCTTGGCATTCGGTCTTCACCATAATGCTTTGAAGTAGGCATTCGTATTCCCATTTACAGATAGGGAAAAATAGTCTGAGGGAGGTTATATCTTTTTGTCACAGTCCCAGTAGAAAGTGGTACCAGTTGGATTTGAATTCTGAGTCTAGCTTCAAGTCAAGTGGCATTTCTGGGTTTTTGTTTTGGTTTGGTTTGGTTTGGTTTGGTTTTTTTTGAGACGGGGTTTCACTCTTGTTGCCCAGGCTGGAGTGCAATCGCGCAATCTCCGCCTCCCAGGTTCAAACGATTCTCCTGCCTCAGCCCCCCAGCCAGTAGCTGGGATTACAGGCATGTGCCACCACATCCAGCTAATTTTGAATTTTTAGTAGAGATGGGGTTCCTCCAAGTTGGTCAGGCTGGTCTCGAACTCCCAACCTCAGGTGATCTGCCCGCCTTGGCCTCCCAAAGTGCTGGGATTACAGGTGTGGGCCATCATGCCTAGCTCTGGGTTCTAAGTGATCAAAAACTTTCTTATGTATATGTATATGTATGTATATGTATATTCTTATTTATAAGTATATGTCAGCATATACATATGAATGTAGATTTCTACTCTGATGAGTCACTAATCTGCTCCTGTCAAGTTTCCCCACCATGAGGAAGGAGCATGTGCCCAGCCCTTCTGGAAAGCACAGCCACATCTATAACAGTGAGGCCTGGTAGCTGTGGCTCCTAGAGCATGGGCCTGGGACCAGCAGCTTCAGCATCATCTGAGAACTTAGCAGTGCTGATTCCCAGATTCTGGCCAACTGCACCAGAAGGACACGTGCTGGAGCCCAGGCACCCATGTTGAAATAAGCCCTCCCTGTGGGTGCCAATGTTTGCTCAAGTTAGAGAACCTCGGATGGAAGCATGGTTACCAGGAGTGCAAGCTTCCAAGTGGAGGGAGAGGCCCCTGGGCTTGAATTCCACTCTGCCCCTACTCGCTAAGTGACAGTGAGTGGGGTGGAGGGAGGAAGATGGAAGGCAGAGGATGGGGGGAGATTGGAGAAATGGTGGGTGCAGGAGCTGTTTCCCCACTGGGGAAATGTCTGACCTCTTACATTAACCTCCTTAAGTTCTCTTTGTTGGGCACTGGAAAAATCAAAGATGAACGAGACATAGTCCTGGATACCTGCATGCTCAGTATCTGGTGGGAAGCAGAAGAGTGGGTGTGGAACTGCAAAGTATATACATAACAGATCATAAGCCTGTGTCATGCACCATGGCAGACACAGACGCAGGCCCTAGGGAACAGGAGGGACACAGGATCAACCAGGGAGCTGAAGGGCTTGCCAAGTCCTCTCTGTACTGAGCAGTGGCACCAAGATTCTAATCCACATCTTCACTTTCCAAGCACTAGTCTCCTTTCCATCCTTTACTCTTGACAGCGATGCTAGGAACAGTGTCACCACACTATCCACATTCAGACCCTTCCCATTCGTCACCTCATTGGCTATGGAGTTCTTCCTTTCTGCCACTAGCACCTGCAGCAATAGTTAGATCCAGGGGGACAAAGTGCAGGCAGCCATAATTTCTCAGGGCCCATGAGGCCCAGTCATCATCCTTTGGAGACGGGAGTCCTCTTTTTGTTTTTCTGGGTTGTTTTGTTTTGTTTTGTTTTCAGACTGAGTCTCATGCTACCACCCAGGGTGGAGTGCAGTGGTGCTATCTCAGCTCACTGCAACCTCCGCCTCTCAGGTTCAAGCAATTCTTGTGCCTCAGCCTCCTGAGTAGCTGGGATTACAGCTGCCTGCCACCACGCCCAGCAAGTTTTGTATTTTTAGTAGAGATGGGGTTTCGCCATATTAGCCAGGCTGGTCTCGAACTCCTGACCTCAAGTGATCCACCCACCTCAGCCTCCCAAAGACCTGGGATGACAGGCATGAGCCACCGTGCCCCGCCTGGAGTCCTCCTCTATTCCATGAATTAGGAGGCCCTCTACTGGGTCCCTTCAGTCAGGCAAGCCCAGGAACCTGCTGGCCATAACCGCTGCCCGCTCTCCTGACTGCTCTGGTCTGCCCCGCCTGCCCTGAGCCTCTGCAGCACTGAGAGAGCCATAAGGGTCACTTTTCTCACTGTGGCCCACCTCACCATGCAGAAGGCGGAGTGCCGCCCTGAAAGGTCTCACAAGCAAAGAGCTTTGTGACAGGTCCTAGGTTCTTTCACAGAGGATGCAGGGAAGAAAATGTGTTGTTCCACTGGCTTTCTGGGAGTTGTCCTCAAAGGGCTCCTACAGCGTAGATGCTCAGGCTGGGCACTGCGGCTCACACTTGTAATCCCAGCACTTTGGGAGGCTGAGATGGGTGGATCATTTGAGGTCAGGAGTTCCAGACCAGCCTGGCCAACATGGCAAAACCTGATCTCTACTAAAAAATACAAAAATTAGCCAGGCATGGTAGTGGGTGCCTGTAATCCAAGCTACAAGGGAGGCTGAGGCAGGAAAATCTCTTGAACTCGGGAGGTGGAGGTTGCAGTGAGCTGACATCACCTCACTGCACTCCAACCTGGGCGACAGAGTGAGACTCTGCCTCAAAAGAAACTAATAAATAAATAAATAAACAAACAAACAAACAAACAAACAACAAGTAGATGCTCAAGAAACATTGGCTGATGGGGGAGTAGGAAGAAGGAAGAATCAAGGCAGAACCCTAGGTTCTTATGTTGTGGATAACCCTAGGATGCTGTTGATCTGTAGTATACCGAGAGCCTCCTATGATGCCTGGCACTTACTAGATACTTAAATAGACGTGAAAAAGAAACTTCAATAGGGAGAGAAGGATGGAGAAAGGAGGAAGAAGACAGAGACCAAGTGGGGAAGTGGGGGAGGCTCAGAGAGTGGATGAAGGGATTTCAGGAGTGGCTCTGCCCGCTAGAGGAATGTCTGAGCTAAAACATGTCTGGCAAATCATCCTGCTACTCTACTTGTCTGCTGCAGAACCCATCAGAGTGTCAAATATTTTTGTTTTTGTTTTTTAATATGTATTGGGAGCACTGATTGATAGCTTATAGGAACAGGACTATAGCTTATATAGACATGTTTTCTGCCCTCAAAGAACTTAAAGTCTAATTGAGGAAAGGAAAAAAACTCAAGTAAGGTTTTACAATATGAGATTTAAATAATAAATGAATAATTATATGTCATCGTCCAGATTTACTAAATGCATGATTCGAGTAAGAAGTGCCACAGGTTCTCAGAGGAGGGAGGAGACCAGACAGGCCCCGGCAGGGCAGGGTCTGAGGAGGTGGGAGCCTCACTCGGCCAAGAGGGTCTTGGGTGTATGAGCTTGATGAGAGTTGTGAGTGGCACTAAACACTTCCAGTGTTTTTCCCAGGTCCCCTTCAGGGAATTACATGCCCCAAATATTTCTTATACAAATAAAATAGGTAAGAGGAGAATTCTTGAAACCAATAGGGAATGCCTTCTAGAAAGAATGAACCCATGGATTCACTTATTTAAAATGAGCCTTGGCCTGATTCCACCTCAGAGTGAATTTCATCTGGATTGAGAGAGGCTCTCCAATCTCTAATCTTGAAAATGTACAACCGATTCCAGGGGAATTTAAGTGGCACTTGTGCACACACGTGGAGTAGTTTCCTACTACGTGCCAGGCACTCCATTGGCCTTGCTCGGATAGGACAGGTCCAGGTATAGACCCAGACATGATCTGCAGTGTATCTCTGGCCCGTCTCACTTTGGGATGCCCTCTTTTGTATATTTCCCTCTGCATGTGCCTGTGGCATTCATTCACTCACACATTCACTCACTCTTACCCATTCAGCACCACATTGGTGTGCACATGCTCCAGGCACTGTGTTAGGCACCAGACCTCCCATTTAGGAGCTAGAGGTTCAGGGTAGGCAGTCTGAGAATTCCAGTTGCATTCTGTTCTAGTTATGTCAGTGTGAGTTCCATTACATAGGTACCAAGAATATGCCCAAATAAGGAGAAGAGGGCATTGGTGGCCACATGGGAAACAAGATAAACGGTCTGTCCAGGCCATCATACCTATTCCCTAGAATATTACAGAGTCCACTCCTCTCTCAAATCAATGCTGTGTGTTCCTACGTTACCTCTGTGAGACACAGTTCTAAGCATCCTTTACTCTTGCAAACCTCCACACGACCTCTAGGATGACACAGGCTTTGCTCATTCATCCCTCCAGATTCCCTACTGTCTGAGCACACTGTGCATTTCCAAACCATAGTCCCCACAGCTCCATGGTGCAAACGCTCCACCTTTGAGTGGTGGAGAGATGTGTCATCAGACAGACTCGGTGGCACTCCCAAGAGGGCTAACCTCAGCTAATCCATCTGCAAAATTAAAGGGTTCGTTTATGGTGTTTAATGTCCCTTTTGGCACTAGTGATATTTTACAATGGCCCTAAAATTGAGATAAAGATGCTTTCCACCAAGAATTGCTATGAGGTTTGAGTGAAATCATTTTTGTACAGTGCTCAGTTCCAGATGCAGTGCAGACGTTCAACTAGAGGAAAGAAGGTGATGAATGCAGAAACTTTCCATCCTTCCTTGTTTTTATCTAGATTATATTTAAAATGAGTAACTCTTAGAAGTACAAATTGTCTTTCAAAAATCAGAGAATCTTATTCTAGAGTAGCCTTCTAATGTCAGGGGGTGAACTTAAAATGAGATGTGGAGCTGGGCCAGTTAATTTCAGAGGTTTGAGAGAGAGAGAAGGCTGGCAGTGTGAAATCACCCTGATCTTTTCCCAGGGGTTTCGCTGCTGAATTCTGGACTAACAGTCGGTGCCTGGGGAGAACCAAAGGACTGCATACCACACTCAAGGGGGCAAAGAAAGATTCATCTCCATGCCAGGAGCTTGACCCTGGAGACAGAACCAAATCCCTCTCTATGGGACTGGAATAACACACCATCCAAACTCTGTTCCCATGGATAAGTAGAAGGCAAGCATGCCCTGTCTACTTCATCAAAGCCAGTTCTGCTGGGCAGCAGGAGAGAGAAGTGGAAGAGGGGGCGGAGTTTACTTTAGTAGCCTTTAAAAATTAAAGATTATTAGATGTATTAAATTATTCAAAAGTATTACAAATTAAAAATAATTCAGAATTAAAAATCTGTATTTGTAATGAGCTTTAAATATTAAAAACCACAGACCTCCAAATGTCAGCCTTGTTCATTTCCTGTGCCATGCACTTTCTTGCCACAGTGTTGACACCGGCTTATATACACCGGAAATAGAGAGGAAGGAAAAATTGCTTTCTTTAGGCCCAAATGTGGAGGGGAGCAGAGATAGGGAAGGCAGAAGGGTGGCTGCCAAGTTATAACACCATCCAGCTGTGGCCCGCTTGCACGTGGCCATGTTATGGATGCTGTTGACAAAAGGCAGCCAGGGTGCATCCTTGTAATTCCCTGGCAAGAGGCAGCTTGCTAATACATGGGCCTTGCTTGAGCACAGATAGAGTACATCAAATCTCCACGAAGTTTGCTAGCAGTTCCTTTCATTAATCACCCTGGGCTGTCAAGTTGCAGAGTGTTAACACAGGAGTCCTTTCAGATACCTCATCCATTGCTTGTGTCAAGACAATGTCCACAATCCATCTAGACCAAACTATGGTGTTCGGACCACCTCTCCTGATCCCCTCCCTCCCAGACCCTAGGCGGCTGGTCCCAGCCTTCCTCTTTTCCCTCCCTGCTTTGTTTCTGCAGCTCTCTGGCTCACAGCAGCAGGCTCAGCTGGAATAACAACACCATTCCCTGTTTTGCTGATGCTTCCTCTGCTAATTCACTTGGCTTGCATTGACGCACGGAGAGCCCCAGGGTGCATAATCCCGGAGGATGTGACATATGAATGAGCACCATTACTCTGGGGCCCCACTGAGAGGTAGACTGGATCAGATAAGCCACTTTCAGACAAATTTGACAATTGGGAGGAAGCTCCCAGACAAGAGAACTCTGCGGTCTACGTTGCTGCTATAGGCTTGTAAATAAGAAGGGATTTGGAGGGACTCGGACAAATCCCAGCCCTGCCAATTGCTTCTGCCACTTCAGGCAAGTTACTGAACTCATCTAAGTTGTAGTTGCAATCTGCAAAGTGGAGCTGGAAATGCCTAACGGCCTAAGTCTATGCCTTCAATGTACCCATCACCTCCAAAAGTTTCCTCCCACCCTCTTTACTTATTATTATGATTAAGTGTGTATACTTCAAGAACAATTAATATAAGATTTACTCTCTTAGCAAAAATTCAATTATATGATATAGTACCGTTAGGTGTAGGCACTATGCTGTCCAGTATATCTTGAGGACTTATTTATCTTGTCTAACCAAAGCTTTGTACCCTTTGACTGATATCTCCTCATTTTCTCCTCCACCCAGCCCTTGGCAACCCACCCTTCCACTCTATAGGTTTGACTATTTTAGACGTATAATACATTGTATGTAGTATATACAATATAGTATATACCATATAATATATAGACTATTTTAGATATATAATATAGATGTATATTTGCCTCTATGAGTTTGACTATTTTAGATGTATCATAAAAGTAGTATCATGTAATACTTGTCCATTCACAAGTATATACTTATATCCAACCTCATCAAGTTGTAAACATTAACTATGTACAGCTTTTTGTAAGTTAAAAAAGTAAATAGGAACATTCTAAAAATTGTGAAAATGAATGTAAATGGGTTGAACAGACAACAACAACAACAAAATGTCTACCAGCCAGAGTTGAACCTATCTTAGTGCCCAAACAGGTGCTCACGAATACGAGTTATTTTATTTTCTGTTTGGTGCTACTCTTTTTAGATGTCAGAAGACTTCAGTTCTGCCTCCAAGTGTCTGAGACTGGGAACAACCCGCTAGCCACTCTAGGCCCCAGTTCTCCCATTTAAAAAACTAACGAACTGGACATTATCTCCAACATGCTTTTTAGCACTAGTTTGTCTTTGATTCTAAAATCCAGATAAGGTCAGGCTAAAATCCAGATAAGGTCAGGGTTAGAAGATAACAAGAACCCTAATTTAGAAGTCAAAGTTCCTTCTGGAATCTCAGGAACGGTTTGCCTTTTCTTCAAAATTCCCGAGCTCAGATTTGCATGCCGCCTGCGTTGGATGCTCTGCCTTTGATCAATGGGATGGCTTGCCACGCTTACATTAAGCTCACTGTACACAATCACAAAAACATATCATTTCCACTTCCCATGTCATGAGTTGCAAGTCCTGGGAGCCTTTTGAGGCCTTAATCAAAGACCAAGACATCAGAGAAGAGGCCATATGTCTAAAGTGTCAAGAGAGAGCACTCAGGCCGTCGATAAATGATTTGCTCCTCACCAGCTGATTTACTGCTAATTTCTGCAGAACCTCCGGCAGCTTGAAAGGGCGCCAACTGTTAACCACAAGGGCTCTGAGGTCGCAGCTGCACGGTGCCTCCTAAGCAGGACTTGCCATTTCCTATAGGCCTGGGGTAGGGGAGACAGTAGGGACCGGGGAGGCAGATAGGCTGGTGTCAAATCCCTCACTCTTAGAGGCTCTGTGGATTGGGCAAGTTGTAGAGCCCTCTGAATACCCTATTTCCTATTCTGTAAAGTTGAGGCGATAACAGCGAGCCCACAGGTTATTTCATTTGGGGTTTAAAATGGTGAACAGAAGGCAGTAAGTTACGCTGAAGTCAGACTCAACTTGTAGACCGTGGTCTCCTGGTTACAAACATCTTACTGCTTCACTGTTCTGTGCCCAACGTCCCAGACACCGAAGAGACCTCATAAATATTTACACCTGGCGTGTGTTGCGATGTTCAATTAATTGCTCCTGTGACGCACGTTGAGTGCCTTGGAGGAAAGGTGTAATGCAGAGGCCTGGGATTATTAAAGGCACAAACAAGTAAGCTCACCGAAGTAGCATCCTCGGGAGCCTTCCACTGCCTCGGGGCTTTTCAAAGCATGGCCCAAAACCTAGGGAAAAAGTGTTTCCAAAGGGATCCCATCCAATGGTTGGATTGTGGCTGTGCAAAGACCTTGTCAGAAAATGAGGCCAGGCACAGTGGCTCACACCTGTAATCCCAGCACTTTGGGAGGCTGAGGCGGGTGGATCACCTGAGGTCAGGAGTTTGAGACCAGCCTGGCCAACATGGTGAAACCTCATCTCTACTACAAATACAAAAAATTAGCCCAGTGTGGTGGCGCATGCCTGTAGTCCCAGTTACTTGTGAGGCTGAGGCCGGAGAATGGCTTGAACGTGGGAGGCGGAGGTTGCAGTGAGCCAAGATTCCAAGATTGCACCATTGCCCTCCAGCCTGGGCAACAGAGTGAGACTCTGTCTCAAAAAAAAAAAGAAAAAAAATGGGCAAAGACATGTACAGATAACTTACGAAAGAAGACACATAAATGGCCCAAAACCTTTTGGGAAAAAAGAAATTCAATCTCACTAGTCATCAAGGAAGTGAAATGGGTAAAATGCGGAATCAAGTGCCATGTAGGCAAACTGGTTATAAGGTATGGATTTAATGGTGGTGAGATACAGTGAGACGAGCACTTCACATTCCATGCATAAGAATATCAATTAATATAAATTGGTGCAGCTCATCCAGAAAGCTACTGAGTAATATGCAACAAAGGGCCCAGAGTGTTCACATTATTTGACCCCTTCATTGTGCTTGATAACATCTCTATATAGAAAGATTCAAGCTGGGCGTGGTGGCTCAAGCCTGTAATCCCAGCACTGTGGGAGGCCGAGGTGGGTGGATCATGAGGTCAAGAGATCGAGACCATCCTGGCCAACATGGTGAAACCCCGTCTCTACTAAAAATACAAAAATTAGCCAGGCGTGGTGGCACGTGCCTGTAATCCCAGTTACTCAGGAGGCTGAGGCAGGAGAATTGCTTGAACCTGGGAGGAGAGATCGTACCACTGCACTCCAGCCTGGTGACAGAGACTCTGTCTCAAAAAAAAAAAAAAAAAAGAAAAAAAAAGAAAGATTCAGAGATGAGGTTTAAAATGATAAATACACACAGCAGCAGCATTTTACATAGTTAGGACTAGCAAAAACCTAAATGCCCCTTCAAAATATCATGTAGATCAGGGGTCCCCAACACCCAGGCCACGAACCAGTACTGGTCTGTGGTGTGTTAGGAACTGGGCACAGCAGGAGGTGGGCAGTGGACAAGCAAGCATTATCGCCTAAGCTTTGTCTCCTGTCGGAGCAGCAGCAGCATTAGATTCTCATAGGAGCACAAACCCTACCGTGAACCGTGCATGAGAGTGATCTAGGTTCACGCTCTTTGTGAGACTCCTACCAACGCATGATGATCTGAGGTAGAACAATTTCTTCCCTTCATCCCGAAACCATCCCCCACCCCCATCTGTGGAAATACCAGGAAACTGGTCCCTGATGCCAAAATGGTTGAGGACCACTGAGGTAGATAATCAATACTTTGTTTTTGAATAACATTTGAAGATATAGAATATATTTGTAACATCAAAATCCTACACGTTATTTGATATTATTATTTTTTCAAGAGATCTTGCTATGTTGCCCAGGTTGGACGTGAACTCCTGGGCTCAAGTGATCATCCCACCCCAGCCACCTGAGGAGTTGGGACTACAGGTGTGTGCCACCATGCTGGGCTCTTTTATATTTATACTGATAAAAGAAAAACTTCAGCTGAATGAAATTTAAAGGAGCTTAATTGGCCAATGAATGGTTTGAGAATCAGGTGGCCTTCCCAGCCAGAGGAGGCTGAGACTCCGGTGCAGCCACGTGGTGAAAGAAGGTTTATGGACAGAAAAAGGAAAGTGATATATAGAAAATGGAAGTGAGGTACAGAAACAGCTGGATTGGTTACAGCTCGGCGTTTGCCTGATTTGAACACAGTTCGAACAGTTGGCTACATTTGATTGGCCAAAACTCGGTGATTGCCACAACTATAGGCTACCATCTGTTTATAGTTCATGATGTATAGAGAAACCTTTAGGCAGAACTTAAAATATGTAAGGAGGCAGCTTTAGGCTAAGCTTGATTTAACACTACCTATATGTGTTTAAATGTATGCATACATCTTCAGGTACGTATACAGCTATTTACATGAGAATAACCAACATATAACCTGTGGTGTCAATTTTTATTTTCTTCTACATGCTATTTTCCAGAAAATAGAAATATGTACAATATTTCTATATATAATAGAATAATATGTGACTTCAGGTCTACAATAGTACATACATAAAGCAGCTTCAGAGGCTGACTTGTACAATGACGTTTGATGACTGCCTGTTCCTATGTGGCGGGGGGTCGGTGGAGGTGGAGCAATGGACATTTAACTTGGTTCTCTTTTCTGCCCTAGGTCATGGCCTCGCATCAATAGTGCCACAGGTGAGTCGGGGCTCTCTGTCACCTAAGTGGTGGGAATGTCAGCATGGGTCTGTTGGGCTGTTATTTCCATTCTTTTTTGTTTTTATTTCAATAAAACTATGGCCTATTTGAAATGACATTAGCTAGTAATGCCATTCCTTCCAGTTGCCCCAGGGTACAGCCTGATCTGTGACTGTCCAAAGCTTTGGAGGCTGGGTGGCTGGATGGGAATCCTGGCTCTCTACTTAGCTGTGCAGCTTTGCATGAAGCACAGATCTTTCTGAGCCTGAGTTCCTTCATCTGTGCAATGGGTATAAGTCTACCTCAGTGCCAGTCTTATGGTGACTCACTAGTATTCACTCAACTAAATTCCATATAATTGGTTACCCCCAAAACATGAGTGGAAAGAATGAATGGTTCAAAAGCCACCTTTGATGCCTCTCCTGTATCTCTCTTCATAGCCTATTTTCTGGTACTACGCACTTAACAGGAGCCCATTAAAGTTTGAGAAAAAGCATGTAGTATTCACTGGGGAGGGTTATTATTTCAGGGAAAGTCCCACAGAACTTCCCTAGAAAGCTGGTGTCTAGATAGAATGACTGGAATGAGGCAGAAAAATGGAGACATTGTCCAGAGGAAACACCAAAGAAGCGATGGAGTCATAAGGAGTTATGTAATCAGCAAAGGCATTTGAAAGTTTCACTATAGAGCATGTGGGAGTACAAAACCAGCACTCAGCATGTCCCACCCAGCAGCTGGGAGAACTGGGCAAAAGCAAAAGTGAAAGTGGGAAATACGAGTTCACACAGGGAGAGAGCACCCAGCCTTAATCCCTCTACAGAAAAAGTTTTCATTCAACTTCCCAGTCAGGCCTAAACAAGATTGTCTTCTCTCAAGGTAGATGATACCAAATTGTGTTGGGGTCTTTAGTATCAAATGCACCTCTCCACCTACCTGCACCTCTCACCCCTCCCATCCTGCACTGGCATCCTGGAGGGAAGAGAATATTCTAAGGGGGTGGTACCTGGGAATGAAGTGGCTTGTCTGATGTGCTTGGTGACCGGTGAATCATAAAGCACACAGGTAAAATACAGCAGCCAGCTCCAACTACCTGTATCCTCTTCCTCCCATCTTGCTCCCCACCTTGGTTAAGGCACAGAGAAATGGGCAGATGGGCACTCCGTTTCCTTGACAGCAATCTAGAGACACCAGCAGGAAAAAGAAAACAAATCGAAACCCCACAAAAGTCCATTGATATAAAGTCGCCCAGGCCTGCTCATACACACTCGAACCTACACCTTACCGGAAAGAAACACTTAGCAGCAAATTATGACATTCCCAGTCTGTTCAAAATAACAGCCCAGACCAGGCACGGTGACTCACACCTGTAGTCCCAGCACTTTGGGAGGCCAAAGCAGGCGGATCACAAGGTCAGGAGTTTGAGACAAGCCTGGCCAATATGGTGAAACACTATCTCTACTAAAAATACTAAAATTATCTGGGCATGATGGTGGGCACCTGTAGTCCCAGCTACTTGGGAGGCTGAGGCAGGACAGTCACTTGAACCCGGGAGATGGAGGTTGCAGGGAGCCCAGATCACCCCACTGCACTCCAGCCTGGGCGCTGTGGACGACAGAGCAAGACTCCGTCTCAAAAAAGAAAAAAAAAGAGAGAGAGAGAAAGAAATAACAGCCCAGCAGACCTATGCATACTTATGAATCAGCCTAGGCATACTTATGAACCACTACAAATGTCTACCAAAGAATAGCAGACCTGATCTAATTAAGATATGCATGAGGATTTACAAAAAAGACTGTGCGTGACGGTGGCTTGATAACATTCCCAGATCCTTCAAGTTGTTTCTGATTTTTGACGATGGGATCATTTGAAAACAGGAGAGGGCGTTCATGCGAGAAAATACTAGGAAGCCATTAAAATGATGATGTTGAAGCACATTCATTGCCATGGATATGTTGATAGCATGTGATTTTGTGAAAAAGCAGGTAAAAAATAGGGTACAAGGAGTGATTGTATATTTATAAGCTATATATCTATGATGTGAGGTGTGTGTGATTGTGTGTGTGTCTGTGTATGTGTATGAGTGACTTGACTATAATCAAATATTTGTATATTTGGATTATTTGTGGTAACAGTATAGTAATTTTTATTTCCTTCTTTTTTGCATATCTGTGTCTTATAACTTTCTACAGTAGCATATGATTTTGTATACTAAAAACAATCTATCGAAAAATATTCTTTAGAAAACCATTCCAAGCCTGGAGAAGACAGACACATGTTCCAACTGGGACAGTCTGTCAAGGTCAATACCTTCTCGGAGGCTGATACACAGAGAACAGTGCAATGCTTTCCATAAAATAAACTCATGAGTTTTTCTCCTTCCCCTAAATAAAGAATGAAACTGGAAAAGATGGCCCTATTTAGAAAGTGGGTCCTTCTGTCTTAAGCCTCCACGTATAATAAAAACATTGATGAAGATAGATATTAGCTGATTTGATTTAAAAGACAAGAAATTTCATCTTGTCAGGGAAAATACTACTTTTAAGTTTTTCTAAGGAAAGCAGTCTTCAAGGTTGATTTTTCCTACTTGTAAAAGAAAAATTAATAAGGATTTTAGGACAAGAGGGAGACAGGCAGGTATAGAATATGTGAGCATCCAATGCCTCCTGCTGGCTGTTTCCAGATGCTGCAATGCCTGTATTAATTTAGCAGAGGCTGGATCCTCCTGGTTCTCTCCCCAGGGTGTTGGGAATATTCGTGAACAGAAACAAATAAAAAAATTGATAGTTGAATCTCTGGGACAAGCCAGGATTTCAGATCATCCCAAGATTGGTAAACTCAAGGATTAACATTGTCTTCAAAATTCAATTACAATAGTTAAAAATCACAACAGTTGAAAATGAATATTTTCTAGCCCATGTTAGGGTTTACGCTCTTTGGCAGGCATATGGTAAGGCCAGGGAATCCCTACTTTTAACAAGATAATTCCAATTCAAGTAGTTCTGGGCCATTCTTTAGACTTGCTGACCAAGGGTTAAAAAGAGAGAGAGAGAAGAAAACTATCCAGACTGTTCCCACCAAGAAGCTGTTCTCTATTCTCTAGATAACAAATGTCTCTATTATTTCATTTGCATTTCTAAGGGCAATCAAGGAATGAGGTGGGAGGCAGCTGCCTTCCCTATCACCATTCACCCACTCACCCATCCATTCATTCAACCAATTTGTGGTAGCTCCATATAACCAGCTTTAGGCACAGATTTAAAAAAAAAAAAAATTAAAGGTCCTGGGGACTCGGGTAGTCTGAGATTGTATTACTATATTTTACATATGAGGAAATTAAGAACTAGAGAACAGAAGTAAACTTCCAAGGGCCACCTACTTAGAACATTATGCCTGTTCTTCAACCCCCTGTTAAGTGTTTCCTGTGTAGCTGTTTCTGTGAGTTTGGACTATCTGTGGCTTCGAATTATTAGCTCATAATCTTCAGATCAAAGAACTGTTGTCCAGTGAATAAACTGAAATACCCAGAGAGCTAGATGACTGAGTCTCTCTCTCTCCTCTCTCTTTATATGTGTGTGTGTGTGTATGTATATGTATATGAATATACACATATATATACATACACAGTCATGTGTCACATACTAATGGGGACGTATTCTGAAAAATACATCGTTAGGTGATTTCAACATTGTGTGTACGTCATAGAATGTACTTACACAAACCTAGATTGTGTAACCTACTACTTACCTAGGCCATATAGCATGGTCTATTGCACCTAGGTTACAAACAAAACATCCTGTACAGGATGTTGCTGTGCTGAATATTGTAGGCAGTTGTAACACAATGGTAAGAATTTGTGTATCTAAACATAGAAAAGGTACAGTAGAAATACAACATAAAAGATAAAAGGGGTACACCTGTGTAGGACACTTACCATAAAGGGAGCTTGCGGACTGGAAATTTCTCTGAATGAGTTAACGAATGAGTGGTGAGTGAATGCGAAGGCTTGATCATCACCGTAAACCCACGTCAACATTAGAATCTCTACACTTAGGCTACATCGAACTGATAAAACTATATTTTTTCTTCAATAATAAATTAACCTTAGGTTACCATAACTTTTACAATTATAAATGTTTAAAGTTTTCTGACTTTTTTACTCTTTCCTAATAAGACTTATCTTAAGCACAAACGCATTGTACCATTTTACAAAAATATTTCCCTTCCTCACGTCCTTATTCCAGAAGAATTTTTTCTATTTTTAATTTTTTAATTTTTATTTTATTTTTTTTTACTTTTTAAATGTTTTTGCCAAAAACTAAGACACAAATGCACACATTAGCCTAGAGCTGCTGAGCATCAGGATCATCAATATCACTGCCTTCCGCCTCCACATCTTGTCCTACTAGAAGGTCTTCAGGGGCAATGATACGTATGGAGCTGTCATCTACTAGGATAACAATGACTTCTTCTGGAATCCCTCCGAAAGGGCCTGCCTGAGACTGTTTTACAGTTAACTTTTTCTAATCAGTAGCGGGATGCTTTAAAATAACAATAAAAAGTATGATATAGTAAACACTCAAACCAGTGTTATAGTTATTTTATCATTAAGAAGTATTATGTACTGTACATAATTGTATGTGCTAGACTTTCATATGACTGGCAGCACAGTGAGCTTGTTTACACCAATGTCACCGTCAGAAGCACATGAGTCATGCATTGTGCTATGATGTTATAATGGCTACAACATCATTAGGTAATGATATGGATCCGATCAGTGGAGGAACACCAGGGTCCTTAGTCTTGTGCCGAACTGGATAAAACAACATGGACACATGTGGGGTGGTTTTAAGCAGTAGAGAGTTTAATAGGCAAGAAAGAAGGAAGGAAGAAGAAAACAGCTCCCCCATACAGAGATGGAGGGGGATTTGAACAAAGACAAAACCCCTGTGTGGCAGAAAAGTGGTTGCTTATAGGAGGAGGCTGGAGGAGGTGGTGCCTGATTTGCATAGGGTTTAGGGGATTGGTTTGACCAGGCATGTCATTCATGTAGCCCGTGAATAAAACTGGCCCTCCTACCCTAGCCTTTTAATATGCAAATGCAAGGCACCATGGTGTTCTACACAGGTGGGGATATGTGGGGGTGGCCATGTTGCCAGGCACATGTGGGGACAAGGGCAAGAAGAACAGGGTGGGAATCACCAAGTTTGGGTGGACCCAGTTTCTAATGGCTGGCATTTCCATATCAAAGTTTGCTAGCTGGCTCTAAGAGCCCAGGCTTTCCTGTTAGACAAGAAGCATTTCTGGAGCTGCTTTAAAAGAAACAAAAACTTTCCAAGGACCCCTTTTCCTCTCCATTTGCCTAAAATAATTTATTAATAACTCCTATAACAGTAATAGGAATTTTTCTGCTCCATTATATTCTTATGAGACCACGGTCATATATGTGATCCATCATTGACCAAAATATGGTTATATGGCATGTAAATGTATATATGTATATATTTTTTTCTATCTCTATCTCTCTCTCTCTCATTCCCCTCTTCCTTCCTCTTTTCTTCTTCTTCCCAATTATAAGCCATATAGTCAAAAACTCATTTACTCTCATAATACTTTACTCAGAGATGGTGAAAAGGAATGCAAGAAAGTAGATTTCTCCCTTTCCCCACAGATATAGATCGATGCCAAACTGAAGATGTTCTGAAGTTTGGAACCTGCCAGGGGAAAGGGTGTGGACTACCCTATTTCTCATTACACTGGGGTAAAATCAGCTTGACGCCCTCTTTCCCCAAATACTGTATGGTTCCTAAAAGACAAAAACTGTGAAAAGCAGCACAGTATAGAGGAAAGAAAGTGCATGGGGCTGTCAATCCAGACCCCAGAGTTTGATCCCTGGTTCTCTTACACCACAACCAAGTCTTAGGACCTGTGGATGAGGAAAAAGGAAAGACATTCACATACATGGAGTCACCAGTTTGTGCCTGGCACTTTATAAACTTATCTAATTTAGCTACACAGTGCTGATCTTATTATTCTCACTGTATAGATAAGGTAAACTGGCTGGGCATGGTGGCGCACACCTGTAATGCCAGCAGTTTGGGAGGCTGAGGCAGGTGGATTACTTGAAGTTAGCAGTTCAAGACCAGCCTGGCCAACATGGTAAAATCCCATCTTTACTAAAAATACAAAAATTAGCCAGATGTGGTGGTGCTGCTCAGGAGGCTGAGAGGCAGGAGAATCACTTGAACTCAGGAGGCAGAGGTTGCAGTGAACCAAGATTGTGCCACTGCACTCCAGCCTGGGTGACAGAGCAAAACTCCATCTCAAAAAAAAAAAAAAAAAAAAAAAAAGATAAGGTAAGCCAAGTCCAAGAGAAGTCAGAAAGTTTGGAAAGACATCAGCAAAGTAGAACTCAAACCCATAACAGTGCATGTGTTGGTGTTATGTGCCAAATGATTTTGGCCTCAGGATTTTTTTAAATCTTATGATAAGGGGACACCCAGATGATGGTGTCCACCGAATCTCTGTGCCTCACAGCTGAAGGGGATCCCAGCTTGAAGAACCCTTGTGAAGAATCAGCAGGTGGATATCAACAGAGTTGAATGCTGAAAAAGCCACACATTTTGCTTAAAAATGAGCACTAAAAACAGAACAAGTTCTCAATATAGATCTGAAAGCAGTGCTAACGACCTGGGTTGAGTGAGAAGGATTTGGCTGTGACGTTAAACTCGAAAAGAAAAACACACAACACAGCATCTTGTTACTGGGCACTGAGCCAAGAAGTTATCCTCTGGTAATTATGAGTTGATTTCCCACCTAAATTCCATGGACCAAAACTTCTCAACAGCCATTTGGGGGTAGGTAGTATTATTCCCATTCTACAAGTTAACCCTAGTTAACTGAGGCTTGTAAGTAACTGGGTTTGCCTGAGGTCACATGGCTCAAGAGTGACAGGGCCAGGATTTAAACCTAAAACTTCTCGACTCAGCTCCCATGAAATACATGTTGCCTTCCTCGTGCCTTTGATCAGCTGCTCTGCTATGTTACTGCCAAACACTAACCTCCATAAGGAGATAAAACATCAAAGGCTGCAAGACATTTAAAAAAATGGGGCTTAAACACGATAGACGTTTATTTTTTTTTTTTCTTATGTAAGTCAAGTCCCAAGGTAAGCAGTCCAAGGCTCTTTGGCAGCTCTGCTCCTGAAAGTCCTCAGAGACCCTGTTCTTCCCGCCTTCTTGCTCCCTCCCTTGTACTGGCCTTAATCTTACAGCCTGAAATCGTGATGTCTGTACTCCAGGCAACAGGATGGAGAAAGAAAACAAAAAGGAGAAATAAAAAGTGCGTAACAACTTCAGGGAGTATCCTGGAAATTCTGACTTGATTTTCTACCTAGATTCCATTGACCAAAGCTTGGACTTATGGCCATGCATAGCTACAAGGAAGACATGTAGCTCCGACCATGTGCCCAGCTAAACAGCAAGCGGTTCTGGTACCTGAGAAGACAGAGAAAATAGGTATGGGGAGACACACAACTGTCTCTGCCACAGAGTAGTTAGTGACAGGTGGCTAGGACTCACAGACCCCTCAATTTTCAACACATATTCTTAAGTCCAGCTGGCAACCTGCAGATTTGGAGCCAGCCCTGATCTTTGCCACACCTCTCCTCCCCTTCTCCACTCCCCTGAGTCTTCTCTTGAAACTGAAATGAAACCGGAAGCTGGTTTTGCTTGGGGAACCTGTCTGGCTTGAGAATGTCTAAGCAACCTGCTAACTGACTTGCTTTCCTAGGGAAATAGAGAGTGCTAAACCTCTGCAGGCTTCCTATTTTTATTTCTCTTCTCATGCAAGATGAGCATATTCTCACCATGGGACCCACTGGGAATTCTTCCAGTTCAGGATTTCCTTTGAATGTGAATATCCCATGGCAACAGCATTTGAAGGTCCACCAGCTACCCTGTCCCTGCAAAGCCACTAAATGGGGGCATAGATGAAGGCACCGGCCCTGCACCTCCAGAGATTTGAGCTCCCAGAAGTGTTTCCAAATGAAAATAATCTGAGAGTCTCTATTTACCTAATGGCCTGTCTTCCTTTGGAAGGGAATTGGAGCTTCTAACTTAGCGGTTCTAAAACTTCAAGGTGAATAAATGTCACCAGAGGAGCTGGAGGAAAAAAGCAGACTGATTCAATTGGTTTGCTCTGGGGCTCAGGTTTTGCCTTATTTCCTTTTTTCAGCTCCCAAGGTGAGTTTGATGCAAATGGTCAGGGGACCTCAGTTGGACAGGTATTGGCCAAGCACCTCTGTCATCCTTGGCTGGACCTCTGCAGACACGAGAAGAGCTGTTCAAGGGACAGCCACAGGGCTGGAGTAATTGCCTTCTGCCTATCAGGAGGCTCTCCTGGGCTTTACACTGCGTATATCCATCTTCACTTCCCTCCTAAAAGTAACTTTCAAAGGGACATTGTTTCTTGCAAAAAGATGTTTCCTTGAGGGAAACACAGAAGTCAGTTGTTCTCTGGAGCTGTCTGGTGTCTGTGGGTGATGGATGACCCTCCACACATCCATGCAACACGACCATAACTCTCCTGGGATGCAGATATGAAATCTATTGAGCAACTCCCTTTCTCTTTTTAGAAAATGGCCCTAGGAAGCCAATCTGTCTTTCAGGTCCAGGAAGACGTGAAGACCTGGAAGGGTTTGGGTGAGCCACTTTGGTGGGGATCTGGGTCCATGAGGGGAAGTGTAAAGCTCTGTTCACTCAGTGAGGGAGGAGGAAGGTTCTATCGCTGCTTCCCGGTTCTGACATGTTCCTGCTGTACCACATGCTGTATTTGACAACTGACTATTGATTGATTGTGCATTCACCATATGCCCATCTCTGCTACACGTGGGTTGCGGGAGCCATCAGGAGCCTGACGTCTTGCCACTGCCTGGGGGGAGGCAGGTACCACAGTCTGTAACTAGATTATTTATTGGTTGGCTTTGTTCCTAGATGCTATGGAGAAACATAAAAAAAAAGTCTTAATCAGGGAGGACTACCACCTATAATGAATAAACTACAAATGTTAGTGGAATATAATAAAGGTTTATTTCTTCCTCACATCACAATCCAATGTGGATCAAAGGAAGGCTTTTTCCAAACAGTCATTGTGATTCACTTCCCTTTTACCCAACAGCTTCCATCATCCCCATGGGCCTTGGGGTCTCTGCCCAGCTATCAAGGCAAGAACAAGAGCATAGAAGGTCAAGTAGGGCAACCTAGAGTCCATCACAGCCAACGCCCCAGGGCTGGGAGATCCACGCCATGCCCACCCACCTGCCCAGTGCAGGGGAAGGAGAGATATGTACGCCAGCCAAGCACCACAGGGAAAGGAGACAGGCCTGGTGTGCACGTGTGTGCAGCATTCTCACTGCCATACCAGGTGCCAGGAGTGGTGAGGAACAGCGCTGGAGAGGCGCTCTTTAATTTTTGCTTGACACCGGTAGTCAGGGAAGACCCCTCCAGGGGAGATGACATTTCAGACACAGTTGGATGGTGGACAAAGATCCAGGCATGGGCAGAGCCAAGAAAAGAGGGCTCTAGACAGAGGGATGGTGTGTGCAAGCTCCTGAAGTAGCGTGAGCTGGGTGTGCTGGCAGACTCAAGGAGAGGCTGGCTGAAGCAGCTGAAGTCGGAGGTGAGAAAGAGGTAAAGGAAGAGTTTCATGATTCTTATTGCAGAATGCTGAGACAGGCTTTATTCCAGACAATGGAGATAGGTACGGGATTACCACAATGAGTGCAGTACGGGAGAGACTGGGCTCAACTCAGAATACAATACGGACAAGTGGAAATTTATAGCCAAGGTGTAGCAGGACAAGCTGCAGACAAAACCCCTCAGACACCGAGTTAAAGAAGGAAGGGCTCTATTCTGCCAGGAGTTTTGGCAAGACTCACGTCTCCAACAACCGAGCTCCCCAAGTGAGCAATTCCTGTCCCTTTCAAGGGCTTACAACTCTAAGGGGGTCCGCGTGAGAGGGTCGTGATTGACTGAGCAAGCAGGGGGTACATGACTGGGGGTTGCATGCACCAGTAATCAGAACGGAACAGAACAGGACAGGGATTTTCACAATGCTTTTCCATACAATGTCTGGAATCTATAGATAACATAAGCGGTTAGGTCAGGGGTCAATCTTTAACCAGGCCCAGGGTGCAACGCCAGGCTGTCTGCCTGTGGATTTCATTTCTGCCTTTTAGTTTTTACTTCTTTCTTTGGAGGCAGATATTGGGCATAAGACAATATGAGGGGTGGTCTCCTCCCTTAAAGGGAGTGGCGTGAGGGTCTGGGAAAGGAAAATTACAAAGAGGAAACCTCAGGGGTAAGGGAAAGGGCGGGGGCAGAGGTGGTTTCCGGCTAAACTGACCTGAAATGTTCTTGCGGAAGGCAGACCAGGGTGATCAGACATCACCAGAGGAAGGTGGCAGAGGAGGGCCCTGATTGGATGAGATATGGAGGCTGATCAGACATGGAGAATGGGAGATTCTGGCTAAACTGACTGAGCAGGAGTCTTGCAAAAATTGGACAATGCAGAAATGAATATGGAATCCCACAAGGTAGGGCCTCACAGAGAAGAGAGTTCAAGGTAGCCTGACTACAGTTTGGTCCAGGAGAGAAGAGGCTGAAAAGGGATGAGGTCAGAGAGCAGGGTGGGGCAGGTTGTGCTGAGCTCTGGGGGCCACACAGGGCACCTAGTCTGTATGACATGGGCCATGAGTGACATGAACTGATGCACGGTGTTAGGATCAGGCTTTAAAATTGCATTTTCCAAAACTCTGCACTGATGACACAGATAGGTACTCTAGGAGACTGAGAGATAAAAGGCAATTCCTTCCCTAAAGAACACACAACAAAAAAGTAATCAGATCCTGCCTATTCGTATTTAAATGTCATGGTGAGTGAGACAGAAAACATATGCGTTAACAATTCAGTGAGATTGATGTGGCCTGGAGTAGTCAGAGAGAAAAGCAGAGAAATGGGATCTGAAAGGATGATGAGCATTTGGGAAGCAAAGGGGAGGTGAGAGGGAGAAGAGGCTCCAGGCAGGGTCTGTACCCACAGACACAGAAGGGGCATGAAGCGTATTTGGGGAATCTGGGAGAGTCTCAGGCTGGAACGCTCGCCTCTGGTGAGAAAGGAGACCCCGCAGCTCCCCAAGAAGATGTCAGTATCATGACCGCACTCCTTGAGGCCAATTTTCTAAAATGAAATTATATTGAACCCTGAATTAAACAGTGGAGTTGTTTTCCTCGATAACGAGGGCCAGAGCAGATCCCCAATAATTCTGAGCTCATTTGCTCCTTCCGGGCCAGCTGGTCTTTAATGGGTGACCTTATTAATTTAACTCGATTCATGAGAGAGTACAAATTGCTGCTCTAAAGGGCTGGAAAACGTGTTGGTTTCTCTGCCAGGGATCTCAGTGGGGATGTAATTGTGCTGGGTCAGGAAGGTGTCATCAGTGCCCTAGAGCTGCTATCCAACCCCAAGGATGGGCTGGGACCAGGGGCAGGTGTAGGCAGGATTCTGTTCCTCCCAGCTCATTATTTCAAGGAGATTAGCTCTGTCTCATTAACACTTCCCATATGTACTGGTCCTAGGCAAATTCCAGAGAACTGTGTTTCCACTGAGCCAAATTTGCATTAATTTGTACATTACACCTTAGAAAAGATTTGGGCATGCTGATACAATTAACAACTCTTTATTTCATATTTTGGTAAGATAGGGGAATTCAGAGTGAAATAACTAATGTTTAAGAAAATAAAAGGCCAGGTGCCATGGCTCATACCTGCAATCCCAGCACTTTGTGAGGCCAAGGTAGGCGGATCATTTGAGGTCAGGAGTTCGAGAATAGCCTGGCCAACATAGTGAAACCCATTTCTACTAAAAATACAAAAAATTAGCTGGGTGTGGTGGTGTGCTCCTGTAATCCCAGCCACTCGGGAGGCTGAGGCACGAGAATCGCTTGAACCCAGGAG